>NC_000005.10:141328659-141953659 GCF_000001405.40 Homo sapiens | reverse complement strand
TGGTAGACAGGACAACAGAGAATAGGCCCTGTGGGTGACCCCGCTGAGGTGACAGAAAGAAAGGTGCCCATTTGGGATCAACTTGAGGGTAACAGGCAACTTGCCCAATGCTCATATCTTTCCAGCAGCACATAGAGTCAGATCTGAGTGTAAATTCCAGCCCTCCCACTAATTTCTGTGTAGCCCCTGTGAGCCTCCAATTCCACCTCTGCAAAATGGCCATAATGGTATCTCTTCCCTTAGGCTGTTGTAAGAATTAAATGAGATTATACACCACTGGACAATCACTGTTTATCATGGGATTTATTAATAAGCTCATTTAAACCTCGTAACCCACCATATGACCTGGGTCTCATTAATATGCACTTTTTTTACTGTTGAGGAAACTGAGTAATTTTCTCAGAATGCTTAAGTAATTCCTCAAGGCCACACTGATGGGAACTGGGGCAGGGACATATTTAGGATTTGAACCTGAGTCTGACTGATTCGAGTCTGGGCTGTAACTGTGAAGTGACCCTGAATGACAGTGCTCAGCATAGGGCTTGGCATGTAGGGAGTCATGTCATGAAAAGGCAGCTGTCACTTGAGCAAAGGGTGGCAGGTATCTTAGGAGGGCTTCTGGGCCTGGGCTGGGAGGTGGGATCTTCCCTGAGGCAGGCAATAAGACCCCGAGTCTCCCAAGTCACAGTGAAACCCCAGTCCTGGCCATCTCCTCTTCCAACTCTCCTCTGAGGTTGACACTTCCTACCTCAAGCTGCACAGAGGGGCATGGTGGACCTCCTAAGGGAGGAATGGGGATGGACCCAGGAGGAGGAAGCAGTGTTTCTAGGAATAACAGTGCAAACTCCTTGCTTTTGCAGAGGATTTTTAACTTTTTCAAACCATTTAATCGTGACAACACTGAGAAGAAGGCGTGTGGGTATTTCTAGCCCCCTATTAGAGATGAGGAAACTGAGGTCTGAGGAGGTCTAAAAACCTGTCTAATGCTATACAATAAGCTACAAATGGCCTTGAACTAGAACTCCGCCTCCCAGGACTTGATCTGTTGCCTCTCCCTTCCAATGGCCTATAGGGTCTGGCCGTGATATCTCACCCATCCCCTACTCCATTCTCCAGTCTTTCTGAAACTCTACCTTCTCTTCCAGCCTTTCAGTGTGCAGTGCTTCTGCCTGAAAACCTCCCCACCCCTTGCCCAGACCTTCATTCTCTTTCCACTTGCCAAACTCCTATGGAGCCTTTGGGTCTCAGCAGAGGTGCCTGGCATGTGGTATGAACTCAGTAACATCTGTTGAAATGAATGAATTAACTTAATCCAGTACCACCCCCCTGCTTCCTCCCTGCTCCAAGTTGGGTTAGGGGCCCTCTGCTCCCACAGAGCCCCCATTCTTTCCCTATGCCCAGAGGCAACCCCTGTGGTAAACACTCTTCGCTGCCCTGATCTCCAGCCAGCCTCCCTGTGGGGCTGCCTGCAACCTTCACATCCTGACAGATGTGACCACGCTGAGGGCAGCAGCTGGGGCTCCTTCTCCTTCTTACTCCCATAGCAACCACCCTGCCTGGCACTTATTAAGTACTTGTTGAATGAATGAAAAGATGAATAAATGAATAATTCAATGACACCATTTTGCCTTCTCTACAACATAGTCTTACATCTGGTCAACAAAAATTGGCCGAATGTCCAAATACTGCTAAAGGGGAACATAACTCTTTAAGATAATCTTCATCAAAGTAACAACAAATTGATGGTCAGGAAATGCCTTTTTCACCCCATCTCTCAGAGTCCACCAGGTGCAGGACACTCGGAGGAATGAGTATGAGGGGACAGGCCCAGAGGGTCCTCTTGCTCTCCTTCAGACACTCAGGTCCTGGGGTGACATGACAGAGCAGGGGACCTGCCCGCCCAGGTCCCTGTCTCTGTCACTGGGCACCATCCCCCATCTGATCACACAAACATCTGAAGCCAGAGGAAAGACTATAAAAAGAAAGCACCGGCATTGAGGGAAACATCCGGCGAGGAAGTGTGCTGAGTCGGAATTGTGTGGAGTCAACAGATTTTTCCTGTCTTGTAGCAAATCTCCCAGCTGCTGTCCTTGCTGCATCAGGGCCAATTCCAGCCCAAACCAAACCACCGAGGAAATAAGTACTTGGCCAAGCCAGGAGGCAGCAGGTAAGCAGCACGTAGCCCCCACAGGCATCTCAAGGCCCCTACTGGCCGCCCCTCATCACTGCAGCCTCTGTGAGTGAGGAAGGGTGAGCACAAGTCAGACACCGGTCCCCTGGGAGGGTGCAGCAGACAGCATCCATCCTCCCACCCTGGGAGTTTTGGTCGTGAGGTGACTGTATTGATAGTATTTACAGGACCTAGAAGTCCTGTAGGACTAACTAGCTGTATTGATAAATACCATCAATACAGTAGTCACCAAGGAAATGACCTCATCCCTGAGACTGTATTTGTCCCAATTACAGAGGTGCTGTAAATTGCCTTTATATCTGTAACTGTCACCTCTCTTTCTCTTGACCCATAAACATAATATGAAGGCTCCCCACTAAAGACATGGCTGTGTGGGCGTGTCCCTTTGGGCAATCCTAGAATTGAAGACACCTTAAGAGAACATCAAATCCAACTTCTTGTTACGGATGGAGAAACTGAGGCTCTGAGTAGCTTGATTCAAACCAGCTATGTAAACTTGAGCAAGTGAGATAATCTCTCAGGACCTTGGTTTCCCCATCTGTAAAACAGAACCCATCCCATTTCCCTTGTGGTAATGGGGTGAGGATTTCATAATCAATTGTATTCTAAGCCCATAGCCCAGCAACTGACACATAGTAGGTGCACACACAATGCTAACTCCTTTCCCCTTGAAGCAATTTTGCTAAAGGTCATGTAACAAGTGAGTGGCAAAGCTGGGACCAGCTCTCAGAGTTCCTGACTCCTGCATCAGTGCTCTTGCCCTGACAACTTACAGCTTCTTTTTACAAGGATGGTGAGAGGTAGTGTACTGCAGGGGTGAGTCCACACACTCCAGGGTCACACTGGCCTGGATTTGAAGTCTTGCTTTATCTCTTAATCTATGGGGACCTTGGGCAACCTGCAAAATCTTCACAAGTCTTGGTTTTCTCATTTGTACAATGGGTTGATTAAAGAGAACCCCTTACAGGTGTGGAAGGTTTGAATAAGACGGTGCATGGACCTTGCATCGCATAAGGCCTGACTCAGACTCACTGCTCAAAAACATTAGTTGTCATTATCACCCACACACTTGCCACCTCCCTGCTCATTTCTTCACAGCAGCAGAAATGGCTACAGGGGAACAAAACCAAACAAACAGAAGGACTCCTACGCCTTAAAACCCCTCAGGTAGCCTTCCCACCTGCTGGGATGAGGGTCCAGGCCTGTCCCCAAGTGTCTATGGGAGAGAGGGACCAGGATGGAGACAGCAGGAGACTGGGGTGCAGGTAGCAGATTCTGAGCAGCTTTAGGCTGCCTCACTCCGGCTGCACCCTCCATAGGTCTGCTCTTCTGGCCTAGGATTTGGCCTAAAGTAGGGAGGAAGGAATGTTCAGTCACTCATTCAGCACCCACTGTGTGCCACGCCCTGTTCTGAGCATCAGTAAGGGAGCAGGCAATGAGACAGGCAAAAATCCCAGCCTTCTCCTACGGACGGATGGACGGCTGCACTGGCTCCACTGAGGTTTACTAAACTCCTCCTGTGTGCCAGGCAATACCTAGACATGGGAGGGGCAACGAGAATGATATCAATGAACTCATCTTCACTTCTGTCTGCTGAGTGCTTACAATGTGCCAGGCTCTGTGGTAGGCCCCTCTACCTACAACGTCTCATTTTACCCTCACAACACCCTGTGAGGTGGGTGTTATTTATTACTCTCATTTTACAAATGAGGAAACAGAGTAAGAGGAGGGCGGGAATCACATGATCCAGGTTGGTCTGACTCTAGAGGCCAGGCTGTGTATCCAGTTCCCTATATGGGTAAATGAATGCAAACATGAATGGGCATGAATGAATGAATCTATATGGGAATGTCCCTACCCATGGACTGGTTGGTTTCTTTTGCAGGAGTGCAATCCCAGACACAGATGGCCCAAGTGCAAGGGCTGGAGGCCAGACAGACCCAGAACAGGAGGAAGGGCCTTTGGATCCTGAAGAGGACCTCTCTGTGAAGCAACTGCTAGAAGAAGAGCTGTCAAGTCTGCTGGACCCCAGCACAGGTAGGGACCCCCTGGAGTTACCTTGACCCTGCTTCTGCCCCATGGTGTCCAAGCTTCAGAGTTCTGCTCCAATCCACTGCAGGGAAAAGCCATTCTGTTTCTGTGGAGGAACATCAGCAACATTTAACTTCCCTTGCACCCTTGCAGCCTCAGAAAGTATTTTAAAGACCAGGTTCTACTTTGATTTTTTTTTTTTTTAGACAGGGTCTTGCTCTGTCACCCAGGCTGGAGTACAGTGGCATGATCACAGCATGATCACAGCTCACTGCAGCATTGACCTCCTGGGCTCAGGTGATCCTCCCACCTTAGCCTCCCAAGTAGCTGGGACTACAGGTGAGCACCACCACCACATCCCGCTAATTTTTGATTTTTTTTTTTTTTTGTAGGGACAGGGATTCACCTGTTGCCCAGGCTGGTCTCCAACTCCTGGGCTCAAGCAATCCACCCACCTCAGCCTCCCAAAGTGCTGGCATTAGAGGCATGAGCCACCTGTAATCAAAGCCAAAGTAGGCACCTGGCCTACGTTGATTATTCATTTTAAAAATCATTGTAAAAATAGTGAACATGCCAGGCACTGGGGAAGCATCTTATGTACATGATCTCATTTAAGCCTCCAACCAATCCCCTCAAGTAGATAATTATTACCTCGAATTTACAGATGAGCAAACCGAGGCTCAAAAAAATCAAGTAGCCTTCCCAGAGTCACCCAGCTCACCAGTGATTGAAGGGGAGCCAAACCCTGAGCCAGCCTGTCCTCTATGGACTTCTTACCACTCATTGGCGTTTGGTGTGTTTCAATACCCTTTCACCCTGGGAACCAGGTCAACTCTTTAATATGCTAACAATTGCAATGAAAACAAAAAGATTTTTTTGCAGAGAAATAATTAGCTTTGACAATAAATACATAATGTGAACTTGAATTCAAGAATCTGCTAGCGCCCCCCGCCCCTGCTGTGGACATTGGTCAGCCTCCTTTGGTAACACACCCCACGGCAGACCATCCCTGTGCTGTGGTTTTCTATCTATGTAGTTAACACTGTTTCTCATGTGCTCCATCTGGCTGCAGACACACTGAAGGTATGGCAGGGACTTCTCTTTCCTTGGTTAAAAAATATTGCTAATGTTTATTGGGCACTTTCTATGTGCTAGGCCCTGTTCTAAGTACCTCATGAGAAAATCTTATGAGATAGGGGCTATTCATTATCCCCATTTCATAAAGGAAAAATGTGAGGGTCAGGGGTGTTTCATAATTTGCCCAAGGTTGTGCAGCTCGTGGATGGTTATTAACACAGGCAGTGTGGCTGTAAATTTTAGAGCTGTGTTGTTCAATGAGGTAGTCACTAGCGACAAGTGGCTATTTAAATTTAAGTGAATTAAAATTAAATAAAATAAAATATTCAGTTCTGCCATACCAGCCACATTTCAAGTGCTCACTGGCTATGTATGGCTGGGGGATATAGCTTTGGATTCTATCTCTATTGGTCAGCTCTGGCTGGAACCTGTGGGGTCAGTTCCCACACGGTCCTGCTTGCCCACAGCACAAAGGGTACTGAACACAGGGGCACTGTAAGGAGTTGGGGGTAAGGAAAGAGGAGGGGCAGAAAAGCCTTTGCTGCTCACAGGCTGGACTGCCATGGGGAGACTGGGATCTTGCTGCTTCAGATCTGCTTCAGATTGCTTCAGATTTGCTGCTTCGGATTCAGATTGCCCCACTTGAGAATGCGACCATGATAATGTTTTCCTGGTTGCATGAACTCACTGAACCTCACAACAACTCCACAAGATACGTACTACTGTCTCACCACTTCCTAAGAGGAAACGGGAGCTTAGAGAGGTTAAGCCATTTTCCCAAGGTCACACACACTGCCCCTAAGCTGCAAAGCTGGGAAATCAAACCCAGGTTGGCCCAGTGCCCACCTGCAGCTAGAACTGGTGGGTGATGCTGGGTGAATTCAGCATCACTTTTCAGCTGTTCTCATACGCCCCAGTGATTTTCTCATTCCAAGCTTCACTCCTTCTGAAGCTCTCTGACCCATGTAAAAGGAAAGGCCTGATTCTATAACACCAAGAGTTCCATCCAACCTTATAGCCTCAGAGTCTCAAGGAACTAAGGTTTGCATTTCCCAAATGTTGAAGGTTAATATTTATGTTCATTCAATCATTCAACAAACATTCACTAAGTCCCAGGCATGGGGCTAAACCCAAGGATCCAGTAGGGCAGGAGCCCAACAGTGTCTCACAAGCTGCACAGTCCAGAATGCAGGGCAGAGATTCATTTATCAGTACAATAAATGACTACACATACTTCGGAATAACTTGTTCAAATTACATAAGTAATATTTGGTTAATATAGAAAAACATAGATAAACAAAAAGAGAATGGATTGCTTCTGCCCAGAGGTAATTTCAGTTAACATTTTGACATATCTCCTTCCAGTCTTTCATTCTGTGCGCAGATTTTAAAGTAACTCACCTTAGGCAAACATTAGATAAATGTTAAGTAGATGTTGTGCTTTTTTTTTTTTTTTTAATTTTTTTAAGACACTGTTTCTTAACTCCAAGACTTATAATTTCTTTCCTCTGGCTTGGTCTCTACCATCAGGCCTGGGACTGGTTTCTTGAAACAGGATTTTCTGTTAAAGGGATGGGAAAAGAAGGGTGACTGTGGCATTGCAAATGTAGGGGCCAGTTTTTTGAATTCCCAGCCACCAGGCTGACTTGCCACCGCCACTACCCCAGTCCCTCTCCTGGGACAGCCCTTGGACAGGCAGCCCCTCCCCAGCCTGACTCTAGGCCAGGGTTCCAGCAGCTTGAGAGATGATGTTGAGGAGGATTTGAGGATCTGGGGCCAGGTGGTAACAGTGCAGACCTTAGGTAGCCTGGGAATTCCAGAGGCCCCAGCTGGGCACCTGGAGTATCCAGGGGGAGGAAGGGCCAGCTCTTCAGAGAGAGGGTAGGGTGGTGCCATCATAGGCTTCAAAGTCATCAGACCTGGCATCAAATTGAGGTTTGGTTGCCTAGCAGATGTGTGACTTAACTTCTTTCAGCTTCAGTTTCCTCATCCATCAAATGGGAATAATACTCTTGACCTCAAAGGTTTGTGAAGTTAAATGAAATAATTATGTAAATTGCTCATCACGTAAGTACCTAATATGTGGTCCCTATTATTATGGATGGGAACCAAAAAAGGCAGCGCTAAGTCAGGAACTCCAGCCTTGGCAAAGAAAAGGGATTTTCCCTCCATCCTCAGCTAGTGGAGCCCTGAGGGGAGAAGGCGCCCTGAGGGGTAAAAATCCTGGATGAAATATAGAAGACACTGAGACTGGAAACACACGCCCAGATTGGGAAATTCTTCAGAAATCGGCAAATTTCTACTTCTAGGCCTTCTCCTCCTCCTGCTGCTTCCCCACTTGGTTCGCCCGGGTGTGTCAGTCGACTGCTTTCCTACCCAGGGAGCTTCCCTGTCAGGGCCTCTTCCTTCCTGTCCCCGTCTGGCCACTCTGTCTGTCCCCTGCCATTTCCCTTCCCTCCTTTGTCCACTGCCCTTGCCCTGCTCATTGCCCCACCCTCACCCGCCTGGCCCTTCCCGGAGCCTGGCCCTCACTGTGTCCCCTCCTTCCCCCACAGGTCTGGCCCTGGACCGGCTGAGCGCCCCTGACCCGGCCTGGATGGCGAGACTCTCTTTGCCCCTCACCACCAACTACCGTGACAATGTGATCTCCCCGGATGCTGCAGCCACGGAGGAGCCAAGGACCTTCCAGACGTTCGGCAAGGCAGAGGCACCAGAGCTGAGCCCAACAGGCACGAGGCTGGCCAGCACCTTTGTCTCGGAGATGAGCTCACTGCTGGAGATGCTGCTGGAACAGCGCTCCAGCATGCCCGTGGAGGCCGCCTCCGAGGCGCTGCGGCGGCTCTCGGTCTGCGGGAGGACCCTCAGTTTAGACTTGGCCACCAGTGCAGCCTCAGGCATGAAAGTGCAAGGGGACCCAGGTGGAAAGACGGGGACTGAGGGCAAGAGCAGAGGCAGCAGCAGCAGCAGCAGGTGCCTGTGAACATACCTCAGACGCCTCTGGATCCAAGAACCAGGGGCCTGAGGATCTGTGGACAAGAGCTGGTTTCTAAAATCTTGTAACTCACTAGCTAGCGGCGGCCTGAGAACTTTAGGGTGACTGATGCTACCCCCACAGAGGAGGCAAGAGCCCCAGGACTAACAGCTGACTGACCAAAGCAGCCCCTTGTAAGCAGCTCTGAGTCTTTTGGAGGACAGGGACGGTTTGTGGCTGAGATAAGTGTTTCCTGGCAAAACATATGTGGAGCACAAAGGGTCAGTCCTCTGGCAGAACAGATGCCACGGAGTATCACAGGCAGGAAAGGGTGGCCTTCTTGGGTAGCAGGAGTCAGGGGGCTGTACCCTGGGGGTGCCAGGAAATGCTCTCTGACCTATCAATAAAGGAAAAGCAGTGATTCATTCTCCTGTTTGCACCTGTCAAGAGGGAGAAGGGAAGAGTAATAGAGTGGGGTTTATTTGTCATCCAATCCCTGGCAAGACCGTCACACTGGGCCTGGACAGGAGTGGGGCACCTTGGTACACAGTAACAGGTACACAAATAGCAGACATGTGTGCTCTTACCCCTGTTCCCCTATCACTATGTTACCAACTAATCTGCTTCTCAGCTGCAAAATTAGAGCTAAGAAAGCACAACTATTTATAAAGCATTTACATGAGCCAGGCACCAGGCTTTACAATAGGATTTAATTTGATTTTCCAACAATCCTGGGAGGGAGGTATTATTAACCCCATTTCACAGACACGGATATGGGGCTTGGAGAGGTCAAGTGGCTTTCCCAAGATCAAGCAGGGAGTAGAGCCAGAGCCAGGATTTGGACCCAGGCTGGGCCAACACCAAAACCCATGCCTTCAACCTTGACACCAGCCTGCCAACCAAAGACAGGAGAAGGGAAGGCCCTGGAGGTGAGCTGTTGGCAGCAGTGAACTTGCTCGAGCTCCCTCGGGAAACACTGTTGAAAGGAACATTTCCAAAGCCATCCAGGCCCGCACCTCTCTACATTCCCAAGCACAAGGCAAAAGGAACTTGGATCTGAACTGATGCAGACCCGTTCTTTCCCAACAAGTAGCTCTTCAAGTGCGGATGTCATCTTTCCCAACCCCATTTGCGGGTAAACCTTCCTCTGTCATTGCAGGTTCAGGCTTGTGAATCCCAGAGGACGCTGTGTGAACTGGGTCTATGAAATCGGCACTGACAGCAGCCAGCCTTCCAGGGGATGGGGGAGGGAAGAAACAGCAGATATTTTCCCAAGGTTCAGCTTTATAATTTTCTTGGAAATTTCCGAGCAGCCAATCAGCTAGCTTCTAAATAGTGTGGGTCTCTCCTGGACACTGCAGGCAAAAGTTCCTCTATCTGCTCCTCTTTTTGTCCTTTCTTGGAGCTCAGTGCTCATGTTCACTGTTCAAGAAATGGGCCAATCATACTCCCAACTAGGGATAATGTGCATCATACATACTTGGAATACAGTGTGGTATCATTATTCCATTTTACAGATGAAGAAAATGAGGCTCCCCAAAGTTATGAGTTTCAGGGGCAGAGTTTCTCCTCACCTCACTCTAGGCCAGAGTGATCTCCTTACAGAATCTGTGATTTTCAGGCTGGATCACAGAACTGTTGGGTTCTGTGGGCCAGTGAGAGAAACTGGGGGATATCAAGCAGGCAGGCAGGGTCTCCAGCCTGACCAGCCAGGTGCCTGCTACAAAGCAACACTTGATGAATAGCTGTTGAATGGATGTATGAATGAATAAATGTGTCAATAAATGCTTCAGAGGCCCCTTTTATCCATATTGGAGCTCCAGGTAGGACTTCATTAGAAAAAAAGACTCTGTGATGTAAAAGCAAAGTCTGAGAACCACAGTACTGGAGTAGACCATGGTGACCTCCCAGTTACCAGCAGATTTTCAGTGCAGAGCAGATGTTGGGAGGGTGGAGAGAAGAGAGTGGGCAGGGGGAGATGACCTGAGGAAGCTGGAGCTATAGCTGGCAACTGGATCACTAGACACATGGGACCATTGCATCATTCTAGTTCAAAAGCCCTAAATCTGTACTCCTTGGGCACCCTGAATACTAGGTAAAACTTTGTGTCTAGACACTTTTTTAGGCAGAAGATACAAAATTCTCATCAGATTCTCAAAGGAAACCTTGACCTTTAAAAGGTTACACAGCATTGCTTTAAGATACTATCTAAACATCCACAGACATGGGCAGTTGTCATAAAGAGTCTGAACTTTATCTATTTCAACTCTTCATTTTATAGCCAAGAATATAGAAAGAAACGGCAGATGACTTGCCCAAGGCCACCTGGCAGGTTTGTGGGGGAGAGCTTTCCAAATTAAGACATTTAACTGAGTGCTTGCTCAAATCAGGATTTGGATCTGGGATTTAGTATGGTGGTCTTTTTAATACATCAAGGATTCTTAATCTGACGTCTTTGGTTAGACTTCAGGATCTATGAACCTACTGAACTACATGCAAAATTGGGAGGATATGCATTTTTTCTATGGAAAGAAGTAGGTGCTTAGATCAGATTCTCAAAGAGATTTCGGGCCCAATTAAGATTAGAAAGCACTACAATCCTCTAGGTCAGCCCTCAGCCCTGCCTTCCCTGCAGAACCTGGAGAACTCCTGCGTAGAGCTGCTCCTGTTCTGAACTTTGATCAGAATGGGGGTGTATGTACGTGAGGGACAGTGTTCTCTCCTGCACCATGTGTCCCCTCCTGATGAGCTGATACCAGCACCTTTCCCAATAACAGCTCAGAGTGAGACCGTGTCTATGGTAACAGAACTGGGTGTGTTGAACAGGAAGGTTACAGAAATTTCTTGACATCAGCCAAGATGTCAAAGCTGAGACTTTGGACACGCTCAAAACAGTTTCCACCAAGATGGGCTCTGTCCCCTGGGAGACTGAGGGAGCAGGCGAGCCAGCAAGCACTGTTACATGTCGTCCTAATTTGGAAAGCATAGAGGGACATTTTTTAAATCAATAGTCAGCCGTTCTCCAGCACCAGGAGTGCAATGCAGTGCTCACTCAGAGCCTGGAGGCAGCTCAGAGATTGACAGGCAGCTGCCTTGTCTGTCACCCAACTTCAGTTTGGCAGCTCACTGACGCTGCCTCTTCTCTGGCTGAAATAAGAGTGATGTGGCAACCACTACCTTTGAAACTCTGGAGAGAACCAAATCCCAAAAAAGAGAGGACAGGAGGAAGGAGAGGCTTGGCCTGGCACATAGTGTGTACCTAGAAAATAGATAAGCATTTTCTAGCTCCTACTAAATTTTGGGTACAACGTGGGAGGAGTAGGACATGATCAGAAACACTCATGCAACAAACATTTTGTGTTTATTGAATAATTACTAAGTGCCAGAAGTAGCACAGGAAACCGTGTGTGTGTGTGTGCGTGTGTGCGTGTGTATAGGCGGCGAGTGGGGGGCAATACAGAATTATTCATTCAAGTTATTTAAAATTATTCATTCAAATTACTTAAAGTACCTACTATGTGCTGGGTAGGCTTGGTGCTGGGCATTGGGTGGGGGGAGTTGAGTATAATCACTCACTTATTTGTTGAATGTATATTTACTGAACATCTGAGTGCCCCACACTATATTAGCACTAATGATATAGTAAACCAAATAGCCTTGTTCCCATCATAGTGTCAGGACTCCCTGAAAACAGCATCTCCGGATAGGGAAACTGAGGCAGTAGAGCTTCCCACAAAGGTCTCATTGGTGAGGGCGCCGGGCTTTAACCCAGCATCCTGACCCAGGCTGGCCCTGCTGATGGGAGCCACCTCCCTCTCGTCCTCTCACACTTCCTCTGGGGCACTGATGATGAGTCATTAATAACAGAATTTTAATGGCAAAAGCACAGCAGTACCCAGCTCTGCCAGTGAAGCCCATCCCCCTGGGGCTGGATCAAGACCGCAGTGACTGAACAGCCAAGGATTTTTGGTCCCTTGACAACACCTTTCTCACGACTCTGCCATCCTTCCCTTTCCACAGGAGAGGCCCTTCCTTTTTAAATTGGAGAGCTTAAAAATATCCTACCCCCAACCTTTGGCACCCCAAATTGAATCAGTACTTAGCTCAGTAGTGACTGAGTGGGAGGGAGAGCCACTCAGGGAGGGCTGCATCTGGCCTTCACCACAGGACGCCCAGTGGCCAGACTGTGAACCAGCCCTCGGCCCCAGCTATGGCTAGAAGGAAGTAGTCAGAAAATCCAAAATGACCACAGAGGGGAGGAGGCTGGGGAGTGGGGCTCCACAGGGAGGGCACACGGTGACATTTCACGCAGAGGGTGCCCCAGGAAGGCTCAAAAGCAATCTGTAGGGAAACGGGCTCTGGGCTCAATTCAGTGAGAGAAAACATTGGGTTAACCAAGTTCTTTACTGGAGGACTTCTTGGAACCTCAAATATGCTGATGTGTATTGTGAATCTATAAAAAGGGGACGTCTGGTGCAGCATTTCCCAAACTTATTTAACCACAGAAACCTTTTTTTGTTTGTTTTTTGGCAGAGAGCTTAGTGCACTGCACAGCTTAAAACCCTGAGCTTGAAACCTCAGGTTTCCTACCCTGCATGGGGCCTTGCACTCAGTGCTGGGGACACTGGAATACAAAGACAAGGACCCTGCTCCCAAGGAGTGCCATCTGTGGAAGGTGGCCATGTGCAGGGTCCAACAGTGGTGAGCCAGTGTGCAGGGCAGCCCTGAAAAGGAGGCAGGGAGCAGGCGAGGAGATGGAGCTAGAGGACGCTTGGGCTCCCCGGGTGAAAGAGAGGTGCTAGGAAAGTATGGCAGGACCACTAAGAAGTTGAGAGAGATGGGGTGGGAAGCAGAGAGGGAAACGTGGACAACTTTCCCCCCTCAAATCTTCTTGCCTTTGAATTGGCCAGGCTGGTTGGTCTCCACTCAGTCATGGGATTGTGGGGGGTGGGCGGTGGGCTCTCTATCCCTCCCAGACCCCACTCTCAACCACATCTATGCTATTCAACTTGGGCTAACATCCAGAAGCCAGGGAATAGCTATTCACAAATTCAGTAACTGGACTCATTAGCACTGACTCAGAAATCTTTTTTTTTCCTAAGTCTCTCTCCTGGAGAAGCTTTTAAGATCCTTTAAATTGGTTAGTGGAGAGTTTAGAGATGAGGACGGAGCCTCAGCTTTCAGCTCCCCCTGCCCGTCTCCCTGGCTCTTCCCATAATACTCAAGGGCAAGAGTGATGAGATAATCCAATATCTGTTTTATTAAACACCTAGACATTTCTGGCACATGTTTCCCAAATGGGGACCTCAAAATCTATACTCTCCAGCTTTAAGACTCCTAGCATTCAATCTACATTTACTCTCCCATGGGTAGGACAGTCATAATGCTTTCACATAAAATTGCAGTATGAACTGATGGACAAGAACTCTGGGCCAGGAGTCAGGAGGCCCAGGTCCTCACCCTGGCCCAGCGACTCATAAAGTCATGCAACCATGAGCATCACTGCCTCCTGGGCCAAAGTGAGCACAAAGGTCCTCTCTGTGGTGAAATGCCCTTGCATTTGTCTTCTAAGGTAGGAGGGCAGACACCATTGCCTTTGGTCTACAACTGAGGAAACAATATAGGGAGTCAGGTCACAGCTTCAAGGTGACATGGCCAGGCAAGTGGCAGAGCCAGACCTGGGTCTTCACACACTTTCCTCTTCTTGACTGTACTGGCGCAGGTGCTTAAGATTTGGGGGAAGGTGGGTGGGTATCTGGCCTCTTCTTTGGGACTCAAATTGTGATATCTCTCTGAGAACCCACAGGCTCCCTCTTTAGGGCTGAGGTGAGAAGTTCTGAAAGTCAAGCAGACACATCCAGGCATTTGGGCAAGAAACTTCTTCCTTCCAAATCAAAGGTGAAATGAAAACGATTATGAGCCCACGGGGGATGAACAGAGGTGAATGGTGGGCTAGTCTCGAGGATGGCCTAATTCAGAGTTTCCTAAGTGTCAGCCATTCATGGAACCACCCCTGTGATTTTTGCTACCTCTCTGGATCTGTGCCCACTTTTACGTTATGTTTTTCTTTAAACTGATTCACTATTTTTTTTTACAGTTAGCTTTATCCTAGACAGAACATCTATCAAACTACAGGTCAATATGCTAATCATATTTTTATATTATACATTAAATATATAACTAAATAGAAAATATTAATTTGAATACCATCTAAAATCTTCTTGTGAACCAGGGATACACACATCAGACATTGGCAAACAGTAGTACAGATTTAAGTGTGAGAAAACCCAGGCATAAGAAGGAAGAAGGTAAGTTATTTGCTCAAAGACAAAGGCTAAGGTGAGCACCAGGGTCTCTGGACCCTTCAGTAGGGTTTTTCATAGGTCACTGAATGCATCCTTTGGTGCACAGACCAGAAATGACTGTGAATGCATCCAAGACTCATCTGTGAGGCTACCAAGCGGGGGGAAAGATCAGTCACTTACCAGCCATGTACGTGAAATTGCTTGGGAACCTGAACTCCCGCTGGAATTTCTACCTGGAAAGGGTTGCTGATGCTCTATTTTTGTTATCCAACCTCCTGCCCGCTCTGGCCCCTAAGAGGCACCAGGGACTATGTTTTATCTCACCTTAGCCAAAACCTAGTCTTACAACACTCCTTTCCAGTGGGTAGGGGTGTGGGGGAATAGCCCTGCTGGAGGCTTCCAGGCTGGCTCCGAGATGCCCACTTCTGCAGAGGAGGCCAAGGTTGCCTGTGCTCGAGGCATGTGGTAGGCGTGAGGTTCCTGCTAGCAGGGTGTTCAAGCTGCAGAGGGAGGGGCTGGAGAAAGACTTCAGTCCTGTAACTGTCAGGTCGCTGGGCCCCGGGGCTACAAGAAGAGGTGAGAGCAACTCTTACTCTTGCTGTATATTCTTGGACTCCTACTTTGGAGCCAGCACTTCTTCAAGGGCTTGGTTCCCCAGGCATTGTTAACTCCCAACCCCAGTGACTCATGAGTGAGCAGGGCTCTTAGAGCCCTAGAAGGGTAATTCAGGCAACCTTGGGATATTGTCTCTCCTACAAAATCATCAGAGCAGCTACCATTTGTTCAATACCTACTGTGCTGTCAGGCTGTGCTAAGTCCCTTAGTGTCATCTCATTTCATCCTTATGACAACTTAATGAGTTAGGTGCTACCATTACCTTCATTTTCAGAGGTGAAGAAACTGAGGCACTAAGCCATGGAGTCCAAGTTCAGTGATAGTGGGGGTTAAAACTCAGGTTTGACTGGGCGCGGTGGCTCACACTTGTAATCCCAGCACTTTGGGAGGCCGAGGCGGGTGGATCGCCTGAGGTCAGGAGTTCAAAACCAGCCTGGCCAACATGGTGAAACCCAGACTCTACTAAAAATACAAAAAATTAGCCAGGGATCGTGGTGGGTGCCTGTAATCCCAGCTACTTGAGAGGCTGAGGCAGGAGAATCGCTTGAACCCGGGAGGCAGAGGTTGCAGTGAGCCGAGATCGCGCTATTGCACTCCAGCCTGGGCAACGAGAGTGAAACATCATCTCAAAAAAAAACAAAAAAAACTCAGGTTTGTCTTGACTCCAAAAGCTGCATTCTTTTTTTTTTTTTTTTTTTTGAAACAGAATCTTGCTCTGTCACCCAGGCTGGAGTGCAATGGCGCGATCTCGGCTCACTGCAAGCTCTGCCTCCCGGGTTCACGCCATTCTCCTGCCTCAGCCTCCCGAGTAGCTGGGACCACAGGGTCCGCACCACGCCCAACTAATTTTTTTTTATATTTTTAATAGAGACGGGGTTTCACCGTGTTAGCCAGGAGGGTCTCGATCTCCTGACCTGGTGATCTGCCAGTCTCGGCCTCCCAAAGTGCTGGGATTACAGGCGTGAGCCACCGTGCCCATCCCAAAAGCTGCATTCTTAGCCACCACTGGGGTTGGAAATGACTAGGAGACCAGAGACTACTGCTACCTACTTATCTGTCACAGAGTACTGAGCTCAGGGAATGAACCTGTTGGCTTGGACTTGGGTCTGTACCTGCAGCCCCCATGGAAAAGAGGGCTCGCAGCCTCTCCTGGGCGGCCTCATTTCCCAGAGCGGCTGACTGCTGGTAACATCTCAAGGCCTCTCCCAGATTCCTCTGCACACCAAGGCCTTTCTCATAGCAAATTCCAAGGTGGTACCTGCTCTGTGAGTCCTAAGGAGAAAATGGACAGACAAACAGATACACACATGCAGGAATGAGGAACTGACATGCTAAGGGAGGAGGAAGATGAAGTCAGGCATGCTGGGACTTCATCCACACACGGTCAAGGCCCAGTCCTGGCCCGCCCCATAGCAAGGGATCTCAACTACGAAATGCCAGAGGCTCAGAGCTCACCCAACACAAAGGAGAGGGGGATCCCTCCACCCAGGGAGATTCCAGCCAGGGCAGTGTGGAGGCTTCTCTTGCATAGGCTGGCTGAAAGCATGCACAACGAAGGCTACAGGAAACACTCAGGCCAGTTATAGCAAACCTGGGAGTCGGGCTCCTATGTTGCCCTGAAACAGCAAGGAGGCGAAGGTGGAGGGTTGTCTTCCCAAAGGCCCTGTGCCTTCCTGAATCTCTGCCTGGGAGGGCTGACAGAAAAGGAAACTCTTCTCCTTTAAAAAGCTATGCTTGGCCTGGGCGCGGTGGCTCACACCTGTAATCCCAGCACTTTGGGAGGGCAAGGTGGGCAGATCACGAGGTCATGAGTTGGAGACCAGTCTGCCCAACATAGTGAAACCCCGTCTCTAAAAATACAAAAAAAATTAGGCAGGTGTGGTGGTGTGCACCTGTAACCCTAACTACTCAGAAGGCTGAGGCAGGAGAATCATGTGAACCCGGGAGGCGGAGGTTGCAGTGCGCTGAGATCGCGCCACTGCACTCCAGCCAGGGCGACAGTGTGAGACTCCGTCTCAAAAAAACAAAACAAAACAAAACAAAAAACGCTATGCTCTTTGCCCCAGCTCTGGATCCTCGATTGTCTCTCCTCTCTCTGAGAACTATGCTCCTGGGAGGAACAGGATCAGGTAGAGGCTGGGTGTCCAGCTGCATAGCCAGACTGTCTGCACTCCCATCACGGCTCTACCACTTACCAGCTGTGTTAACTCAGGCACGTGACTCTACCTCATGGTGCCTCAGTTTTCTTACCTATAAAGTGGGATGCTAATAGCACCTACCTTATTAGGTTGTTGCAAGGATTAAATACACTATATGAAAAGTGCTTACATTCACTACATGAATCATATTCACTCTCCCAATTAAAAAAACAAAACAAAACACTATTGACTCTCAACCATGGTCCAATTTCTCTTCTACCCTCCACAGTCAAACTTCTGGGAAGAGTTGTCTACACATTCTCCCCCTGCTTCTATAACACACAGGCCAAAAGTCTCTCCAACAAACATGACAGACTCATGCCTACAGACCACGTTACAACACAGCAGTGGACACACGTAAGGCCAAAACACCACCCCTGCAACACTGCTCAGTACAAACCCAGAAAGACACAATTCCCTGTGGGGTGGAAGTGTGTTGGGTCTGAGTCCCAATACAGCGTCATATAGCAGGTGACAGATATCCTTTTGTACATTTCTCCTGCTAGCACGCTGGTCTGATTAAAGCAGGCCAGCATGCCCAGTCTTGCCCTGCACATGGATGTGCAGACCTGCCCAACTTTGGAAGGCTCTGTGGGGCTCTTTCAAGGCAAGGCAGGTACAGCAGTGGATACCTGTTGGTGACATTGGTCCCCTTTTGACAGCTACTACAGATACTCTGGGCAACACAGAGTAGACAAGGAAAAGCATTCTGATGCCCAGGAGTTCAACGAAGCTATCAGTGTATTGGCCAGAAAACAAAGGAAGCAGCAGTCCCCTATGTAGGGAGATTACAGTTCACGCATATATTGCTTGATTTAATCCAAGACTCCTGGTCCTTCAAGATGCAACTCAAAAGATATACTGGTCAAATACACTTGAGGAATACAGCAAATTACAGATGGCCTTTTCAGTGATCTACAGTGACATAAAGCTTTGAGACTTCCTATATTAACTGTTTAACTCAGTATTTCCCAAACCCATCTAACCATTTTTTTCCTCTTATGACTTACAAGCATCCCAGAGAACTAATGCTTCATGGAACACATCTGAATTGTCTGAATGCCAATGACCCCAGTTCACAGACAACCAGACATCCCCACCCACCCCAAACTGAGCAGTGTTCCCTGTTTACTGTCTCCACTTGATGCGTCTTCTAATTTCCCTGGGTTACCATCACTTGTAATGATGTGTTTTTCATGTGTACAGGTTTCACAGCACTGTCACACCTGTTAGTTATCTCAGTTAGATTTTGATCCTCACAACCACCCTGTGAAGTACTGGACAGGTAAGGCAAGCATTATTATTCTGATTTTAAAGACGAGGAAACAGGTTTGAATCAAGAAGTGACCAGGCCCAGTAGTGTGCTGGTAAATGTTGAACAACTGGCTCTCGAGGAGGGAAAAAGCCCTGTTTTATGGCATTTAGCAATTTCTGTGGTGCAAATATTCCCACCATAGCAGATTTTAAGCTGCCAACAGCTCTCACAGCCTGGTGCAAGCCAGCTCTGGCGTACTACTGCAACTGCCCAACGGTCACACAGTAAGTCAGTGAGCGCTAAGGCTTGAAGCCAGGCCAAGGCTCCTATCCAACAATCTCCTAAGCACAGAAGAACTCAGTACCAGTTCCAAAATCCCTTCTCTTATCAGGCTTCATCCCCAACATGCTTGTCCACTGAGATCGCATACCCCATTGTTGGCTGCAAGCCAAAGATATTTCACAGCTCTCTGCTCATCCAGGTAGGGCTCCTTGGTGAAAAGCACCCCGAGGAAAGCTTGGGCCTGTGGTCAAGGAGGAAGGAAAAGAAGGCATCTTGGTCACTTTCAGGCTCCACAGGCCTCAGAGACCTTGAACAGACCCTGCCAATGGCACTCACCTCTCTCAAGCCTGAGTCTGCAGCCTGCTTCAGCAAGGACACTGCCCTCTGCCGCTCAGGGTTCCACGAAGAGGCTGGGTCTCGTAGTAGGCACCTGGCATAGCGGTACTGAGCCAGGCTGTGGCCCTGGCTGGCAGCCAACTGATAATAAAGGACCGCCTGGGGCAAAGGGAGAAACACCCAGTCGGCTGGCAACTCTGTAAGCATCTTTTGCACTCAGTGAAATTTTTAAAAATTATTTTAATTAACTAATACATAATAATTATAGACTAGTCAGAAAATTCAGATAAGCTAAAATTTAAAAATATAAACCAAAAATAGAAACATAAAATCCCAAGAAATTCAGCCTCCTAAAGATCATTCTTGCTTAAAATTTTAGCGTACAGCCTTGCAAATATCTTCTCACATATATGTGTTAGACATACTCACACACATACCTTTTAGACATCTACGCATTTGCACGCACATATGTGTGGGGGGGGGCAGAGAGAGAGAGAGACTTAGATCACTCTATACTACTTTATAACCTATTTTTTTAACTTTAATAGTACACCATGAATGTCTTTCCCTGACATACAGATCTAGCACATCATTTTAAGGCCCAAATAGATGTAATTAACCAGTTTTCCATTGAAGAAACTTTCAGGTTTTTTTGGGTTTTTTTGCCTTCACATACAACTCTACGAAATACATTCTTATATATAACCTCTTTGTGTTCTTATCCCACTTTTTAAAAATTAATTAATCCATTCATCAAGATGCTATTCTAGGCTGAGGATGTAGTTGCAAAGAAGAAAGGCAAAATCCCTGCCCTCCCTGAATTTTGAGTCTAAATTCCTGGAAGTTAGGAGCTTCTTTCTTATTTTTCCTTCGCAGCTGGGCTAGAACCAAGTGGAGAAAAGAAGCCAAACTTTCCCCCATCCCTGCCCACTGCTCATTTCTAGACATCAATCTCAGCAGCCCAGCACAGAAGGCAGGCTTGGGGGCAGGGGAATACCTTGCTAATGTCCCTGGGGGTGCCTCTGCCATGCTCATGACACAAGCCCGCATTGTACTGCGCTTTGCTGTAGCCGCGGGCTGCAGCTTTCTGGAAGTAAGAAAAGGCTGCCGTGTGGTCGCCACTCTTCATGTTCTCTGTTCCTGTAAGAAGGCACAGGGCACAAACACAGCTTCCTCAGTGAACTTCCCCACACCCTCAGCCAGGTACCTACAGACTCCTCATCTGATCCTCCTCCCTTTCTTTTTTTGTGCCAGACACTTTACATATATATATATATATATATATATTTTTTTTTTTTTTTTTTGAGATGGAGTCTTGCTCTGTTGCCCAGGCTGGAATGCAGTGGCGCAATCTCAGCTCACTACAACCTCCACCTCCTGAGTTCAAACGATTCTCCTGCCTCAGCCTCCCAAGTAGCTGGGTTTACAGATGCCTGACCCCATGCCTGGCTAACTTTTGTATTTTTAGTAGAGATGGGGTTTCACCATGTTGGCCAGGCTTGTCTCAAACTCTTGATCTCAGGTGATCCACCTGCCTCGGCCTCCCAAAGTGTCGGGATTACAGGCGTGAGCCACTGTGCCTGGCCTTTGCATATATTTCTATCTTCTAAATATTTCACTGGTTTGCCATGGACAGCAGTGGGTTCTGCCCTACTATAAACCATTCCTCCTTCTCTTGGTAGTAGCATCTAGATTTCCCATTGGGAACAACACCTCCCCTAGTGCTGTCAATCAATGTGCTTGTGTTCTTCCTAACCACGGAGGTTCTTTCTCAGGAATCTGAACCTTGATCTGGTTGGGACAAGGAGAGAAAACAGCCCTTGTAGGTTTATTCTGACAGCAGCACTCTGAAGATACTATCAGCTGCTGCCTCTTAGGTCTCTGAAGCTTCCCTGATTCCTGTCCTTTCTGAGGCTTGGCAGGTCAATAGATCCCAATAGATTCCTTTTATGTTTAAGTTAGCCAGAGTGGGTTTAGGTTGCTCATAACCAACAAACCCTAACTGATACAAGTGATACTGTTAATCTTGTTTCATGAAGAAATTGGGAGCGGTAATACAGCAGTGTCAAGACCTGAATGCAGGCACATCCAACCCCAAAGTCCATGCTCTTTTCATTGCCCAAACAAAAAGGAAACAGGAAAGGATGAGGGCACGGCCAATTCTCAACTCAAGGCCTTTGCTTCAATTGTCTCTCCTGCCTGGGATCTTTCTTTCCGCCTCCACCATCAAAGCTCCCATCCTGTGTCTGCTCTAAACCTTCGGACCACACTCAGGCTTAAACACTTTTTTGGCACTTACTTAATATACCAAGCCTTTTTCTACAAACTAAACCGTTTCAAAAGTACAAGTCCTGTCTCCTCAATTAGACTGTAAAATCCTGGAGGCAGAAGCAGAAAAAGAATGTAGAAGAAATAATTTTGCCTAGGGTGAAGGCGCCATACAAATGCAAAACATGATTATGGCTTATGCTCCTTTCGCGTTCTGCCACCATGCCAAGCGCTTGCTGAATAAATGAATATATGAATGAAGGGATGGGCAAGTAAATTCTGAGAAGAGACTCTTTGCCCATCAAAATCACATAAAGCTCATGAGGGAGAAACCAGGTTCCATTCAGCCAGCAGTGAATTAAATAAAGTTGCCTCCTTGCTGCCTGAAAACTCACTGTCCAGGGTTGACAGAGCCCTCTGCCCTTGGGTAGAAGACTCAAGAGTGCAAAGGATCCCACCATCCTCCTCTTTCCCACCTGGCTCATTAATATAACCAGATCCATCTACTCTTCTTGCTCTCTTCTTTCTCTCATCTAGACCATGCCACTGACATGTTTTGTTCAGCCGTCACCAACAGCGCCTGCCTCGTCTCCTTTTTCCCCCCGGCAATCCTACAATCCATGTCTGTCTACATGGCAGCCAGAGAGATCTTTGGAAAAGTACATCAGATCATGTGGCTGCCCCCTTTCCTGCTCCTGCTTAAAGCCCTCCAAAGACTTCCTGTCTCACTTAGAAAATCCACACTCTTTACTGTGGCTCAGAAGACCTCACCTGATCTGACCCCTGCCTGCTTTTCTGGCTTTATCTCCTTCCGCCCTTCCCAAGATCTCTAAGCTCCAGCCACACTCACCTTTCTTTTGTTCCTCTAGCAATCAAAATCCAATCCTGCCTCAGGATTTTCGCGCTTACTGTTCCCGCCACTTGGAAAGCTCTTTCTCCAGATTGAAACAAAAGTGGCTGTCTTTGTGACAGGTCTTAGATCAAAGGTCTTCTGCTCAGTGAGGACTTCTAAATCAAAAACTGCTCCTTGCTCAAGTCACTAACACATTCCTTTATTTTCTTCATAACATCTATCAACATCTGAAATTCTCTTTTTGTTTCTCAATTATTGTTTTTCTGCTCCCTGAGAATAAGGACTTTGTCTTGTAAATCACTGTATCCCCAGTACCTAAAACAGGAACTGGCAAAAGGTAAATGCTCAACAAATTTGTTGTGAATGAATCCCAGCCTCTTGCCTATCTGCCCACTAGACCCCAATAGATGCTGTGGGGAGTCTGAGTCTCCGCATTAGAAGGCCTAAAATGAGCCAAGTTACTGCAAAGAACAGGGCAAATGGTGGAAGGGTATTTGGAGTCCCCACATGAGGGTTAAGAGGTTCCTGTTCACACATCGAGGATCTGCTCCAAACCCCAGGAGCCTGTTCTTTCCTAAGTGTGGCAGAGAATGCTACGTGCCCTCCAAGATTATTTTTTCCTTCATACACAGTAACTAGTCTCCTCTGTGGCGAGGTGTGGCCATGTGCCTATATTCTGGACAAGGATTTGTGCAACGTCTAGATTAAAGGGAAGGAGTGATCCTTTAGCTTCCCTACCTTGCCCCGACCAGCTGGCTAGAATACGGACAGGAGGGCAGGAGCTGGAATTGCCAAACTGCGCCTCAAGATGGGAGCCAGTTTTAAAAATGGCAGGACACATCTGCATAAGAATGGGTCCCTGCCATGCCAGATTTGGTCTACCTACCTGGGAGAAAATAAAATCTCTCGTTTAAGCCACTCCCTATCTTGACTATATCTGAGCTACCCCATACCCTTTCCATTTTCCCACCCTCCTGCCTTGGGGCAGGGTCCATTTGGTTACCCAGGAAGTTGAAAGCGATGGAAACACTGAGCTGGAAGAGCTGCTGAATGGAAGTCACAGCCTCCTCAAGGGAAAGAGTTTTTGATTTATCTTGTTCCTGGGAAAGAAATATAAAAGACTCACCAAGGGATGGTTTACCAGGATTGCCACCTGCCCAAGAGAATGTTATGGGGATCCAGGTGGCCAAATCTGGATAATACCTTTTCACCAGTGGGCTGAGGCTGGGCTGGTTTTGCCTCGGACTCGATGCTACTACTGGCATGCAGGAAGCCAAAATCACCGGGACCTGCAAGGGAAAGGCCGACACCCGGCCAGGGCAAAGGAGAAAGTTGTACTTCTTTTCTCCGACTCTCCCAGTCTACCCAGGCTTTCCAGCCAGCACCCTTGCCAGGAACCGAAATAACCCTGAATCACCTCACAAGGCATGGGACCTCACAGGAGTGCCAATTCCCTTCGCAGCAAACAACGTCCATCTTGCCCAGCTCACCACCACCGCCCCCTGCCTTCTGCTGATTCCATGAGGCAGGGACATACCTTCCTCAGAGGGGTCCTGAGGACGAGCTCCTCTCAAAGAGTTGTGTGAGAAGTTCCGGGGCTGAGCTGAGGCTTCTTCCTGGCCAAGCCTGGGTTCCCTGAGGCCAGTGTGCCTGGGAGCTGGGCCATCGGGGCTGGGGAGGATGTGTTGTCGCAGTGCTGGAAAGAGCCAGCAAGAGTAGTCAGGTCTGGGCCAGGCGCGATGGCTCACACCTATAATCACAGCACCTTGGGAGGCCGAGGCGGGTGGATCACCTGAGGTCAGGAGTTCAAGACCAGCCTGGCCAACATGGTGAAACCCCATCTGTACTAAAAATACAAAAAATTAGCGGGGTGCAGTGGCACATGCCTGTAATCCCAGCTACTCAGGAGGCTGAGGCAGGAAAATTGCTTGAACCCAGGAGGCGGAGGTTGCAGTGAGCCAAGATCACACCACTGCACTCCAGCCTGGGTGACAGAGCAAGACTGTGTCTCAAAAGAAAAAAAAAGAGTGATCAGGTCAGAAGAGGATCAGTGCAGGCTGCTCGGGCTTGACTGAGTCCTCCCTGAGGTTTTAGAGGCCATAGGAAGAATTTTGAAACTCCTGTGACACTTCCTTCACACTCCTCCTCCTCTGTTTCCTTGGCTTCCCTCCAGAGGAGTCTAGAGGGGCCTGTATTTGTGCTGATCTCCCACCCTAAGCATCAATCACTCCTCTGCCTAAATTCTTCAGTGGCAGGGAGGCATCTACCTTACTCACTGTTGTAGCCCCAGTACCTAGCACTTTCTTTGATAGCAATATTGCTAATGATTATCATCATAATAAGGACAAGAACTAATGCTTAAACTAATAATTACTACACACTTACTATGTGTCAGGCACTGCCCTAAGTCCTTGACATGTATTAACTCATTTAGTCCTCCCAAGAAACCTATGGGGTGGGTTTTATTATTACCCCAATTTATAGATAAAGAAACCGAGGCAGAAGGAAGTTAAAAGTGACTTGTTCAGGGACATAAGACTAGTATGCAGCAATTTTGGGACTTGAACCTCTATAATCTGACTCCAGAGCCTCAACCACTAGGCTATGTTGCTTCTGCACCATGGCACATAATAGGTGCTCAATAAAGATTCATTTATTTATGAATGACTGAGTGACTGACCAGAGAATAATTTAACTGGTTGAATGTGGGCCAGGAAGCCACACCCAGAATCTAAAGTAGTCTGGACCCTGTGGGCCTCCCTTGGTTGGAGGTGATGGGAGGAAATGGAAAGACACTGAGGGGCAGGTGTGGCCCATGCCCTGGGTGGATAGAACTTCCCCACATTCCTCTTCCTCTGACTTCAGATAGGAAAGGCAAGGAGCTGCTGATGGCTCTTTTCCTGAGGTGTGTCCAGAGACGCTTCCTGGCCCAGAGAAACGCCCAGCCCAGCCCTCCTGTCCCCAGGACTGAGAACTCACAGGAGCATGGGTGCCACAAGGGAGATGAGAAGAAACGGTCCAGGGGACTGTGCCAGGAGCAGTGTTCTACCCGCTGAGGTCCTGCTGGCAGGGATGCCTGGAAGTGGATCTGCCTTGCCAGCTGCAGGGCCAGCACGGCCAGAGTGCCCTGGGAAAGACAGCACGTTAAGGACACGGTCCTTCACCAATCAACTCCATCAGACCCGGCCTTATTCTCAAACATCACTTCCTCAGGAAATCCAGGTGGGGCAGCTCCCCGACTACAAACTTTCACAACACCCTAACTTCTCTGGAGCCCTGACCACACTGGCATTTAAACAATCATCTCTACATTTATTTATCTAAGGTCTGTCTCTCCTGTTAGTCTATAAGCACGACATGGGCAGGGACCATGTGTGTTTTACTCACCAATGTATCTCTGGTGCCCAAGTACAGCACAGTGCTAATATATAGTAGGGACCTAATAAGTACAACCTGAATAAATGCTTGATCAAGTGACTAAATAAGCGAAGACTAAGCAGGCAAAAAGATAATGGGGTAGGTTGGCACCTAGTTGCAAATATAGCAACAGGTCAGAGTTCCCCATTAGGCTCTCTTTCCAGTCTTGCACAACCCCTCCTTCCACCAACTCCCATTCCCCCAGTGAAGCCACCCCAGCACACACACATCTCCAGGTGTAAGCTTTGTAAAGGTGTTTCTTCTCTGACAGGTCTGCAGAAGACCTGAGCTAGCTCTTATCCCAGAGACTCCTTGGTTTTCCCTGTCTCCTGTCTCTCCTTATGTTATGCTTAAGAAGGTTGACCCAGGGTCGGGTGCAGTGGCTCATGCCTGTAATCCCAGCACTTGGGAGGCTGAGGCAGGTGGATCACTTGAGGCCAGGAGTTGAAGACCAGCCAACATGGAGAAACTCTGTTCCACTAAAAATACAAGAATTAGCCAGGCGTGGTGGGGCACACCTGTAATCCCAACTACTCGGAGGTTGAGGCATGAAAATTGCTTGAACCTGGGAGGCAGAGGTTGCAGTGAGCCAGGATCGCACCACTGCGCTCCAGCCTAAAAAAAACACACAGGTTGACCCAGATACTTACTTGTTGCTCCAGGCACTGCATACAATAGCAAGTAAGACAGACATAATTTCTGCCCTCATGAAGTTTATATCTTGTGTTTAGAAAGACAAAACACAACTACAGAGAGAAATAGAGTAATTACTAGTGATGTTAAATGCCAAGAAGGAAACTAATCAGAGAGTTACACAGAGCATAAAAGGGGTCCTGACAAGACAAGGAGTCAGGGAAAGCCTGTCTGTGGGGGTGACGTGTGGGCTAAGGCCAGAAGAAAAGGCACCAGCATTGTGAAGAACAGAGACAAGTATCCATGGTACTGAGGACAGCTTGCGTGCAGACCCTTTCATATGAGCAGTAGTGACAGAGCACAGGGATGGCATTGGGACTTCTGGAATCCAGGCCCACTTCCTACTTCTCACTATGGGACAGCCCTAGGGCTCAGATCTTCTTTGGCAACATGGGAAAATGCTCCTCTCTTCAGGGTATGATATGGCCTTAGTCCACAGCTCCCCATAGAGGGGTAACCCTGTCATGGAGACATCCCAGGCTCAGCTCTGCTGATGACACCAATTTACAGATGAGAAAGCCAAGGGTCACACAGGTCAAGTCATTTGTCCAAAGTACACAGCACGAAAGCAGCAGGGATGAGCTGTGACAAACATGAGAGTGATGTGTGTGTCAACTTCATTCAGAAGATCTTATAAGCAGAACTTCCACCTGGAACATTGCCTGAAAAGCGAAGACTCTGCCCTATGAGACCTAGTGTTCACTAGTAAGAATCTGACCTTATAGATCAGGTTCAACAAATATTTTTGAGCAACTATTACGGGCTAGGCTCTGTATTTGATGCAGCAACCAAGCAGTAGAACATGAACTCCAGAGTTAAATCTGGCTCCTCCACTTAACAGGTATGAGACCCTACGCATGTTACCTAATATTTCAGAGCCTGAGATTCCTCAGCTGTAAAATGAAGGTGATATTTCCCTTGTAAGATTTTTGTAAGGATTACACAAGATAATGCATGTATAATACTTTACATTAATAAATAATGCTATAAGGCCGGGCGCGGTGGCTCACAGCTGTAATCCCAGCACTTTGGGAGGCCGCGGTGGGTGGGTCACGAGATCAGGAGTTCGAGACCATCCTGGCCAAAATGGTGAAACCCCGTCTCTACTAAAAACACAAAAATTATCCAGGCGTGGTGGCACGTGCCTGTAATCCCAGCTACTTGGGAGGCTGAAGCAGGAGAATTGCTTGAACCCGGGAGACGGAGGTTGCAGTGAGCCAAGATCATGCCGCTGCACTTCAGCCTGGGCGACAGAGAAAGACTCTGTCTCAGAAAAAAATAATAATTTAAAAATAAAAAAAATGAATAATAAAAAAAAGATGCAATGTATTATTATTTATTGTAAGATCCATGAAGGCAAGAATGTATCTATCTTGTTCTCTGCTATGTCCGTAGTGACTAGCAAAAATGCCTGGCCCAGACAAGGTGTTACATAAATGTTTACTGAATTAAATGAGGAAAACATACATGGCGGGGGTGTGGAAAGTGGCAATATCTCCTTGAATATGCTCCAATACCATGGGTTACTTGTTAAATGGACACAGTGATTCCCTAGCCCTTGTTCCAGGTTCGGCTGTATACCCATGAAGGATCATTCTCATCTACACTGAAGGTCAAGGACCAGGCTGGGGAAGCCTTACCCAAGATATGGCATCCCATAGGGTGTTCGGGGAGACACGGGAAGACATCCATTGGAAGGCATCCTTCCATCCATGGGACCTTGGACCCCCGCTCGTGCCTGGGCCATGGGGACCTGACCTAGATGATGAAATAAGAGGCTATCAAGTAGGGGCAAAGGGAGACCAGGGACTGGGTGCGGTGGCTCACACCTGTAATCCCAACAATTTGGGAGGCTGAGGTGGGTGGATCACGAGGTCAGGAGTTCAAGACCAGCCTGGTCAAGATGGTGAAACCCCATCTCTACTAAAAATATAAAAATTGGCTGGGTACAGTGGCTCACACTGTAATCCCAGCACTTTGGGAGGCTGAGGCGGGCAGATCATGAGATCAGGAGATCAAGACCATCCTGGCTAACATGGTGAAACCCCGTCTCTACTAAAAATACAAAAAAAATTAGCCAGGCGTGATGGTGCATGCCTGAAATCCCAGCTACTTGGGAGGCTGAGGCAGCAGAATCGCTTGAACCCAGGAGGCGGAGGTTTCAGTGAGCCAAGATCGCGCCACTGCACTCCAGCCTGGGCGACAGAGCGAGACTCTGTCTCAAAAAAAATAAAATAAAATAAAAATTAGCAGGGTGTGGTGACGGGTGCCTGTAATCCCAGCTACTCGGGAGGCTGAGGCAGAGAACTGCTTGAACCTGGGAGGCGGAGGTTGCAGTGAGCTGAGATTGCCCCACTGCACTCCAGCCTGGGCGACAGAATGAGACTCCATCTCAAAAAACAACAAAAAAAAAAAAATAAAAAAAAAGGGTGACTAGGGGAGGAAATGAGTGGTAAAATGGCAGTATCTTACCTGTCGAGGTTAGGCACAGGAACCAGCAAAGTGGAGGAGGTAGTCTGAGGCCCATCTGGGCTGGTGGACTTAGGAGTCACCCTCCAGAGGCTAGGTCCCAGTGTACGGGGAAGAGCTGTACAGAACAACCAAAACTCAGGCACCTCAACAAGAACCCAGGAATCACTGTCATCTGCCTCAGCAGAGGTTCTTAAACATGGATACACATGGGAATCTTTTATCTACTACAGATTCTAGGGTAGTACCCCAGAACCAATAAACTAAGATTTCTCAGGGTAGAGCATCCACGTTTTTTAAAAGCGCCCATGTGATTCTGCTGGTCTCCTGTGGATGCCAACCACTGTTCTAAGATGACCAAACGTTCATACATATACTCTCACTAATGTTTGGGGCTCTTTGACTCTAAACCTCTCCTCTCTTCACTGGCTATGCCTACTCCATTGGCCCCTAATCCTCTTTCATTCATTCAGTCCACCATCTCCTGCCATTGGACTCCTCCCCCTCCCAACAGTCCTACCAACTTCTTGGACTCCACCCTCTTCTAGCTAGGCCCATCCACATCTCAAATTCCAGCAGCCCCTGACTTCCCCGCCCTCTTTCAAGCCCCGCCTTCCTTGGCTCTAACCCGGCCCACGATCGCTTCGGCTGTTTCCTCGGGCCCGCCCCCACTCCAGTTCGGTCTTTGCGGCCCAGAGTGACGCTGGTTGCTTGGACGTCCCTTACCTCGGCCCAGGAGTCCCGGGAGGCGCCACATGTCGCTGCCAGCACCACAGAGAGCTCGCAGCCGAAAGCGCGAGACCAACCCTTGGGACAGCGGCTAGAAAGGCCGCCGCGATGCCCCGAGTGGCCGAGTACCCGAGGAAGCTCTGAGCTGGCCAATTAGAAGGGAGCCCGGCCGGAAAGACGGCGCTGCAGAGAGGAAGTGCAGGGCGGAGGCGTATTCGGGGCCAGCGGGGCGGTGACGTGCGGCAAGGGCATGGGGATGTGGGCCCAGGCTTCCGTGGGGGATGTCCTTGGCGTTCCCAAGCCGAGGCAGGGGACCGCAGGTGGCGAAGCGAGCCACCCGGAAGCGGGACCTTCGGGAAGTGGGGCTGGAGCGGCTTCAGGGAAGTAAGAGGACCTTGCAGACCGTGAGGCCGCGAACCAGGAAAGGCTTCTCCAGGCCCTAGGCTTGAGGAAGTGGGAGTAACCAGGCTCCATGGGCGGAGGAGAGGACCCCCGGGGTCCCACAAATGAAGCCAGTAGGCCGGGCTTCCGTCCAAGGCCACCTGCCTGGAGATGCCAGGCCAGGGCCCGACTGCGTAGGCGATGAGAAACCGCACAGGGCAAGGCTTTGATTCTGGGTTCTAGCTCCGGTCCAGCTTTATCTCACTGTGCAGCTTCATGCCAACCCCTTACCTTGTCGGGGCCCCAATACGCGCCAGATAGGGTCAAATGGAATGACTGGCCTGACAAGCTGAGATTCTTGGGTAGCTCCTTTCAAAATACCTGAGACACCACCCGCGCCCTATTAGAACCCTCGTCTTCAGACGTGGCAAAAGTTATGTATGTGTTTGTTCTTTTGTGGAAAAGAATAGTTCCGTCTGGTCCCGGTGGCTCACGCCTGTAATCCCAGCACTCTGGGAGGCCGAGGCGGGCGGATCACCTGAGGTCAGGAGTTTGAGACCAGCCTGGCCAACATGGTGAAACCCTGTCTCTACTAAAAATACAAAAATCAGTTGCGCGTGGTGGTGGGCGCCTGTAATCCTAGCTACTCTGGAGGCTGAGGCAGGAGAATTGCTTGAACACGGGAGACGGGAGGTTGCAGTGAGCCGAGATCGCGCCTGGGCGACAGAGTGAGACTCCATCTCAAAAAAAAAAGGAAAAAAAAATAGTTCCTTTCACCACATTTGAATCCGTGAAATAACGGAGCTTACATTCAAGTATAAGATGTTTAGATTTCCTCCCTATCCCCTTCCTCCAGGTATGTGACTTTAAGGTGAGTGGAAGTTGCTACCTGGGGTAAAAGTGTACTGGGGGCACCTACTTTTAGACCGAGGCATGTGGCTTGAAAGTTGTATTAATATGTTAGACAACTTTTTTTTTTCTTTTGAGACGGATTCTCTGTCGCCCAGGCTGGAGTGCAATGGTGTGATCTCGGCTCACTGCAACCTCTGCCTCCCAGGTTCAAGCGATTCTCTTGCCTCAGCCTCCCAAGTAGCTGAGATTACAGGCGCCTGCTACCACATCCTGCTAATTTTTGTATTTTTAGTAGAGACAGGGTTTCACCATGTTGGCCAGGTTGGTCTCGAACTCCTGGACCTCAGGTGATCCTCCTGCCTTGGCCTTCCAAAGTGCTGGGATTACAGGCTTGAGCCACCGTGCCTGGCCGTTAAAGAACTTTTGAGCCATATATCAGCCCGTTCTAGGATCTGAGAAGACAGCTGAGGAAAGAGCATTTGTGGCCTCCAGGAACACGGTCCAGTGGATTAGTAGTGGGCTTTGGAGTCCCACAAATCTGGGTTGGAATCACAGCTTGCTTACTTCGTAGGTATGTTATCTTGTGCAGGTTCCTTAACCACACTAAGTCTCAAGAGCTTCATCCGTAAAATAGGGAAAATACCTCATGCAATTGTTGTGAGGTTTAAATAAAATAATATGTTAAAAATGTTTAACTTGGTGTTTTGGGAATACCCTTCAAAAAATAAAAAATAAATAAATAAAAATGTTTAGCATAGTTCCTGGCACATAGTAAAAGCCCAGTAAGTGTAAGTTGCTATTAATTATATTAGTAGGGGAGGTAAGCAGGCAAGTGTAATAGGTTAGGTTCCCATAGAAGCATGAACAATGGATTGTGGGATCCCTTGGAAGGCTTCAGAAAAGTAGTTGCATTTGAGCGGGGCCTTTAAATGTGAATAAGAGCTTGCCAGGTGGAGAAGGAAGAAAGGCATTGCAAGCGGAGGAAACAATAAATAAAGGCCCAGAAGTTTGAATGTTGGACAACTATTCAGAAATAGCCTTGCTTCGGGATTTGGGACGGCAACCTTTCACATTCCTTGTGTTGCTGTCCCGAAAATAAAGTAACAAACAAGTATGCTGGTTTGGCTGTGTTCTTCCTCCTGCGTCTTTTGTACCCTCCTTCCTTTCAGACTATCCATAGTTTGTGTCATTTCTCAAGGTTCAGCCCAATCCCAGCTCTTCAGTGTAGACTCCTCAACTGTTTGAGCCCTCCCTGCTCCCTACTTTTCCCAATTCCTATAGCACTTAATTTCTTACTACACAGTTTAGCAGTAATTATATGCTGTCTTGGTATTTATCTCATTTGTGTAACTCTAGCCTTCCCAGTTCTCTCCTTTCAGGACAGGAATAGCATTTCCCTATTCCGTGTCCCACATAGGGCTTGACATAAATTGTCAGCCCAAAGAATATGTCCAAACAATCCCTGTTGACAGAACATCTTGTACTAATGATTATTACAGCCAAGGGTACCAGACCCCAGCCAGGGGATTTACTGATTTGAGTGGAAATGTATTCATTGCAGATACAAACATTCATTGAGGGCCCTCCCTGTTTGAAGCTAGTTGAAAAGTTTTGAAGGAGAGACTAGGACATCTGCCCCCATGTATAGAATGGCATTATGGCATCTCTTGTCCCCATAAACAGAAACATCAGACCACTTGTGTGAGGGTAGATGGCGAGGGTGGCTGGAGCCCACAGCAGATCACCTGTTGAGTGCAGCTCACGGGAGTGCTGTTGGTTGAATGGCAGCTGCCTCAACTGCCAGACCCCAAACTCTGTGGTTTTGGATTGTGGCTCAGTCCCTCTACACAGTCCCTCAAGTTGACTCAATCCTCCACAAAGGTAAACTGACACTGGGAACCTATTGCCTGCTGTCCAGTTAATCACCTTTCATGATGACTACACATGCCATTGTGTACTTTGTGTACTGTCACTACAGTGAGTATTCTAGATACTTGTTGCCTTCATTTTTGTAGGCATTCTTAATTTGCATTAATCAAATATATGACAGCTTATTTAGTGCTAAAGGATATGCTAAGTATATAACAATTTTAAAACATGGATGTGGGCAGGGCGCAGTGCCTCACGCCTGTAATCCCAGCTCTTTGGGAGGCCGAGGTGGGTGGTTCACGAGGCCAGGAGTTCAAGACCAGCCTGGCCAACATGGTGAAACCCCATCTCTACTAAAAAAAATACAAAAAATTAGGCGTGGTGGTGCGCATCTGTAATCCCAGCCATTTGGGAGGCTGAGGCAGAAGAATCACTTGAACCCAGGAGGCAGAGGTTGCAGTAAGCTAAGATCGCACCATTGCACTCCAGCCTGGGCGACAGAGCAAGACTCTGTCTTGAGGAAAAATTAAAACAAAACAAAACAAAACATGGATGTGGTCCTTGCCCTCACAGAAAATAGCCTAGGAGTGCAAACAAAGTCAGTAAGCAATTAAAATACAGAGTGGTGTTTTAGTTACTTATTGCAGCATAACAAACACCCCAAAATTGAGTGGCTTAAAACAATCATTATCTCTCACAGTTCTGCAAATTGACTGGGCTCAGCTGGGCAATTCTGCTGGTCTCACTTGGGGTCTCTCATGAGGTTGTAGTCAGATGGCAGTCATATGAAGACTCAAGTAGGGCATTGGAAAGGCTGGGCCTCTTTCTCCATGTAGTCTCAGGTCCCCTCTGCGCCACATGACCTCTCCAGCTGTGTCGCTGAACTTCTTACACAGTGGCTCAGAGCTTCCAAAAGTACACAAGTGGAAGCTGGCAGGAACTGGCATAGCATCACTTCTGCACTCTGTTGGTTAAAGCAACTCACAGGGTCAGCCCAGAATCAGTGTGGGAGGGGAAAACATAAGGTCACAAATACTGGGAAGTAGACTTTGGAGACAAGCAAGTGCTGTTGTGAAGAAAGTACAGAGTGCTATGGGAACACCCAGGGAAGGCCCATAACCTAGGCATGGAAGTCAGGAAGACTTCCTGGAAGCAGTGATGCTAAATTAACCTGAATGATGAGGCCTGGAAACTAACCAGGTGAAGAAGAGGAAAAGAAACCCAGTTCAGGCAGGGGACACAGCTGACTGATACAAAGTTCCAGAAAGGCAAAGAAAGCACAGTTTAAGATCACTGTAGCTGGAGCCGGGAGGGAGGCATGGAGTCATGGCGATGGGGTGGTGATAGGCCTTTAGTCTGGAGAGGTAAATAGCGCAAGGTCATAACGCCTTGTAAGCCCGTAAAACATTTGGACTCTGTCCTGAAGGCACGAGACATCTAGGAAGGGTTTTGGCAAGGGAGTGACCAGGCCAGAGGGATCCAAGAAAGGCTATTGGCTGCTGTATTAGTGGGGGTCAAGCCCTCATTTTCACCCTGTGCCTTCTAGGCCAGTGACCTCACCTTCAGCCCTGAGAAAGCTGAGTCATCACCTCAGCACTGATACTAGTACTAGCTCCTCTTGCTTTTGCTTTTTATTAGTGGGGATTTTGTTTTTATTTATTTTTTATTTTTTGAGATGGAGTCTTGCTCTGTCGCCCAGGCTTGAGTGCAGTGGTGCAATCTTGGCTCATGGCAACCTCCGCTTCCTGGGTTCAAGCAATTCTCCTGCCTCAGCCTCCTGAGTAGTTGGGATCACACACCCAGCTAATTTTTGTGTTTTTAGTAGAGACGGAGTTTTGCCATGTTGGCCAGGCTGTTCTCGAACTCCTGACCTCAGGAGAGGAGGTCTGACCAAAGTGCTGAGATTATGGGTGTGAGCCACCACACCTGGCTGGGATTTTTCTTATAAAACTGCAAATGCCTTTATACAAATATTTTTGTTTTAATTGCTTTTTAAAGAACATATCATAGAAAACCTACCTGGTAGGGATCTGGACATGGGGTTGGTCAGGGGTCAATTTATTTTATTTTATTTTATTTTATTTTTTGAGTTGGAGTTTCGCTCTTGTTGCCCAGGCTGGAGTGCAATGGCACGATCTCGGCTCACCGCAACCTCCGCCTCCCGGGTTCTAGGGATTCTCTTGCCTCAGCCTTCCAGGTAGCTGGGATTACAGGCATGCGCCACCACACCCAGCTAATTTTTGTATTTTTAGTAGAGACGGGGTTTCACCACGTTGGTCAGGCTGGTCTCGAACTCCCGACCTTAGATGATCCGCCTGCCTCGGCCTCCCAAATTGCTGGGATTACACGTGTGAGCCACCACACCCGGCCAGGGGTCGATTTATACTTAAGTGTGACGTATATTAAGGAAGAGCCCACTGGCAGGGAGCATAGAGCAAGCCAAGCTCAGTGGATTTGACCCCTCAGATAAATAATGGTCGTTGAAAAGCTCCTACTCTAGTAAAAAGTCAAATAATACTAAAGGCTTATATCAAAAGACAGCAGACCTCTGCCACACGCTCTCTACCCTCTAATCCTACTCTCTAGAGGCAACTCTGTAAAGTGTCAGAAAGCAGCACAGGAGAGCAGGGCTTCTAGAATTGAATTGTCTAGCATCCAACACAACTGTCTCCCTTAGCAGCTGGGTTATCTTGGTCAAGTTCATTATAATATCTTTTCCCTTAGTTTCTTCATCTGTATGATGGGAATGATAATGGTATTCTTCTTATGAGATGACACAGTTAAACTGCTGGGCACACGGTCTATAAATGGTGGCTGTATTTGATGATGATGAAGAAGAATCTAACTTAAGAGCAGCTGTGAGTACACCTAGAGGTTAGCTGCACACTAAACAAATAAATGTAAGGCGTGTTTATGATTTGGCGGAAATGACAAGAACACAGTCTCAGTTGGAAAGGTCTGTCTCTTCCCTTTGTTCTAAGGCTAAACTCTGTTCTCAGTCCCATTCCCTTCCTGTCCCTTTTAGAACCTTGTCTCTATAATTATCCCGACCCTCATGCCAAAGCATACATCTTTCTCCTACCTTTTTCCTTTCCGCCTGTGAAATATACACAGGCCTTTCCAATCTTGGGGGAAAAATTCTTTACTTGATCCTCCTGCCCTTTTCAGCTACCATTCTGTTTCTTTCTCCCTACTGCCAGATTTCTTAATTAAGTAATAACACACATGCTACCTTCCATTTCTGCATGACTCCTGCACTTTTCAGCCTTGTCTCCCAGCTTCCATCCCTTTTCTTCTGACACAGGGATCACTAGGGTCATCAAAGACCACCTCATTAACCACCAGTGGACCTTTGCTCCATCAGACACCTTGAGCCAGAGCACTTGACTCAGTTGACCATCCACTCCTTAAACGTCACACGCAAAACCTCATCATCTGCTTCCATTTTTCTGCTATTGTGTAGTTTCCCCAAGCCACCCAGGAAAGGAATCTTGAATTCATTGTTGGCTCAACGCTTCCTTCTCTGCCCTCCCCAATACTAGTTTTCTGTTTTCTTTTTTTCCTCTGGTTCAGGTTTTCCCATGACCCCACACTAGTTTTGACTCTTACTTCAAATATTAGAAACTCACTGAAGCTAGCTTTTGAAAAAGTTTTATCAGGGTATGGAAGAGTGGACAGGACATTTAATGAACCCCAAGGGAAGAGACAGCTGGGACCCAGGAAAGACCAGAATTATGGACTCAGGAGGCAACAAAGTGAGCCCTTTCTCTCTGGCTTTCTGTCTGGCTTTCTCATGATTTGCCCAGATACCCCAAAGGTGTCAGACACTCCCATACCCAGTTGGTCACTGGGTCCTGTCAAAATCACCTTCTTTTGCATCAGACTCTTAAATCTGTCTCCTCTTCAGCTTCCCTGGTCTCTACATCTCTCTAGCAGTGCTTCTTCCTCCTTCTGACCGCTAGTACCAGCATTGTCCAGATGTCCATTCTTTCCCTATTGCTCTTAAACTCCCTCTGTCCTGTTGACTCTTAAATGAAAATACAGTGGTTAAGAGCTTGGGTTCTGGAGTCCTCATAATCAGGGTTTGAATCCTCCACCACTTTCTCAGTTGTGTGCACTTTGGGAAGTTATTTGAATTTTTTGAGCTTCACTTCCTCATCTATGAAATGGAGCACATGTAAAGTGCTTAGTTAGCACAGTGCCTGGCACACAGAAAGAACTCAAAACGGTGACTATCATTAGCCTTACCTTTGTCCTCTTTCCTGAGTTCCAGTTCAGTCCTCCACCACCTGCTAGATTTATCCATTAGATGTCATGCTGTGACCTCAGATCCACCTGTCAGAATTCCCCAGATGCTAGTGGAGGATGCAGCTTTCTGATAGCTGGAGGGTGGGAAGACTTGAAAAGGCAGGTGGTCCCATCGAATCCTCAAAGAAACCCCGTACCTGACCTCAGCCAGGCCTCAGCAGAGAAGGCCCTGAAGAACAGCTCCCCCAGAAGCCTCCAAACCCTGTGCTGGCTGACTCTTGGGTTCTAGGAGGGCAGGCAGAGCTGTCATTATGAGAGCAAATGGAGGATGTGAATTCAACCTTTAAAAAAAGCCCCAGGTGGTGAAGGGAGGTGTAGCAGGATCAGTGAAGTTTGGAAGCGGGTGAGAAAGGTGACAGCAACACCCTCAGGGCATTGAGCTGGGTTTAGGCTGGGGCCTCCCTCAAGCACTGGGGATTTGGCAGCATGGAAGTCAGAGATGCTCCTGTTTTTAGCTGAGCTGCTGCAGGTCCCCTTTGCCGCCCTTGTGAACATTCCTCATTAAGTGCCATGTGTGGAACAGGGTGGATGCATTCCCCGCCCCTCAGCCCTGCTCTCCCTACCTCCTCTCTGCTCTTGGGTGGTGGCAGTCCTATTGGCAGGAACCGAGGAGGGGCAGGGCCGAACTCTATCCAGCACAGAACTGGAGTCATGACGGTTGGAGGTAGGTAATCTCACAGCTGTTTTCTCCAGGCAGTGTGACCAAGTAGATCAGAGCTCTGGCTCTGAATCGGAATGTTTGTGCGCCTGTTCGAATCTCGCTTCTGCTTTTACTCTTTTTTTGACACTAGGCAAGTTGTTTAAATTCTTTATGTCTCATCTGTATAATGGGGATGATAATAGGCCTCTCTAATAGTTGTGAGTTTTAGTTAGATAATGCAGGTAAAGCACTTAGCTTAGTCCATCTATGCCACTTGGAGCCAAGGGCCCTGTCCTTGTAGGAATGACCACCCCCATTGCTGTCTTCACCCCATCTGTGTTGTCCTCTGTTCACATATCCATCTCTGCCTTTGAACTACAAGCTCCATTAAATCAGAGATTGAATTGTATGAGTCTGTGTCTCTGGTGCCCAACACAGGACCTAGCATATAGAAGAACTTAATAAATGAATGTTTACTGTTGGAAGGAACTGGTGAAACAATGTAGAAGACCCAGGATTCCCTCTGGCCTGAGTCCCACCATCCCCTCTGGGTCATTTACCACAAATAGAGAGCCTAGGCCAGTCACGTCCCGGGGACTGAGGATACAGCAGCGAATGAGATAGGCTGGGCTCCTGGCCTCATGGAGTGAATTGTCCAGGGGGTGATGGACGGGAAACATAACAAAACTGATGATACGTTTCAATTAGGAAGGTTGCTAGGAAGGAGAAGCTGGGCTGCTATGAGAGCATAGAGCAGAGGAACTATATTTTGGGCAGAAATGAATCGGGAAGAATTTCCTGGACAATGTTACAAGTAAATTGAGGCCCAAAGAAAGGGCAGGCTGGGTTGAAGCAGAAGGTGGAAAAGAGCCATCTAGGCAGAGGGAACAGCAGATGCAAAGGTCCTGAGGCAGATAGGAACTAGGTTGCTCAGTGGAAGTCAAGGTTATTGTGGCTGGAACCCAGTGATGGAAGGGGTCAGTGACCTCTCCAAGGCTGCAGAGCTAGGAGCACGGGTTGTAAGAGCCGTGTAGGCTATGATGAGAATTTGAATTTTTATCCCTGATTATAATAGCTAACATTTATTAAATTGTATGTATATGTGCACTGTGTTAAGTATTTTGCATGGTTTCTCATTTTCTTTTCACAGCCTCCCTGGGAGACTGGTACTATTATTCCCATTTTACAGATGATGAAATGCTGGCTCAGGGAGGTAAATTTCTTCAAGGTCACATAGTTGACGGTGGCAGAGTTGATTTGAACCCAGGTATCAGGATCCAACGCCTGCCCCTTTAGGCCCCGCGTGGCCCAGCTTAAGAGCTAAGTGCGGACTTGGATCCGCAGTACACGTTCCTCAAGGCCTAGGTTCCTCTTTCGCCGCCTCCCTTCCCCCGGATTGGGGAAGGCAGGTGCAGGTTTGCCCTGACCAGAGGAGCGCCCCAGCGGCAGGCTCAACTGCCTGCGGAGACGGCCCCAGAATCGCCCGGGGTCAGGCCGCACCCACGTGATGGCCCCGAGGCTGAGCTGCGGAGCACCGCCGCAGTGCAGTGGGCGCGGGCGTGTGCGCGCTCCTGCTGCTGCCGCGGCTGTGAAATCTGGAGGGAACCGACCCCAGACGGTGGCCCGGGGCCTGGGAGGGAGGGCGCCCCTCCGCGCTCGGCAGGGGGCTCTCTCTCCCCACGATCCCGGGGCCGAGCCCGCAGCTCCACTGCCTGCATCACGTTCCCTCCAGCCTTGAGGGGGAAAGCAGCGTTCATTTCTGATTAAAAATGACTATTTTTAATGGGCATCATTCTTTATTTCTTGCTGTCCTCTCCCAGGGCTAGAAAGAGGCGGAAAGCGACACTGAGAATCCATTCCAAACGAGCAGCCAAGAGGAGACGCGGCAGCTCCCAGATGTTGATGTTTTGTTTTTTGACATAAATCTTTGCACTCATATGGGAGTTTTCATTGATTCATGTTCCCATCTGCTGAATTTCCTTTTATTTATTTAATATGGCTTTGGGGGGATATCTTGCTCCGAGGCTCTGGAGGAACAATAACTGTGGCAGCCGTTGCACCCCACCCCCAAATCCCAAAAACCTTGGCTGCCGGGGGAGGGAAATTTAGTGGCATCCTGCGCTCATGCCCTCATCTTGGAGGCAAGCGCTCTAGGCATGCGTTTACGTGGCTGTTCTACTTGGGGCCTGCCCAAGGCTGTAAACCCAAGAAAGAAACAGCATAAGAGAGTCGGGGATCATTCTCTGTTCCTCATCCTTCCTGCCCACCCACAGCACCGTGTTTCCTTCATGCTAAAACACACTTACTCTCCTTTTAACAACTTGGAAATCAGGAAACATTTAACAGCGGATGTATTAAGTGTGTTAAACGTATATCCTTCTCCCCCCACTCATTCTGCACACTCCCATCCCACTAGTGATTCTTAGCAATAAAGAACTCCAGCTCTGGAGTCAGACTGCCTGGGCTTGAATCCTGACTCTGCTTTCTCTAATGAATTCTTGAGCAAGATAACTTCTCTGAGCCTGGGATTCGTCATCTGTAAAATGAGGATAATAACTATCTCTTTCTCAGATATACGTACATTTTACCGATGAGGAAACTGAGGCTGAGAGTAATTAAGAGATTTGCCCAACTAGAGCAGAGCTAGGAAACACCTCCTAGGTCTTTCTGATCCTCACCCTATCCCACCACCTCTCCTATGCCCACAGCCCCCTATGTATCTCACATCCAGTCCACCCTTCTCTGCATGTACTACATGGGACTGTCCTTGCAGGACAGGATATGGCTGGACATCTAAGACTCTATAAGTTGGTTCTAAGCTTACCCTGTGGGTGCACATACCCTTAACCCTTCAACTGTGCATGCCCTTTTACTGGAATTTCCATGCATGGTAAGCAGTCAGGATGCCTTTGCATGTGCTTAGTATCTTATGGGAGGTAAGCCCTCAAAATATGTTTATTCAAGAAAATTTGAGGCTGGGCGTGGTGGCTCACACCCGTAATCCCAGCGCTTTGGGAGGTTGAGGTGGGCGGATCACTTGAGCTCAGGAGTTTGAGGCCAGCCTGGCCAACATGGTAAAACCCCACCTCTACTAAAAATAAAAAAAAATTAGCCCAGTGTGGTGGTGCACACCTGTAATCCCAGCTACTTGGGAGGCTGAGGCAGGAGAATTGCTTGAACCTGGGAGATGGAGGTTCCAGTGCACCAACATTGTGCCACTGCATTGCAGCCTGGGTGACAGAGTGAGACACCATCTCAAAAAAAAAAAAAAAAAAAGAGAGAGAGAGAGGAAAAAAAAAATTTGATGGTGTAGAAGGGCATTTCTGCTCACGTTGCCCAAAACCACCTAGAAAGAAATTATTGCCTTCTTGAACTAAAGCCTACTCATTGGTTCCATGATTTTATCATTGAGGTTGCCGTGAGATAGAAAAGAAGGGGAAATTATTAATCAAAGTAAGCGGGAAAGAAATAACTCCAGAAATAATGGGAAGTGGGTGAGTAATACATTGTAGCAAAATGGCTAATTATCCACCAACATCCATTCTCTCCTTCTTCCATGGTATTAGAATTCAGCTGGGATGTGGCTGTCCAGTCAGGGTCTACATTTTCTAGCCTTTCACGAAGATAAGAGTAAGTTTAAAAAAAAAACAACTCGAAAGAATATGTACAGTATGATCCCATTCACTTATATTTCAAAAATAGGCAAGACTAAATTATATTATTTAGAAATGCATATATGGGTAATAAAACTATAAAGAAAGAAAGGGAATGTTCTTACAGATACATATGTAATAGATATACATTAATATATTATAGATTCATATACATGTTTTAGACATCTTCTGTATATATGTTATATTTCACAATTACCTTTTTAAGATGTTACTTACCTGGCTAGGCGTGGTGGCTCACACCTGTAATCCCAGCAGTTTGGGTGGCCAAGGAGGGTGGATCATCTGAGGTCAGGAGTTCGAGACCAGCCTGGCCAATATGGCGAAACCCCGTCTCAACTAAAAACACAAAAATTTGCCGTGGGTGGTGGCACACGTCTATAATCCCAGCTACCTGGGAGGCTGCGGCAGGAGAATAGCTTGAACCCGGGAGGCGGAGGTTGCAGTGAGCCAAGATCCACCGTTGCACTCCCTGCTGGGCGACAAAAGTGAAACTCTGTCTCAAAAAAAAAGAAAAGAAAAAAGAAAATGTTACTTACCTTATAGGGTTGTGTGGGAACTGAATGAGGTGATGCATTTTTGAGGCTCTAAGCTTAACTGCCTGGTGCATTGTAGGTACTCAATGGAAACAACTTTTTTCATTTATTATTTTTTATTTTTTGAATTATTTAATTATTTTACAGATGGAGGTCTCAGTTAGTTGCCCAGGCTGGAGTGCAGTGGCATGATGATAGCTTACTGCAGACTCGAACTCCAGGGCGCAAGAGATTCTCCCTCCTCAGCCTTTGCAGTAGCTGGGACTATAGGCACATGCCTCTGCCCCTGGCTGGCAGTAACTGTTCATGTTGAGGGAAGGATTTGAGGCCTTGAAGAAGGCCACATAATTAGCCAATGATAAGATTTTAAAAAGGTCCTACTTTTTTCTATGAAAGACATTGACTTCAAATATATATATACATATATATATACACACATATATATACATATATACACATACACACACACACACACACACACACACACACACACACACACACATATATATGGTTTTTTTGAGGAGTCTTGCTCTTTCGCCCAGGCTGGAGTGCAGTGGTGTGATCTCGGCTCACTGCAACCTCTGCCTCCCGGGTTCAAACGATTATCCTCCCTCAGCTTCCTGAGCAGCTGGGATTACAGGCATGTGCCACCACACCCAGCTAATTTTTTTTTTTCACTTTTAGTGGAGACGGATTTCACCATGTTGGCCAGGCTGGTCTCGAACTCCTGACCTCAGATGATCCACTCGCCTCAGCCTTCCAAAGTGCTGGGATTTTAGGCGTGAGCCACTGTGCCTGGCTGACTTCCTATATTTGTGTATATAAGTGTGTGTGTATAGGGGTGGTGATTATTGATTGATTTAGGGTTAATTGATGGTCACAAACTTAGTGAAGACTTGAAGAATTTCACCCTTCCCTTCAGAGAAGACACAGAGGAGAAAAGGAAAATTGCTTGACTAGAGGAAGCCTGCCCCTGGATGAGAAGAGGTAAGAGCAGTGAGGATACAATTATATTTGTGCTGGCTCCATATGAGAGGCCCAGGCAGGAGGCTCCATCCCCTGGATGTCCCACCTACATCCTCTTGGGTGCATCATGCTTCCTGCAGTGTTGATGAGGCCTCAGAAGTCAGCACAGGCGACAGTGGGATGGCCCAGACCCAGCTCAGGGATGCTGAGGGAAGCTATTCTGCTGACTGTGTGCCCTAAGGCACCGTGAAAGCAGCCAAGAGTGAGAGCAGTCACCAAGCCAAAAGGCACTGGGATCAGCCAGGGAGACCAGGAAAACCTGGCCAGAGTCTTCCAGCCAGGCCAGGCCAACAGAGCTGTGCACCTCTGGATGCCATGCCCCAGGGTCTCAAGCTTGCTCAGTCTTGGCCATGAGCTCCTAGAGGTGCCTCCCCAAGGGGAGCCCAGTCAGGCCTCCTTTCCCTACCATAGTTTCCTGGTTTCCACACTGTGGGCTGATACATTTTGTTGTGCAATGGAAGCCATGGGGATAAGGGGGGTTAAACGCTGGTCCCACTACTTACACTGTGGATTCTTGGGCTAGAGGCTCCTTAAGATTTTTCCCTTCTACTCTGATCCCTTCTAGTTAATCCAGTTCGGTCATTCAGTTCACTGTATATCAGGCCGGGCGTGGTGGCTCATGCCTGTAATCCCAGCACTTTGGGAGGCCGAGGCTGGTGCATCACCTAAGGTCAGGAGTTCAAGACCAGCCTGGCCAACATGGTGAAATCCCACCTCTACCAAAAAATATAAGAAATTAGCCAGGCGTGGTGAAGCGCGCCTGTAATCCCAGCTGCTCTGGAGGCTGAGTTAGGAGAATCGCTTAAACCTGGAGGTGAGGTTGTAGTGAGCCGAGATCACACCACTGCACTCCAGCCTGGGTGACAGAGCGAGATTCTGTCTCAAAAAAAAAAAAAAAAAAATTCACCCTGTATCTACTGGGCATGTGTAATGTCAAGGTGCTTTTTCTTTTCTTTTCTTTATTTTATTTTTTTTTTTGAGACAGAGTCTCGCTCTCATCCAGGCTGGAGTGCAGTGGCACAATCCCAGCTCACTGCAGCCTCAACCTCCCAGACTCAATCTATCCTCCTGCATCAGCCTCCCAGGTAGCGGAGACTACAGGCACATGCGCCACCACACCCAGCTAATTTTTTATTTTTTTGTAGAGATGGGTTTTTGACATGTTGCCCAGACCTCAGCCTCCCAAAGTGCTGAGATTACAGGCATGAGCCACCATGCCCAGCCTCAAGGCGCTTTTTCCAAATGCTAGCATCATGATGATGAAGAAGGAAGATATGGGCCCTGCCCTCATGGAGTTTACAGTCTATGGGAAAAGAGGTGCAGGATAAGCCATACAATTATGATGTATGTTACAAAAAGTAAAGGAGAATGGAAGAGAATCAATTCGAAGCTTAACATTGTTTAGCAATGTTTCTCAAAATATGGTCCCTGGACCACTTGCATCAGGGGTATCTGAGGTACTTGTTGAAAATTCAGGTCCTGGGCATCATGCCAGATATGCTGAATCCAAAGCTCTGAATGTGGAGCCTAAGGAACTTGCTTTTTAAAAAAATGTAGGTAAAATCTACGTAACAAAAAATTAGCCATTGAAAGTATACACTTCAGTGGCATTTAGTACATTCACAATGTTGTACAATCATCATCTCTATCTAGTTCCAAAACATTTGATCATCTCCCAAAGAAACTCCTGACTCATTAAGCAGTCACTCCCATTCTCCCTTCACCCCATCCCCTGGTAACCACTAGCCTTCTTTCTATCTGTATGAATTGACCTTTTCTAGATATTTCATAGAAATGAAATCATACACTACATGATCTTTTGCGTCTAGCTTCCTTCACTTAACAATGTTTTCAAGGTTCATCCATGTTGTAGCATACATCAGTACTTCATTTATTTTTATTGCTAAATAATATTCTATTGTGTGGGTATACCACATTTTGTTTATCCATTCATCCATTGATGGATATTTGGGTTGTTTCCATCTTTTGGCTATTGTGAATATTGCTACTGTGAATATTTATATACAAGTATTTGAGTACCTACTTTCAAGTCTCTTGGGTATACCCCTACGAATGAAACTGCTGGGTCATACGGCAATTCTATGTTTAACATTTTAAGGAACCACCAACTGTTTTCCACAGTGGCTGTACCATTTTATGTTCCCATCAGGAAGGCCCAAGGGTTTCAGTGTCCCCACATTCTTGCCAATACTTGTTCTTTTCCTTAATTATAGCCATCACAGTGGGTATAAAGTGGTATCTCATTGTAGTTTTGATTTGCATTTCCGTAATGACTAATGATGTTGAGCATCTTTTCATGTACTTTTTGGCCATTTATATGTCTTCTTTAGAGAAATGTCTATTCAAGTCCTTTGCTCATTTAAAAAATTGAGTTATCTAGGCCAGGCAGGGTGCTCACACCTGCAATCCCAGCACTTTGGGAGGCCAAAGAGTGTGGATCACTTGAGCCCAAGAGTTTGAGACCAGCTGGGGCAACATGGCAAAACCCCATCTCTACGAAAAAATACAAAAAATTAGCCTGGCATGGTGGCACCTGTAGTCCCAGCTACTCAGGAGGCTCAGGTGGGAGGATCACTTGAGCCCCAGGAAGGTTGAGGCTGCAATGAACTGTGATCTTTCCACTGTACTCTAGCCTGGGTGACAGAGTGAGACCTTGTCTCAGAAAAAAAGGATTGTCTTTTTGTTATCAAATTATGAGTCCTTTATATATTCTGGATACTAGAAGTTTATTGGATATGTGATTTGCAAATTGACAAATGAAATGAAAAGTGTCTTTTCACTTTCTTGAAGATGTTCTCTGATGCATGAAAGTTTTTAATTTTGCTGAAGTCCAGTGTATCCATACTTACTTTTTGTTGCATGTGGTTTTGATATCATGTTTAAGAAACCATTGCCAGGCCGAGCGTGGTGTCTCATGCCTGTAATCCCAGCACTTTGGGAGGCTGAGGCGGGCAGATCACCTAAGGTCAGGAGTTCGAGACCAGCCTGGCCAACATGGTGGAACCCTGTCTCTACTAAAAAATATAAAAATTAGCCGGGCGTGATGGCCGGCACTTTGCTCCCAGCTACTTGGGAGGCAGAGGCAGGAGAATCGTTTGAACCCGGGAGGCGGATGTTGCAGTGAGCCGAGATTGAGCCATTGCACTCAAGCCTGGGGGATGAAAGCAAGACCGCTCTCAAAAAAAAAAAAAAAAAAAAAAGAAACCATTGCCAAATCCAAAGTCATGAATATTTACCCTTATGTTTTCTCCTAAAGGTTTTACACTTTTTGCTCTTACATTTAGGTATTTGATACATAATGAGTTCAAAATTTTTGTTTGTTTTTTGTTTTTGTTTTAGGCCACTAAGTTTGTGGTAATTTGTTACATAGCAATAGAAAGCTAATACAGGACCAGAGCAAGAAAAGTTTCTGAAGCTATTGCAGGTATGATATAAGCTGCTTTCCTGCTTGGGCCTTATGACCCAGCAGATTCAACAGTGCTCCAAATGTCTATTGCAGATAGGAATGCTGGTGAACCATCTGGGAATCCCTGATAGAGGAATCATGACGTAGACTCCTAGAGTTTTGTATTGCAGCTATGTCTTTTTACACAAATAACTCATTCACACTTTGAAAAAATAAAATATACAGCTCCTGGGCTTGTTCCTGGGCTCTGGTGGAGACCAAATGCCTGACCTAGGATGCCAAGTGAACATGTAGCATTTACCCATTTATCATAAGGGGTATTTTAAAGATGAACAGCCAGATGGAGAGATGGATAGGTCAAGCCATGTGGGAAGGGGCATAGAGCTTTCATACATCTCTAGGCATGCCACCTTCCCTCCAAGTATCTTCATGTGTTCAGCTATCCAGAAGCTCCTTAGTGAGTTAATATTTGTATATGGTACGAGGTAAGGGGTCCAACTTTCTTCTTTGTTCTTCTTTCTTTCTCCTTCTTCTTCCTTCTTCTTCCTCCTTCTTTCTCTTCCTCCTCCTCCTCTTCCTTCCTCTTCTTCTTCTCCTCCTTCTCCTTCTTCTTCCTTTTTTGTATGTGGATATCCAGTTGTCCCAGCACTATTTGTTGAAGACACTATTTTTTGCCCATTGAATGCTCTTGGCACCCTTGTCAAAAATCAATTGACCCCATAGCTGTATTAGTATATTTTTGGACTCTCAATTCTATTTCGTTGATATATATCTCTCTATCCTTTATGCTACTATCACACTATTTTGATTACTGTAGCTTTGTAATACGTTTTGAAATCAGGAAGTGTAAGTCTTCCAGCTTTGTTCTTCTTTTTCAAGATTGCTTTGGCTATTTGGGGTCCGCTGCAATTCCATTTGAATTTAAGGATTGGCTTTTCCATTTCTGCATTGAGTCAAAAGCTCTGAAGGTAAAGCCAAGGAATCTGCTTTTTTTAAAAAAAATAAGTTTTGATTGTGAGTAAAATACACACAACATAAATTTTACCACTTTAACCATTTCTAAATGTACAGTTAAGTACATTCACATTTTTATGCAGTCAATACCCAGAACTTTTTCATCTTGCAAAACTGAAACTATACCCATTAAACAACCCCCCTTTTCCTCCTACCCCTGGAACCTGATAACCACCATTCTACTTTCTGTCTCTATGAGTTGGACTACTCTAGGTACTTCATATAAGTGGAATCATATAGTAGTTGTCTTTTTGCGACTGGCTTATTTCACTAATGTCCTCAAGTTTCATCCATGTTGTAGCATGTGTTTGAATTTCCTTTCTTTTTAGGGTTGAATAATATTCCATTGTAAGGATATACCACATTTTCTTTACGTATTCAGCTATCAGTGAACATTGGAGTTGCTTCCACTTTGGCTATTGTTGAATAATGCTGTTATAAACATGGGCATACAAATATCTCCTCAAGGCCCTGCTTTCAATTATTTTGAATTTATATCCAGAGGTAAAATTACTGGATCATATGGTAATTCAATTTTTAGCTTTTTGAGGAACCACCGTACTATTTTCCATAGCAGCTGTACCATTTTATCCTCCCACAAAAGCTTCCGTTTTTCACATCCTCACTTTTTTTTTTTTTTGAGATGGAGTCTCACTCAGCCACCCAGGCTGGAGTACAGTGGCGCAATCTCGGCTCACTACAACCACGGTCTCCCGGGTTCAAGTGATTCTCCCGTCTCAGCCTCCCGAGTAGCTGGGATTACAGGCACCCGCCATCATGCCTGGCTAATTTTTGTATTTTGGTAGAGACGGGGTTTCACCATGTTGGCCAGGCTGGTCTTGAACTCCTGACCTCAAGTGATCCACCTGCCTTGGCCTCCCAAAGTGCTAGGATTACAGGTGTGAGCCACAGTGCCCAGCTTCTTTCTTTCTCATTTTTAGGGGGGGATAGTGTGTGGTGATATTGCATTGTGGTTTTGATTTTCGCATAGGAATTTGCCTTTTTAAATGAACTTTTTATTTTGGAATGATTTTAGATTTACAGAAAAGTTACAAAGATAGTACAGAGGGTTCCTGCACATCTTTCATTTGGTTTCCATTTCCCCTAATGTTATCATCTTACATTACAATGGCACTTTGACAAAACTTGGAATCTGCTTTGTACTAAGCACGTGCGTGTGCACACACATGTGCACATCACTTATACTCATTATTTATTTATTTATTTGAGACAGGCTCTTATTCTGTCACCCAGGCTGGAGTGCAGGGTGTGATCTCAGCTCACTGCAACCCCCGCCTGCCAGGCTTAAGTGATCCTCCTGCCTCAGCCTCCTGAGTAGTTGGGACTACATGCACATGCTACCACATCCAGCTAGTTTTTTGTATTTTTCTGTAGAGACAGAGTTTTGCCATGTTGCCCAGGCTGGTCTCGAACTCCCGGGCTCTAGGGATCCACCCACCTTGGCCTCCCAAAGTGATGGGATTACCGGCATGAGCCACTGCGCCTGGCCGTGATTCTTACTTGCACTACAGTTTGAGAGCCACTAATCTAGGGGTCAGGAAAGTCCTTCCAGGGAAATACCTTTCAGCTGTTACTTGAAAGATGTGCATGAGTGAGTAAAAGGAACAGTGTGTGATCCAGGCAAAGGAAACAAACTGTGCCAAAGCCTGGGGGTAATAAAGAACTTGGAACATTTAAGGATAATCATAATAGCGGTAATAGTAATTTATTGACACTTACCATATGCCAAGCACTGGTAAGCACTTTAGAACATTATTTTACTTAATTTTCCACAACAATCCTATAAAGTGGAAAATATGATCATTTCTATCTTATAGAAGAGGTAACAGAATTGAAAGAAGTAACTTGCCCAAGGCTACACAACTGTAATGTGGCAAAAGCAAATTTGAACTTAGGTCTTTCTTTCCTGATTCCTTTTCTCCCACTAGGCCCCAGTAAATTTTATTCACCTGCTTGCAGCAAGAAGCAAAACCTTAAATATGTGGCTTTTCCTCCTTCTGGTCTACTCTTCCCACTCTCTTTTCCAGACTTCTCATCCTTCAGGGTTCAGAGAGTTCTTCCCATTCCAAAGCTATTCCTTAATGTTATTCTCTCTCATTGCATTGAAGGCTAAATTAATGAATAAATATAAATAAACAGTCTTAGCAACAATTTGCCTATCTTTCCTGCTGTACTGTCAACTTCATGAAGGCAAGGATCCAATCCGTCTGGTTCACCTAGTACCAGGAAGTGCTTACTAAATATGTGGGGTTTTTTTTGTTTTTTGTTTTTTGTTTGTGAGATGGAGTCTCGCTCTGTCACCCAGGCTGGAGTGCAGTGGCACCATCTCGGCTTACTGCAACTTCTGCCTCCTGGGTTCAAGCGATTCTCCTTGCTTCAGCCTCCCGAGCAGCTGAGATTACAGGCACCCACCACCATGCCTAGCTAATTTTTGTATTTTTTAGTGGAGATGGGGTTTCACCATGTTGGGCAGGCTGGTCTTGAACTCCTGACCTCAAGTTATCCGCCCACCTCCGCCTCCCAAAGTGCTGGGATTACAGGCATGAGCCACCGTGCCTGGCCTAAGTATTTGTTGAATAAATGAAGAAAGATAGGAACTCAAACATGTTTTGGATGTTGAATGAGTGACTTTTATTTTTGAGAAAGAAAAAAATCAAATGGGTTGCTGAATATCATTTAAGATATGAACCACAGGTTCCCTTTTTCTCTAGCAAAAACCTCAACATTGCTGTGCATGGTGGCTTATGCCTGTAATCCCAGCACTTTGGGAGGCCAAGGCAGGCGATTGGTTGAGCTCAGGAGTCTGAGACAGCCTGGGCAATGTGGCGAAACTCCTTCTTTAGAAAAACAAAACAAAACAGAAACAATTAGCGGGGTGTGATGGCACAGGCCTGTAGTCTCAGCTACTTTGGAGGCTGAGGTGGCAGGATCGCTTGAGCCAGGGAGGTGGAGGCTGCAGTCAGACGAGATCATGCCACTGCACTCCAGCCTGGGTGACACAGGGAGACCTTGTCTCAAAACAAACAAAAACCCTCAACCTTGATTTGATTCCCTGGAGAGACTGACCTGAGTCTGACTGACCTGAGAAACATCTCTTTGTTGAGAAGTTCAGATCTGAAGACAGGGGTGGGAAGTCTCTATTCCTGATGCAAAAGATCAAGAGTATCATCAAGAAGAAAATACCATCCTAACAACTTCAGAAAGTCAACTGGCTACAAGGAGGGAAGGGGGCAACTGACCTCCCCAGGTCTGGGGTTCTGCTTTGGGGTTCTGTTTGGGTTCTGTTTGGGGTTTGCTTCTACTCTGGGGTTCTGCTTTCCAGCATAGCACCAGAGTGCTAGCAGAGTGACCATGCTGTAAGCGAAGGCTAACTGCTCCCTACTTCCCCTGGCTCCCCCAGTGTTAAATTAGCTTTATGTCAATACCACACCAGCAGCTGGGATGAATTATTGAAGCTCATTCATCGCAGTGAGCCCAGGTTCCACTTGCTTTATGAAATGGAGGTGAATGTGACCATATTATTTCTATTTGTCTCGTTGCAGTCAGTACATCTTCAGTCTGTTGTTAATATGAAGGGACTCAGCCCTAGGCAGATAATCCCAGCCTCTGCTTCTGATGAGAGCTACAGAGATAAGCATAGTGGGAGTGTCAGAGCACATAAAGTGGGAGGGGAGGAGTGCAGGAACACATCTGCTGGCTCCAAACTCGCAGGGGCTCTTAGTTATCACAATTTACATGGTAGTCCCCAACACCTATTCATATACACATAAGCACAGTCAACACACACATACACACATATATGCACATATACATTCAGAGTCTTAAAGGCACACTCACCAGGGGCCCAGGAACAAAAATGTGGAGCGTGCCAACATTTTAAAGAATTATTTTCTCAAAGATTGTGCACATTTTAAAGGCTTCTCCTCCCCCAATCTTCAGCACCAGTCCTTCTCTAGAAGTGCTGGCTAGCTTGCCCCTGACTCTTGGCAGAGATGGCTGACCTGGAATGTCTAAGGCATGAACAGGGAACCCACTTGTAGGAGGCTCCTGTGTGCATGTGGGAGAGCAGTCTTTCTTCTCTGCTCCCTTCCAACTCCCTCCTGAACTGATGTATGCCTGACTTTCAAGATATATTTCTGTTGCTTGACCCAGATGCCAAAATTATCTGTTATAGCTCTGCATCTATCCATATACACCCGCATTGACATTCACAGTCACAAACATGCAGTCACACTCCTACACACTCATGCTCACACACACACACTACATACCCAGAGCCAGGCCTCCTAGCCATATGGCTTGGTTTGAAGGCTAATGAGAAAGCCTCCTGATCCTATCTGCTGGTCACAAGCCTCTCAAAGATTCCACCATTAAATATTTATCATTTTGGGAGTACTCAGCTAAGAATTAAGACCTCCAGTCAAGGCAACACACCATAAAGTTTTCATCCAACATTTTGGCAGAAGCCCACCTCTACCCAGAAACTTCTTTCTCCTTGACTAGCTGACTCTTACTCATTCTTCAGGTCTGACCCAACCTCCCCTGTTCAGCCCCGACCCCTTACTGTTGAGGGATGGTAAGTTCCCCCATTATCCATGCTCATTACTCTCTGTCATTTTCCTTCCTTGCACTGATTAAACCTGTAATTAAATGATTATTTATGTGATCACATTTATATGGTTTGTGGCCCCATTAGAAAGAGAACTCCAGTTGGTTAGGAGTTGCCTTTCTCTCTGTTCTTCACTATACACCAAGTGCTAGCACAATGCCTGGCACAGAATTGATGTTCAATAAAACTTAAATGGCTGGGCGTAGTGGCTCACGCCTGTAATCCCAGTACTTTGGGAGGCTGAGGCGGGTGGATCACCTGAGGTCAGGAGTTCAAGACCAGCCTGACAAACATGGAGAAACCCTGTCTCTACTAAAAATACAAAATTAGCCGGGCATGGTGGCACATGCCTGTAATCCCAGCTACTAGGGAGGCTGAGGCAGGAGAATCGCTTGAACCTGGGAGGCCTAGGTTGCGGTGAGCCGAGATCACACCATTGCACTCCAGCCTGGGCAACAAGAGCGAAACTCCATCTCAAAAAAAAAAAATTAATTAATTTAAAAAAAATGAAGTTGAATGCTTTGGGGAAAGGACATTAGAGAAGAAGGAAAACAGACAGAAAATGTCAGAACAGATAATTCCAAATCCTTCTGATCTTGGGCCTCTGACTATCACCAGTATGTTCCTTTCTCACCTGCCAGGGTGACACCATGTAACTCTCCTGGGGCATGTTAAGATGCCCAGCAGAGGCCGGGTGCAGTGGCTCAAGCCTGTAATCCCAGGACTTTGGAAGGCTGAGGCAGGTGGATCATTTGAGATCAGGAGTTCGAGACCAGCCTGGTCAACATGGCAAAACCGCCTCTACTAAAAATACAAAAATTAGCCAGGCATGGTGGCATGCACCTGTTGTCCCAGCTACTTGGGAGGCTGAGGCACAAGAATCGCTTGAACCCAGGAGGTGGAGGTTCCAGTGAGCCAACATCATGCCACTGCACTCCAGCCTGGGCAATACAATGAGATTCCATCTCAAAAAAAAAAAAACAAGATGCCCAGTAGAACTACACAGGGACAGCACTAGGATTGAAGCAGACAGAAACTTCTCAGCTGGAGGAAACAGGCCTGAGGGGCATCCTGGCCTGGTCTGGCTCTGCACTTATCCAGAATGTGACTAAGAGTTCATAGTTCTAGACCAAGCTTTGTGTGAGGAACCTTCTATTCCAGATGTTTTCTGGTAATTAAGATGGGAGATGTTTGTTGCCGAGAACATATGGTATTGATAATAATAACAAAAATACTATCAGCTACCATTTATAGAAAGCTTACTATATGCCAGGCACTGGGCTAAGTACTTTATATATAGTTACACATAATTAATTAATCCTCACAACCATCTTGAGAGAAAAATGTACCACTATTTCCATTTTGAGAATAAGTAATTTGCCCAACATCACACAACTGGGAAGCAACTGAGCCAGGACAGGACTCTGAGGCCAAGCTTTGAACCAGCAGGATAGGCTGCCTTCTATTTAAGCCCCGAGGAGATACCAGACCACCTCATACTCACTCAACAGATACAAAGTAGTGCCCTTTAATGGACTTGGGATTTATTTGCAATCTTAGAAGCTGCCACTATTCCCTTGTCTTAGAACCACCAGGATCTGGCTCCTGATTCCTGGAGTCACAGAAGAGAGGTGCCAAAACATCTGGAATTGCAGAAGGAAGCAAATACAGGCAGCTGGGAGGCACCTGATCCTTGGCCTTCTACAGCAAAATACTCCTGAGTCCCTGGCCCTCCTGCTTGGAAGATGGGACCACTTTGAATCTTTTCCCTCTGTATTTCTCTTCTCCCAGTGGTGATCCTGCGGGCTCATTTCTGAATGATGATGGTCTCGAGGCAGGTGACAAGTAAGCCACAAAGGGCCACATAAACCATAACCAGCCAGTGTGAGAGAGAAGCTGCCACTGAAGGTGGGCCCTATTTACTTGGGGCTGCACTCGCGGCCTTGTGTACAGCCACTTGCAGGAAGTGAGAGCTCCAAGCTTTTGACATCAGGTCATGGTGTCTTCTGTTCCCCTCTCTTCCCTGTGGCACTGACTTCAGCTTTGTCCCTTTAATGATTCTGAGTCTGACCTCCATGGCTTCAAATTAAGTCTGGAATCATTTTAAGACTACTATGGGGTGGATACGGTGGCTCATGCCTGTAATCCCAGTACTTTGGGAGGCCGAGGCTGGCAGATCACCTGAGGTTGGAAGTTCGAGACCAGGCTGACCAACATGGAGAAACCCCGTCTCTACTAAAAATACAAAATTGGCTGGTGTGGTGGCGCGTGCCTGTAATCCCAGCTACTCGGGAGGCAGAGGCAGGAGAATCACTTGAACCTGGGAGGCAGAGGTTGCAGTGAGCCGAAATCACGCCATTGCACTCCAGCCTGAGCAACGAGAGCAAAACTCCACCTCAAAAAGAAAAAAAAAAAATGGTCCCTGACTCGTGCCACTTAAACTCGGTCTGAAACAGATACTTCCTGGCTCATCCTTTCAACCTGCATTTATTGTGGTGTTATCTCTCTAATCTGTGGACTCCTAAAGGGCAGGTTTGTATTGAATATGGTCATTTGGCATGCATCCTCTATTCTTATTTTCTTCTAATGTGTTACAGGGACCGGGAAGCTAGAATACATTTCTATGACTCCCTTACAATTAGGCACACTTGTATGACTGTAAGACAGAAAGGAGGAAGATGACTTCTTTCTGCTATTTTGGGCTTTCTGTTGGCAAGCAGGATCCTGGAGACATGGGGTTCTCCTGCAACAGCCATTCAGCTTCCTGATCTCTGCTTTCTAGTTCCTGGATGGCAGATCTCTGACAATGTGTTCTTTAACTCAACAGTTACAGTGGTGGCCTTTTGATTCCCCATCTTACTAATCATGGCAAACATATTCGCTCTCCTGTTGCAGTTTTGGGAAGTCCATTCCACAACTCCTTTCAATGATTGTGTAAACACTAATTCTCTACACTAAGTTCTCCTCAGTTCAAAATACCTAGAGTAGTTTCTGTTTTCCTGCACTGAACTAGGCCCTCAAATAGTTGTGAAATGACTGACTCCTTGGAGAAACAAAGAAAAAAAAAGTCAGTGTTGTGTTGGAGAGAAAAGATTTATTTTCTCATCCACTTCTAGGTTCATGGCCAAGATTCCAATAATAAAAAACAGATTAAGAAGAGAAAAGTATGCAAATGTATTTAATATAAGGTTTACATGACACAGGAGCCTTCATAAGGAAATGAAGACCCCCCCAAAACAGGAAAACTTGTGTATTTATTTAGGCTTAGGTTTGAGGAAGAGTAGAAGTGGTCACTCATGCAGAAGTATGATAGGACAAAAGGGGTGTGATCTAATGGTAATAAACTGGTGGTAGGGGACTTAGCAAGTCCTGTTCAGATTCTTCTGCCTTCAAGAACAAGGAAGTCCCTTTTCTTCAGTATAGGGAGGGTATCTCTGGAATGAGGATTTCATGACCTACTTCAGGAAAGAAAGGAGGGAGAAGGTCAGAGAGTAACCTTCCCAGGTTTTTTTCTTTTCTTTTTTTTGAGATGGAGTTGCACTCTGTCGCCCAGGCTGGAGTGCAGTGGCGTGATCTCGGCTCACTGCAACCTCTGCCTCCTGGGTTCAAGTGATTCTCCTGCCTCAGCCTCCCAAGTAGCTGGGATTACGGGTGCCCACCACCATGCCCGGCTACTTTTTTTTTTTTTGTATTTTTAGTAGAGACGGGGTTTCACCATGTTGGCCAAGCTGGTCTTGAACTCCCGACCTCAGGTGATCCACCAGCTTCAGCCTCCCAAAGCGCTGGGATTACAGGCATGAGCCACTGCGCCCGGCCAACCTTCCCAGGTTTTATGGCCTGCTTCCGGGAAGAAGGGAGAGGGAAAGGTGAGAGTGGTTCTCCTCTGCTGTTTTTTCAAATGCCAAGTTGCCATATTTTGGAGTACGGTATCCTGAACCCCATCATTCTCCTGTCTGAAACTTTCCCAAGAGGCCTCACAGCCCAAAAACTGAGTTGGAAGATTATTGCATAACCCATTGAACCATCTCTCAGTTCCAGGAATAACTCAGTCCAGTTAAATAGTTAACAGTTGTATCTTATTCCAGTTGTTAGGGGGTATTGCAGTCAGGCTTCTACCAAAGTTAGGCCTCTATGTAGTGTAATCAATCAGGCATTTAATAAGAGGCATTTCCAGACAAACAATAGAAAAACAAACATTAACAATTAGAGCAATCCATAAACTCAGTTTTTGAGTCCGGAAGACAGCCAGTCAAAAAAATTTCTAGATTCGAGCTCAAAGCATCTTGAGATGGTAGAATGAGGACAAGTAGTGACAAGCTGATAGATTTTCCTGGTTTGCAGTTTGCATGAGGTGTTCTGGGGAACTTTCTGAGTAGCACATAGAGCAACACGTACAAAAATTGTTCATATATGGCTGTTGTGATTTCTCTAAAGTCTATATGAAGTTGTCCAGCTTTAGCTTGCAGGGCTTTGGAAAAAGGGCAGTTTTAATTTTTAGTGATTCTCAGTCATAAGGTGGGAGAAAAATTGGAAATTGTTTGGAGAGTGATAACCAGATATTGGAGGAAACTAGAAGAATTTAAGATCCAGTCCAGATTATAGGTAGATAACAAAACCTCAGGGCCGGGTGAGGTAGCTCACGCCTGTAATCCCAGCACTTTGGGAGGCCGAGGCGGCTGGATCACGAGGTCAGGAGATCAAGACCATCCTGGCTAACACGGTGAAACCCCGTCTCTACTAAAAAATACAAAAAATTAGCCAGGCATGGTGGCGGGCACCTGTAGTCCCAGCTACTCGGGAGGCTGAGGCAGAAGAATGGCGTAAACCCAGGAGGTGGAGCTTGCAGTGAGCTGAGATCGTGCCACTGCACTCCAGCCTGGGCGACAGAGCAAGACTCCGTCTCAAAAAACAACAACAGCAGCGAACATGGCGCTGTGAGTGGTGCGGAGCGTGCGGGCCCTGCTCTGCACCCTGCACGCCGTCCCGTCACCCGCCGCGCCCTGCCCGCCAAGGCCCTGGCAGCTGGGTGTGGACGCCGTCCGTACGCTGCGCACTGGACCCGCTCTGCTCTGGGTGCGTAAATTCACAGAGAAACATGAATGCGTAACAACAGAAAATGGCATTGGAACAGTGGGAATCAGCAATTTGGCACAGGAAGCTTTGGGAGATGTTGTTTACTATAGTCTGCCTGAAGTTGGGACAAAATTGAACAAACAAGATGAGTTTGGTGCTTTGGAAAGTGTGAAAGCTGCTAGTGAACTCTGTTCTCCTTTATCAGGAGAAGTAACTGAAATTAATGAAGCTCTTGCAGAAAATCCAGGACTTGTAAACAAATCTTGTTATGAAGATGGTTGGCAGATCAAGATGACACTGAGTAACCCTTCAGAACTAGATGAACTTATGAGTGAAGAAGCTTATGAGAAATACATAAAATCTATTGAGGAGTGAAAATGGAACTCCTAAATAAACTAGTATGAAATAACGCAACCCAGCAGAGTTGTCTTAAATTAGTGGTGGATAGACTTACAATAGCAACTTTTAGCATTACCGATGGGGAAGAAAAAACTACTGTTAACACTGCTAATGAAAGAAAATGCCCTTTAACTTTCTAATGATTATAGATAAATAGAATATGCGTCTTTTTCACAATATCCTATGATTTTTAGACTAGGCTCTAGTGTTCAGAATTCATGAAATTATCCATGGTAAAAACTAGTTATAAACATTACAAAATTCAAAGATAACATTGTTATTCTTAAGCTTTAATAATATTGTAACTTGCATGTATCCATACCTGGATTTGGGATGAAATACTTAATGATCTTTCCATTGGAAATAACTGGAAGTGAAGAGGTTTTTGTTGCTTGTACAGTGTCAGATGAGGAACACCACTATCTTAATTTTACAATACACTGAATTTTTTGGTGGTGCTATTTTTATACAGTGAAGCAACAGCTTTGCAGCAAAATAATAAAATACTTCTTCATTAAAACAACAACAACAACAAAACAAAACAAAACAAAACCTCAAAAACATGAACAGGACTAGAATTCAATAATAGATAAACTTTAGTTTTCTTCTGAAATGTAATTTTTAAACCTACAGTCACCTCTGTTTCTACCAAAGATGATCAAAATAAGATGAATTTGTTTGCAAAATAGGCCCAATCTCATTAAACTTAACCTGATTATTTGCATAAGTGCAGCAAAATAGTGATTGCCCTAAAGGCTCATTTAAGTTTGCTTTGCTGGAATTTTTCATAAGGAATCTCAAATTGGACTTTTAAAACCTGACTCAAGTCTAGGAAGCCAAACCAAGGATTTCTCATCATACTTTGCCTATAATACCTATAGATTTGGGTGAATTCCTCTCTTTTTTTTTTTTGAGAGGGAGTGTCGCTCTTGTTGCCCAGGCTGAAGTGCAACGGCTCACTGCAACCTCTGCCTCCCGGGTTCAAGCAATTCTCCTGCCTCAGCCTCCCCAGTAGCTGGGATTACAGGCACCCGCCACCATGCCTGGCTAATTTTTGTATTTTTAGTAGAGACGGGGTTTCACCATGTTTGCCAGGCTGGTCTCGAACTCCTGACCTCAGGTGATCTGCCCCCCTCGGCCTCCCAAAGTGCTAGGATTACAGGTGTGTGCGCCTGGCCGAATTCCTCTCTTCTTGAAGTCCCCAAATACCCTGAGTTTCCTGGGCCTGTCGAAAAGTGGCATTACTTACTTACCTGTAAGGCAACCACATAGGGGAACCATGTAAGGGAACCATGTATGCAGACTACCAAGCCAGTTTTTCCTAAGAGGCTTTACTAGATCAATAAAGTCAGCCTTAGTTCTTTAAAGTATTCTGGTTATATCTGAAAATAGGCATTCCAGTCAAAGCCTTGGTAATATAGCCAATAATTCCAATGTGTTCTGCTACAAGGGGAACAGATTCTTTTTGAACGTATGCAGATAACTATATTGCCATAAAAATAAGGATACTCACTAATAGTTTCTGAATTCTGGAGGAATCAGGTAAGGAGAAAAAGTGATGACTTCAATTCTTATTGAAATTGAATAAAGTATACTTATAAAAGTATACTTTACCAAGTGGCTGTAAGCTATAGATAGCTTAAAAGTGAAAAAAAAAAAAGTTTTCTTAAATATGGAAAACAAAACATTAAAGAACCAGCAATGTTTCAGCCAAAAAGTCATCCCCCAAAATCATCCTCATTAGTTTATTCAGTCCCATGTAATCAAATCTTGTTCTGTTTGATCTTGCTTAGCAGTTTCATGAATTTATCAGTTTCTTCATTAGAGTTTTGAAAATTCTTACCCAGTGCAGTGGTATGATTTTTAAGTTATCAGAAACCTGAACCTGCATTCTATTCCAGGGTACTTGTCAAAATCTTTTTCATGAATGTCCTTGAAGAAGAAGCAATTTTGGACAATAGTTGATTGCAAATACTTTCGGACAAGAATAATAGTAAAACAACTGTCTGTGAATAACAACAACAACAAAAAAAACTGGCCATGGTTAAAAATATGAGAGTTCATTGTAATAATAACAAAATTGATGAAGAAAATTTTTTTTTTTTTGAGACAGAGTCTTGCTCTGTCGCCCAGGCTGGAGTGCAGTGGTGCGATCTCCGCTCACTGCAAGCTCTGCCTTCCGGGTTCACACCATTTTCCTGCCTCAGCCTCCTGAGTAGCTGGGACTACAGGAGCCCGCCACCGCAAGTGGCTAATTTTTTGTATTTTTAGTAGAGACAGGGTTTCACCGTGTTAGCCAGGATGGTCTCGATCTCCTGACCTCGTGATCCACCCGCCACGGCCTCCCAAAGTGCTGGGATTACAGGCATGAGCCACCACGCCTGGCCTGATGAAGAAATTTGATTATTCCTGTGGGATAAAACATTTTAACATAACTAAAATTATGACCGAAAACATTATATGAGAACATATCAGATTTTTAAGAATTTTATACAGTTTTTGGAACACACATTAATAATATACCCATACAGATATAATTCAAAGAACGTTAAACATCATTTCTTAGTTGACAATGTTTCCCGTGTAAATTTAACATGTCAAATAAGCCAAATTATGGCTCACGCCTGTAATCCCAACACTTTGGGAGGCCGAGGTGGGCGGATCATGAGGTCAGGAGATCGAGACCATCCTGGCAAACAAGGTGAAACCCCATCTCTACTAAAAATACAAAAAATTAGCTGGGCGAGGTGGCGGGCGCCTGTAGTCCCAGCTACTCGGGAGGCTGAGGCAGGAGAATGGCGTGAACCCGGGAAGTGGAGCTTGCAGTGAGCCCAGATCGCGCCACTGCACTCCGGCCTGGGCGACAGAGTGAGACTCCATCTCAAAAAAACAAAAACAAACAAACAAAAAAACACAAATAAGCCAAATTAGTTTAATATCTCTCTTTCTATAAGGAGAGAAAATAAATTATTTTGAGATATTCCAGAGGCCCTCTAAAAGCTCCCAAATTTAGATTGAGGTCAAAAAGATTTAATTTAGAATTTGATTTGGGGAAGTTTGTCAACAATATCAAAAGGTGTAAAACTCTTGATTAAATCAGGTTATTTGTTATCTATTTAATCAAAGTGGCAACAAAATATTTTAAAGGCAAGTACAGAAGGTTACATAGTTTTAAAAACAAACCTTTAGTTCTTTTAATAGAGAGAACTCCATTTTCTTAAGTAATCAAAGACCTAGTGGAGACCATGTGAAGCACCAAAAATTATTTTGATAGCTCACAAAACCTTTGTTTTCTATGCCAATTACTTAAAAGGTAATGAAAAAACTTTTCATAATCTCTTATCAAAAGCAAACCAATATACCCCCCATCAAAAAAACTTTGTTTTTCTTTTCTTTTTTTTTTTTTTTAATGGAGATTTATTCTTGCTGCCCAGGCTGGAGTGCAACGGCGTGATCTCAGTTCGCCGCATCCTCCGCTTCCCAGGTTCAAGCGATTCTCCTGCCTCAGCCTCCCGAGTAGCTGGGATTACAGGCATGTGTCACCACACCCGGCTAATTTTTGTGTTTTTAGTAGAGATGGGGTTTCACTGTGTTGCAGGCTGATCTCGAACTCCTGACCTCAGGTAATCCGCCCGCCTCGGCCTCCCAAAGTGCTGGGATTACAGGCGTGAGCCACTGCACCCAGCCAAAACTTTGTCTTTGACAGAGGAGACCAAATTCTAGTTTTGCATCAGTGTACTATTAATGCTAAGGCTAATTTTAAAAATGTCTTCTGAATAAATCTATCCCGTCTCAGATAGCTTTGATCATACCAGATAAGACTCCTTTCCTAAGATTTCCTTCCTCAAACCCATTACAACCATTTAAAAATATCCATCAAGCCGGCCGTGGTGGCTCATGCCTGTAATCCCAGCACTTTGGGAGGCTGAGGCGGGTAGATCACAAGGTCAGGCGTTTGAGACCAACCTGGCCAACATGGTGAAACCCCATCTCTACTAAAAAAATACAAAATGAGCCGGGTGTGGTGGCACACACCTGTAGTCCCAGCTACTTGGGAGGCTGAGGCAGAAGAATCGCTTGTACCCGGGAGGCGGAGGTTGCAGTGAGCTGAGATCATGCCACTGCACTACAGCCTGGATGACGGAGTGAGACTCCATCTCAAAAACAAACAAAAAATATATATATATATCCATCAACATTTCTTTCCCTACATTTTTCTCTTTCTCATTCTGGGAAGATCAGTCATTCTACTTTATGGCAGAATTAATTACTCGTTTTTCCCCTAACAGAAAAACACATCCTCATGCCTTATAATTTTCCTTACCAACAATGTATCTTATTTTCCTTGCATTATTTGCATACAGAGTTGTTACACTTATAATTTCTAATAGTTTTAATTCCATATATTAATTTGAATTTTAAATTTTAGTATCCTTAATTTCTAGTGAAAACTAAGAAGTAAGCAATTGTGAACTGTCACATACCAACATTCTGTAGATTAACACCATTTCATAATTTCTAGAAATACATGCATCTCCATAATACAATTTTTCAATGTGGCACAGAACATTTTTACTGAGACCCAAATATATTTCGTTCTTCTGAAATAAGAAGCAAAAGTAGATAAACTCATGTTCAGTGATTAATGTTTCAGCATTATATCTTACATAGAAATGACCCATTTGATAAATGTTTGTTACTCATTTTAATTTAGTATAACTTTAAGCTTGAAGTTGCCAAAAAAATTTTGGAATTATTTTTAACTGGAAATGTTTTATAAAACGTAATTGTTGTTGGAAAAGATTATTTATAAGCTTTTATCCCACTTATATCTCATTTAATTCACTTGTTCTTAACAATTATGCTTGAATTAAATTACTCATGAAAATTTCATGAGACATTAAACAAAGCTAGCCACCATCTTAAGTTATTTTTCTTGTTGACAAATTAGGCAAGTATCAAAAATACCACAGAAGCAAAGAAACTAAAAGTTAAATATATAAGTGGAGATAATATAAGCTTGTTTGACTAGTAAACCCAAGTGGAAAAAAATGTATGCCTGCATTATATTTAATGCTAACAATTCTGAAGACGTTTCTGATTTTCTTTTACGAACAATTTAAAAACTAATCTTATTTCTTGAAAATTTACCCAAGTTGGCGAGGCGTGGTGGCTCACGCCTGTAATCCCAGCACTTTGGGAGGCTGAAGCGGGCAGATCGCGAGGTCAAGAGTTCAAGACCAGCCTGGCCAACATAGTGAAACCATGTCTCTACTACAAATACAAAAAATTAGCTGGGCTTGGTAGCAGGCACCTATAATTCCAGCTACTTGGGAGGCTGAGGCAGGAGAGTCGCTTGAACCCGGGAGGCAGAGGTTGCAGTGAGCTGAGATAGTGCCATTGCACTCCAGCCTAGGCAGCAAGAGTGAAACTCTGTCAAAAAAAAAAAAAAAGAAAGAAAGGAAAAAAGAAAGAAAGAAAGAAAGAGAAAGAGAGAGAGGAAGGAAGGAAGGAAGGAAGGAAGGAAGGAAGGAAGGAAGGAAGGAAGGAAGAAAATTTACCCAAGTCATCTAAACTCAAAAAAGCTTGGGGTTAGTTTCTGTTTCTTTCTTTTTTTTCAGAGACAGAGAGAGAGATGAGGCCACTATGTTGCCCAGGCTGGTCTTGAACTACTGGACTCAAGGAATTCTCCAAGAGATTCTCCTGCCTCAGCTTCTGAAGTAGTTGAGACTGCAGGATCATGCCACTACACCTGGCTTAGACTCTACATTTCTGAGAGTTTTAGGAATACTTTATACAAGCACTCATTTATTTCCAGACCAATTTGAGTAGAATTCCTTTAAGGAATTTTATAAATAAATGTGATAATACTATCCAGAGGTAGGAAAAATACCAGCTATGCATAACATACAAATACATATACATATGTAAACATATGGACAGATGGCAAAGATCTTACAGGTTTTTTTTTTTTTTTGAGACGAAGTCTCGCTCTGTCACAAGGCTGGAGTGCAGTGGCACAATCTCGGCTCACTGCAACCTCTACCTCCCTGGTTCAAGCGATTCTCCTGCCTCAGCCTCCCGAGTAGCTGGGACTACAGGCGCATGCCACCACACCCAGCTAATTTTTGTATTTTTAGTAGAGACAGGGTTTCACCATGTTGGCCAGGATGGTCTCGATCTCTTGACCTCGTGATCCGCCCACCTCGGCCTCCCAAAGTGCTGAGATTACAGGTGTGAGCCACTGTGCCCAGCCGATCTTACAGCTTTTAACATGTTAGCCATGTGCCAGGTACAATAATTCAAAACACACTAATTTATAAAATAAACGGCTAGATCTAAATTGTGTTTTTGGCAGGTATAACAAGTTAAGATTACCTTCTCAGTTGTCTAAAGTTTTTTACCAATATTTGTGGGAAAGACTTTTAAGATTTTTTACTTACCTGGTTTCAAATAGCTCTTTTTTTTTTTTTTTTCTGATGACAATTCCCTCCCTGAAGTTTGTATTTCCCAAAGGTAACTATTAGGTTCTAAAGAAGACAGGGTAGAAAATTTACAACTCAATGGCACAGAAAAAGAATGCAAGTTTTGGAGGCATATTTGTCTATTATCAGAGGTTAATCTTATGGAGGCTATGGACTAATTTTAGGTGAGTGACTGAGGAGACATCTAGTGGCTGTCGGCCTCCAAAGCCCATCTAAGTAGACAAACATCCATTTTTTGTTTCCAAATAGTATTTTTCTTTCTCTCTTTTAGCCTCAAGTGGTTACTTTCAGGAGTCTCTGAGTATCTTGAGAGCCGGAGACCTAAAGTTCCAGTAATTGAGGTTCTGGAGAGGGAAGGGAGAAAGGTGGCATATCAAGAATTCAAGGGAACTGAAAGAAGACCAAAGCAAAAGGAGGAAGGAAAAGCAGAAGTAAATGGAAAGAAGAGGTCTTAGAGGAACTAGTCTGGGGGGATCTTCGCTTCCCAAAGAGGCAATGAAGCTGAAGAAAGAGGGAGATGGAGAGAGTTGACAGAAAATATAGTCAGAAGGAGTTTGGGAAGGGGGCAAAGGGTCAGTCAACCGAGAAGTTCCCATGAGAAAAGCAGGGTTCAATAGACAGAACAGAAATGCCTTAAAATACATATATTCTGGGCCAGGCACAGTGGCTCACGCCTGTAATGCCTACACTTTGGGAGGCCGAGGTGGGAAGATCACGAGGTCAGCAGATCGAGACTATCCTGGCTAACACCGTGAAACCCCATCTCTACTAAAAATACAAAAAAAAAATTAGTTGTGCGTGGTGGCAGGCACTTGTAGTCCCAGCTACTCGGGAGGCTGAGGCAGGACACTGGCGTGAACCCGGGAGGTGGAACTTGCAGTGAGCCAAGATTGTGCCACTGCACTCCAGCCTGCGTGACAGAGCAAGACTCCGTCTCAAACAACAACAACAACAACAACAACAACAACAAATATATATATATATATTCTGGGCCAGGCATGGTGGCTCACACCTGTAATCCCAGCATTTTGAGAGGCCAAAGCGAGCAAATCACTTGAGGTCAGGAGTTCAAGACCAGCCTGGCCAACATGGTGAAACCCCGTCTCTATTAAAAATACAAAAATTAGCCAGGCGTGGTGGTGCACCCCTGTAGTCCTACCTACTCAGGAGGCTGAGGTATGAGAATCGCTTGAACCTGGGAAGTGGAGGTTGCAGTGAGCCAAGATCACACCACTGCACTGCAACCTGGGTGACAGATCGAGAACTTGTCTCAAAAAAAAAAAAAATATATATATATATATATATATTCCGAATATCAACTTTCTTTTTTTTTTTTTTTTTTTTGGTGAGACGGAGTCTTGCTCTGTCGCCCAGGCTGGAGTGCAGTGGTGCGATCTCGGCTCACTGCAAGCTCCGCCTCCCGGGTTCACACCATTCTCCCGCCTCAGCCTCCTGAGTAGCTGGGACTACAGGGGCCTGCCACCACCGTGCCCGGTTAATTTTTTTTTTTTTTTTTTTTTTGTATTTTTAGTAGACACGGGGTTTCACAGTGTTAGCCAGGATGGCCTCGATCTCCTGACCTCGTTACGCGCCCACATTAGCCTCCCAAAGTACTGGGATTACAGGTGTGAGCCACCACACCCAGCCTACCAACTTTCAATTAAACCAACTTTCCACCATAGAGCTATTTATTTATTTATTTATTTATTTTTATTTTGAGACGGAATCTCACTCTATCGCCCAGGCTGAAGTGCAGTGGCGTGATCTGGGCTCACTGCAAGCTCCACCTCCCGGGTTCATGCCATTCTCCTGCCTCAGCCTCCCAAGTAGCTGGGACTAGAGGCACCCGCCACCATGCCTGGCTAATTTTTTGTATTTTTAGTAGAGATGGGGTTTTAGGGTGTTAGCCAGGATGGTCTCGATCTCCTTACCTCGTGATCCGCCCGCCTCAGCCTCTCAAAGTGTTGGGATTACAGGTGTGAGCCACTGCGCCCGGCCAAGCTCTTTAAAAAACAAATTAAATCATGCCTGTAATCCCAGCACTTTGGGAGGCTGAGGCAGGCGGATCACGAGGTCAGGAGATGGAGACCATCCTGGCTAACATGGTGAAACCCCGTCTCTACTAAAAATACAAAAAATTAGCCGGGCATGGTGGCAGGCGCCTGTAGTCCCAGCTACTCCAGCCTGGGTGACAGAGCAACACTCCATCTCAAAAAAAAAAAAAAAAATTAAAATTAAAAAATAAACAAATTAAAAACTTTCAAATATCCTTTTTCTTATTTCAATCAAAGACAGCAATCAATTGACTCAGAACCAAAACCAATAAGTCTTTCTTTTTTTTTTTTTTTTTTTTTTTCTGAGACAGAGTCTTGCTCTGTTGCCCAGGCTGGAGTGCAGTGGCACCATCTCGGCTCACGGCAACCTCTGCCTCCTGGGTTCAAGCGATTCTCGTGCTGCAGCCTCCCAAGTAGCTGGTACTACAGATGCACGCTTCCATGCCTGGCTAATTTTTGTATTTTTAGTGGAGATGAGGTTTCACCATGTTGGCCAGGATGGTCTCGATCTCCTGACCGCAAGCAATCCACCTGTCTTGGCCCCGCAAAGTGCTGAGATTACAGGCATGAGCCACCGTGCCTGGCCCAAAACCAATAAATATTTTATGACTTAACCATGGATGAAAGAGATATCCTCAAAAGAGGGTACAAAAAGATTCAGTCCTCCCAAGATCCAGAACCACCCCCAAAGATAGCCTAAAGAAAACAAAGGCCTTCAGAGCCACAGGTGGTAAAGGATGCTGTTTATGAAAATGGTTTCTCCAATTTCCCATGAAATGTAGAAATGTAAGACACTTCCAGTCACATACCCACTAATCTGTGACACCAAACTGGTGCTACTGGGATGGAACTTTCCCAGCAGTAACCAAACAATGAAGATTAAAATGAGGAAAGCTGGGCCAGGTGTGGTGGCTCACACACCTGTAATCCCAGCATTTTGGGAGGCCAAGGCAGGTGGATCACCTGAGGTCAGGAGTTCAAGACCAGCCTGGTCAACATGGTGAAACCCTGCCTCTACCAAAAAAAAATACAAAAAATTAGCTAGGTGTGGGGATGCGCGCCTGTAATCCCAGCTACTTGGGATGTTGAGGCAGGAGAATCGCTTGAATCCAGGAGGTGGAGGTTGCGGTGAGCCAAGATCGTGCCACTGTACTCCAGCCTGGGCGACAGAGCAAGATTCTGTCTCAAAAAAAAAAAAAAAAAAGGAAAAAAATGAGGAAAGCCCCTAATGGATGGACTGGGATTTCTTTTCTTTTTCTTTTTTTTTTTTTTTTTTTTTTTTTTCTGAGACAGAGTCTCGCTCTGTTGCCCAGGCTGGAGTGCAGTGGCATGATCTTGGCTCACTGCAACCTCCGCCTCCCAGCTTCAAGCGATTCTCCTGCCTCAGCCTCCTGAGTAGCTGGGATTTCAGGGTGTGCAACACCACGCCCTGCTAATTTTTGTATTTTTAGTAGAGATGGGGTTTCACCATGTGGGTCAGGCTGGTCTTGAACTCCTGACCTTGTGATCCGCCCACCTCGGCCTCCCAAAGTGCTGGGATTACAGGAGTGAGCCACCAGGCCTGGCCAGACTGGGATTCTTATTAAGAGTGGACAGGCAAGCAGAAGTATGACTGGACAAAGGAGGTATAGTCTAGTGGTAGTGAACTGGAGAAAACTTAGCAAGGTCTCTTTGTTCAAATTCTACTTAGTAACTCTGTGTAACTTGAGGACAAGGATGCTCCTTTCCTCTGGGTATGGGGAGGATACCTCTGGAATTAGGGTTTTATGTTCTACCTCAGGAGAAAAGGAGGAAGACGGTCAGAGGTTTTTGGCCCACTTCCAGGAAGAAGGGAGAGGGACCTTCCTGCTTCTGCTGTTTTCTCAAATGTCAAGTTGCCACATTTTGGTGTAGTGTATCCTGAACCCATCACCAGTATGGTGATAGGTAGGAGGCCAGTTAAGCAAACACAAAAACACATTATCATAAATCAGCTTCTCATACTAACAACCAGTAAGCATTCCCATTTAGAATATAACAAAGACATCCAAATTCATCAAATCATACATATTAAATACATGTAGTTCTTTGTATATCAGTTGTATCTCAATAAAGATGTTTAAAACAACAAATTCCAAAAGAGAGAGAGGCAAGGACAGAGCAGACAGGTAGGCAGGCAAAGAAATAGACTTGTATTTTAAGAGCTTAAATAGAGGGGATAGAGAGGCAAACAAGCACACAGTTCAAACGTAGGAGTTCAGAAGTCAGCTATAGAGTTACTGTTGAATGTGAATTAATGTGTGTGTTCCTCAGACACACACACACACATATACACATACACACAGCATGACAGAATTCTCTTTCCTAGTTTGAAAATTCAGCCCTTTTTTTCACTATGATGGCCCCAAATGGGATGAAGAATAATGTAGAAGGTGAAAAAATGTATGTGTATTAGGAGGATAAGAATCAAAGTGAAGTGATAAGACATCAGTGAAAGAAGGAAAAATGGAGTAGGAACAATGCAGGAAGAACTGGAAGCCGGTGGGAGGGTAAAATGAGAGTAAACTTCAGTTGAAAGGAAGGAAGGAAGGAGGTAAAGGAAGGGGTGTTTGAGGAACAAATAGGTAAGAAAGCCAACTTCCTCACTCCTGGATAACTTACTCTCTATTGTACAGTACCTGGAAAACAGTAGGCATTAGATAAACATTGAACAGAAGAACAAAGTCAGGAAGGCTATGGGAAGCAGGATCAAACAGGGTAAGGTATGTGGGTAGTAATATCTACTAACATTCACTGAGTTTTACCATAAGCTGTACACCCGGCTAACCACTTTACATGATTTATCACTTTAAATCCTCACCAACACTCCATGAGGTAATTCACAGTATCCCCATTTAGTAGATGAAGAAACGGAGGCTCAGACAGTTCAAGTAACTCATCCAAGGTCACCTGAGTAGTAAGTGGCAGAGTCAGGATTTAAATGTTGACTTGTCCGACTTCCAAACCAGTGTTTCTCACCACTATATTAAATGTATTCCTAGCCAGGCACAGTGGCTCATGCCTGTAATCCCAGCACTTTGGGATGCTGAAGCGAGCAGACTATTTGAGGTCAGGAGTTCGAGACCAGCCTGGCCAACATGGTGAAACCTGTCTCTAGTGAAATATAAAAAAATAGCCAGGCGTGGAGGCGCGCAGCTCTAATCCCAGCTACTCGGGAGGCTAAGGCAGGAGAATCACTTGAACCCGGGAGGCAGAGGTTGCAGTGAGCTGAGATGGCGCCACTGCACTCCAATCTGGGCGACAGAGTGAGGCTCGGTCTCAAAAAAAACAAAAAAAAACAAAAACAAAAAAATTCCCCTTTGAGTAAAGGGTAGGTCTATACCCCTCTCGTTTACCACCCCATACACATAAAAGTTTGGCAAGGACCACAAAAGACATGGTACCAAACCTAGCCTATTAGTGAGGAGAGTACTAGGAGTGGAGGAATGGGGGCAGGCTCCCGGGCTGAGGAAGGACCATATTAAAGCCTCATCTTCAACAACACAAAGAAAAACAATTTGAAACTTAATCATCTCCCAGAATTATGATCCCTTCCCGCAGCGGGGAGCACATTAGCAGAGCTGAGAAATGATAATTCAGCAGCCCCCAACCCAGCAGGGAAGGAAAGAGAGGAGGAGGGAGGAGAGCCGGAGGAAAACAGAAACAGAGGCACAGAGAAAGATGGGGAACGCGGGGAGAGGCAAGGCCTGACCTCTCATGGCTCTTCTTCCTGCCCAAGTCTGAGACAGGGTTCCAGGAAAGTGGGCTGGTGGCACTTGGCCCTTCAATTGTGCCCAGATAGGGCAGGGGTCAAGGTGCTCCCTAGGTCAGTTCTCAGCACCGATGGATCCCCACGTTCGGAGCTGCATCCAAGCTCATCCGGGCCAGGCGTGGTTTAGTGGTCTTAGCCTGGTTGGGGGAAAGCTCCCGAGCCACCAGAGCTGGCTCTGAGCACCCGCTTGTCCGATGGCACCTAGGCGAATCAGCGGTCCGTCAGGACCCGAGGCGCTGGACAGCTCCCGGTCCCAGAAATGGTTCTCCGGAGTCCAGCAGTGAGGTGGGGTGAGGCTGCCCCCGCGCCGCGGCAGACCCCACCCTCCGGAGAAGCGCGAAGGTTGCTGGGAGCTCCTGGGGAAAGGGCTCGGGGTCGTGAAAGGGTCCCGATGGAGATCTGGTGGGGACCTTGAGACTGGAGCCCCGGGGGCAACTTCTCCAGACGCATTCCTTCCTTCTGAGTCCAGACCCCTTCACTCCCCACACCACCCCCCGCTGGGGACAATGGCGCCTTCAGCCCCCAGAGATGAATGGGGCCTTTGAGAGCCGCATGCCACGGGGTCAGCGGCGGCCACCGGGTCCCCGGGGGCTGCCCAGCCTCCAGATCAAGGAGACTCTGGTCAGGGAGAGTGGGGAGCTCTTCGGGGAAGAAAGGAATTCCATGGTCCCTTTCTTAGAGACTAGTGGGCCCCGGAGAAGAGATTCATCTGGATCAGGCAGTTCCTGGTAAAGAAGGATTTTAAGGGGGTGGGGAGGGAGGAACCCCCACTACCTGTGGCAGGGAAGGGGAGATTCTGTGCCCCTTCCTCAGGAGGCAGCAAAGCCAGCTACCAAGCTTTTGCTACCTCTTCCCCCCACTCCACGCTCCATCCCGCCTGGTTCCCCAAATCGGGGTCCCACCCTCAGTTTGCATGGGGCAGCTCCCCGTTTCTCTCGGTCCTTTCATCGGGGGCTGTCCCTAAGGCTTGGTCCCTCCTTCCTGCTCCTGTCTCCCCTCCGATTCTTGCACTGCACAGCCTACCCAGTTTCTATGGAAACAGGCTGGGAAGGCACTGCCAGGAGGCCAAGGCCACTACAGCTCTTGGGGGGAGGGGAAGATAGAAATGGAAAGAGAGACGCAGGAGGCGAGTTCTGGCCATTCCCGGAAGCGGGTGGAGATCTGTTGGGAGTGAGCCTTCACTGCCAGAGGGGTGGGGCAGAAGGAGAGGTGTGATTAAGTGATGTGACTGAGACAGAGTTGAGGGGCTCCTCCTCATTCCCCCAATTCCCAGTGCTCCAGACATCTAGACAAGCCTCCTCAGAGGGGAAAGTGGTGGATGAAGAAGGAAAAGAGACAGGTAGTACCAAGAGCTCTGCCCATTTCTAACTTATGTGAGGCTCTATCCTTTTACCCCTCCTGGGGACATGCCCACTTGAGAGGAGGTCTCCAGGGAACTAGAAGGCTCCCAAGAAGTGGGAGGGAAAATTGGAGTGCGGTGTGAGTGGTCAGGGATGTTCAGGAATCTCCCCTAGGAAGGTGAGCTAGAGGTGGGCAGAGGCCTCGGAATGTCAGCTACTTTTATGGTACCCCTCTCTGGCACCTCCACTGAGGAGTTGGTAGGGGGCTGGAGACTGTCAGCTTCCTCCCCTCTGTTCATCCCATCAGAACGTTGGGCTATGAGAAAACAAAAGTGGCCTAGTGGGGGTTGGGTGCACAGAAAGGGAGATAAGCCTAAGGCAAGAAGGGCCAGAAGAGGGGTGGGTGAATGAGTGAGTGCGGATGCTTGTGGCTAGGGCAGGGAGGGAGCTTCTTAGAAGCTTCATCTGCCAGCTCCTGGGAAGTGATCCCCAGCCCTCACCCTCTCCCGATGCTCCCACCTCAGGCAAAGCTGCCCCTTGGACAGGAACTATTGGAAATCTCAGAGTCCTGGGAGATTGTGCTGTGGGGGATTCCTTGGAAAGGGGCCTTCTAGGTTATCAGAACGTTCAGCAAAGCTTCCCTGGGGGAGAGGGGTAGTGAAACAGGTACCCTGGAGCCTAGGGTTTCCTGGATCTGAGCCATCGGCTCTCCCTGACCATAGTCCCCAGAACAGTCGTCTTGGTGTTTGCTTATTTTGGTTATTTTTTGATCAGATATTTTGGCACTGAGCACACTGCCTCCTGTTGCCATGGCAGCCGTGACAGGGGCTGAGGCACCGTGAGAAAAATACCAAAATTAATGAGTGAGCGAAAGTGCAGCCGAGAGAAAAACAAGGTTAAAAAAAGAGTTAAAACAGTAATGAAAACAGGCTTTCCAGCTCCACAGCAGAGCAGCTGCTGAGGCCTCCCCAGAGCAGCAGCCCCCACCCAGCCTAGAGCTCCTGGCATCTCCCAGACCTCAAGGCAGGACTCACTTGGCTTCCCCCACCCAGCTCGTCACTGACCCAGCAACAGCCACTTGGGGACCACCCTATGCACAACAGTAGATCAGCTCCAACAGTACATCAGCTTCCATCTCAGGTAGTATCCTGCCTCCCAGAACAGCTTGTCATCTCCTAAACAATAGAGTCTCAGCCACAGCCCCCACACAACAATGGTCCAGCAAAATTACCAGGAAATGGCCTCCTAGCTACACCCAAGCTTTAAAGTTATAGCTGCAGGCATCCCAGCTAGAGTCCAGCACACAGTAACAGCCCAACCACAATTCTGAGCAACAGCATCTTAGCTATAGCCAATCCCCAGTATGCTGTCATCACAGCTACAGCTCCAGGACCAATAGCAGCTCAGCTACAGTCCTATACACAACAGTAGCTCTGCTCCTATCCCAGGTAACAGCCTGTCTCCCAGGTACAGGCTCCTCGCAACAGCCTCTCATCTCCTAGGACCTAGGCAATGGATCCAGTTACAGTCCCATCTACATCATATTAACAGGGAACAGCTTCTCAGCTACAGCCAGTCTCAGGTGTGCCAGCCTCATATCTATAGCTTCAGGCCCAACAGCTTATCAGTTACAGTTCTCCCTCAACATGCACACACACACCCATATACACACAGCTTGGCGATAGTTTCTCAGGTAATCTTATTGGCTATAGCCTAGGCACACCAGCATCAGAGCACTGCAACAGTGTCCTAAGTACAATCAGAGGCAGCAGCCTTGGTGTTACAGTTCCAGGCCCTACAGCATCCTAGTTCACTTAGCCACAGCCCATCCCAGGTACACGGATATCACAGCAAGCACCCCAACCATTCCCATACCCAGCATCACCCTGGTTCCAATCCCTGGCCACAGTCTCAGCTGGAACTCAGGCACCATCAGTTTCAGGAGCCTCCCCCAGTGCTTCACTTGCCAAGCAGGTCCTCCTCCCACTTTGGTACAGGGCCAGAAGTCTGACTTCTCTCCTCTTCAAATGCCACCTCCCTTGCTCCCCAACCATCCTCCCAGTCCCTGCTTGCTCACCTGCCCTCTTTCCTGGGGAAAAAAGGCCCCAATTCTCATATCTACATTGTCCCTGACTCAGGGGCACAGAGCCCAGCCTGGCAGCTGGGGTAGGAGGGGCTGGGGAGCAGGGAGAAGAGTAGGCACACCCTGGTGCTGCTGCTGTGGCCCAGTTCTGCTCCTACCACTTGGTGCAGAATTTGAGTTTGATGGTGGTGGAGCAGGGAGGATGGAGGCGAACATCTGGGAGATTAGCATTTCCTGCCCAGCTCTGCGGCTGCTGATCCTGCTCAGCCCTGAGCAAGGGAGGAGAACAGAGGAGCCTTTGAATGGCTCCCAGCAAGCAGACTGGGGAGGGTTTGCTGCATTGGGCAGCGGGCACACGCTGGGGGCAGGGAGACCGGGGCAGCTCTTCTGTGGAAGATTTCTTCTCTCTGGGCCACTGATTCCCTCCTCGGAGCTGTGCTCAATGATGTGGAGAGTATGAGCTTTCTAGAGACAGAAAGAAGCTACTTACAGAACAGACCCACCCCCCTCTTTCACCAGATTACCCCATCTCCCATCTAGAGCCCTGCCCCTGGGCTCCTGGGGCTGAGGGATAGAGCAGAGCCCAGGTCAGAAAAGGAGTCCAGTTAAGCAGGGCTGCTCTGGGAGAGATCTTGGACAGACTTTGCTTGCCCTCTTAGCTAACCAGAGATTCCACTTTTACCCTGAAGAGCATCCCACCGAGAGAGGCCAGAGCTGAGAAGAGAAGGAAGTAGAAGAAAGAGGAAAGGCACAGAAGAGTGGTAGGAACAGGAAAATGGGGAAGGACAGAGATGGGGAGTCAGAGGCTATGGCAAAAAGAGGCCCAACAACTGGTCATCCCATAACAAGAGCCTTTCCTCACCCAGCACTAGGCCTGGCTAGGGATAACCTTCCTCATTCTTTTGACCTAGAACACTCTGCCTGGGCCTGCAGGCGAAGAAGGCAGGAGGTCCTGTTGAACTGGGACACTTGGTAGCCTGGGTTACCAAACCGCAAGCGCAGGAGAGGGAGTTCCCAAGCTACTCAGAGACCTCTAGATGGCGCCAGAGAGCCAGAGCTGAATGGGAGAAACCGAGTATTGGAGTGTGTGAGACACTGCGTGTGACACCGTGTGTGATTTGGTGTGAGTGTGATAGGGAGCGTGTGGCACTGCGAGGGCGTGTGACACAGGCCGTGACACTGCGCGGCCTCGCGGGGCAGGGACCCGGTGACTGTATAATGTAAGTCACTGGCAAATACGTGTGGCCGCAGCACTACGCCGTGCAGAGGGCAGGTGATCAGGGGACCCTCGAATAGCCTAAGCTCAGGAGCAGCACTTCGTCTTCACGCTTGTGTATCTTCCCCATCCTCACTCTAGAGCCCCCGGGTCCCATTAGCCTCCTCCTCCCACGGTCCCCTCCATAGCCCCACCCCCACGGCTTGCTGCGGCCACCGAGGCTGACCGCTCTGCGGCTTCGGCCGGAGGGGGAGGGGTGGACTTTCCCCGAGCGCAGCGGGAAGGGAGGGCCACACAGGGCGATCGGGGATCTGGGCGGGAAGAGGGTGGATATGGAGGAGCAGGTGCCCAGGGAAGAAGGCGCTGTGGGAGACACTTCCCTTGCCTCGACTTCCCAGGGGGCAGACAGAGCTGGGGACAGGTGTTTGAGTAGGGTAAGGAGGGGAATCCAGGAGCGGTCCTAGATGGAGGCTTGGGTGGGATAAGTGTAAGGTGAAGCTCAGAGGAGGGCACGGCCTGTGTACTGGGCCTCGGGCAGTGAAGAGATGGCAGAGGGAGGGGTCCAGGCTTTGGGGAGCGGTGCTCGGGGTCCCCTCCCAGCCGGACCGGAGCGGTCCCGAGCTCCACCTCCCGGCCGGAGGGGGGGCGGGGAGGCGGGCGGGCCGGGAGGGAGGGGGGAGGGAGGGGGCGGGCCGGGCTGTGCGCTCCGCTCTCTGCTGGCTCCGCCGCCGCCGCCGCCGCCGCCGCCGCCGCCGCCGCCGCCTCACACACTCGGGGAGCGGGAGCGCGGCGCGGACGCAAAGCCGCCGGGCTGCTGCGCCCAGAGCCAGCCGGAGCCGGAGCCGGAGCCCGAACTGCAGCTCCAGCCCCAGCCGTGCGGAGCCGCAGCCCAGGCCGGGGCCGGCGGCGGCTCATGGACAGCGGGGCGGGCGGCCGGCGCTGCCCGGAGGCGGGTAAGGATCCGGCGGCGGTGGAGGCAGCAGCGGCTTGGGGCCCGAAGCGGTCATGGCCGGCGGGAGCTGAGGGAGGGGCGCTCGGCGGAGCGAGGCCGCGGGGGCCCAACACGAGCTCGGCGCGAGGGGGCTGAGGTGGGGGCTGCTGGGAGCCCATAGCAGGGGATGCGGCTGAGGGATTCCGTCCTCCCAGGTCCGCGGCGAGAAGCCGAGGGAGGGGAGGGGGTGCTGAGCAGAACCCTAGTCCCCGCGTCCCAAACCTGGGCGCGCTCGGAGAGACGGGGATAAGGAGACTCCAGGAGCGCGCGGCGTGGAGGATGGGTTTGGGGAAGCGCGCGGCCCCCAGTTTGGTGGGGGTCTCCCGGAGGACGGAGCAAGCAAGGACCGTTGTCCACAACACATACATACACACTTGTTGGGCAACTACCTCGGCTCACTCAGCCGCTTCCAGCTTCTCGCGGGCACCCAGAGGGCCAGACCGTGGACATATATACACACATACATACATCCCTGCATATGTGCACACAGACATACCTCCCGCACACCAGCGCCCACTGGGGCACCGTCGCCAGCTCAGAATCCGCTTCAGTGTCTGCACGATCAGCAGCACCGACACACAACCCGTGGCTTTACAGAGCAATAACACAACCGGGTGTGACACCCCGCGACGTGGACACACAAACACAATCTCGTGCCCTCATGTACGAGTGTCACAGCCACAGTTCACTAGATGAACCCTCAAAACCTAGCCACCCCCCACATTCCTTTAAGGAACACACCCTAGCATATATCATCTTACCCACTTCTTGGCCAGAACATAGGTACACAGCACAGGTCTCCTTGCACCCCTCTACTGCACCCACACAAACACACAACCCAGTATCTCAGCACACGCTTGATGGCACACACTCTAACACAGGAATTGGCACCTACAGCAGCGCCTCACGGTCACAAACACAGAATCCACTGCTTCACCCATCTTAACACTGGGTGTCACACACACCTTAAACCAACAGTGTCACATTACATTACACCCTGCAGCGCATACACACAAACACACACACTCCGTTCCTCTCTCTCGGAGTCCAGATTCAGGCAGGAGAAGCCGCCGGGGTCGTTCGGCGAGCCCCAAGCGCCCCGCCACGTTAATCGCGACATTATTATTGTAAATATCGGCACAGCGGGAAGGCTGGGCCGGCCTGCCGGCTTCCCAGTCGGCGCCTCCCCAACCCCCACTCCCGGGCCGAACCGGCTGGTGTTCCGGGAACAAGCTGGACCTGGCTGGCCAAGCCATCCCGCCTCCCCGGAGCTCTGGGGCCCCAGGTTCCTTTGTAGAGGGTGCTAGCCTGGGACGGTGATTGCGACCCTCTTCCAGCCATTTAGCTGAGTTTTCTGAGCCACCTGGGTCTCCAGCACACCTGGGTCCCACACACCTTGGTGGGTCCCGCACACCTGGGTTCGTCTCACACCTGAGCGCCCCCTCCGCCTGGTCCCCGCTGTAGGCCAGTGTGTGCGCGGGCAGGCCCTGGAGCCAGAACGGAGATCGCGGCAGGCATAGGAGCAGAATTTGTAGGCGAGGTGGTCTCGCACCCCTTCCCCCCAGCTACCCTCTGTAAGTCAGAATTCTGGCCTCAGTTTCCCCAACAGTGGTCGGCTACTATTTCTTCTGCCAGGAAAGACTGGGGGCGGCACTGAGGCCTTGGAGGATTGAGCGTAGGGCAAAAAACCCCCTCTGCTCGCCACGAGAGGGTCGGTTTTATGAGAATGTCCCCGCCTAGCCGGGTTCGCGGCTTTGTGATTCCGGCGCCGGCTCCCTCCCCGCCCCCTCCTGGCGCCCGCTGCGCCGCTCGCGCCGGCTCCGGCTTGCGGGGGACCCTAGGCCGAGGCCGGAGATGCCGGGGAGGAGGGATTCCCCGCGGTGGCCTGGGTGCGGGGGGCGCAAGGGCTCCCCCCACTAGCCGAAGCGCGTTCTCACCACGCCGCGCCCTAGCCTTGCCTTGGGTTCCTGGAGGCTGGGCGCTGCCGGGGTGGGGGTGGGGCCGCCAGAGCCCAAGAAACTGCCGCCGTCCCCCCCGCCACCCCCTAATCTCCGCAACACACACACACACTCGGCGTCCTCTGGGAGGAGTCGCTCCGCGCGCTGGGTGTGTGCTGGGAGCGCCCGCTGACCAAGGCGGTGCGGACTGGGGCTGCTTGGGTCGCTTCGTGCAGGAAGACGCCGCGAGGCTTCTAGCACCTGCTCTGGGTCAACCCTCGGGAGCTGCCAGGGAAGGGGCCGCCCAGAAAGTTTTTATGACAAGCCGGAGGTCTAGCTGTGTTTGTAGGGGGTGGGGGGCGCGGGAGTAGGTGGGTGTTACTTTATTGACGTTAAGGTCTGGGGGAATTGGAACCTGTAATTACAACTAGACTAGGGCATGGGGTGGAATCGAGGGGAGAGGCAGACTGGCCCCCAGAGGTAGCCAGAGGCAGTGTGATAGGGAGGCAAGTCTGGATTCAGTTCTGGCCGCATTTAGTTTTTACCCCTTCTCCTACCCACCTCCAATTCCCAATTCCAAAAGGGACTTCAGCTGGAAGTGGGTGTCTTGCTGGTCTGCCATCTTCTTAGCAGAGGGGCTGCTGCTGTGGCTACTTCTGCAGGGGAGCTGGGCAAGCGATAGTAAGCTAATTGCTGAGAAGGGGGTTGAAGGGCCAGGAGGGGGCCGCGAGGGTGGGGGAGGAGCTAAGTGGGAATCAGGGTTCGGGGAGGGGTGTAGGGAAAGAAGAAGGTGAGGGCTGCCCCTGCCGTGAGCAAGGATAGTTGGTGCAGAGATTCTGTTCAACAATGTATTGAGCACCTTTTATCTGCCAGGGTCCATGGTGGGTGGTGAGGATGCAGTAGTAAGAGACATACCATCATTGCCTTCATAGGACTTACCAACCAGCGAGGGGATTGGCTTGTTTATTCATCGAACCAAGGAGCACCCACTGTGTGCCCGATGCTGGAAATAAAATGGTCTATTCAGCAATTAGAAGACTTAGAAAAAAAAATGATTTGTCCTTTACATGTAATGTAAATAGACCTTAATGTAATAGACCTTATAGGCATGAGATCTCATTTAATTCTCCCAAATAATTTCAAGAGGCAGGTTTCATTATTTCCATTTCACAGTATGGAAACAGGTTCAGAAAAGTAAATTCACTTGGTTAATGTCACACAGCTAGGAAGTGGTGGAGCGAGGGTTCTAACCCCAACGATCTGACATGCAGGTGCCCAGAAGCCCTGCAGAGGCTAATAGAGGGTTGTGGGAGAGAGGGGAGAGGAGCTGAGGTCTGCACACTTGCTCTCTGTGGGAGGCTTCTGTTCAGCTCCACCCCACGCAACCCCATTTTCTTCCCCTCTCCCCGCGACAGTCCGTTTGTCCCTTGGTGTTTTGTGCCCGCGGCAGTGACCGTTGTGTAACAGTGCTGGGGTGAGGGTGGGGAGTCAGAGCTGACCTGGCTACTGGGACAGTGGTGGCTGCCTCTGTGTGTTTTTTCTCTGGCCACAGCACTCAGCAAAATGGACCTTGGTCCCCGGGGTGGGCTGGAAGTGAAGTTTCCGGGTGAACTCTCACCTCTGTTCTCATCCCTTCCCAGATGTTGACACAGACAGTATTTCCTTCAGCTTTTCTGGGACTCCGTCCCCTCCTTATCCCTTACTCCTACACCCCTGACGGCACTTCTGCTCCTCTATCTGAGGGACATGGGTCCCTGCGCCTGTTCCCCCTCAGGCTCTGGCTTCTCAGGGTCCTGGGTGCCCATGTCACTGGGGGGAGGTAGGGCACCGTTGCCCAGGAAGGCAGCCAGGGCCCGGGGAAGGGCAGATAAGGCGCTGCATGTATCAAAGGCTGCTGTGTGGGATTAATGACTCCCAGTGCCCAACTGCTGGGGACAAAGTTCAGAGATGGTGGGAACACGGGTGAGGGAAGGCCTCCTTATTGCTGCTCCTGCCCTTCCAGGCCACCCTGGCTCTCTTCCTGCATTTCTACGGGCCCCTGGGTGAACAGCAGCAGCCTAGGAAGCCTGGGCTGGTTCATTCCTTGACCCTTAGGCCCACTGTTTCTTATTCCCTCCTTACGGGGCAAGGTTGGCAGTCCAGGAATGGTGGGGAGGCGGGTGTGACATAACAGGAATCAGATTCTAGCCTCAGATATTTCTGTTTCTTTCCCCCAGACTCTGGGATGTGAAGAGGCATTCTTGTTTCTCAAGTCCTGGTTCTTCCACATACTACTTCTGTGACTTAAGACAGTTTATTCTTTCTCAGCCCCCATTTGATCATCTGTAGTATGGGAAGGAGTGTAATAATAAATACTACCCATTTGAGAGGGTTGGGAGGAAAGAGATCATGTGTGTAAAATGCTTAGTACTGATAAAATCTTAGTGTTTGCTGAGATGATGATGATGATGAGTGATTATGATGGCAAAGGTGATGATAAAAGTTTGCAGGGGCTGGGCGCAGTGGCTCACGCCTGTAATCCCAGCACTTTGGGAGGCTGACGCAGGAGGATCACGAGGTCAGGAGATCAAGACCATCCTGGCTAACACGGTGAAACCCCGTCTCTACTAAAAATACAAAAAAAAAAAAAAAAAATTAGCTGGGCATGGTGGCGGGCGCCTGTAGTCCCAGCTACTCGGGAGGCTGAGGCAGGAGAATGGCGTGAACCTGGCAGGCGGAGCTTGCAGTGAGCCGGGATCGCGCCCCTGCACTCCAGCCTGGGCAACAGAGCAAGACTCCGTCTCAAGAAAAAAAAAACGTTTGCAGGACCGGGCCAGGCGCGGTGGCTCACGCCTGTAATCCTAGCACTTTGGGAGGCCGAGGCGGGCAGATCATGAGGTCAGGAGATCGAGACCATTGTGGCCAACACGGTGAAACCCCGTCTCTACTAAAATACAAAAAAAAAAAAAAAAAAATTTAGCCGGGCGTGGTGGCACGTGCCTGTAGTCCCAGCTACTTGGGAGGCTGAGGCAGGGGAATTGCTTGAACCCGAAAGGTGGAGGTTGCAGTGAGGCCAGATCGCACCACTGCACTCCAGCCTGGCAACGGAGTGAGACTCTGTCTCAAAAAAAAAAAAGAGTTTGCAGGACCTCAGGCTCTTTCTTAACTCCCTGGAATTATCTCAAAGTTGTACCCAGATGGTCCGACCATTGCATCACAATTGCTTGGGGGTTTCTCTAGGTCCCACCTCCTGAATAAAGATTCCTAAGGGTGGGGCCAGATAATCCTCATTTTGAAGAAACTCTCCAGATGCTTGAAAGGCCTAAGCCCTCTTCAACTCCTTTCCCCACTGTGAGCAACTCTCCCCCAACCCTGTTTTCCCCACATTCCTCCTACTTTCTGGGACCTTTCCCCAGCCCCGCCATCCCATACCTTCCTTGAGCTGGATATTATCCTGTGGTTCTCCTTCTCTTTCCAATTCAGAGGTTAGATACCACAGTCCTTAATTGGTTCTTTTGCTGGTTGAAGGTAAGACAACTCCTCAGGGTGAGAAAGAGCGTGTGGGGAGCGGAGGTAGTCTCACAAGCATGTGTGCCTGTTCTGCCTAGGAGGTTTGAAAGGTTATAGGGCCTCAGGTTGTGACTGTGAGATGGAGGAAGCCTGAGGCAGGGGCTTAATTCGTAGCTCTTGGAGTGGCCACACATCATTCGCCCTGACTGCCAGATCATGGCCCCCTGAATTAGCGGCTAAAATTTGTGAACAGTCATTTTTCCTGGAAAAATCTGTACCATGGTTTTATAAAATTCTTGAAGGAGGATGTGACCACAGAAGATTAACTATCTTAAGTATCCTCGATCTGGAGAGAACAGAGGCAAACAGTGACTGCCTTATTTATTCTCTTGGTCAGGTTTAGGGTAATTCCCGTGGGCTTCCCACATAACGCCTCACCTGCCAAGACTTTTGTAGAGAATTAGGGTGCACAGTGATACCACATTGTATATGCAGAGGAGGGTGGCAGCAGGATACAGTCCCATAAGAAAATGAGGTTCTCTGGTGATGGTCCTTTGACGATGTGTTTGGGTTGGGGTTGAAGTAGTCAGATGAGCCTTGTGCCAGGTCCATGCAGGTGGAGGGGGGGGGTGGGGGGTGGATCCAAATGGAGTACAGATAAATTCCTGCTTCCTTTAAAGAGATTAACATTCACACCAATCTGATAACGCCGCACACACTTTAGGGAGGGGCCTGTGCTTGGGGAAGGCCATACAGAGGAGGGGATGTGTTTGATTTATCTAAAGACTCTGTGCATTCAGTGAACATTTGCTGAGAGTCTACTATGTGCCCTAAACAGAGAAGACTTACATTTTACCCCAGGAAGTTCTTAGTGGTGTAGGGGAATCGGGTAAGTGAGCAAGTAAAAGAGCAGTGGTCACACAGCAAGTACCAGGAAAGGCTAAGCCTAGAGAGCAAAATAACAACAGTCATTCAAGAGCTGCCAAGTGCCCACTGTGTGCCAGGTCCAGGGCTAAGCCCTGAGGAGGTAGGAGCAAACAAAGTAGAAACTCTCCTGCTTTCTGCTCACCATCTTGGAGCAAAGACAGACAATTAACACATTTTCCAAACAGGTACACAACTACAATTGTGCTAAATGCTTTGAAGGAGTCCTTTGTTGAGTACCCACATTTAGCCCACAGTATCTCAAACACCCTAGGAAATAGGTAGTATTATCCCCATTTTACAGGTAAGGAAACTGAGGCACTAAATCTTTGCTTCAGGTCATGCAGCCAGGAAGTGAGCAGCTGGGTTTGCCTCAGACTGTCTAATGCCACAACCCTCGCTCTTCTCCACCCTGCTGCCTTACATTCGCCAAATGGTATACAGAAGCAACCAAACAAAATGGACAAATAGTCATTGAGTTAGAAGCACTGTCATGGCAGATTGGACCAGTCTTGTTTACTTCTGCATCCCAGTGCCCAGGACAGAGCCTGGCATATTGTAAATGCCCAATAAACATTTGTTGAATGCATGACTGAGTCCCTACAGTGTACCCAGATGTGCAAAGGTGCATTGTTAGGGGGCAGGGGATGAGTGAGTGTACAGAGTACTGTCCCTTCCTTCGTAGTGCTTTGTGTTTGCCTGGAAAGGCAGAGAACTCAGGAATAGGTGCACAATACTGAAGCTGAACAACACAGGCGGGCGGTGTCCCAGTCAGCCCCATGATTCATTGCCTTGGGATTGGAGCAGACAATAAGTGGCTGTGAGTTGGAGGAAGGAGAGGTCACCGTGGGCAGGAGAGGACTGTGAAGGTTTCCTGGAGGGCCAGAGCCTGCCCTCAGTGGGATTGATGTGGGGTGGGTGTTCCAGGTGTGGGGAAGGTATTCCAGGTAAAAGTGAGGAAGTGGGGAAAGGAGACTGAACCAGAAGCCTCCAAAGAAACTGCTGATCCAAAGATTTTGGATTTGAATAAAGGAGGGACTGGCCATGATTTTGTTGGAGAGGAGGGGGCATTCAAGACAGAGACAGTAGCTGGGTCTAGCTGGGATCTGCAAATGCACGACCTCAAAGCCAGGGGAGATGGGCAGAAGAAGGGGGTTATTGTTGTGATGGGGTACAGCTTGTGGTTGACTAGGGCAGAGGTTGGGAGAGGCAAGTGTGAAGTAGGGGCTGGATATACGGAGATGGATGTCAAATAAGAGCCAGATGTTCATCCAGAGACCAGAGGGTGTGGGGTGGGGGAGTGGCCAGGGAAAGGCTGCTGGTGTCATTATCATCGGCAGCTCTGTCCCAGTTAGACCTGCTGGGCTCCCTGTTGCTAAGGACAGGCCAGGGCAGCTCCCAATGCCAATTCCAGGGCTAGTCAGCCCTGACCACAGTTCTGACCCCAATCTTGACCTGTGTTCCCTTGTACGCACCTGCCCATGGCAGCAGGAGGGAGAGGAGAGGAGCCCTAGCAACTGTGCATGTTCCTGTGTGCATGCTCTGGGGCATGTGTGCATGCTCTGGGGCATGTGTGCACGCTCTGTGGCCTGTGTGCACGTTCTGGGGCATATGTGTTGGGGGAAAGTCGGGAAGGCTAACACCTACTCCTCAACCCTAACCATTTTCACAAGCCTTGCCCAATTCAAGCTGGCCTTTTATGGGGGTGGAGAATACTGGGCACCGTGGGTGATTGTCAGAAAAAGAGGATTTGAGATGTCATACCTCATGCATATGCACTGACTTGGCATCTCAGAACAAAGAGAAATGAGACATCATCCCCTCTCCCTCCAGCCAACCTTAATGGAGCCCAGTGTGACAAGTCAAGGTCCCAGGGTCTGGGGTGTGTAAGGACGTACTTGTGTCTCTTTCCTACCATGCATGTGGGGAGGGGTGCTCCAGTTGGGGATGCTCGAGGTCTCACCCTTCCACTGGCTCTCTCTCCCTATCTCAGTATCAAGGTAATTACCATCGGTGACTAAGGCAGGATGCTCGTGAGAAGGAGGTGTTGGGTGAAGCACAGAGCAGAGAGCAAGGAGGAAAAGAAGGAAAGAGGGCGGGCAGCCGGGCTTGGGCCCAGGGAGCGTCAGGTGGGTGAGGGTGTTCCATGGGCGGGAGCTGCTCTAGGCATGCCAGGCCTCTTACTGGCTCCTCCAGCTGGGGCAGACACTGCTGCTACACCCAGCTGTGGATGAGATTCAGGGATCTGAGTTTCTGGAATCGGGGTTCTGTGCTGGGACTGACTGCTCTTGTGGAGAATCGTGTGTCAGTGGGAGAGGGTGAGTATGGGGCCAGCTCTGGGCAGCTCAGGGCCAGGCTTTTCTTCCCAGCTCATGGCCTCTGTTTTGCCTCTTCCCCTTGCAGCCCTCCTGATTCTGGGGCCTCCCAGGATGGAGCACCTGAGGCACAGCCCAGGCCCTGGGGGGCAACGGCTACTGCTGCCCTCCATGCTGCTAGCACTGCTGCTCCTGCTGGCTCCATCCCCAGGCCACGCCACTCGGGTAGTGTACAAGGTGCCGGAGGAACAGCCACCCAACACCCTCATTGGGAGCCTCGCAGCCGACTATGGTTTTCCAGATGTGGGGCACCTGTACAAGCTAGAGGTGGGTGCCCCGTACCTTCGCGTGGATGGCAAGACAGGTGACATTTTCACCACCGAGACCTCCATCGACCGTGAGGGGCTCCGTGAATGCCAGAACCAGCTCCCTGGTGATCCCTGCATCCTGGAGTTTGAGGTATCTATCACAGACCTCGTGCAGAATGGCAGCCCCCGGCTGCTAGAGGGCCAGATAGAAGTACAAGACATCAATGACAACACACCCAACTTCGCCTCACCAGTCATCACTCTGGCCATCCCTGAGAACACCAACATCGGCTCACTCTTCCCCATCCCGCTGGCTTCAGACCGTGATGCTGGTCCCAACGGTGTGGCATCCTATGAGCTGCAGGCTGGGCCTGAGGCCCAGGAGCTATTTGGGCTGCAGGTGGCAGAGGACCAGGAGGAGAAGCAACCACAGCTCATTGTGATGGGCAACCTGGACCGTGAGCGCTGGGACTCCTATGACCTCACCATCAAGGTGCAGGATGGCGGCAGCCCCCCACGCGCCAGCAGTGCCCTGCTGCGTGTCACCGTGCTTGACACCAATGACAACGCCCCCAAGTTTGAGCGGCCCTCCTATGAGGCCGAACTATCTGAGAATAGCCCCATAGGCCACTCGGTCATCCAGGTGAGAGGCCCCCTCCGTATAACTGTCAGGGTGACCCACCACTAGAAATGGGAGCCCACCCAACCAGGTGAGAGTTCCCTTCACTTAGGGGAAAAACTGCCAGAATACTGTAGTGAGACCCCTTCTCCCCAAACTCAGCCAGGGGAGTCTTTCCCACCCCACCCCAGCAGGTGATATTACTTTCCTCTATCAGGCTACTTAGGTGACAGTGAAATAGCATATGAACAGTTTCCCGTGACCCCTAAGGCAGACTCAAGCTGGGGGAACCTCTGAGAAGTAAAACTCCCGCCCTAGTCAAGTAGATCCTTCTCTGCTAGCCAGGTGAGCTGAGTTGGAACAAAGGAATCACCGTTTATCCAGGTAGAATCTCTCCTGAGATGAGAGTATCTTCCCAACCAGGGATAGTTTCTCTTTAGCCAGATGAGGTTTTCCTGAAGCTGGAGGATATAGCCTCATTTTGCCTCTTCCTGACAAAGTCAGATGAGATCATTTTAGCCAGGTGGGACCCTCAGAGTTCTGAAAAAACATACTAGGGTGTCTGTATACATGCCTCCTCCCCTAGGCATGGGGTGCCCATAGATGTGGGGTGCTTGGTACAGTGGGGTTCAGTGGGGGGTCAATTTCCTCTGTTGAAGTTCTCAGCACCCCTCTCCATGGGAACTGCCCCAGGCGCTAGGCAGCTTGGTGGGGCTGGGGACTGGGAGGGAGCAAAGAAAGCGTCTCTGCAGACAGGTGGGTGTATCTCCCGCTGTCATCTCAGCTCTGGCCTCCTGCCAGCCCCAGCTCCTTTCCCCTTCCCCATGGGCTGAAGATGCCTCTCTCTTTGATGTGAGGGAGCTGAGGAGGCTCGGCCTGCCCTGGACACCATTACCCATCCTGGAAAACCCTTAGTCCTGGGTCCTCAAGCCAAAGTGGGAGATGGGTGGGAGTTTCAGCCTTTTTTTTTTTTTTTAGAGCCTGGTGGACTGGGACCTGGAAAAGAGACTGAGAAAGAAAAGGGAGACAGACAGTCGGGGATAGCAAATAATAATAGCCTAGGTGCCAGGCACCGTTCTAAACACATGATGTGTATTATATCATTTAATCCTTACAGTACAAGGTAAGTATTATCCCCATTTTGCAGATGAGAAACCGGGCCCAAACAGATTAGAAAACTCGCCTGATATCCTACAGCTAATGAGTTCAGAGTCCACCTTTGCCGCAGCCAAGAGTCTGGCTTCAGAGCCTAGGTGTGTAAGAGCTTTACCACCTCCCAGTGAGGTGAAGCGGGAGAGTAGGGCAGAGAGTAAGCAGAGAGGTCAGCAGGGCTGAAAAGAGAGGATGGAAGAAAACAGGCTGTGGGAAAGGGGAAGAATCAGAACTGAGCAAGGATAGAAAGGAGACAGAAGCCAAGAGTCACAGAGACAAAGAGAGGTAAGACAAGAGACAGATAAGCTGGAAGACCAATCTAGAGCCAAGGGAGACTGGGGATCCTCATCATAAAGTTGATGACAGGTAGACTGGGGTGAGGGGAGGAGAAACTGTTAGGGTTTGGCACTCAGAGATGTGAGCAGAGACCAGGGTACCTGGGGAACCATTGCCCAGGAGTCTTCACTGTAGGAAAAGCCCAGGCGGGGATAGCTGGAGTTCCCATTCCCAAGGAGGAGAGGACTGGCAGTGGCTTGAGGGCTCACTAGGTGCAGTGCCCACTACTGCATTAGCACTGATTTTTCAGAGGCAGGCGGGTAGGAGGGTAGATGGTTGGACAGACAAAAAGAAATACATGCTCTTTAGGGAGCACTTTCCCTGTGCCGGGCAATGTCAGGCATTTTTACCTGTATTATCCCATTTGATGCTCACCACAGTTCTGTGAAATAGGTTACATTATTATCCCCATTTCACACATTCATAGACTGAGGCTTAGGGAGGTTAAATAATTGGCCCAAGGTCACATAGTTACTTGGGAAGTGGTATAACTGGGATTTGAACCCAGGACTCTTCTGTTTTGTTACCCCAGAGACTCTGCCAAGTTATGCTTATTCTCCCCTCACTCCCCACAGCAGTCACATTCTGTCTGGCTGTGACCTAACTCCAGCCCTCATGTTTCTCCCTGCCCAGTAGTACCCCATGGCCATTCCCACCTGGGTCCTCTTCCCCATTACCAACCATGTTTGTATAGAGTTGAGTCGAGTGCGCGTTGGAGTTGGCGTGGGAGGGTGTGCCCGCTGACTGCAGAGGGACAGACAGTTCATTGTTTGATGCTGGGAGCCCAGCCCACTGCCAGCAGGCTCTGTGGCCTGCATCAACCCCTCCCTCCTGGCTGCAGGCTCAGGCCGGATTCCTCGCATTGGTGCCTCGCCAGCCGGTGCCAGTCGGGAGGAGAAGTTGCTGCTGAAACAGGTTTCCCCGGTTTGACAGAGCGGTGGCTGGGGCCCGGCCTGGAGGGCTTCTCTGACCCACAACCCTACCTGACTTCTTTCAAAAGAAATCCCCCAACCTGGGGCCTTCAGATGGGCATGTGAGTCTTTACTCATGTGTGCAAACACACATATGCACAAACACATATACCTTCTCACACAAAAATCACACATAATCACACATTCTGACACAATCATACACATACAAACACATATACCTTCTCACACAAACATATCACATTTAATCACACATTCTGACACAATCATACACATACATATGTGCATGCGTGCGTGCATGTAGTGCACATTCACACGGGCACACACACCGCCTCTACTACTCGCACCTCTCCATCTCTTCAGGAGGGTTCAGGCAGGGTTCATTGGTGAAATGGCTTCCCTAGTTCTATTGGATCCTCATCCTCTCCTGGTATTTTTGTGGACCCATACAGCAATGACAAGTGAGGTTTAATTCTGCCCTGTCCCATCTCCAATAGTTGCCTGTAGCACTGTTGAGGATTTGCAGGCTGCATCTGGGCTCTTCAGGAAAATAGGTTAGTAATGCCTGCCAGAATGTCCGAATTGGGAAAAGGCAGGACACACATGGCTTCTGGAAAGGGAGCGATGTTGGATTGGCTGTGTCTGCCATGCTTGTTGGAAAGGACATTGGCAGCATGTGTGCCCCTTTATTTGCTATCCCTGATCTAAACCATCTCTGTTCTCCTTGTTTTTCTCTCCTGCCCTATAGGTGAAGGCCAATGACTCAGACCAAGGTGCCAATGCAGAAATCGAATACACATTCCACCAGGCGCCCGAAGTTGTGAGGCGTCTTCTTCGACTGGACAGGAACACTGGACTTATCACTGTTCAGGGCCCGGTGGACCGTGAGGACCTAAGCACCCTGCGCTTCTCAGTGCTTGCTAAGGACCGAGGCACCAACCCCAAGAGTGCCCGTGCCCAGGTGGTTGTGACCGTGAAGGACATGAATGACAATGCCCCCACCATTGAGATCCGGGGCATAGGGCTAGTGACTCATCAAGATGGGATGGCTAACATCTCAGAGGATGTGGCAGAGGAGACAGCTGTGGCCCTGGTGCAGGTGTCTGACCGAGATGAGGGAGAGAATGCAGCTGTCACCTGTGTGGTGGCAGGTGATGTGCCCTTCCAGCTGCGCCAGGCCAGTGAGACAGGCAGTGACAGCAAGAAGAAGTATTTCCTGCAGACTACCACCCCGCTAGACTACGAGAAGGTCAAAGACTACACCATTGAGATTGTGGCTGTGGACTCTGGCAACCCCCCACTCTCCAGCACTAACTCCCTCAAGGTGCAGGTGGTGGACGTCAATGACAACGCACCTGTCTTCACTCAGAGTGTCACTGAGGTCGCCTTCCCGGAAAACAACAAGCCTGGTGAAGTGATTGCTGAGATCACTGCCAGTGATGCTGACTCTGGCTCTAATGCTGAGCTGGTTTACTCTCTGGAGCCTGAGCCGGCTGCTAAGGGCCTCTTCACCATCTCACCCGAGACTGGAGAGATCCAGGTGAAGACATCTCTGGATCGGGAACAGCGGGAGAGCTATGAGTTGAAGGTGGTGGCAGCTGACCGGGGCAGTCCTAGCCTCCAGGGCACAGCCACTGTCCTTGTCAATGTGCTGGACTGCAATGACAATGACCCCAAATTTATGCTGAGTGGCTACAACTTCTCAGTGATGGAGAACATGCCAGCACTGAGTCCAGTGGGCATGGTGACTGTCATTGATGGAGACAAGGGGGAGAATGCCCAGGTGCAGCTCTCAGTGGAGCAGGACAACGGTGACTTTGTTATCCAGAATGGCACAGGCACCATCCTATCCAGCCTGAGCTTTGATCGAGAGCAACAAAGCACCTACACCTTCCAGCTGAAGGCAGTGGATGGTGGCGTCCCACCTCGCTCAGCTTACGTTGGTGTCACCATCAATGTGCTGGACGAGAATGACAACGCACCCTATATCACTGCCCCTTCTAACACCTCTCACAAGCTGCTGACCCCCCAGACACGTCTTGGTGAGACGGTCAGCCAGGTGGCAGCCGAGGACTTTGACTCTGGTGTCAATGCTGAGCTGATCTACAGCATTGCAGGTGGCAACCCTTATGGACTCTTCCAGATTGGGTCACATTCAGGTGCCATCACCCTGGAGAAGGAGATTGAGCGGCGCCACCATGGGCTACACCGCCTGGTGGTGAAGGTCAGTGACCGCGGCAAGCCCCCACGCTATGGCACAGCCTTGGTCCATCTTTATGTCAATGAGACTCTGGCCAACCGCACGCTGCTGGAGACCCTCCTGGGCCACAGCCTGGACACGCCGCTGGATATTGACATTGCTGGGGATCCAGAATATGAGCGCTCCAAGCAGCGTGGCAACATTCTCTTTGGTGTGGTGGCTGGTGTGGTGGCCGTGGCCTTGCTCATCGCCCTGGCGGTTCTTGTGCGCTACTGCAGACAGCGGGAGGCCAAAAGTGGTTACCAGGCTGGTAAGAAGGAGACCAAGGACCTGTATGCCCCCAAGCCCAGTGGCAAGGCCTCCAAGGGAAACAAAAGCAAAGGCAAGAAGAGCAAGTCCCCAAAGCCCGTGAAGCCAGTGGAGGACGAGGATGAGGCCGGGCTGCAGAAGTCCCTCAAGTTCAACCTGATGAGCGATGCCCCTGGGGACAGTCCCCGCATCCACCTGCCCCTCAACTACCCACCAGGCAGCCCTGACCTGGGCCGCCACTATCGCTCTAACTCCCCACTGCCTTCCATCCAGCTGCAGCCCCAGTCACCCTCAGCCTCCAAGAAGCACCAGGTGGTACAGGACCTGCCACCTGCAAACACATTCGTGGGCACCGGGGACACCACGTCCACGGGCTCTGAGCAGTACTCCGACTACAGCTACCGCACCAACCCCCCCAAATACCCCAGCAAGCAGGTAGGCCAGCCCTTTCAGCTCAGCACACCCCAGCCCCTACCCCACCCCTACCACGGAGCCATCTGGACCGAGGTGTGGGAGTGATGGAGCAGGTTTACTGTGCCTGCCCGTGTTGGGGGCCAGCCTGAGCCAGCAGTGGGAGGTGGGGCCTTAGTGCCTCACCGGGCACACGGATTAGGCTGAGTGAAGATTAAGGGAGGGTGTGCTCTGTGGTCTCCTCCCTGCCCTCTCCCCACTGGGGAGAGACCTGTGATTTGCCAAGTCCCTGGACCCTGGACCAGCTACTGGGCCTTATGGGTTGGGGGTGGTAGGCAGGTGAGCGTAAGTGGGGAGGGAAATGGGTAAGAAGTCTACTCCAAACCTAGGTCTCTATGTCAGACCAGACCTAGGTGCTTCTCTAGGAGGGAAACAGGGAGACCTGGGGTCCTGTGGATAACTGAGTGGGGAGTCTGCCAGGGGAGGGCACCTTCCCATTGTGCCTTCTGTGTGTATTGTGCATTAACCTCTTCCTCACCACTAGGCTTCTGGGGCTGGGTCCCACATGCCCTTGACCCTGACAATAAAGTTCTCTATTTTTGGAGTTTTGGTTTCTTATTTTCTGGAACTGAGAGAAGCAGCGAGAGAGACTGGAAGCAGCCCTTTGTCCTCAGGTCCTACCTCAATTTCCCCTTCCCTTCTCTTTGCCTCTTGCCACATCCTAGACCTGCCCATTGTACCCCACACTATCTTAGCCTACCATCTTGCCATCCACCCCCATGTCCCTATCCACGTCTGGGAAAGTGGCCTTCTGACCAGCCTTCAAATGGAGGTGTCTGGCAATGTGTCCCCTTGCCCCATGTCTATAGGGCTTTCTTCCTAAGAATGACCCAGAAAGGGCAGGTGGAGCTATACCCAAGTCCTGCCCCATCTGAGGCTTGATTTTTCCAATCTGCTCAAACAGTTGCCTCTGACAGACCTCAGACTGGAGCACCTGGTAGGGAGTAGCATTCAGCCTTCCTTCCTGCCTTAGGTGAAGGCAGAGAACCTCTTGATTACACCAGCCACCTTCCCCCAGGGCAAGTCCTTCCCTCAAGTCCCTTCCCCAGCCTCTTCATCCCAACAACAGGCAACACCCAGCAATTCGCTGGCCCTCCCCTGTGTCTCCCCACCATGATCACCAGCCTGAGCTGCAGGGAGCGGGGCCCTGGGGGAGACATGGCGAATTCCTAAGTTCTTTGCATTGACCTGCCCTGCACCCCCACTCTTAGGGGGTTCCCTGCTCATGAGCAGAGGCTTCCTAGTTCTGCCTTCCGCCTGTGATGCTACCTCCCTCCCCACTTTCCACTCCTTGCTCTGGCCACCCTGGGTTGCTTGCTTGCACTCTCTCTCTCTCCATCTCTCACTTCTTGCTCTCCTGGGTCTGCCCTGTCTCTGGTTGTGCCTGAGTTGGAGGAAGGCTAAATCGTGGCTGAGGGGCCTCAGGCCCTGGGGGAGTCTCTGAGGCCAGAGGCAACCTATCTCCATGGTGACTAAAGAGGCTTGAGACACTCCCAAGAGGACCAAGGCTCCAGCTCTCTCCTCTGATTCCATCCACAAATTCCCCCAATGCCCTGGGGGGCCCCCAAAGTAAAAACTCCTTGGGTCCTTGGAGGAGTGGGGCCTGGGGAAGTGAGATCTAACCATATCGTGATCTCCAGCAACTCCTGACCTCCCATTCTTTCTCTTCCTTTTCTGTCCTTTCTGGCATTCCTTCCGTCTTTCTCCTATTCCTTTAGCGTCTTCATCTCTTTTTCTTTCCCATGATCTGAGGGATTGTCTCTTACTCAGCTCTAATCCAACCTAACCCATCCATGGAGCCACACTGAATGTCTTCTCCCAACATTCAGATACAACCAAACCACACCACCTGTTGTCATCATCAACACACACAGGCCAAGTTTCCACTGAGTACTCAGCATGGTACTAGACCCTGATGAAAAAATGGCCATACTTGTACAAGACAGACAAGTGAACGATGAGGCAATTGAGTGTCTTGAGTCGAATGAGAAGTGCCCTACTAAAGCTTTTCCCAACTTATTCCATGAAACTACTTCTACTGCTACTGCTCACTTCCTTTTTTTTTTTTTTTTTTTTTTTTGAGATGGAGTTTTGCTCTTGTTGCCCAGGCTGGAGTGCAATGGCACGATCTCAGCTCACTGCAACCTCTGCCTCCCAGGTTCAAGCAATTCTCCTGCCTCAGCCTCCTGAGTAGCTGGGATTACAGGCATGTGCCACCACACCCAGCTAATTTTGTATTTTTAGTAGAGACAGGGTTTCTCCATGTTGGTCAGGCTGGTCTTGAGCTCCTGACCTCAGGCGATCTGCCCGCCGTGGCCTCCCAAAGTGCTGGGATTACAGGCATGAGCCACCATGCCCGGCACTCACTTCCATTTTTTGAGTCCTTACTAGGTGTGAGGTACCATGCTAAGCACTTTGTGTGAATTAGTTCAATCAGTGCTCATAACTCTTTATGATATGGGTCATTTTAATATTAATTTTGCAGAAGTGAAAACTAAATAGTGATGCAGCCAAATTCAAACACAAAGCAGGCGGGTCTCCTATTACCTATTATGCTATAAAAAAGGCGTTCTGTGGTGAAGTTAGTTTTGGTAGTAAGAAATTCATGATCACATTAGCCTATTAAAGGCTCTGCAGAGTCCTCCAAAAAAGGGGGAACCTGTTAGACTTCGTTTAACCTTTTTTTTTTTTTTTTTTGAGACAGGGTCTTGCTCTGTCACCCAGGCTGGAGTGCAGGGGCGCAATCTTGGCTCATTGCAACCTCTGCCACCTGGGCTCAAGCGATCCTCCTGTGTAGCTGGGACTACAGTCGTGCACCACCACACCTGGCTAATTTTTGTAATTTCTGTAGAGACAGGGTTTTGCCATGTTGCCCAGGCTGGTCTCAACTCCTGGGCTCAAGCGATCTGCCCACCTCAGCCTCCCAAAGTGCTTGGATGACAGGTGTGAGCTGCCGTGCCTGGCCCCAATTTTGTTTACCTCTTGAGTTTTCTGAATTTATTTCACCATATTGCCCCTCCCTTCCTTTGACGAGCACAGTATGGGAAAACTTGTACAAGACATGGAAATGGGCTTCTGGAAGGAGAAAGTCAGCTTGTCAATGATGAGCAGGATTAGGGCAGGAGGGTCCCCTGCCTCCTCACAGGGTCACCGTGTAAGCAAACTCCTGCGGCAGAAGTGAACCAAGTTGGAGGCAGGGAAAGGGCAGAAAAAGGAATATTCTGGCAAGAAGAGGGGCATAAGAGAAAGCTGAAAGATGAGACTGGAAGAACTGTAGGTTGTAGAGGACATAGGTGCCTTACCAAAAGTTCTTCAGAAGGAACTAGTCCCTGAAAGCTCATGAGTGTTTTAGATGAACTGAGTTTTAGAAAGAGCACTGGAATATATGGTGGGCTTAAAAGGGCATAGAGATGAAGGTACAGGACTGAACCTCTAAGAGTTGGACTATGATGGTGGCAATGGGGGTGATGGATGGATGGATTTGGCAAAGGTTAGGGAGAAAGGACCCACAGGATTCAAGGGATAATTGGATATGAGGTAGGGATAGGGAATGAGGGGAGAGCTACCAGGATTCTCAGGTAGACATCAGCCTTCTGAGTCTGGGTGATAGGATAGTGATGAGATCATTGCCCATACAGAAGCTAATTGAAGAAGCATTTGGTTTCAGACATGTTGAATCTTAAGGGCCAGTAGGCAGAGCCAACTGGAAATAATCAGCAAGTGTCTAGAGCTTCAGGACTCAAAGAGTTTGAGAGAGATTTTTTGATCTGGGCTTTTATAATTTGATAGTCATAAAATTAGAGGGAACATTAAGTGTTGGGTATAACCCAACCCTCCATTTTATGGAAAAGAATCATGGGAAAAGAGACCAAGCGACTTGCTTAGTAGGCAGGACCAAAGCCTTCAATTACCAGATATGGGTTCTGCAGGGAGGTGGGACTGCTGGCCAGTATCTTGAAAGAAAACTGGAAAGAGAAGCACCAACAACCATGTTGCCCTGTGCCTCCCAGACCCCTCCTGGACCCTAATCACCCCTACACCAGGTGGACTACACTCCTTTATAGCCTCCCGGCCCCAAACATCCATGTTAGTTTTGGGGACCTTATCAGTCATCACCCAGACCCTTCAGTGTTTTAGATCAATACAAGGATTCCAAGAACGGTCGCTTATTCCTGAAGATGAGGTGGGAGCCATCTTCAGGAATGGGGATAGTGGGGAGGCAGTTCTGGGCTACCTTCACAGCAGCTCCAAAACTCCTGTCCTGACAGCCTCTTCCACCCTAGCTGCCTTGAATGGGGCTATTAGGAGGGTAAGTCTACAAAGCCAGGGCCACCTCCCCTGGCCATCTTCATAACCTCCTATCCAGAGTTATAGAGTAAGACAAAGCACTGCCAAAGTCTTGGAGGATGGGAAGGAGCTTAGAGACTCATCAGCAGGGCCCTGGGCTTAGCTGTTTTCACCCCTGGCCTCCAGGGACCCTGAGTCTGCACCCTCCACAACTCCTAATTTCTGGTTGGCAGGAAAATCTGTGGCAGTCCCAAGTGGGTATTTGGGTGGCTGGCTGGTTGTGCCAAGTGCCAAGTTGAGATTGCCAGGTTCCAGGGCTGATCGTTAACCTGTGGCAGGCATACAGGGCTGCTGGCTGGGAGCAGCCTGTCACGGTTCCACTCCCCCGACCCCCAGTCCCCAGTCCAAGCCTCCAAGTCTGGCTCCTCATGCCAGCAGCCCTCCCAGAAGCTCCTTCCTATTTCCTGGAAGGAGTCTCCCTTTGAGACCAGCTTTCCTAATCCCTAATGGGTGCCATGCCCTCTCCCCATGTCCAGGCTCCTGGCAGAGCCCTACCCTCTCCAGTGAATATTCTATTTCCTGATCGGGAGGACTGGGGAGTTTCCATTGTTCTGCTTTGTCCCCTTCCCCCAGGTGCCCTGGTTTGTTATCAGGCTCCTCCCTTTTTTTCCACTCCCAGGCCTCTCTGGAGGGGAGTGAAGTGGGGATGGGGGGCTGAGTGGGAGGGGCGACAGCAGGGAGTCTTCAGACTGCTGCAACATCACAAACCAGGGATGAGGAACACAGGATAAGAAAAGAAAGGTTGTTCCCTCATTTGGAAGGAGGCAGTGGCAAGAGCAGTGAGACAGGTGAGGAGCTGGAGTTTGGAGGGTGCTGTTTGGAAATGAGGGAACTAACTGTTGTGGTATTGGTGAGCTGTTTGGGAGTTAGGAGTCTGCTTCTTTTAGGAAGCTGTTCTAGAAACTGCAGGCTATGCTGGTGTTTAGAGGCTGAGCTGGAATTAGGGGAGTCGGGTGGTATTATGTTACTCTGGTATTGGGCTCTACACCGTATTACAGGTCATTCTGGGATTAAAGGGAGGCTGTGCCAATATTGGGAAGCTGGGTTAGAACTAGAAGGGTTGTGCTATAACAAGCGGTTGCACTGGATGAGGGTTATTGGGGTAGCATAGGGGCTATAATAACACTGGGGCCTGCGCTGTATTGGGACTTCCAGTATGTGGACTTGGCTGTACTAGGAGCGGTCCTAGAACTCAGGAGCTGTCTTTCACTGGGGCCTGTGCTTTCGGGAGGAATGTGCTGTGCTGGGGCCTGGGTCTCTTCTTGGTTGCTGTTGAAGCCTGAGTAGGATGGTGCTTGGCTTGTACTAGGGCCTGGTATGGTGGTGGGCCCTGTGGGCAAGCTGGCTGGTCAGTAGTGACAATCTGTCTCCCTGCAGTTACCTCACCGCCGCGTCACCTTCTCGGCCACCAGCCAGGCCCAGGAGCTGCAGGACCCATCCCAGCACAGTTACTATGACAGTGGCCTGGAGGAGTCTGAGACGCCGTCCAGCAAGTCATCCTCAGGGCCTCGACTCGGTCCCCTGGCCCTGCCTGAGGATCACTATGAGCGCACCACCCCTGATGGCAGCATAGGAGAGATGGAGCACCCCGAGAATGGTGAGGCGCAGCACCATGGTCAGGGCACCCCAGGAATGAGTGGAAGCCTGGGAATGGTGACAAGGCCTTAAACAAATCATCTATGTATTGAGTTATTATGTGCTCAGTCATCATCACCGTGCTGAGGGCTTTCAGGTATACACGCATTTAATCCCCAGAACCACTCTGTGATTTGAGAACTTTATGGCACCCACTTTACAGTGGAGGAAACTGAGGCTTAGAGAGGTTAAGTCACTTGCCCAAAGTCATACATCTAGAACGTGACAGACCTGGGAGGGATTCAAACCCAGGTTTCTCTGACTCCAAAGCTGTTGCATTCGGCACCATGTTTACACGGCCACCTGGGAACAGGGACCCTGAGTGTGGTGGCCAGAAAGCTCACGTAATGGTGAGGAAACCTTGAGAAGGTGGGTGGTGGTCCTCTAAGGTTGGGAAGGCCTTGAGAATAGAGATTGGGCCCTGGATGCTACAGGGGGCTCAGAGAATGGAGTGACGATATGCTGGGGTGAGGAGTGGGAGAAGGTTTGGCACCTCTTTGAGGAAGAGCGCGGTAGGAGGTCTGGTGAAGAGAAAGGCCTGTCTGGGAGGGATTTGGAGGGTGATGGCAAAAAGGAGGTGTGAGCCAGCGCAGAGGTCGGCATGGGAATGGATGGTGAGGTGTGCCGTCAGTGTGTGTGCAGTGCGTGTGCATGTGTGAAGTCGTCCATGGCAGCCTGTGGAGGGGGAGAGTGAACGAGCTAACCCCTGAGATGGAAAGACTCTCTAAGTTGGAGTTGTCCTCGGGTCCCACCCACTCCCTCAACTCAAAGCCTCCTCGCTCCACAAAAGATGGGAGGTTTCACTCCCCTGCCTCAGGCACAGGGCCCTTGTCTAACCTCCCGGGCCCTTGTCTAACCTCCCAGGCCCTAGGTCTCAGAGTGCCCTCCACCCCCACCCCGCCCCTCCATGCGCGATCTCATGCCCGTCTCATCCTTTTTGTGCCCGCGCAGAGCCGGCTGGCCGGAGCAGGCCCTGAGGCAGAGTGCCAGGTATGTGGGAACTGCTCTGGGGTCTGGGGTCTGTGGGACTCTGCCCAGCACCCAGCCTCACCCACCCAGTGCCCATGCTCTGCTCTGAGCCATGTTGCGTCCCCCAACTCTGCTCTGAGCTGTAGAGCCTTGGCACTTTGAGGGTTAACAACAGAGCTGTCCCCTCCTCACCTGGCACTGGCAGGAGGCCAAGCCATAGTGGGTGGTGCCAGGGGAGCCCCTGTCCCAGGCAGTGTTGCTTAGCCATGTCCCTTGGGGGTGGGGGGGGGTCACTGCCTGGTGCTGTCCCTGAGCAAGGGCAGGACAGGGACAGCTGTGACAGGAAGTACTCATGGCCCAGCCGTTCCCATGGAGACCCCCGCTGCCCAGCAACTACACCGGCTACTGCTGATGTCAGGCAGCCAACTCCTGTTCCCGTGGGTGTTCTGGGCAGGGAGCTGGGGCAAGGCCAGGGGTGGTGGCTGGTTTAGGGGCCAGAGTGAGGTGGGGAGGGGCTGCATGAGCGTGCTTGTGGATGTGAGTGTGTGCCTCTATGTGAATACCCCACACAGAAGCTCGTCCCTTCCCCCTGGCTTTAAAGCAAGGTCTTGCAGGAGGAGGGTGGGTTCAGGACCACCGGGAGCATGTGAAGCTTGAGGGGGTTCTGAAGGAAGCAATGTACCCAATTTCATCTGAGGATAGAGGTGCCCACTGTAGTAGATTTGTGTATCCATGCCTATCTGTGTGTGTGAGAGGGAGAGAGAGAGAGAGTTGATTGTGTCAATCAATTCAATGAGGATGGAGGTTTCCTCAACCCCACCTGAGGATAGATTTGCACATTTAAGTCTGTCTGGAGATAGATGAGGCAGTGTGTAGATGAGTGTGTGTTTGTGCACCTGTCTGAGGGCAGATTTGGTGGGTGTGTAAGAAGAGCACTGGGGGGTAGGTGACGCTGGAAGGAATGTGTCTATTTAGGGCTTGGTGGCTCATGCCTGTAATTCCAACACTCTGGGAGGCTGAGGCAGGCGGATTGCTTGAACTCAGGAGTTCAAGACCAGCCTGGGCAACATGGCTTAAACCCCATCTCTACAAAAAAATATAAAAAATTAGCCAGGCATGGTAGTGCATGCCTATAGTCACAGATATTTGGGAGTCTGAGGTGGGAGGATTGCCTGAGCCTGGGAAATTGAGGCTGCAGTGAGCCAAGATCACACCACTGCACTCCAGCCTGGGTGACAGGAGTGAGACCCTGTCTTGAAAAAAAAAAGGATAAGGCTGGGTGCGGTGGCTCATGCTTGTAATCCCAACACTTTGGGAGGTCAAGGTGGGTGGATCACCTGAGGTCAGGAGTTCAAGACCAGCCTGGTCAACCTGGTGAAACCCCATCTCTACTAAAAATCCAAAAATTAACCAGATATGGTGGTGGGCGCCTGTAATCCCAGCTACTCGGGAGGCTGAGGCAAAAGAATTGCTTGAACCCGGGAGGTGGAGGTTGCAGTAAGCCGAGATTGCGCCATTGCACTCCAGCCTGGGTGACAAGAGCAAGACTCCATCTCAAAACAAAGAAAAAGAAAAAGAAAAAAGATAGATTATGTGTGTGTGCGTGTGCGTGTGTACAGTAGGCCAGTAGGTCGATGGTGGGAGGGCATGTGTCTCTTTGAGGGTGTGTGTGCCTGTGAGTTCAGCGGTCAGGAAGGGGCGCATACTCCTGTCCTGAGGTGGGGTGTAGATGCCAGTGGGAGGCCATGAAGCAGAGCTTTGCAGAGGCTGTATGTCTGACAATTGTCCTTCCCCGCTCCCTCCTACAGACCTTCGCCCTTTGCCTGATGTCGCCATGACAGGCACATGTACCCGGGAGTGCAGTGAGTTTGGCCACTCTGACACATGCTGGATGCCTGGCCAGTCATCTCCCAGCCGCCGGACCAAGAGCAGCGCCCTCAAACTCTCCACCTTCGTGCCTTACCAGGACCGAGGAGGGCAGGAGCCTGCGGGCGCCGGCAGCCCCAGCCCCCCGGAAGACCGGAACACCAAAACGGCCCCCGTGCGCCTCCTGCCCTCCTACAGTGCCTTCTCCCACAGTAGCCATGATTCCTGCAAGGACTCGGCCACCTTGGAGGAAATCCCCCTGACCCAGACCTCGGACTTCCCACCCGCAGCCACACCGGCATCTGCCCAGACGGCCAAGCGCGAGATCTACCTGTGAGCCCCCTACTGGCCGGCCGGCCCCCCTCCCCCAGCCGCCGGCCAGCTCCCAAATGGCCCATTCCAGGGCCTCACTCTCCACCCCTTCAGCGTGGACTTCCTGGCCAGGGCCCCAAGTGGGGGTATCACTGACCTCATGACCACGCTGGCCCTTCTCCCATGCAGGGTCCAGGTCCTCTCCCCTCATTTCCATCTCCCAGCCCCCAGGGGCCCCTTCCCCTTTATGGGGCTTCCCCCATCTGATGCCCAAGAGGGCTCCTCTGCAATGACTGGGCTCCTTCCCTTGACTTCCAGGGAGCACCCCCTCGATTTGGGCAGATGGTGGAGTCAAGGGTGGGCAGCGTACTTCTAACTCATTGTTTCCCTCATGGCCGACCAGGGCGGGGATAGCATGCCCAATTTTAGCCCTGAAGCAGGGCTGAACTGGGGAGCCCCTTTCCCTGGGAGCTCCCAGAGGAAACTCTTGACCACCAGTGGCTCCCTGAAGGGCTTTTGTTACCAAAGGTGGGGTAGGGACGGGGGTGGGAGTGGAGCGGAGGCCTTGTTTTCCCGTGCTGCTCCTGGACTGGCCCACCTGCCTGCCACATGCCCACGCCTAGTCCCATCTGGGCCCCCATTCCCTGCTGGTCATGCAGTGTCTGTATATAAGGACCTTGGAATGACGTCCCCATTTCTGCCTGATTTGCAACTTTTCTTGTTGATGTCGTGTTGTCTTGGGGGACCCCTCTGGGGGGGGACCTGCCCTGTGCCCCCTCCTCCCTGCCGCAGTGCCCCCCAACCCAGGCCTCTATTGTTCCATGTTGTAAATACCCCTGGGGCCATGGTGGGATGGGGGTGCAGGCCAGGGAAACAACGGGTGGGTGGGGGTGGGGACGGGGGTAACATTTGCCTATCAGCAGAGCTGGGCTTTTATTTAATTTTTCTTAAAAATACAAATCTCTATTTTTTTGGAACTGTTGCGCTGTGCCCTGGGGGGATCCCCGCTCAGGCTGGCCTCCCACATCCAGATGAGCATCACAGAGGGGCCCTGAGGCTGTGGGGGGCAGCTGGACAGGGGTGGGATGACTGTGCCTCTGGCCTGGTTGGGTGAGTTGGGAGCAGGAAGGTTTGCTCAGGGGGTGGCTGGGTGCTGCTCCCGATATAGGGGGCCTGCATCCTGCCCCCTCCCTGCCCTCTCAACCCCCAGCCCCTGCCATGACTGACCCGTCAGCCTGTAAAACCACCATTGCCTTGATCTCAGGGGGTGGGAGGGCTGCCTCAGGGCACCCTGGGCTCCAGGCCCCCTTCTTCCAGTTGGGCTTCCCTTTGTCAGGGTCAGGGGTCCCATGGGGGAGGGGGTAGGGAGGTTGGGGGGCAGAGAAGCCCAGTCAGCCATGATGAGGTGAAGTTCTCTTCTTCACCTCAGGGGGCCAGGGTGTAAGGGGCGTCCTGCAGAGCCCCCGTCTCCCACTGTGGCCATCTCAAAGCCTCAGCCCCTCTTCCTTCCAGAAACCCCCACTGCCTTGGCCCATACCTCTCCAGCTCCCTAGGGGCCCAGGCTGGGAGGCTGGAGACTCAGGGTATGGCCCTTGCTTGACTTAGTCTAAGCTTGGGGAGGTGGTCCAAGATTGCGAGCGGTGGGTACAGGCTGCGGGGTCGTCTGGTGCCTTTGGGAGCTGTGCTGCTGGGGTCTTGACTCTTGTACCCCAGAGACCCCACCCCCACCCCGGAAAAGCCAGGGGCCTGAAGAATCACCCTATTTATCTGCCCCTTACCCCCAACTTGGCTTGGGGTGACAGTGCTAGGAAGGAGAGCATTGTTAGGCTGGTAGCCCTGGCATACGAAGCCCTTCTACAGAGGGGAAGGGGTAGAATGGGATGGGGTGGCAGCAGCCAGGTCTAGGGGTTGGCCAAAGGCTCCTTTCCCTTGGGGAGGCCCAGGAGATGGGCTTGGGGCTTGTTAAAGAGACAGCCCCTTTCCCCTGCACAAATGGGGCAGGTGCAATAGTCTTGGAGTTGGTAGTATTGGGTGCCCAGCTGGTGGAACAGTGGCCTCAAGGATTGTCCTGGGTCCTGGAGGTCAGGATTCGGGCAAGAAGATTGTATGAGGCCCATTTGCTTGGTGGAGAAGGTGGTCCAGACAGGCGGCATTCCTGGGGTCAGTGGACTCCCACTGGAAGCCCCTAGTGGCCTGGGTACCTTGCCCTGGTCTTAGAGACCCCTGAGCACTGAGCAGAAGAGCAGAGGAGCATTTTGCACAATGGAGAAGCCAGAAGAAAGAGGGTGGCCCAGATGGCTGGGAGAGCTGAGAAGCCCTTCCCACAGGCAAAGACAGAGCCCCCAGCCCCCTGGTTGGGGCCAGGGCACTGAGTCTGTCACCAACTGGGCACTGGAGAGATGAAACCAAAGGTGGGCAGGGGTTGGCGACAGCACTGGGGACTATCCCTGTGGGTCCTAGGTCTGTGAAGCCCCTCCCCAATGCCTGTGTCGCGTACAGTTTTATGTACCAATAGGCGACATTTGGCCAGAGGAGAGCCCCCCTCAAACCCAGCCTGACCCAGTCTGTGTCTTCCCAGAGGGGACCTAGTCGGTCCCCATCCCCCTACTTCAGGGCATGTCTCTCCGTAGGGGGAGGGTATATGGGGACATATTTCTCTCCTAGGGTCCTTGAAGCATGTTTCACATTCCGGGGTGGGGGGAAGTTCTCTGGGCATCCCTCACCTCTGGGGTCTCTCTAGGCCCTATCTCTCCCCTTGGGAGTCTCCGGGGGACATGTGTTCCCGCTGAGGACCACGGGAGCATGTCTCCCCCAATTACCCAGGCTCTCTGGGGAGCCTGTTTTCCTCCCAGGGTTCCTGGGAGTACTTAAGGCAAGTCAGTTTCGGGCCATCTCTCTTCCCAGGGAAGGGGGCTATCTCTGAAACACGTCTGGGAAGGGATGTTTCTGGCCCTACCCCCATCTCTCCTATGGGGGTTTCTCTGCCCTGCAGCACTTTAGGATGAGGCTGGGCATCTCTGAGTTGTCTTTTCTCCTAGGAGCCCTGGGATACCTCTCTCTCCCGAGGGTAGGGCCTCTGGAGCCATTTCTTCCCTGGGTCGGGGCTGTCTCCGGGTGTTGGGAGGGCTTGTGTTGGCCATGAGAAAGTCTCTTAAGGGGCGTCTCCACTGGGGACTTCTCTGGGAGGGGGGACTGTGTCCCGCCCATGGGGTTTCGGGCGGGTGTGTCTGCCCATGGGGAGGGGAGACTGTGTCTCCTCGGGTTATCTAGTGGGGAGGGGGGCCGTGTCTCTCTCGTGTGTAGGGGGGTGGGGGTCGGGGTGGGGGGTTTTGGGCGCGTCGGGTGCCCACATTGGGGTCGTGTTTCTCTTGGTTCGTGCCACTTCCCACTGCCTCGCTCCTCCCGGGAAGGGCCCCCGCCCCGCCCCACCCCACCCCATCCCTGGCGCTGCGAGCACAATCCCGTTGATTTGTAATGATTTCTGTCTCTTTCTGTCTTTCTCTTTCTCTGACCCCCCCACCCCCACCCCCACCCCCCCCCACCCCGCCGCGAGCATGCGCAGGCACCGCCCCTACCCCCTCCGGTTCGGTTCGTTTCCGGTTTGTTTGCTGAGCTGTCAATGAAAGACCCGTGTAATTATTCCCGAGCTTTACAATAAAAGTGTGAAAACCGGACCCCACTCAGCTTCTTCCGGGTCCTCGGGCCTGCGTCCCGTGGAGAGTGGGAGCTAAATCTGGAGGCCTTGGAGAGGGCTGGGGGACGCGAGGGACAAGAGACTGAGACCCGCACTGGTATTAATCGGGGATGGGGTCGAGCTGACGCGTTCTGAGGATAGACTCCTAGTCCGTACACCTCAAAGTGACCCCTGCCGGATCCTCTGGGCCCGACCTGCTGTGGGCACCCCCTCCCCGCAAGAACTCAGGTGCAGGATGGGGTGGGAGGTGACCGCAGGAGAGGTTTTGTGCTGCGCTGCCTTCTTCCCCGGGCGCCCGCAGGACGTGCAGTCGTTCCCGGGTGTATCCATTCCCGCTCCCCACTCTTTGGCAACGAGTGTGAATTGCGGAACTGGATAGGATAAGGGGCGGGAGACATCTGTCTGTCTGCCGCGTTCTCCCACGCTCAGGAACGAGGGTTGGAAGTCGATTTAGGGGAAAGGAACCGAAAAGGTCTCAGCCTCGGTCTCCGACTGCGCTCCCCTCCCCCCTTCCGGGCTCGACCGGCCCCGGCCTCCTCCGTCCGGCTCCCGGGTAAACACCCGCTCCGGAGAGGTCGGAAAACAGAGACCGGATCAGCCGGTTCCTGGCCCCGCCTCCCGGGGCGTTGCTCCCTCCTCCGCCCCTCCCCACCCCCACACCCGCCCAGCGTCGCGCGCTTTTGCTCGACCCGCGCCCTAGCTCCCTAGGCCGGTACTGTGTGGGCCTCGCTCCGGACCCCGGGGTCGGTCCAGCCGCTGGGATTAGCCGACCGCAGGGACTAATCCCGGATGAGCCTCGTGTAAACCCGGATCGACAGCGGGGACGGCGGGGGTTGCTGGCACCCCTTCATCCGTTCCCAGACGCGGAGCATCACGGGGCATAGAGCCCACCCCGAGGCTCCTTGCTGCTTTCGGAGAGACCCGAGTTGGATCTGCAGTTGGGGGCGTGGCGGGGCAGGAGATGAAGAACGCAGGGCCGGGATCTGACGCGCCGAGAGCCTGGCGCGGGGTGACTGGGGTGTGGGGCGGAAAGGCAGAGATCTCTCGGGCAGTACTTGAATCTACCGGCTTAGGTCAGCTCCCTACTCAGTCTACAACCGAAGCCCCCTACCTATCCTCCAGTTACAGAATCACAGACCCTCCCCCTACCAGTGGGTGTGGCAACCCTTCCTAAACCTGAGGCCTCACCTCATTAGGAGAGGCGCTGAATCAGCGGGGGAGGGGCCCGCATTGTCTCCACCCCTGACTTGACCCCACAGTGAAGGGTGAGGAGTTCCTTCTGTTAAGGCCTAGCCCAGGAAAAGATGTCTGGAGTTAAGGAAGTTGGAGGAGATGTGGTGGCCGACTGGGTACCAGAATCCTGTCACTGGTTGATTAACTCATTCTACAAACATTTCCTGAGCCCCTCCCATGTGCCAGACCGGCACAGGGTACTGGACCCCAAGAATGACACACAGTCTCTGTGGGAAAGGCAGACAGGTAAACAATGACCACATCTTGTGTTCGGCCCTGCCTTGAGCCGGAAATTCTGGCAGGAGACCTAAAGGCGCTGTCCTCTCCAAAGTCTAGAGGCTTTCTGGAAGGGGTGGTGCCAGAGCTGAGTTTCAAAGGGCAAATGAGGGATAGGCTACTGAGGAAGGGGTCAGCCTTGCAGGCTGAGGAGGAGTATGTGCCAGGGTCTGGAGGTGGAGGAGGAGGTGAGGTGGCTCAGGAGGGCAGGAGAAGTTGGAGAAGAAGGCAGGGGCCAGAACTAAGGACCTGCTGGTCAACTTAAAGTGCTTGGATTGAGGGGTTGGAGAGGAGCCATTTACAGATTTTAAGCCTGTAAAAGAAAAGGTCAGATTTACATTCTTCCAGATTCTGTGTTCCTCCCTTCCCTGCCCCAGGTTTCTCTGGGGATGCCTGGGTTGGGAGTGGAGATACACAGGCAGACAGGAAGAGGAACCAGGTGCAGTTTAGGCTGGTTAAGAATGGTCCCTGGCTGGTCGCGGTGGCTCACACCTGTAATCCCAGCACTTTGGGAGGCCGAGGTGGGCTGATCACGAGGTCAGGAGTTCGAAACCAGCCTGGCCAACATGGGGAAACCCCATCTCTACTAAAAATATCAAAATTAGCTGGGCACGGTGGTGCGCACCTGTAATCCCAGCTACTTGGGAGGCTGAGGCAGGAGAATCATTTGAACCCGGGAGGCAGAGGTTGCAGTGAGCCGAGATTGTGCCACTGCACTCTAGCCTGGACAGCAGAGCAAGACTCCATCTCGGAAAACAAACAAAAGAATGGTCCCCACTTTCCATCAAACTTGGAGTCAGAGAGACCTACGTTAGAAATTTGGCTGTACTTATTTCTAGTGGCATGACCTTGGGTAGGTGGCTGAGCCTCAGTTTCTTCCTCTGTAAGGTGGGGATAATAGTGCTTACCATCACCAAAGGTTATTGTGGGGCTTCAATGAGATAATTTGTCCACTTTTTTATTTATCACACGTCTAACACCTACTAAGTGGCAGGCACTGTCTCAGGTGCTAGCATTATGGTGCTGAATAAGACAGGCATGATGCCTACTCTCTCTCTCTGGGAACTTGCATTCTAGAGGAAAAGACAGACAATAAACAAATAAATGAGATAATTATAGATTGTGTTAAAGTGCTGTGAAGGAAACAAACAGTGGGACAAGAAGGAGGATAACTGGAGGTGGGGGAGGGGAGGGGGCTGCTTTACCCAGCCAGGGAAGCTTCCCTGAGGAAACCTGAAGGTTGGCCAGTGTACTCCAGCCTGGGCAACAAGGTGAGACCCTGTCTCAAAAAAGAGAAAAAAAAAAATAACCCTGAAGTTTTAGAGCTTGGCAAAGAACATTCCAGATACAAGGAAACTGCAGGGAAATTGCCTTCAAAGGCCCTGAAGTGGGAGAAAAGAGCATAGCCACAGTACTCTAAGATGCTAAGATTCCTCAGGGCAGTTACCTGGGTTTCTTTTCTTCTAACCTTCTGGGCAAAGTGAGTAGAAATGGAGGGGAGTTGGCCGGGTGTGGTGGCTCACGCCTGTAATCTCAGCACTTTCGGAGGCTGAGGCGGGCAGTTCGAGACCAGCCTGATCAACATGGAAAAACCTCGTCTCTACTAAAAAAAAAAATACAGCCGGGTGCGGTGGCTCACGCCTGTAATCCCAGCACTTTGGGAGGCCGATGCGGGCGGATCACGAGGTCAGGAGATCAAGACCATCCTGGCTAACATGGTGAAACCCCGTCTCTATTAAAAATACAAAAAAATTAGCCAGGCTTGGTGGCGGGCGCCTGTGGTCCCAGCTACTCGGGAGGCTGAGGCAGGAGAATGGCGTGAACCCGGAAGGCGGAGCTTGCAGTAAGCCGAGATTGCGCCACTGCACTCCAGCCTGGGTGACAGAGCGAGACTCCGTCTCAAAACAAACAAACAAACAAACAAAAAAATTAGCCGAGCATGGTGGCGCATGCCAGTAATCCCAGCTACTCGGGAGGCTGAGGCAGGAGAATCGCTTGAACCTGGGAGGCGGAAGTTGCGGTGAGCCGAGATCACACCATTGCACTCCTGTCTGGGCAACAAGATTGAATCTCGGTCTCAAGAAAAAAGAAAAAAATGGAGGGGAGTTTCCATCCTGCTGGGCCAAACCCCTTCCCCTCCAACCCCATCCCCTGGAGTAATATTGGGGAGATGTGGGCTTCATCAGTCAGCCCATCTGTCCAGCTTAATCTTCCACCTGTTCTATAGCTGCCCCCAACCCCCCTCCCAGTTTCAGGACAGGTCTCAGCCCGCTATTTTCCCAGTGGGTTCTGGGGTTCCTAGTCCTCTTGGGCAGGCGGGGCAGGTTAGGGCCCCTCCAGAATCTGCCATTACAGATCCTGGATGAAACAGAATTTAGTATCTGACCTGCAGGGGCCAAGGGGTGGATGTTTCCCAGATGAAGATGACCAAGGGGTTTAGGGGCTTAGGCCTTTTAGAGTTTCCCCCTTGGCCTGGGTCTCACTTCAAGGAGGCGGCCTGGATCCCTGTCTGATTCCCCCTCAAAGAATGCTTCCTGTAACATGGATACATTTCACACACAGCCGCCCGCCCCTGCTGCAGAGCGCACACAGCTCCTCTCACACACACTCACCATCCAGCTGCACCGTGCGTCTCCATGGCAACCAGTAGGCCTGGTCCACGGATGTTAGAAATAAGTGCCAGAGGAAGAGGAGAGAGAGAGGGAGAGGGAGAAGGGAGAAAGAGAAATAAAGAGACTTAGAAAGATAACCTCCCAAGGAGAGCCCTACCCTTTCCTTACAACCCTGCCAGGAAGACGTGAGTGGATTCGGGCCCTGAGGACGGAGGAGCTCAGGGTGGGGACTAAGCAGTAGATTAGGGGCTGTCTGGACACAGGTAACGGGGCACAGTGGGCAGTAAGGAGTGGGCAGAATCAAGGGAACTTTCTTGACAGTCTGTAGTCTTGGGATAGGAATACTTGGTCTAGGTGAAAAAGGCAGATGGGGGTGGGTGGGTAGGGGTGGAAGACTTGGGGAAGCTACTTTCTCTTCTTCCTGGCCTAATTGGCTGTTCGGGCCGAAACCACCTCTTAGTCACTTAGTCTAATCAGAATTGTTCCGGAGAAGACAGTCGGGGAGGGGAAGGAGAAGCAGGGGTGTGAAGGGGGAGGGTGGGTGGAGACAAAGCTGGGTGAAGGTGGGGGTGGGAGTTCCTTCTACCACCTGCCATCCATCCTATCGCCACCCAGTGGATGGGGTGGGCTGTGACTATACAGGCTGATGGGTCTCTCTAACAGCCTCCCAGCTGCCACTAGCACCCCTTCACGCCCACTTGCTTTTTACTCTGCCCCTTCTCGTCTGTCTCCATGTATCTCTGTCTCTAGCTCTAGCTCTCACTCTCACTCTCTCCTGGTCACCCTGTCTAGCTCCTCACCTTCCTTTCTCCCCTTCCTGGGAGTCTCCTGACCTCTGGCCACCAATATTTGTGTATGGAACAGATAAAGGATATAGGATTGCTAATCTAGGCCAATCCACTGGTGAGTGGAGGAGGAGCAGGGGGAGGGGATTATACTGAAAGGAGCCCTGTCTTTGGGGAGAAAGAGAGAGTAGGGTGGACGCTGGCCTGGCACGACTCCCCTCCACATACCCACACAGGTCAGGGTGTGTGTGTGTGTGTGAGTTTGGTCTGGAGCTGGACGGGCTGACTGTCTCAGACAAGTTACTTAACCTCTCTGTGCATCACTTTTTCTAACTATGAGATGAGGATAATACATTCCAAAAATGCAGTGTGGATTTAAGGTGAGAATGCACGTAAGTTGCTTAGCATGGTATATTGTAAGGGCTCAATAAATGGCAGCTTTTATCATCACTCCAGACTCTTGTCCTTTCTCCGGGGTCCTTCTGGAGCCAGGACAGCTGCATCTTCCAATCCCCTCCTCCTGCCACTGCTTCTCCATTCTTGGGGGCCCAAATTGCCTCTCAGTTCCTGGACCCATCCCCCTTGCCTGGCTCCCAGGGCTACTCACTATGGTGTCCCCGTGTAGGGGATGAGGCTGGGATCCTGCCCTCTGCCCACAAGGTCTGGAGGGACACACTTCTTCAGTTTAGGGTCTGTTTTTCCCTTCTCTGCAGGCCTCAGAGGGGAGGAAAGGGGACAGCCATAAATGATGTAGGGGAAGCGTACTTGCTGAGGGGGACAATAAGGGATGAGCAGCGTCCAGAAACCTAAATATTTCATGGGGCTGCAGCGCTGGGAAGGGCAAAGTCCCTGAGCTGTGTTTGTGCATATGCGCTTGACTCCATGTGGCTTGGAGCTGTTCCATATGCCCAATGCCCTCCTTACCCCCCAACCCTCAAAATGCTACACTCAGGAAAGCTGCTCTCGTGAACCCTTTCCTGGCCAAGATCCCTCCAAAACCTTCCCAGCACATGTATATTTCATTTCTTATAGCTGTAGTGGTTCCTACGGCTTTTAGGCTGTATGTTTACACAGTCATGTCTTTTTTTTGCCCCTGTGTTCAATGTCCCCCCCTCCGTAGGGACAAAAAAAGGCATGACTCCCAAGGACTGGTACCCTTAACCCTCATTCCCTCTGCCTTATCAGGAGACCCCAGTAGCTGGAAAAAGCTGGTGGGTTGGGAGCAGAGGCAGAGGTTGGGGTGGTAGGGAGGAGGTCGAGGTCTCCCGAATTTATGTCTCTGTCACGGTTGACTAAGGAGGAAGGTGTCCAGCAGAACAGGTGGGAATGAGGGGGACAGCATCCGAGTCTAGTGGCTTCCATGCCCCCTGCTTGCAGATGAGCTGGGGGACTGTCTCTGTCAAACCTCTGTCTTAGGGTAGTTCCTGTAGGGCTGCTGCCTATGACCCTTTCCTGACAACATATCTAAGTAAGGGAATAGAAGGTGTCCCTTTCAATCTTGGTCACAGGCCCCCCTTGTCCCTTTCCTTGACCGTATTCCAATCTATGATTATTTAATCTTTTTGAGCCTTCAATTTCTGCCTCTTCCCACTAGAATAAAAGTTTGCAGGAGGCCAGAACGTTGTTTAACTTATTTACCACCACCGAAAATATTTGTTGCATGAATGAGTGAATGGAAGGAATTCTGCTTAGAGATTCTGTAGCCAGAGCAAGATAAGGGAGGGAGAAGGAGGGCAGGCTCCAGATGAGTAGGGCTGTAGGTGAGAACTGTGGTGAAAAGGGGGAAAGAGGGTTAGATGGTGAAGAGAGTGGGTGGGATGGGTTGGGAGGGACAATGGGGAAGAGGAGAGACCTGGGATGGAAGCAGATGGAGCTAGAACCAGGAGGCATGGACTTTAGGGGAAGGGATTCAGGTGCCCAGAGGCACCAGAGGCAGGGGCTTTGGGTAGGAGGAGGGCAAACCTGGAATAGGGAGTCAAGGACAGAGTGTGTCCTTGGCAAGGGCAAGGGGAAACCTGAAATTCAGGTCCGGGGCCACAGTGAGTAGAGTGCAGGGACCCACCAAGAGCAGCTGAGTCATAAGGATTTCCCAGGGCCTGCTGGTACCACCAATGTCCCTACAACTCACTCTCATCCCCAGATCTCCTCCCCTTGTCCTTCTAAGCCCATAAACAGGAAATGCCCCAGGCTGGGCTGGCCAGGCCGCCCTTATAGAAAGAGCCAGGGATCCTCCTCTGGCTGGGAAGGAGGCAAAGCCACAGGGGCTCCTGACCCTTTGATTACCCATGCTCTACCCAGGGAGGCTCCTTCGGAAGCCTCCGTCTTCCCAAATCAAAGGTGATGGCAATATTAACTCATTAGCACTAAGCCCCTAGAGGAAGCTGGATTTGAGGGGTAATCTTTTCACAGGGCCTCACCTTGTTCCTTGGCCCTCTCCTCAGCCCAGGGGCTTCCTGAGAAGGCAGACAAGGGACAGGCGAGATAGCCTGGAGGCTGGGGGGTGGGGAGATTCCCCTGAGAAGCAGTGTCTCCCCGGAATTGGGCAGAGTGGCTATGTGTGTGGGGGTGGGGGTGAGGGAACAGAGGAGATTGGAGGTGTGCACCTGCAGTGGTTGTCATGGTAACCTGGCCCAAGGGGGTGGCCTCTCCCCCAAAGCCCTGTGAAGCTTGGAACACAAGAGTGGAGACACACACACACACACACACACACACACACACACACACACACACACACACACGGTTTTGCAGAACTCTACTTCTGGGTTCTCTCTACTCCTCGGCTGCCCCTCTTCTCTCTACTTCTCTGGGTGAGGCTGACACGAGGGAGGGGGCCGTGGGAAGAGGATGTGTCAGGGTGCCAGCAAGCGGGAGGCCCTCCACAAGGTGGGTAGGGGATGTGCTTCGCAAATGGGTGGTTTGGTGTGGGATTATGTGTGCAGCGTAGCTGGGTGGTGTCCCCGTATCCACGGAGGACATGTATATACCCAGGTGACCCAGCCCCAGTCCTGCAGTCAGACCACACAGGAGAGGGATTTGGGGGGGATGATTATTAACAAAGACAACAATAATCACAGTTATCTTTAATTGAGAGTTTATTAAATTCCAGCTATGTGGTTGTGGTAAACATTTTACAGGCAGTGTCTCATTTGATTTTCAGCAATAGTACAAGGTAGGAACTATTAGCCCCGTTTACAGATGAGAAAACTGAGGTTCTAAGAGTTTAAGTAACTTGTTTCAGGTCAAGGAGCTGGAAAGAGACAGGTCAAGACTCTGTAGGAGGGGAGGAGGCACAGGACAGGGGTGCCAGCTGCTGAGGCCACTAGTCCTGTCCCCAGGCCCCAGGGGTCACTTATGCCCATGTGTCCCCATGCTTCCTGGCAGGACTGGTCTGGTGCCATGCCAAGAGGCAGAGCTTGGGAACTTCAGATCCTTGTGCCTGCCTGGACTGGGCCAGGCTGGTCTGGGGCAGCTGAGGGCACCTGTGAGAGTGCAGGGGTACACCAAGCAGCGGGCATCGTGATTGGCACGAGCCAGGGGAGCGGCTGGCAGCCTTGTTCCTGGTAAACACGAGGAGAGGTTACTTCACAAGGAAACAGTAATTAACTTTAATTAGCACCTTGCATCTCAGAATATTATTAACATCTCAATTTCTCTAATCAAGACAGCAGGAGAGGGGCGGCATCTGCTTTGCTGACTCCTTCCTGGCCATGCTCCCTGGCTTGGCTTGGGTTCCTGCCCGGCCCCCACCCCTTGGAAGGCTCCCAGGAGTACCTCCTCAGAGGCGAGTTGCCAAGGGGAGCCGGGGCTGAAGGGCAGAGAGCAGGTACGGGCCAGGGACACGCCAGCCAGCCCCAGCAGATGCAGGGCAGCAGGGCAGGGGCAGGACTCTTTACCTGCCACCTTATCTTTCCAAATAGACTCTAAGCACCGAGGACAGCAAGGCTTCTGTTCCCGATCCCATGAATACACATAATATAGCCTTCTTCTCTTTCTCCCTTACCCCTTTCCTCCCTCCCTTCTTTACTTCCTTTGTTCCTTCTCTTCCCTCCTTCCCCCTTCCCTCCTCTCTCTCTCCCTTCTTCGAGCTAACCTCCTTTTCTTTTTCCCAGTCTCTCCCTCATGCTCCCTGTCCTCCCCACTGGAATTCTCCATTTTAACAAGCATTTATTAAGCAGACCTTACAGGACAGGGGCCCTGCTCCCACAACTGGGGATACAGTAATGGGCACAGGATAAATCCTGCCCTTGGGTAGTTTAGAATCTCACAGGGGAGATAAGGCTCGAGTATAAAGAACTCTCATCTGGGCTTCATACTGATAGGCATCATAATGGCTGGGCAGATAAGGGGCTGAGGGGTTGTAGGAGGGAGGGGGACATGGGAGGGACCAGGGCCCTAGTTGTGGGGCACCAAGGCACGCGGAGGGCAGCAGGATCCAGAGGCAGCGAGGGCACTTGGTGCTGTTCAGCCCTCTTTAGAAGGCCATCACAAGGGAAGTCCCTGAGGGTGCAGAAAGTGACTCTCTTCATTGTACCCACCCTCAGTGGCTGTTAACCCTGCCACGTGTCTGATATTAATAACTGACTGTCCTCCTTGGTCTAATTACAGCGGCCTGCTGCTTGCACAATTTGTTATTTATTTGGCAGTGTCCTCGGGGCTATCTCTCTAGTCCATCCAATTTGTATTTACTGAGCACCTACTATGCCTGGAGGGCTGGGTCTACCCTGGAGTAGGCTCCCAGTGCTGGAGCTCCTCTCTATAGAGACTGGAGGGATCAGGAGAAAGCTGCCTACAGGCCTGGGCATTTCAGGAAAAAAAAAAAAAAAACACAACACACACACACACACACACACACACAAACACACACACACAGAAACCTGGCAGTGTCAGCAGGAGGTTCCCCATAGGGAAGAGTCTGGTTCCACATTGGCCTCATCAGCACCCCTGCCCTGCTGCTGTACTTGTGCCTACAGTGTCGCCTTTGGGCACCTCCCCCAACTCCATCTCTATTTTTATACCATTTAGAGGATAGCGTCAGAAGACTAAAGTCCAGCTATAAATCTTGTCCAACATTAACCCAGAGGGCAGGTTAAATGTTCAGCGGAGACCCCAATCTCAAACCCACCTAGCTGGGAGGGCACACACCATTTGATTTTATTATTTGCCTTGGTTCAGAAAACTGATCCCACATCAAGTTGCCAGGTGCAAAGTGGGACAGGTTATATCTGACCGCCCAGCTAATGTGGGCCACAGAACAGGAATGGGAATTGCTTTTCCTTTGCTGTCACTCTATTCCCCAGTTATGATTGAATTTCCTGGAGGCCTACAAGATTTTACTTATTTAATTCTCATAGTAAACCGTAAAAAGTGGGAATTATTATACCCATCTTACAGTTGGGGAAACAAGACAAAGAGATGAAGTCACATAGCTGGTAAGAAAGTGAAAGCATGGTGGGACAAGAACTGCTGGGATCACTTCCTCAGTTTTGATCTCTACACTTTATTGGGGGACCTCTGTCCTCCTGGAGCTTGAGCGCTGGGGAGGGGCGATGCTGGGCATGGTCCCTGTCCTTAAGGAAAATTACTTGCCAGTTAGAAACTCTAGCTCTTGGCCAGGTGTGGTGGCTCATGCCTGTCATCCCAGCACTTTGGAAGGCCGAGGCAGGTGGATCACCTGAGGTCAGGGGTTCGAGACCAGCCTGGCCAACATGGCGAAACCCCATCTCTACTAAAAATACAAAAATTAGCTAGGCGTGGTGGCAGGCACCTATAGTCCCAGCTACTCAGGAGGCTGAGGCAGGAGAATCACTTGAACCCGGGAGGCACAGGTTGCAGTGAGCCAAGATCGCACCACTGCACTCCAGCCTGGGTGACAGAGAGAGACTCCGTCTCAGAAAAAAAAAAAAAAAAGAAAAGAAAAAAAGAAATTCTAGCTCTCCTTCTCCCTCTCCAGCTCCTCCCCACCTCCAGCCCCAGCTCCAGCTCCTCAGGGTTGGGGGCTGGGCCTCTATAATTGTAGAGTAATCCGCACAAGGCGGGGAAGAATCTGAAGTTTCCAAAGGCCTTTTTGATGTTGATGATTATGGTGATGACGAGGCTGCACGTCTCCTACCAAGACTGGGGCCTTTCATTGTTTCTCTCTCCATCGAGGTCTCTCTCTCTCTGCCCTGAGGACTGGTGTTGTCAGAGGACCAGCATTTGCTCCTCTTTTGGGGAGGAAGGCGAGGGACTTGGCCAAAGTGAAAGCTGGGGAGTCAGCCCCGCGTCACCTTCCTGGCGCTGGGCTCGGGGGAGCGCTGATGTGATCATTAGCATAACATTTGCATAAGGAACAATTGAGGAGATTGGAGTTGAGCCTCAGAGGAAACACCTGCAAAGAACAGTGAATGAAAGCTTCTCCTACCCCCCACCCTGAGATGTTTCCTACAAACCCCCCAGGATTGGGGAGGATGGCAGGAACCCAATGTGACTAAAGATGATGATGATTGGTTGTAATTCCCAGAGTGCCTACTAAGTGCCAGGCACTGAAGTGAATGTTCTGTTTCTCTTGATAAAATGTACCACCCTGGGTGGTACATTTTATAAGCCCCATTTTACAGAGGAGGAAGCTGAGGTTCAGCTTCCCACCCCAGTCATATAGACTATGTTTGTGGTATGGCTGCGCTTTGGAATCAGGTCGTGTGACTCAGTGCCTTCCACCTGTCACAGTGGGGCAGGGTGCTCTGGGCTCACCTTAGGGACCAAGATCCAGTCCAAAGACAGGCTCCAGCACACAGACACACATGCTCATGCACACATGCACAGCGGCTCTGCCTCTCTCCCACCCTGCTTCTGGAGGCAGGAGAGTTGGCTGACTTGGCCCATAACCAGGTTAGCCAAGATCCAATTAACTAGTTAGCGCAGGCAGAGCTGGGGGCAGGCAGGGTGCGCAGGAGAGCAGGACGGATGGGTCGGGTAATGTGCAGAGACAGCCAGAGACAGTGGCTCCGCTCTAACCTGATAAGCAGCTCCCAGCATCAATGTGCCCCGCCTGGCAGGCTGAGCAGCCTCGATCTGGGGTGGCTGGTGGGGGTGCTGGGTCAGCCTCTGATCCTCGTACCCCACCACACACACAGTCAATTCAAAGCCCCTCAGCCTCTGGCCTCCCCTGAGCAACCCTCACTCCTACTCTGTCTCCTTCCAGGGCTGGGAGGCAGGCAGCTTCTGGGAGATAAATTTTCATCCAAATCAGGCCAAAGTAGAAAGCTGGGAATATCTGTCTTTGTGCAAGAAAGGTATGGGTGCAACAACCACCTCGAGGTGGGAAGGTGGGGGCAAAGCTGCTGGAGGAGTTAATGGGGGAGGTGAGGATAACAATAGCCACTATTTATGGAGTTTGCTGCGCCAGGCATGGTGCAAACCATTTATATTTACTATCAGGTACTATTAGAATCCCCATTTTGTAGATGAGGTAACTGAGGCTTAGAGAGGTTTAGAAACTTGCTCAAGATCATACATCTGTCAAGCTGCTGCCTCAGGCTCAAAAGTGCCACACTTCAGACCACCCCTGAAATTAGGTCTAGGACTACCAGTATTACCGATAACAATCCTACGTGCTTTTGTATATCACCTTAGAGTTTTCAAAGGCTTTTTGGATTTATGCTGACAACAGGCCCATAAGGTAGATGCTTTCTTTCTAACGTCCTTTTGACAGATAAATGAAATTGAGGCTTGGAGAGGCAATGTGACTTGTCCCAAGCCTCACAAGTGGTAAGTAACAGTCAGAGCATGAACCCAAGGCTGGGTCTTTCTTTCTTTCTTTTTTTTTGAGATGGAGTTTCATTCTGTTGCCCAGGCTGGAGTGCAGTGCTGCGATCTCAGCTCACTGCAACCTCCGCCTCCCGGGTTCAAGCGATTCTCCTGCCTCAGCCTCCTGAGTAGCTGGGACTACAGGTGTGTGCCACCATGCCCAGCTAATTTTTATATTTTTAGTAGAGACGGGGTTTCACCATGTTGGCCAGGATTGTCTCGATCTCTTGACCTCGTGATCCACCCACCTCGGCCTCCCAAAGTGCTGGGATTACAGGCGTGAGCCACAGCGCCCAGCCTTGGGCCGGGTCTTTCTAACTTCTAGTCTAGTACTCTTGAGAAGACAATGGAAAAAGAAAAAAAAAAAATCCCATCCCAAAGTCAAGGTGGGTCATGTATCTATTTAGTTGCTTATCACAAGCTTATTGGAAGCCAACTGTGTGCAAGATACCATGCTGGGCATGGTCATTCAGGGGTGGAGACAGCAAATGGCTTCTTGCCTTTATGGAGCAGACGGAGAGGAAAGCCCTGAAATTCGGTGTTTGGAGACTTGGGGCTGCCTTGGTCAGGGGATTCCAGGGAATGAAAAGCCAAAGAAAGATATCCTTTCTTTGCCTCTTACGGCACCAGACCATCTCTGGTTTGATTTCCTCGTGTTTTTCAGAAGCTGCACCTAAAGTCAAGAAAGTTAAGTAACTTCTCAAGGTCATACACAGAGACAGAAATGCAAACCAGCTCTCTTGGCTTTAAGGCTCCTTTCCTGTCAGCCTGGAGCTCCCTATTAATGGCAGGATGGGGACTTCCTAACTCTACAAGCTCTAAGTTCTGTCTGATGTCTTCTCACTACCCAATAGTGAAGGAAGAGATGCTGTGCCACCCATGCCCAGGTGAAGGGTCTCCATTTTCCTCAGTCTGTGCTCTGGTAGGAGAATCCGCTGAATTCTTGCTGCTTTGAGTAATCTGGGGCTTTGGGGTCAGGAGCTGGGAGGTGCACGTTGAACACGGCAGAACAAGAGCAAGGCCTACACCTGTATGGGACGTAGCATTTGGGCCATTCTGCAAGAATGTATGTGCACATCTGTGTTGCTGTTTCTCTGATACCAGCACTAGAAGGGTTAAGACGTCCTAGCCCAGGGGATGGAGAAGTTGTCTGCACAGGAAGCTTCTCTCCCAGTCCCAAAGGCCTGGGGGAGGGGGAAGGGGAGCGATTTTCTCATCTCTTTCCCAGGCTCCTCAGCCTCTCAGGGGACCCAGCTACATGCCGGAGAGGTGGCCCTTGACCCGTTCCCCTCCAGAGGCCCTCCCCAGCCCGAGAAAAGTCTGATCCCGCACAGGGTGCTGGGGCACTGGGAGAGTGGGACCCCTCCCAACTTCCTCACCTCGTTTTTTCCCACCATCTCACTTATTCCTTCCTTATTAGTGCCTGCCCCACTCCTGTCCCATATGCACCGTATTCAGACCCTGAACTTCTTCCCCCACCCCAGCTCCGGGCCCTCAGTTCTCTCTTCCAGCCCCCGCATTTGTAATCTTCTAAAAATAAAAGCCTGTGATTCAAGTAGGCAACTCCGGAAATATACAATCCAGCCCAGGCATCCGTTGGGTGGGGGACAAGGAAGGGCCCACATACAGAGAAATACCCAGACCCAGCTCACCCCCCAGGTAAACACAGGAACACAGTCTGTTCCTGAGGAGAAATAAGGCAGGGGGAGGAGAATACTGCCAGGTGGTGCTCTTGAACTAAGGTCCCTAGCAAAAGAGTCTGGGGTCTCCTCGTGGCCTCTTGTCTGTCACCATAAGCCATTGTTCCCTCCTACTTTCTCAGCAATGGCTCAGAGAAGTGGGGGCTGCTTCCCCAAGCCACCAGCCCTGACCATCTAGAGTCTGGACCAAAATCTTTGGAAATCCAGGCAGCTTTGGGTCCTTTCCCTTGGAGGGCGTCCTGGTCCCAGGGATGTGGAAGCGGGCCACTTCAGGCACAGCTGTTCAGAGGCATATATTCCCCATCCCCATTGCCTCCTTCCGCACCCTGGCCAGGCCTGAGGGCAAAGGGAATCCAGGAGCTATATCATCTAAGATTCCCCATGGGTTTCCACGGAAAGGGAGGCTCTCCAGTGGTCTAAAGGGACTCCAGCCCTGACCTGCGCCACATCCTCAGTGTGACAGAAAGACTAGGATCAAATCACCCTGGACTTTGGAGACAGTCATTCCCATACTGGGCCATATGGACTTCTGGCTGGAATTTATGTAACTGCTCAATCATAGTACATTTGGAGACCTCACAAATTATAGTAATAATTAATTAGAAGAACTATGGCTAACATTTTTCAAGCACTTACTATGCGCCAGACCTGGGCCAAATACTTCACATGCATCATTCTCACTTGGTCCTGTAAGGAACTTCCTTTTATCATCCCTAACTTCTGGGTAAGGAAACTGAGGCCTGGATCGCTCACAGAGCTGGCCCTAGGTCACACCAGTAAATGGCAAAGCTGAGACTTGAACTCAGGTCTGCTTGACTCCACAGCCTAACCTCTGTGCCAGGTTCCCCTTAACCTCTGTGCTTGTGCCAGGGCATGACGATGTGGAACCCTGCTGAGAGACATCTGAAAAGCAACTGTGGTCTCAGGCTCAGGTGGGCACCACTCATGTCCTGGGGATAGAAGTCTACTGGGAAGCTGAGGTTTCTTTCTGTGCCACATGGAAGAGTCAGCGGGCATGACACATGGGGTCAGACGATCCCTGGCTCCTTCCACACCCCACTGCACAGCCTCAGGAAGGCAGCAGCGGCCAGCTGTAGGGTCTCTGGGAAGTTGCCCCGTCAGCCTCATCCCTAGCTCCTCATCCCCAGCTGACTGGCGTCCTGACTGCCAGCCTACAGGCCTGATTGGCCCTTGCCAACCCCAGCCATGCAGACTTCCAGACAGCAGAAGTCCTGTTTTCTTCCATTTCCTTCTCAGGGAGGAGGAAAGGAGTGCTGGGCAGGGCAGGCAGCCCGGACAGGGCCCCAACCACAGCATTGTCAAGGAGACAAAGAACTGACCAGAACCTGCCCCTCTTGTCAGCATCTTTGGGTCTCTTCCGAGCCTTTGTCAGCCCAGCACTTCTGCTGTTCCCCCACACCTGGCTTTTGCATCCTAGGGAAGAATCAGTTCTTCCTCTTAGGCCCACAGGAGCTGTCCAGCTCTTCCTATACATGAGCAATCCCACTCAAGAGCATATATTTTGAATTACAGCCTTTTTTGGTTTAGACAAAATTTATCACATGCAAATTAGGTGGTGTGCCTGGAGGATCCCACCATTAAAGTTTATGTATATATGTTGAGTGTAGTAGGGGTCACTCAAGGGACCCCTTAGACATGTTGCCCATGAGAATACTAATGCTAACATTACCGGCTACCATTTATTATCAGCCACAAGCCTGACACTGTGCCAAGCCCTTTACATGCATTCTTTTTTTTTTTTGAGATGGAGTCTCATTCTGTCACCCAGGCTGGAATGCAATGGCACAATCTCGGCTCACTGCAAGCTCCACCTTCAAGTGATTCTCTTGCCTTAGCCTCCCGAGTAGCTGGGATTACAGGCGTGTGCCACCACGCCCGGCTAATTTTGTATTTTTAGTAGAGATGGGGTTTCTCCATGTTGGTCAGGCTGGTCTCAAACTCCCAACCTCAGGTGATCCACCCGCCTTGGCCTCCCAAAGTGCTGGGATTACAGGCGTGAGCCACTGCGCCCAGCCTCATGCATTCTTATTTAATACTCAACAACCTTATGAGTTAGGTGCTGCTTGTCTTCACTTTACAGAGGAGAAAACTGAGACCAAAGTCTCAGTAAGTAGATGAGCCAGGATTTGAACCCAGACCTATAGCATGTAGGGCTTTGTTTTCCCTCCCTCCCTCCCTTCCTTCCTTCCTTTCTCCCTCCCTCCCTTCCTCCCTCCTTCACTCCTCCTTATTTTTCTTTCTTTCTTTTCTTTTTTCTTTCTTTCCTTTCTTTTTTCTTTCTTTCTTTCCTTCCTTCCTTTTCTTCCTTTTTTTTTTTTTTTTTTGAGACAGGGTCTTGCTCTGTTGCTCAGGCTGGAGTGCAGTGACATCACCATGATTCACTGTAGCCTTGAACGCCCCCACCCCCACAGGCTCAAGAGATCTTCCTGCCTCAGGCTCCCAAATAGCTGGGACCACAGGCATGCGCCACCACACCCAGCTAATTTTTAAAATTTTTGTAGCAAGACAGAATCTTGCTATGTTGCCCAGGCTGGTCTTGAACTCCTGGACTCAAGCAATCCTCCTGCCTCAGCCTCCCAAAGTGCTAGGATTACAGGCATGAGCCACTGTGCACAGCCACATGGGCTTTCTTCTGGTCATTCCGCTCTTGGCTGGTTGGCCCTTGTGCATGCCCCACCAGTGCACATGCCCATCTGATAAAGTTGGTAGCATTTCCTGAAACTCTAAAACTGCTCCAGGCAGTTCTGAGGAGATAAGACATGTCCTGCAACCTGGGTTGGGCTTTGCTTTAAGCCTCTAATTGGCTGCTAGCCAGCACCTGCCTGACTCTACCAAACTCTTCTGATCAATAACTAGTGGATGCTTTTACACTCGTGAAGCATGGTTAAGTCCATCTTATTATGGCAACTCCTGATAGTTTCCCCCACCAAAGAATCCCTTCACCTCTTTCACGTTTGTCAGTTGAGCTACTAATTTATATGCTCCCTTTGTCCTTTGCTTTTAGGTCCTCCCTGATCCTCCCTCCCACTGTGACCTTGGGGGTCCAGGATAAATTCCATTAAAACTCCTGCTCCCTGTTCTTACCAGGATGGCCTTGATACATAAATTTAACTCTAGCCCCACTGTCTGTCTATCCTGTTATCTCTTTCTTAATATTTCTTTGGTCTTATTCCTCCTGCTCCTCCTCTGACTGTCTCTGATGTCTCGATCACTGCCTCCCTCCCCTGAGCCAATGCCACGGAACCGCCCAACATGTGTAAGTGTGACTGCCTGGAAAATGTAACCTTCAAAGAGCCTGAAGTTGAGTGACAGTAAACAGAACCTTGGAGACCCAGACATCATCTAGGGTTTACATGGACTCAGCGGCAGAGACTTGGAAACAAGGCAAGATGAGAGAGAGGGAGGGATGGGGATGATCAAAAGAATGAGCTGGAGGGAAAAGTGGGAACTAGGGAGAAGTAATATTGATTCAACCAGGCCACACAATCCTTGCTGTCAATGAGAGAAGGGCCTTCAGAGATCAGCTAGTCCAGGAGTGGCAAAGATGTTTCATGTCATGAGCTAATGTTGAATGATGACTAGCAGCTTCCTGGAATGCATCCTGAAAAGAGAGTGCCGTAGTTGATTAGCAATGTCTGCCATGGGCATTGGATGAGAAATGGTGGCATGTGTGCTAGGATTTACCTCTTTGATCTAATTCAACCTCTTCACTGTAGTACAACCCAGGAGTCCGCAGGGAAGGGATTTGTCCAAGGTTTTCACAGCGAGTTGCAGGCAGATCTCAAAGCTTTTGCGATCTCCTGAAACCCAGGTGGAATTTGCAAAACTAGGTATTGACAAGGGACTCAGGGAAAGTGGTGAGTTTCAGAAGCCCTGAGTGTGGGATAACTAGAAAAGGAGCTTCCACTCTGAGCTGTGGAGAAGAATGTGGATGCATTGCAGACCAGACACAGGTGAGTGCTTGGTTCTCATGGAGTGATCAGTTATCTGGATCTGCCCAGCACCCTGGATACCTTTTTCACCTTTTTCCTCCCAGGGAGAAAAAAGAAACCCTTTAGAGCAGAGGCTTTGGCTCTCTCTAGACAAAGGGTGGAGAACTCAGTGAGGAAGAGAAGAGGAGGGAAAATGGTCCTGGGCTGGGATGGCACCCTTAGGGGCAGAGCCACTGACTATGTGGCAATGGAAAGGGCCCTGAAAGAAGGTGGCAGGTAGGAGGAGCTGAAAGCCAGGCAGGAGGCACCTGTGTGTTGGTGTGTGGGCCAGAGAAGAAGAAAGAGCCTCCAGGTGACAAGAGCTGCAGAATGGGGATAATGATACCCTGACAAAGCAGCAGAGCTTGGAGCCCAGCCCAGCCAGGGGGTCTGGAACAGCTAAGCCGCAATGCACCACTCACAGGTGGAGGATGTGGGCCAGTGGGTGGGATGGAGATGGGGGCTGAGGTGGCCCAGGACCAGTGCAGCCTTGGAGGTTTGCTCCAGAGCTTTTGTCTCTGTTGTTCTTCCCTTCTCTTTCTTTCCCATCCCATCTCTTACTTTCTCTTTTCTTCCTCCCTCACCCCTCTATACCACAGAGTCTCCACTGGGAGTTGAAATAGGGGAGTAGTGAGAGTGGTGGTGACAGAAAGATCTGGAAGCTGCTTTAATTCAGATCATCTGCCTAAGGCTATGAAAAGAAACTAGACTGCAAGTGTCCCAACAGCAGAGAATCAGATCTGGATGCCATACCCAGTTTTTCATAAGACCTAACTGAGATCTAGAAGGTGAAGAACTCCCTGATGTCAGTGTCATGGTCAGACAGTCAAGTCTCCCATCTTCCTTCCTTGTCTCTGTGACCTAAGCTGATCTTACCCCAGGATCCCAGGGTGGGCACGTAACTTGACCTGGTCAATCTGTGTCTTCCATCTCCAGGACACGGTGACTCATTAAAAGTTAATCTGGCTGGGTGCCGTGGCTCACGCCTGTAATTCCAACACTTTGGGAGGCCAAGGCGGGTGGATCACAAGGTCAGGATTTCGAGACCAGCCTAACCAATATAGTGAAACCCCATCTCTACTAAAAATAGAAAAATCAGCTGGGCGTGGTGGCGGGTGCCTGTAATCCCAGCTACTCGGGAGACCGAGGCAGGAGAATTGCTTGAACCCAGGAGGCGGAGGTTGTGGTGAGCGGAGATTGTGCCACTGCACTCCAGCCTGGGCAACAGAGCGAGACTCCTTCTCAAAAAAAAAAAGAAAAGAAAAAAAAGTTAATCCAATAATATTAGCAGTGGATCTTTTGCTGAACTATTCAAAGATGAGTGGGTTCTTTCTGTCGGGTTTGCCACACTGGTCAGTGTAAGACTGGAGCTTCTTAAACTGCTTGGAAAGTGGCTATCAGAGAGTAAAGCTAACACAATGGAGAGAGACCCAAAAGTTGGAGTGAGGCAGATGCCAGGTGACAATGTCTGTGCGCCTTGATTCAGCTATGCCTGAAGTCTATTCCTGTGCTTTTCAGTTATGTGAGCAAAAAAGCTTAAGCCAGTTTGAGTTGTATTTTTGTCATTTGCATCTAAGAGACTCTAAGTCCACTTAGAGAAACAGAGGGAGAGAGGCTGGGTGCGATGGCTCACGCCTATAATCCCAGCACTTTGGGAGGCCGAGGTGGGTGGATCACCTGAGGTCAGGAGTTCAAGACCAGGCTGGCCAATATGGTGAAACCCCATCTCTACTTTAAAAATATAAAAAAAATTAGCCGGGTGTTGTGGCACATGCCTGTAGTACCAGCTACTCAGGAGGCCAAGGCAGAAGAATTGCTTGAACCCAGGAGGCGGAGGTTGCAGTGAGCCGATAACTGCACCACAGCACTCCAGCCTGGGCAACAGAGTGAGACTCTGTCTCAAAAAAAAAAAAAAAAAAAAAAAAAGAGAGGAGAAACAGAGGCAGAGAAAGACAACCTAGAGAGAGACACAACTACAGGGATGAGGACTAAGTCTGATGGGAAAGCAGGTGTGCATGGGGGTGGGGTTGTCCTTTAGGATCACTGAACTGACATTCAGCAGTGAAGCAGGAATAACATAACTTATCGGAAAGAACACACAGCCAAAGATGATTTTCCAGATGGGCCAGTCTGAGGTTTCATGAAAGCTTTTTTGCTGCTACATAGGCTGTCTGTGTAATGACAGTAGTCCATCTGAGCTTCCAGTCTGCACAGGGTGTGGGTCTGCTTGGGGTGGGGAGGAAGACAAGGTCATTGGAGTTTATCTGAACAGTCAGCAATCAGTTGCAACCAATGTCCCTACTAACAACTCATCATGTAATCCTTGCTCCAAGACCAATCTTTATCTATCAATCAATCAATCAATCTATCTATCTATAGACAGGGTCTCGCTCTGTCACCCACGCTGGAGTGCAGTAGTGCGATCATGGTTCACTGAAGCCTCGAACTCCTGGACTCAAGCAATTCTCCCACTTCAGCCTCCAGAGTAGCTAGGACTGCAGTTGCCTGCCACCATGGCTTGCTAATTTCTTCCTTCCTTCTTTCCTTCCTTTTTTTTTTTTTGACGGAGTCTGGCTCTGTTGCCCAGGCTGGATGCAGTGGTGCCATTTTGGCTCACTGCAACCCCCGCCTCCCGGGTTCAAGCGATTATTCTGCCTCAACCTCCCAAGTAGCTGGGATTATAGGTGCACGCCACCACACTCTACTAATTTTTGTATTTTTAGTAGAGATGGGGTTTCACCATGTTGGCCAGGCTGGTCTGGAACTCCTGTCCTCAAGTGATCTGCCTGCCTTGGCCTCCCAAAGTGCTGGGATTACAGGCGTGAGTCACCACACGTGGCCACCTCTGGCTAATTTTTGTACTTTTAGTTGAGACAGGGTTTTGCCGTGTTGGCCAGGCTGGTCTCAAACTACTGGCCTCAAGTGATCCACCCGCCTTGGCATCCCAGAGTGCTGGGATTATAGGTATGAGGCACCACGCCCGGCCAATTTCTTTTTTAATTGTAGAGATGAGGTCTCCCTATGTTGCCCAGGCTGTTCTTGAACTCCTGGGCTCAAGCAATCCTCCTGGCTCAGCCTCCCGAGTAGCTGGGATTACAGGCATGTGCCACCATGCCCTGCTAATTTTGTGTTTTTAGTAGAGATGGGGTTTCTCCATGTTGGCCAGGATGGTCTCAAACTCCTGACCTCAGGTGATCCACCCGCCACAGCTTCCCAAACTTGGGATTACAGGCATGAGCCACCATACCCGGCGCTCCTCCTTTCTTACAGCTACATAGTCATTCAGTTTATTTATCCAGTCCCTTACTGATGGACATTTAGTTTGTTTCTGATATTTTGCTTCGCAAACAAGAACATCTAATACACTTAGTGCACATGTATGAGTGTTTCTTGAGGATTTATTCCTAGAAGAGAGATTGCTGGCTCAAAATATGTATGAATTTTTCATTTTGAAAAATACTGCCAAGTTGGAGTGGAGAACTTTTTTCTGTGAAGGAGCCCTCCATCCCTAGAGCTGAACCAGTGATGAAAGGCACTCCGGGTAGAAAGAGCATGGACTTTCCATTCAGATGTATTTGGGTTCAAATCCCAGTTCTGCCACCTTTTTCCTGTGTGACCTTGGTTAAGTCACTTAACCTCTCTGATTTTCTGTTTCCTTAACTGCCCAGTGGAAATAGTAAGAGCCGCCTCACAAAGCTGTTGCAAGGATCAAATGGCATCTTGTAGGTCAATCCTCTAGCGTGGGCCTGGTACGCAGTAGGCTCTTGGCCCATGTTAGTTTCCTTTCCCTGACTGAACCCTTTTCTGCATCCATCATGGAAGACAAGCTCTGGGGAGTGGCTGGGGAAGGTGATTTATTAATGAACGTCACACAGAAGTCAGGACTCCACAGTGGCTCCTTCTAAAGGTCACCTCTAAAGGCAACTCTTAGAGGTAAGGACCATTTCACGTAAAGTTGTAAGGATCTGCTTTTGAGAACATAGGCTAGGGTGCCGACAGAGATCAGACCTTACTGGAGGACCTCTTCCTAAATGATCCCTTCATCCCAGACACTGCCCTCCATGCCTCAGTCTCTGCAGAAGAGGAGAAAGAGAATCCTCCTCAACAAGAGGAGGGTGGCTGGCTTTTACACAGGGAGTGGCTAGACTGGTCTCTTCGCAGAGAATAGAACCAGAAAACAGACATCAGACAGACTGAGGTCGGGCAGCAGGGTGGCATTTCTGTCTTGGACACACAGCATGAGTGTGAGGGAAGCAGCAGGGTGCCCCACTGGAGGTCCCTACCCAGGATGGCCTATCCATCTCCGTGTCTTGGTTCAGCGGGAGAGGTCTGGAAATCCTTTGGAGGTGGTGGCCAGATTGCATCCATAGTCCCAGCCAGACCCTCAGCAATGCCAAGAGCCTCTTAGCTGCAGGTCACTGTGCTCCACTGTCTGTAGGCCACTGCCCCACCTTCAGGGCTATAGTTTCTTTCTTCTGGAAACCACACAGGACATGAGAATCCCAGACTGGGCTGCCCTTCCTGGAAGAGGATGTGTGTGTGAGCCCAGCAGCCGCTGTGATGGGGCCCGAGGTGGTGATACTGGCAAAAAAAAGGGGGAGCTAAGCAGCATGGTGGTAGCAGTGGTGACAAGGCCTCCAGTACATGTAGCCATGATGAGTGACACTCAGTAGGGTAGGCTGTGGTGCCTTTATCCAGAGTCTAAATGCTTGCTTTCAGTTCCACCTCCATATATTACATGCTGTGTGGCCTGGGGACAGTAGCTTTCCCTTTCTGACCTCGGTTTCTTCATCAGTAAAATGAAGATGCTAATACCACCTGTCCTGTCTTCCTCAATGTCTCCAACCAGCAGGTGCCTTTAACATGCCACGAGGCAAGAGTGAACTCAGGTGGAGGTACTTTGCTAAAAGCAGCCCAGGTAGGAGGAGATGACTGAGTAGAACTGGCCGTGTTATCCTCAGAATGATTTCTTGCTTCCCCAGGAGACTCCTGTTGCTGTGACGATTTTTCCTGGTTCTCAGTCCCTGGACTCTGGGATAGCTGAGATCTTCTGGCTCTCGCCTCACATAGCATCTCACAGTGATGTCCTGGCTTCCTGCCTAGGCCCCAATCACCAGTTCTGGTGCTGACCCTGCAGGTCCTAGCTCCCTCCCAGCCGGCCTAGAGACAGGGCCCAGGCTCATTGGAAGGAACAACAGGAGACTTGCCTGAAAGCCAAATGTTCTACCCAACAGGACCTGATTATGGTGGCCAAGGGGCTGTACCTGGGCAGTCTCACCCAAGGGACACTTCTCAGGGGTCAGGAGAATTTCAGCTCTGTGTTTACACATGATTCTAGGCTGAGGGAGAGAGAAAAAGCAGGGTAGGGGGTGGCAGATTAGGCGAGGGAATGTGTCCCCTAGATGGTCCCTTAGCTCATAGTGGAAGTGGGCTCTAGAGCGCCTTGCCCATGCCCTCTTCATGCTCTAGAGAGGTGGGCAAAGGACAAAGTATGCGACTACCCAGGAGAACCAGCCTCCAGATTGAGATTGGAGATGAAGGCCACTCAGTCCCCTCCATTGCAAAAAGAATAAAAGAAAGGAGTAGGATTGGCCATTGCTTGCAAATAAACAGGAGGGGGCAGTGTTGGGGTAATGACCTCCATCCGGGGAGGGTCAGGAAGGGAGCTGTCCTTTACTGGGCACCCAGGAGATGCACCTGTACAATTTCATTCATTCTCACGACCACCTCGTTAGGTAGGCACTATCTCTGTGGCTCCATTTGGCCAATGAAAAGGATGAAGATCTGAGAAGTCAAGTTACACTGCTAGGAAGAGGTTGACTTGGAGTGGAAACCCAGGACTGCCTGTCTGACTGCTGAATGGGTGCTTTGCGTTCCTTACCTGCCCTCCCAGGGCTCCAGACCGTCCCTCCTGCACATCTGCCTCTCCCAGGCCGTGCCTGCATGTCCCCAGCCCCCTCCAACAGCTCCATCTCCCGAGAGCTCCTTGAATCTCCTCACTCACTCCTCACTCTTGCTTCCTCTTTGGAATCCAGCCACAGGCTTTTTTCTTCCATCTGAGGGAGAGAAAATGGTCTCGTTCCCCACCCCCAGGTCTTTCCATCCTCTCATCCATCCAAACCTAAGCATCTCTCACTCCTCCCCTCCCCCTCTCTTATTTTTTTTTTCTTTCTGTTTATCCATCACTAGAATCTACCCCCCTTCCCTCTTGCCTGTAGGTTCTGTGGCTATAAACAAATCATAACTTTTATTAAATTTAAGATTACTTTTTAATGGAATCAATTTCTTGTGTGGTGCTTCTCTGCCTGCCCGCGGGCTCTGCCGGCTCTGCGCTCAGCATCCCCACCCGCACAGTTGTCTCTGCCGCTGGCGTTTCTGGCTAAGCTGCCTCTGAAGGAGGGGCAGGTCTGCCATCCCTAAACACACACAGAGAAACACACACACACATGCACACACTCCCACACACACACGAAGATGCACCTTCCTGCAAGGCCCAGACACAGAGCCGCCAAGCCCCAGGTGCCCACACTGAGCGGCAGGGAGTGGGAGAGGGGCAGGGGCAGGAGGAGAGAGCTGCAGAGAGAAAGACTGAGGGTGCAAAACAAATGCGGAGCCGAGCAGACATTTCTCAGCCTGTTAATTTCCTACAGTTCTGTTTTCCAGCCTCAGAAACAAGCTGGTTTCTGCCAGTCCACCCCCTTCCCTCTGACTGCATTGTGCAGCTGCTGAGCAGAGAGAAGTTGCAGGGAGGAGGGGGTTCCAGAGGAGAAGCGAAGAGACTCAGGTTTTCATACGATTTATCAAAGTACAGGCAAGATGCAGAGATGCTTCTGAAGCTGTGACCCCAAAAAGAAGCTCAACTGGGAGATTTGCAGCCTGGACCAGTCTAACCCTACAGGTCTGGGCTTCAGGAAGAAGGGAACCTGGGGGTGCTGCAGGGAATACTTTGGAGGTAGGAGAGAAAAGAAAGAGGGGTTGGAGGGTCACTTTGATGGAGGGAGCAGGGGCTGGGAGAGGTATTGGGGGAGTTCTCAAAACGAGCTCATGGGGGGCCTAGAGATGAGGATTTGCAGACTCAGCAAAGACTTGGCTGCCTCCTTGAGGCATCGGCATGGCTCTGGTCTCTGTTCCAGCTTTTCTGGGAGTATCCCTGGACACTCTTAGGTAGACAGGAGATCATGGGTGGGAAGGTGGATCTGAGGCCTGAGGGTGGCCCCCCTTGGCCCACTACACTGTCCTCAGCACACATTGTTAGTAAACTGAGTGTCAGGCGGGAGACCTCATGTTCATCCAGGTACATGTTGCAAAGCTCAGTGAATAAGAGCACAGCCTTTGGAATCAGAGAGGTCCACAAATCTAGACTCTGAAGCTTTCTAACTGTGTGACCTTGAATAAGTGACCTAACTTCTCTGAGCCTGTTTCTTACTCTGAAATAAGGATTCAGTAAAGTGATGCATGTGGAACATCTAGCGTAAAGCCTGACAGAGTAAGAGTTCAAGTGGATTGCTAATATTTGTATTATATCTTCTAAGCACCAACCAAATGCACACACATAGCCCATGATCCCCCGTGCCTAGGTTGATTGGGACCAGGCAGGCCTCCGCTCTTGGATTAAATTCAGGCTGGGACCAGAGACCATGTGAGTGACAGTTCCCAGGATTGGAATTCAGGACACAGCAGGGCTCTTCTCCCTCCTTCAGGTGGAAGAGTGGCTGAAGGGCTTGTCAGGAGAAGAGGTGAGGGACTGATGAAGCCCCCTGGGTACTGAAGGCCAAACTCCATTCCTTACCCCTGATTTTCAGGGAGCAATGAACCTGAAGCCGGGTTTCTTCTAGGGCAGAATAAAAGGAAAACATCCTGTGGCCAGTTCCTGCCCTGCAGCCTCTGATAGCCTCCTGTTGGCTTGGGGGACTTTAGAGGGCTCTGACATCCTTAGACAAGGCCTAGAGAAGGGGGTCTATAAAGATTTAATTTGGCACAGGGCATGAGTGCCCTTTCTATCCCTCCTGTCCTTTAACCCCAGGGGGTAGGAAAAAACTCAAGAATGCAAACAAGGGGCAGAACTGGAAAAGGCTGGTTCTGGTAGTGAAACCCCTCATGTGCCCAAACTTGGGAGCAGATGCCAACATGGCTGCAGTCACAGTACAACCAGGATCGGCGGCTCAGCCCCATCAGGCTGTACTTTGGAGCCCAGCCGCTTCCTTGGAGAGAGGGACAGCTGGAGCCTCCTCTCCCAGGCAAGAACTCACCTCTCATCTTTCTATTACCCCTAAAAGGAGGCTGTTTCAACGGGCTCAGCAACTCCCTCGGTTTGACCCCTGACACAAGCATGCCTGCTGAATCTACACCTGGACCTAAAGACTTGTAGAGTCCTTTCTGGGGCTGGATGTTCCCACAGGACAATTACCAGTCATGCATACAGAGCTTTGCTGCCCAAGGGGACTTTCTGAGGGCTGAATATTATTTACTTCAACTCTCCTTTGACAAGGCACCTGAGGCCCAGATGGGGAAAGTCACACAGGACTGTGATGGGGCCTGATCGAGATCTCCTGAATCTTCCCAGTGCTGCTTGCTGTGCTTTGTGGCCCTTCCTCTGGCTGTAACTGTAATCCCACCTATACCTTAGGTTGCACATGCTCATACAGCGCTTACCATGAGCCACCCTCTGAGGCAGGTACTGTTATGATTCCCATTTTACAGCTGGGGAGGCTGAGGCTCAGAGAGGTTAAATACTTCCCTAAGCTAGTATGTGGTCGAGCTAGAATTTGAAACCAGAATGTCCTGCCCCAGAATCTAGACTCCTAACCACTGGGCTGTGCTACCTCTCTTCTCTGGAAGCTTCACCTGTACCTGGACACATTTACCTTCACTTTCCTCTTCTCCTGTCCTTAGCTTTCACCACCACCTTCACAATTTCTCATTTCAGGCTAAGCCAGATAATCACCCCAGACACAAGGGCAGGCTCAGCACTGCTATCAAAATCCCTTTTCCTTTTATCTTCTCCATCACCATCTTAGCCTTATCGCGTTCACTATCATGATCAACTTCACCATTTATAAAGTCTCTAATTGCAAATGACTGTGTACCTATAGACCAATGCAGATCTAACCCCTGCCTTGGGATGGGAGGATGGGGCTTACAGTCAAACCAAACAGCAGTTTAAGCCACATATACTCCTCCCTTTGTAAGTAAAGGTACGAAACCAGAATGTGGAAGGCAGTCTTCTTCTTAAGAGATTTTTCTGCAATAAGATGGAGGTGGTGAAGGAGAAGTTTCGAACAGCCAAAGAGTGCCTGCTGAGGGAAATTAATCAATGGCCAAGAAGATTGCTTGTCATCTTTCAATATCTATAAGAAATAACGAGCCTCCAGAGAGGGAGCTAGAGCTCCAAGGGAAAAGAAGACCAGTGGGTACTCTGTCCAACTCATGCCTCTAAGGAGCTACAGGAGAAAGATGGAGCCATAGGCAGCTTCCACCCCTTTGGATGGTGGCCAACACCCATCTCCCCAGCCACAGTATCTCTCACAGCCCCTGGGGAAGCCAGAAGCAAGCAACACTGCCCAGGAGTTTTAAAACTGATTCTTCCCTTAAGCTCAAGTCCCACCCACCTCCCAACCCAGTGAGCTTGCTGGTTGGCTGTCCATGAGTGTTGGCTGCCAGATGTGCCATCATCCGGCACAGGATGTACAGGAAAGAGGGCAATGGCTTCCCGGACCAGAGTCTCCACCCAGAATTCCAGCCAAGGCCCCAGAGCTCCCAGGACCTGGAGAATTTGTTCCCCCTGGTTGTGTTTGGAATTGGCTGGTTTTCTGGGCACCAGGCCCAGCTCAGTTTAATTTTTGTTTATTTTTATGTACAGATTCTCTTCTGTTTGGGGATGAGCTTTGTGTAAATTATTATTATTTATATGATAAAGAATAAATCACACCAAATAAAAAAACCCACAATCTCTTTTTCTCAATAGAATTACTAAATTAGGGGCTGAAAGGAACAGCCGATATGCTGGGGTTTGGTTTCAGGAAGGCTTTGGACATGGATTCTCGCAAAACGTCTTAGTAAATGGGCTCTGTTATCCTGGATTTGATGCTACCCACAGTCCGCAGAGGCATAAGGGGCCTCCCAGAAAGATGGCAGTGGTTCAGGCCTAAGGGTGGCTTCCTGGCCCTCCAGACATCCCACCCCTGGAGAGATGAGTCGGGCATTTTGAAGTGATTCGCTAACTCAGAATGGGGAAAAAAAGGGAAAACAGGAGTTGGGGATTCTTGCCAGAACATGATCAAATGCCCTGAACTGGGGTGGGGGTAGGGTTCATAGGAGTTACTTGAATAGTGGCATTATTACATCAGGGAAAATGAGCCAATCATTTCTTTGCCTATTCATTAAATTTGCATGCTAAGACTCTATTGGTTGGAATGAAATGAGTCAGGAGGCAGGGATGCAGATGGGCAGAGGACCAGCTGGGCCTGGAAAGTGTCCCCAAGTGGCCCCCATCCCAGCCAGGGTAGGGAGAAGACCAATTCACCAAAAATACTGCACCCTCACCCCCTATCATCCACCTTTGGATAAAATTCTGTTTGGGAACTAGAGAAAGACACACCCAGGGCAAGAATCCATCCTGGGGCTAATATCCTAAAGACCAGATAGAGAAAAAAGTCAGCAATAGTTGTTTTTTGTTTGTTTTTGTTATTTTTGTTGTTGTTGTTTTAAATCTCCTAGGACCTCAGGCTACCAGAGATTTTTCTTTTTTTTTTTTTTTTGACGAAGTTTCGCTCTTGTTGCCCAGGCTGGAGTTCAATGGCGCAATCTCTGCTCACCGCAACCTCCGCCTCCCGGGTTCAAACGATTCTCCTGCCTCAGCCTCACGAGTAGCTGGGATTACAGGCATGCGCCACCACGCCTGGCTAATTTTGTATTTTTAGTAGAGACGGGGTTTCTCCATGTTGGCCAGGCTGGTCTCAAACTCCCGACCTCAGGTGATTCGCCTGCCTCAGCCTGCCAAAGTGCTGGGATTACAGGTGTGAGTCACCACACCTGACCAGCTACCAGAAAGTTTTAAAAAACATCTAGGCTGGGCGCGGTGGCTCATGCCTGTAATCCCAGCACGTTGGGAGGCCGAGGCGGACGGATCACTTGAGGTCAAGAGTTGGAGACCAGTCTGGCCAACATGGTGAAACCCTGACTCTATTAAACATACAAAAAATTAGCCGGGCATGGTGGCGCATGCCTGTAATCCCAGCTACGCAGGAGGCTGAGGCAGGAGAATCGTTTTAACCTGGGAGGCGGAGGTTACAGCGAGCTGAGATCGCACCACTGCACTCTAGCCTGGGCCACAGAGCGAAACTCAGTCTCAAACAAACAAACAAACAAAATCCATACACACACAGAAAAACTTCTGGCACCGTTGCCTATCAGCTTTTTCTCAAACTGTGTCCTCTTCCTAGAATGGACTTCTCCTATCTTCCCACCTAAGTAAGTCCTACCTTTGCGTCAAGGCACAGCTATAGCCATTGTCATGGTGGGGTCCCAGAGCAGGGACTCTGGCGTCTCCTCTTGAGCTTGAAAATCTACTCTGCCGCTTAATAGCTGTGGAAAATTTGGGCAACTCGCTTAATCCTCCCTGAGCCTTAGTCTCCCCATCTGTAAATGGGATAATAATAGCAATCACACATACCCAGAGGCTTAAGAGTGAGGATTAAATCAGAAAGGTCACATGTAAAATGTGCTTACACAGTAAGTGCTCTATTAAAGTGGTAGTTATTTAGAATGATACTCTAGTAAGCTATCCCAGAGCTCCCCAACTGGGAATTAACTGTGTCCCACTCTGACATGTACCTTGGGAACACAGGGATTCCACCTTTAGGGTTTCTGACTAAATCATTTTTCACAGTCTGCCCTGAATCAGCTATTATGTAATGAATCTGGCAGTCCCTAGCCAAGCTTTGCACTTAGTAGGTACTTGCTAAGACAATAAATGCTTGTTTAAAATATTGCCCACCTAGTCAAATTCCCAAACCCTGTAAAACCCCACTAAATTCTAATCTATTTGTCCTGAGTCCCACACAATGCCTGGTTCAGCCACTTCCAGTAGAGTGGGAAATGGGGAGCAGTGGAAGATGGGCTGGGGCCCCAGGAGGAGAGGGGAGATGAGAGGTGGGAAATAAATGGAGCCTGTAAGGGGTTTTACTGTGTCCAGGCCACATGGATCAATCTGTTTTCACTGCCCCTCCATAGGGCACTTTAAATTCCACCCTCGTCTTTGATTAACCAATGGCTGACCTGAGACAGGTCTGCTTGTGCAGGTCCTCATCCAGCCAGAGGAGGTGTATATTGATTAGCTAGACTAGGGCAATGAACTGTACAGGCTCTGGATTGCCTAAAAGGCCCCTTGAGAGGTGGTCCTTGTGGGCGAGGGAAATCTCTGAGTCACCGTGGGTACTCATGCACTTGCCCATGAATAACCATACATTTATATGTGTATGTTTGTGGGTAAATACTGGCCCTTTTATCTTGGTGTGTATTCAGTAATTCATTCATTTGTTCATTTATTATTTATTGAGGCCCTACTGTGGGCTAGCACAATGCCGACGCTAGAATGTGGTAGTCGCTAAGGCAAAATTCCTGCCCATACTGAGCTTTTTTTCTAGCGAGTGGAAAGAGTAACAGTAAAGCAAAGAAATTAACAATTTAGTTTTAGATCGTGAAAGTGCTGTAAAAATAATAAAACAAGATAAAGGGATAGAGAGCAACAGTGCATGTAGAGGGAGCTCCTTTAGGACGAGTGGTTTGGGTCAAGACCTAAATGATGAGAACAAATCAGCCTCAGAAAAAATCTGGAAACAGAGCATTCCAGGCAGAGGGCACAGCAAGTGCAAAAGCTCGGAAGAATTGCTTTGGGCCAGTGACTCTAGGAATCTGTGTCATTCTGAGGCAAATGTCAATCAGCTTTTATTGCACGTACACATTTGTATCTTTCCATTGCTGTTAGAATCATGCCAACCTCCTCACTGAGACCTACAGTCTTACAACCCCACCCACTGGCCTCCAATCCCATTGGCTTCTTCAGGTCCTTGAATAAGATGGATTCCCTCCTGCCACAGGATCTTTGCACAGTCTGATCCCATCACCCTGCATACTGTTTCCTCCCCTCTTTCCAGAATTAAATCCTTTTTTCTTTCTTTCTTTCTTTCTTTCTTTCTTTCTTTCTTTCTTTCTTTCTTTCTTTCTTTCTTTCTTTCTTTTTCTTTCTTTCTCTTTCTTTCTTTCCTTCCTTCCTTCTCTTTCTTTCTTTCTTTTTTTCTTTCTTTCTCTTTTTCCTTCCCTCTCCTCTCCCCTCCCCTCTCCTCCCCTCCCCTCCCCTCTCTCTTCTTTCCTCTCTCTTCTCTTCTTGCCCAGGCTGGAGTGCAATGGCACGATCTCGGCTCACCGCAACCTCTGCCTCCCGGGTTCAAGCAATTCTCCTGCCTCAGACTCCTGAGTAGCTGGGACTACAGGCATGTGCCATCACACTCGGCTAATTTTGCATTCTTAGTAGAGACGGGGTTTCTCCATGTTGGTCAGGCTGGTCTCAAACTCCCGACCTCAGGTGATCTGCCCACGTTGGCCTCCCAAAGTGCTGGGATTACAGGCGTGAGCCACCGTGCCTGGCCTTTTTTTTTTTTTGAGATGGAGTCTCACTCTGTCACCCAAGCTGGAGTCCAGTGGCACAATCTCTGTTCACTACAACCTCCACCTCCCAGGTTCAAGTGATTCTTCTGCCTCAGCCTCTTGAGTAGCTGGGACTACAGGCATGTGTCACCATGCCAGGCTAATTTTTGTATTTTAGTAGAGATGGGGTTTCACCATGTTGGCCAGGGTGGTCTTGAACCCATGACCTCAGGTGATCCACCCACCTCAGCCTCCCAAAGTGTTGGGATTACAGGCATGAGCCAGTGTGTCCGGCCAAATCCTACTTTCTTTAGCTCTCAGGAAGCCTACGGTGGGTCACCCTTCTACCTTCTACACTAGATCAGTTTCCTTTGTTAGATGCTTTCATATTACCAAGTTCCTATAGTCAACTTCTTATCTTACTTAGTAATTATGCATTATCTTATCTGATATTAGTATCTGACTTCCCACCAGAATTACAACCCTCTGGGAAAGCTGGTTATCTGAGATTTTTTTGTTTGTTTTTTGAGACATACTCGCTCTGTTGCCTGGGCTGAAGTAGAGTGGCCCGATCTTGGCTCACTGGAATTTCTGCCTCCCAGGTTCAAGCAATTCTCATGTTTCAGCCTCCAGAGTAGCTGGGACTAGAGGTGCCCGCCACCACGACAAAGCTAATTTTTGTATTTTTAGTAGAGACAGAGTCTCGCCATGTTGGACAGGCTGGCCTTGAACTCCTAGCCTCAAGTGATCCACCTGCCTTGGCCTCCCAAAGTGCTGCGGTTACAGGCATGAGTCACATTCCCAGCCTGAGGGCTTGTTATCTTACCTGTGTAACTTATCTGTATCCCCTTTATACAGGGGAATATATTGACAGCCTTCAAATGTGTTCTATGTTCAATATATTCAATATATTCAGTATATTCAAAATATATTGGCAGCCTTCAAATTCTGCGAGGCTGTCACATTGCAGAGGAAGACCATGTTAACATAGGAGCAGGGAGGTGAAGAAGTGGGTTGTTAAGGAGAAGTGGGTGGGGTTCCTTCTAAGGAAGGTCTTATAAGAATGAGAAGTTTCAGGGGTAGAACAGGTGCCTTAGGAGGTAGTGAGTTCCCTGTCCTTGGGGGTCTGTAAGCAGACAGGAGAATAGAGGGAGGTGCCCCAGGGAGTCTTCATGTCAGCATCAAGGTTCTGTGATTAGTAGTCCACCAGCTGACCAGGTCCTTCAACCCCAACGCAGCTGTAACAATGGGAGCCCCAGGTGCTGAGTGGTGCTGGGTCTGACCCAGTGAGATAAGCGTCTGACTTAAGGAACTTGGGGGTGGACAGGGTCGTTCCCAGCTTCAGACTCCATCAGGGACTCTAGGTGGCTGCTGCTCCCCCTCCTTTCTGCCTAGCTCTGAAAGGGCTAGGAAGGAGGGAAGGCAGCGGGTGGGGGTGGGAGGAGGAGCTTCCGCAAGTCTTAAGTGGCTCCCCAGCTGGAGCTATGGTGCATATTTTAAGTGGAGTTTACAGACAATGGATCTCTCTAGGGCTTGGAGGGGAAGGAAGCAGAAATTCAGGACCATTCTGTGAATTCCCAAGTTCTTTGTGTCCATTGTGTAGGGAACAATGCTGTTTGTTCGGCACATTCACTCAAGATGGGGGATGGGGGGAGATGGTTAGGCCCCAGTGTTCCGAGGTTCTTCGAGGGGCGGGGCTGCTCGGGGAAGGGGTGGATGGAAGCTGGAGGGGCTGGGGGTGAGCCTTAAGGGAGGTGAGGATTCCAAGTCTGGTTGTGTGGGTTTGAGCTCCAGGACAGCTCCCTTTAGTACAAATATTGCTTCCCCTCTACACCTCTCCACCCTTCTCCAGAGATTCTAATCCTCAGAGGCTTCTGACCTTGATGTGTTGTCCAAAGGGTTGGGTTGGGGGGCTGAGGAGGAGTGAAGCTGTCTGTTCACCAGGTAACCTTGGACAAGCCACTGCCTCCCGGAGGCCTCACCCTCTTGCTCTATTTCCACAGTTGAAGGGCCAGCTAGAGATGGTCTCTCACAGCCACAAAATTAGGTCCCTTCCATACCACATCCTCAATCTCACCAAGCCTGGGCTCCTTCCTGACTCTCACCCAGTAAGTTCACAATCTTGGTTGCCAGTGGAGGCTGTATATCCCCAGAGTGAGGGAAATGAGAGATGAGGCCAATGTAGGGCCTAGAACCTCACTAATAAGAAAATCTTCACTTACTGGTTAGTTAGCAGCTGCTGGACACTGTGCATACATTCTCTTATAGGGCCTGGGATTAAAAGCTCTGCTCCTAGCCAGGCACAGTGGTACTGCACACCTGTAGTCCCAGCTTCTTGGGAGGCTGAGGCGGGAGGATTGATTGAGCCCAGGAGTTCGAGAACAGCCTGGGCAACATAGCAAGACCCTGTCTGTTAAAGAAAAAGTCCCATAGCTGGGTCACCTTAACCACCTTAACATCTCTGAGCCTCAGTTTCCTCTCTGTAGGATAAACTAGATATAGTAATAATAATATCTACCTCACTGGGCTGTTATGAGGATTAAACGAGATTACATCTCAAGCACTGTCTCTGGAAGGGTGGTAGAGCTTATAAATATTGGTCATATACCTATATATAATTACTATCTCCATTTTTCATATATGGAAAGCAAGTCTTGGAGAAGGTAGGCATCACACAGTGAATAAATTAGGGCATGATAATTCAAATCCAGGCTGGTTGATTCTGAAGCTGAGTTGCTGACCATTGCTCAGCACCTCCTGCAGAGATGGGATTGATGCCTGTCCTGACTTTCCAACAGCACCTGCCAATGGTCCAAAAGCCAAGTTTCCTTCTCCCAGCAGGAGAAGTTGCATTGTTTAACCAGGGCTGGAGTCTGAGACTCCCCTCTAGCCCTTCCCACAATCCTACTGTAAATTAGAGTCCCCTCACTCCCCAGTGACCTCTGCAAGGTAGTGTCTTATGCTGGAGGGGCACCAGAGTTAGGGACAGGAGCAGCCTCAGTACTCCTAGGCTGAGTTCCAGAGCCCAGTTGTTGCACCTGGCCTCTGAGCTACAGTTTGGCTGGTGGCTGGAGACCTGGGCCTGGAGGCTGGGACCTGGCCCTGCTATGCTTGGAGCCATAAGGCCATCAGACAGCCTGGCTAGGTCTTGGATCTCCACAGAGATAGAGCTGGGAGAGGCACAGATCCATGAACTGAGACAGATCTGGGAATGAGAGTAGACACTGGAGCCTTGGAGTTGGGGGGTCCACAGGTTGGCAGAAGGCACTGAGCCATGGCTCCTTCCCATTCCTGTCCTACCCCTCATCCACCTTAGTCCTACTCTTGCCATCCATTTCTCTCTCTCTGGTTTTGGGTTCTCCATTGAATAAGAAGAGGAAGAAAAAAAGGGAGAGAACTGGGGGAAGGGGTGTCCACTTTGCCAATGTGAAGCAGCTCTTGTTCTATGAATGAAGGTGATGCGGGTTCAGGGTGGAGGAAGGGGGGTGGAAGGAAGTGCTGGGTAGGGCAGCCTGGGATGGGGTTGCCATGGGAACGGCAGCCTGTCAGGAGCCCTGCCTTCAAAGCTGAGGTGCCTCCTGGGGGAGGCGGGTGGTGTATGCGTGTCTGGGGTCGGGGAGCAGCTCTGATGTAAGCCCCCTGGGACTCTAGCTCCTGGATTCCAGATCAAAACCTTAACCTGGGTGGGAAGCAGCATCATGCGATGCTTCCTGTCAGACAACCCTCAGCCTCAAACCCTTTTCTGTGGAATGTAAGGCAGGGATGGGGGTGGAATCAACCCTGGTGGGAGGCGGGCTGTGATGGAAGTTGTCTGCCAACACTACCCCCTTCATTTCAAATGGGGCAGGAGGGAAAGGGGCTCTTACTGGGTGGAGGGGAGTAATGGGGAAAAAGGGGGTTTGCTTCATTCTCTAGGCCTCGGTTAGGGGCCAGGCTCCACAATGACAGTTTCCTGAGGCATCTGGCTCCAATTCCTCAGAGAGCTTGGAACCTAGGAATAGGGCTCAGAGGGAAGGAAGCCCACTGGGCTGTTTGTGAGATCTCCAGCTGCCCTCACTCCCATCCCACACCACCGCTACCATGACCCTCTGGCCACTAGGGGGGGCCATGGCCCAGCATCCATGGGGTTGAGGGACAGGTCAGTCCAGAGACCCAAGGTGGCCCAGTAAGGTAGTGTGGCTGAGATGTAGCCTCAGTGGCATTTGCCTTTCATGAGGTTGGCCCAGCTCATCCAGGCCCCAGCAAAACCTGAGGGCCTTTAGAGGGCACTCAACACCCTGGCACTGCCAATTCAGTCCCTCCTTCTCAGCTGCCCAGGCAGACCTTTCCAGAGACCACCAGCCAATTCAAAACAGCTCTCAAGTGCCTACTACTCGCCAGCACTGTGCTAGGCATTGCCAGCGATTTTGAATCTAATGGGGGAGATGGACACTAACAGAGGCTTAAAACACATGCACCGAAGTCAGGAAAACCTGGGCTTGAATCCTCACTTTACTATTTCTAACTGGGTGAGTGACCTTGTGCAAGTTACTTAATTTGTGTCTCAGTTTCCTTATCTGTAAAATGATAATAGTACTGGAGATGCAGGGAGCTGTGAGGAGGATTAAATGAGAAAGCATGCTTAAGGCCTTTGCTGCAGCATCTGGCACACAGGAAACCCTCACTAAAGGGAACTATTGTTAGTAGGTGAACCAAGGTGCTGAGTACTAGCATGGAGGTAGAAGCAAAGTGACGAGCAGTCCTGGAGAAAATAAAAATTCAATCTGGGCTGGGCATGGTGGCTCACACCTCCTAGAACTTTGGGAGGCCAAGGCAGGAGGATAGTTTGGGTCCAGGAATTCAAGACCAGCCTGGGTGACATAGAGAGATCCTGTCTCTACAAAAAAATTTAAAAATTAGCTGGACATGATGGCACGTGCCTGTGGTCCCAGCTGCTCGGGAGGCTGAGGTGGGAGGATTGCTTGAGCCCAGGAGGTCGAGGCTGCAGTAGGCCATGATCATGCCTCTGCACTCCAGCCAGGGTGATGGAGTGAGACCTTGTCAAAAAAAAAAAAGAAGGAGGGCTGGGCATGGTGGCTCACGCCTGTAATCCCAGCACTTTGGGAGGCCGAGGCAGGCGTTATCACCTGAGGTCAGGAGTTTGAGACCAGCCTGGCCAACATGGTGAAACCCTGCCTCAACTAAAAATACAAAAATTAGCCGGGCATGATGGTGGGTGCCTGTAATCCCAGCTACTTGGGGAGGCTGAGGTGGGAGAATCACTTGAACCCAGGAGGCAGAGGTTGCAGTGAGCTGAGACTGCACCACTGCACTCCAGCCTGGCGACAGGGTGAGACTCCATCTTAAAAAAAAAAAAAAATAGAAAACGAAAAAAAAAGAAAATTCAATGTGTTGAGATTATCAGGGAGGGCTTCTTGGATGTGGTGCCTGATATGGGCCTGAAGGAAAGACAATATTTCTATAGCAGGGTTGGTAAGGGCTGTAGCAGGTAGAAGGAACTCCAGGAGGAAAGGCATTTAGGAACCTTACTTTATTTCATTCTTGCAGCACAAAATGGCAGCCCTATGTCTCCCTCCTGGGGCGTCTCTCTCCTACATCCCTATTTCCAGAGGCTCTCCCACCCACCTGGAACCCTGCCTTGGGCTCCCTCCTCCTGCTCCTCCTCCTCTTCCTTTCTCTTTCACTCCCACTCCTATTCATCTTCTTCTTCCTCCTTCCTTCTTCCCTAGAGAAGCCAGCTCAGAGAGAGCACGTTTCATAAACAGTGACCACTGCCCTATGAGTGCCTGGACCAGTAGCTCTCACCCAGGGGTGGTTTTTTCCCCCCAAGGGACATTTGGCAATGTCTGGGGACATTGGTTGTCACAACTAGGGGTGGGGGGATGCTGCTAGCTTCTAGTGGGTAGAGGCCAGGGATGCAACTAAACAATCTACGGTGCACAGGACAGCCCGCACAACAAAGAAGCACCTGGTCCCAAATGTCAATAGTGCTGAGGCTGAGAAACCTTGGCTTAGGCAGAGAACTGCAGCTGGGGAGAAATGCAGCCCCCTGCCCCGGGCTCCTCCAAAACCCCACCCCAGGAGTCCCTGATCCCCTTCCCCAGTCTCTTCCCATCTTCTAGTCCAACCCTCAGTGTCCCCTGGCCTCATACTACCCACCACTCCTGCGCGTCTGCCCCCTCTCCTCGGGTCTTGTCCCCGCTCTTATCCTCTCCCACCGCAGGGGCTGTGGAAGGCCTGTCAGGCAGGAGTCAGCCTGCGGCTGCACGAGGCTTCGGAGACCAAGCTGCCTGCTGCACTCGGTGCTGCCTGTCCACTGATTGGCCGAGGCTGCCGTTTCCATGGTGATCTACGGCAAAGCCCAGGCCCCCCCACCCCCTTAGCCCCCGCGACAGGCCCTATTCAGTGGCGAGAGCCCCGACAGTCAGGTTAATAAAACAGGAGCCGCGTGAGGAGCCGGGCTGTGGGCCGAGGTCCCAGCGTGGTGGCCCGCCCGGAGGAGAGGGGGACGGATGGGGGCAGGGAGCGAGGAGCTTGCTTGCTGCCCAGTCGCCGCCCTCCCCGACTCTGCCAACTGCAGGTTATGGGGCTGCACCAGCTCTCGGGGACTTGGGGTTCGTCTCCTGGAATGCACCTTCCCATAGTGGCCTCTGGGGGCAGTGTCCCCTCCCCCATGGGTTCCACTGGGCCCCTCTAATCAGAAGGGTTGGAGTTCTGGGGCTGGGGCTGAGGAAAGGGAGAGATGGAGATGGGGTAAAGAAGAAAAATGGCAGGGAAAGACTAGAATGGGAATCGGGTGGGAGACTGGGGTGAGATGGGGATGGATGGGAGTGGAGTCCAGGTTGGGGATGGAGAAATGAAAAGGGGAATGAGGAAGGAGATGGGAATGAGGCCAGGGGGAGGAAGGGATGAGTTGGAGGAAATGGAAGGTAGAGACCTGCGCATGGAGAAGAGGCTGGGATGGGGAGAGGGAGGGAGCTGGTGGAAGGTGCAAGGTGGAGAGGAGCATGGGATGCAGGAAGAAGGTGGAGATGAGAAATTGGGATGGGAGCTAAGATGGAGTGAGATGAAGAAGGATGGCGTGGGAGAGAGGGTGGTTAAGAAGGGTACGATGAGGGATAGAGTGTCTGGGAAATAGGCACAGCCTCTGACTAGCTCACCTCTATGCCCAGCACAAGCGCTCAGGAGGTGTGTGCTTGTCACATAGTCCGTGCTCACACGTGTTTGTGGATTGAATGAATGAGGTGAGAAATGCTGGGCTGTAGCGGGAGAACTCTCCTGCTGGAATCAATGCCACACCTCTTCCTCAATATCAACACTGAGTGCTCACAGTGGAGTCTGTGCCAAACTCCTTCATGGATGACCCCATTTAGTACTTTCAATAATCCTTTGAGGCAGGCACTATTACTATTTGACAGAGGTCCAGAGAGGTTGAGTAACTTCCCCAAAGTCACACAGCTCTGATTCTTGCCTCAGATACGGTGGGCATATGGTCAGCTTCTGTGTCTGGACCTGAGTATTTCTGGCTGAAGACCCAAACCATGCAGATTGGTGACTGGGGAGGGCAGGGAGTTCTGTGTCACAAGAGCCCAAGAATGGAGCCCGGTTGTGGTGCTGAGTGGAGTGGCAGGCTCCTGGATTGCCATCCATGACTCTGTTTTCCTGGCTGGTGGAGATGCTAGGTCTGCTGTTGCTTGGTGCATCATTGTAGTTGCATTTCCATATGACAGATGCAGAGACCCTTAGGAATTCTCAAATGCTGTCTCTGAGGTCATTCATTTTGAGACAACGGGGAAGCCCAGAGTAGTTGCCCCAATGTGTGGAGTGAAAAGGGCTTTGAAATAAAATAGTATAGTCCAGTTCTGCCATCTGTATTGTGGCCTTATGCAGATGATTTAATTTCCCCAAGCCTCAGTTTTTCCATCTATAAAATGGAGACAATAGTACCACCTAGGGTGATGATACAGATTACAGTGAGATGATATCTATGGAACAACTGGCACAGAGAAAGTTCTCAGGAAATGTGGTTCCCTTCTCGCCAGGGTGCCTTTGCAGATGCTTCTGTTTCTCCTTCTGGGAAGTGTGTGATCCATCACTCCAGGACCCAGAGGGGAGAAGGAGAAAGAAGGGACTCCTGTCTCCCTGAATCTGTGTTGTCACCACCTCCAGAGGACTAAACATGAGAGGGGGAAACTAAACTTTATAGGCTTAGAAAAAGAAGCAGAATGGGTAGGTCCCATGCGGTGAGGATGCTTCTTCTTTTGTCTCCTCAGAAGGGGTTGATGGATCCAGGCTGAAGAAATGAGGTGGGGTTCACACCCCATAACTTCTCCCTCCACTCTAGCCCTTCCCACCCCCAGCCTGAGCAAGAGTGGACCACTGAGAGAGGCCAAGCCTCTGAACCAGAGCCAGAGCCTCTCCATCCCAGGCTGACCAGCTGGCTGCTACCCTTCCAGCCTGCTCGTGGCCGGTCAGTCCAGGCCAGTGGCTAGGAGCCCAGGCCTGGAAGGGCAGAGGCGGCTGCAGCAACCTGAGCACTCGATAAACCATTAATTCTTAATAAACGACAGGCTGTGCATTATTTAACAATAATGATACTTTCTGTTCCATTATAGATTAAAACACCGGCCTCTTCTTATTAATCCTGCGTTTCAAAAGCTTGTAAATCCTGCACAGCCGGAAGAGATAAAAGCCGGCTCATCCCCATCCCAGGGCTGACATTCTTGCACTGACAGTGGCTCAGCGGCTCGACTTCTGTATGCACACGCGTGTGCTCTGGGCCCACCCACCACCCAGCTGCACCAACAGCTGCAGGTGCAGGGCTACCGCCACTCTCCACCTTAGCTGTGCTCTCCTTCCCTCAATCGCCTGTCTCTCATTTTTGTTTTTCTTCCTCAGCATTTTTCTCTGATTTTTTCCCCTTTTTCTGTTCATCTGTTCTTCTCTATCTTGCTTCTTCCTCTCTTTGTATCTCCCTGTTTTCTCTGTTTCTTCTTCCTCCTTTTCCAATCTCCCCCCCTCTCTCTCTCTCACACACAGACACACACACATACATACATCACCTGCCTCTCCATCACCTGACTCTCCTTCATCTTCACACCATTCAACCAAACAAACCTGCAATATGCACAGACTCTATCTCCATATGGTCTTTGCTTTTTTCAGGGGTCCTCAGAGGGATGCGGTGGGGAGAAGGAAGATAATTCCATAGAGAAGGAAAAGAAGGAGGATCACAGAGAAGAAAGGCAGAAGCAGAAAACCCGAGACCAAACAGGCTGAGTAGTTTCAGAGCCCTCTTGGCAGACTCTGACAGCCACATGGAGAGCACCTATTGCAATCCTCAGTGGATGCTCAAAGCCCTTCTGTATTGCCCTCAGGCTCTATTTACATACTCCCAGGGACAGGGAGCTCACTGGCTATGGAGGCAGCCTTTTATATTACTGCAAAGAGAGCTTCTTCAGTAGGAGTTCATATTCACTTTCAGCCTTCCTTTGGCAAATGCCAGACCTTTGGAAATCTGAAGGCTGCCATTCCAGCTTCCTGATGACACCTTCGGTCTCAAGCTAACCTTCCCCATCCTTCCTCCAGGCCTCATGCGTCAGTGGGCTGAGCCCTTCCTTCATCCTAGTTCCCCTGCTCAGTGCCACCGGGGTGTGTCAGAGAACCAGTAAAGGTGGCTCCAATGCTGACCACAGTCCTTCCTGTGGTGCAGCCGGAACAGAGGCCAGCTAGGCCCTCCTCTCATCTGGGGATCAGAAACCATTACTGAAGGTTTGAGAAGAAAAATCACAGTGACCTTGAATGTCTCTCCCAAGGTCATTGCAAAAAATAATATCTGTTGTCATTTATTGAACTTTTACTATACAGTAGGTACCCTGTTTACATCCCTTATCTTGTTCAATCCCATAAGAGTTGTTCCATTATTATTCCATCTTGCAGATGAAGTAACACTTGGAGTGATTAAGCTAACTTGGCCATGGTCACACAGCTAAGTAAGTGGTGAAGTCAGAATTTGAACCTGGTACTGACTCTGAAGCCCTTGCTTTTAATCTGTGGATGTTCTCCCCAGCTATTTGGAAACAAAAGTGGTTTTTTTAGTCAAGTGGGCCCCCAAAGTCAGAGAGACTGCTGTCCGTGAAGCTAAAATATTTTCTCCAGGATTGGACTAATGGTTTCCCACCATGGGCTTTCCAGGTGGGGGTAGAGCTGGGGTAGAGATCTCTGGCATTTTGGTTTATACTTGCTGGATATTTCTTTAGGTCGAGGAGGAAGACAGTGTTCATAACACTTACTGAATATTCCATCTGCCAGGTTCTATTCATCTGTTTTAATCTTCACCATGACTCTGTGCAGTGGATGCTAGCCCCATTTTAAAGAGTAGCAAACTGAGGCTCCAAGAGGTTAAGTCACTGGCATTTATGCTTATAGCTTGTGAGTTTTGGAGCTTGTCCGTGATGTTTCCTAAGAGGAGATGAAACGGAACACTTACTTTTATGGAATGAGGTGTTGCCGGATTTTTTTTAGAAAGGGCAGGTGCGTGTGTGTGTGTGTGTGGGGGGGGGGTGGGGGCGGTGTAAATGGGAGAGGAATAATCTTCAAGAAACACAGAATTGGGGAGGGGAGCTGAGCGGCTTTCTTCTTTTTTTGAAATGCACAAATGGGAAATTTAACTTGATCCCCTGTGGCTTCTGGGCCAACCCCTGAGTGAAGTCGGATCACTTTTGCAAAGGAAAATTTTATCCGTTTTTTGGCTTTTATGGGGCTTCCTCAATGAGCAAAACCTCTCCTGTTGGTGCTTAGAGAGGATTTCTCTGCTTGGCCTACGGTGATGCCGTGTAATCTCCCAAAAAATATGGTGCTAATATTCGCCGGGTTAGGGTTAGTTATTTTTATGTCTTTGTCATTTTGTTTCTCGGCAGCTCTTTCTGCTGCCTGGAAAGGACGTGGCGGACACTTTACTTCCAGAGTCATATTTTTTAATTTGATCAAAGCAAATTTCACTCGTTCTCTGTATAAATTATTTAACTCATTTCTTTTAGGTTAAATGTCTCAATAGAAAGATAGAAAGTCTTTCCATCACATTTTCTTCCAGGATTTTAATCAGCTCCTGTAGATTGTATGAACTTCTTTCTCAGTCCTCCATCCTTCTCTGTCTTAAGTCTCTCTCCCTTCCTCCCTCTCTCTCCCTATCTGCTCTTCTCCGGCCTCTGCCCCCAACTCCTCCTGAGTCCTGGGGCTCAGCCCCAGCCTCCATTCCCTTATGGCTCTGGGTGGGGAGAATGGGGGCAACTTGAACATGCAGGGCTTTAGGAGCACACACCAACCCCCTTCAGTTGGATGAGTTACCAAAGGCACCCTTCCTCTGAGCTGACCCAGCCCACAGCCCTGACAGCAGCGTCAGGGCTCAATGGCAGGCCCTGCTTGTCCCCCTCAGCCAGATCTCTGTGCACAACCACAAGCTGCTGCTCCTGCCTCTGCCAAGACCTGTGCCTGCCCGCCCCCCGCCGCACCTGCCCAACTCCCATTTCCCCTCTAGGGCTGCAGTCTCAGGATGAATTTAAATGTAGCAGCCTCTCCCCAAATTCCAGCTGTTTCCTAATAAAAATTCCATCCTACTCAATCAATGCTCCTTGTCACAGGCCAGGTTTCCTTGTGTCTTATTTCACTCTGGTCTGGTTCCCTCGGTGCCAGGGCTCCTCAGGCAGACCCCTCCTCCTTAGAGGCTTGAAGCCTCCCTCTGACAATAGTGCAGGGCTGGGGATAGAAGACCCGGGCAGAGGTTTTGGGGTTAAGTGGGGTGCTACAGAGGACTCCCTCCAGGGATGGGCTTGGGCTCTGTGGGGGGCCCCTGCCTCCCACCTTGGCAGCCCCATCTCTGGCCCCAGGCACTGTCAAGGGAACAGAAAGCAGCAGGGCAAGCTCATTACCCGTGAACACTCTTCCTTCCCTCATATCACATTGTTTCAGCCAAGAACAAGTCTCCAGTGGGAATTCCCTTTCGTCTTACTTTTAAAATATACAGTAATTAACAAACTAATGCTATTAACTGCAACAACGAGGAAATTACAGTAAAATCACTGCAGAGTCCACAAGCAGTGGGTGTAGGGACCGGTGGGTCCTGGCTCTGTGTGGAGGGGAGGGACCCAGTCTGGGCCCAGGTGTCATCATCTCAGCCACAGCAGGGCCCTCTCAGGCTGGGAAACTTCTGCCAGAGCTGGTGAGTCCTCTGCAGGTCAAGCCAGGGCTTGGACACAGCTACTTCATTTCCTGTGCAGGAAGAGTCAGGATCCCGGTCATTCTTCCAGCCCCGGAGGTTTGCTCTTTTATGAAACACTTAAATAATAGAGCTGTGGCCCAGTGCTGACCTGGGCATGTCTGTGAGGACATGGCCCCTGCTTCAGGGTCACCGTAGGTTCCGACAAGGCCTCCAGAGGATGAATCTCAAAGAAAGCCTCGGGGAGGGACTGCTGTGCCTCCGCTGCCTCCTTCTCTGGTCCTGCGGAAGCATCTTCAGGGTCTCCCTGTCCATCCTTCTGCCTTCCTTCCAGCACAGTCAGGCTGTGCGTCCCTTCCTGGGGTTTTACTCAGGTACAGCCAAAGATATCAGGAAGGACTAGGCCTGTTGTTGCCTGATTGCCTGGAAGTCTGTTTCCAGTCTGACTTCAGTCTTTCATGCTGTAGTCCTCTGTAATTTCCTCTGGTGAGTTCCCAGCAAGCCTAGTTGATAAATTCCAGGATCCTCTCCCACTCTTGCCTCTTTCCCTCAGGTTTTACAATCTCCCTGTCAGTCCTTAAATCCTCTTCCCCCATCAGGGAGCCATGGTCACCAGAAAGAGCAACCTGTTCTCATTTTCCCTCTCTAAACTTTCTCCCAGAGGCCACTCATTGCCTTGCATACCAACAAATGTCTGCTCAGAACTTTTAGAAGTTCTGTTCAGATACCCACAGAGAAGTTGCATGCTTATCCCATTTTACAGATGAGGAAAACAAGGCTCAGAGAGGTTAAGTGGCTTGTTTGAGATCACATAGCCAGGCAGAAGCATCGTCAGGACTAGAACTGTGGTTATGTTTTCTGCAGGTTCCCACCTTCCTTGTCTCTTCTTGGCTCTTAAGGGAACAGATACTCCAGGGGAGAAGAGATAAACCTGGCTTTCCTTTATCTCCGTGGCCATGCTGGCCTGTGGAGGTGAACAAAAAATAAAAAGATAGCTCATCTCATGTTTCTCATTACGACAGCCAGCATTATGAATTGTGCTATCATAATGCAGATTGTGTACACAGGGAAACTGAGGCTTAGAGAAGCACAGAGCTTTGCCCAAGGTCACAGGGCTGGTGGTGACCAGAGTCAGAACTTAAACCCAGTCCTGTCTGCCTGCAGAGCCCACCCCTGCCCTTAGCCACTCACCTGAAGGGTAAGACCCAGCCCGACTTGAAGTCCAGCCGGGCTGAGTGTGGAGTCCGAGAACCTCATTAGGAGTGAAGCTGCCACATGTGTCAAAACCCCTGCCAGCCCCACTCCAACTTGCAGCACACAGTGTAAACATCCTTACTAATTCACCAAACTCAATCACGTTACCGGGATGGATTTTCCCATCATTACTCCTGAGTGAGTGACAACCTGCTCAGACACTTGCCTTCCCCGCTGCCTTGGGAGAGTCTCAGAAATCAGAATGCTTCACTCCCTAAGTTGATTTCAACTTGTCCTAAAGTCATTTTAATTGGTGAAGTGTCAGAGGCAATTTGGGTGACTTTCTGAGAGCCCCTTTGCACCAGCACTGGGCTGGCAGGGAGCAGGGCTCGAATGCTCCCTCCACACTTGGTGGGGACTTTCCCCTCTGCTGACTGGTCAGGAGGCCGTGCTCTGTGCTTTATTTTCATGTTTCTTGCTGAAGTTCCTCCGGCTGTTTCCTGAGAATAACAAGATTCATTTTCTCAATGGCTCTGACAGATAGGATTGTTATTGTTATTACACTCATATACCACCTTTCCTCCAAGGAGCTTAAGGCGCTTTACAAATTTGAAAATTATCTAATAATCTTTCAGCAACCCTGAGAGAGAGGGAGAAGCTGCAGTTAGAGGCACTGCAGTGCAGCCAAAGGGCGTCCACACTCCTTGCCCCGACCAGGGAGGGTGGGCATGTGGCCATGTTTGGGCTGCGGACACTTGGGGCTTGAGGCCTCCTGTGGCTCCTGCTGAATAAGGAAGAGGGAGATGCCTTGCTGGGAGGAGAGAGAGAGAGAAGAAGGGAGGAAGGAAGAGAGGAAGGGAGGGAGACAGACCCAGCTCCAAAGGACAAAATCCAATGGGAGGGAGCTCAGGCAAGGAGAGTTTTCTTTAAAGACACAAGAAATGAGAGGAAGCAGGAGGCTCCCAGGGGCTTGCGGGTAGGATAGCTGAAATTCAAAATGGAAATCTACCAAAGCAGCAACTAGGCTGGTTGCAAAGGACCCAGCTCAGGCATGAGAACATGGGCAGAAATATCAACAGAACTCAAATTGCAAATTTAGGTGGTTGCTCTGAGGTGGGTGTGGGAAGCCTCTGTGGACCTCCTTTTTTTTTTCACCTGTGAGCTGAGAGGTATGGCATTAGGTCTCTGCTAGCCTGACATCCTATGATTCTGTCTTCCTTAAAATTTCCTCTTACCAGAGGTGCCCATAGTAATTGCAGCACCTTTACTAAGCGTGAAGGGAAAGCTACTATCAAAGTGACAGAAGGGCTCAACTGCATTGCCATTATTTTCTTGAGAAGAAGGTGTGCAAGACACCGCCTTATTTGAAGCTGTCCTTTTGGGATTAGGGATTTTGATGGTTCCAGGCAGTAGCCTTTTGGGAACCAAGTATGGCATTATGGTTAAGAGCTGGTATCTGAGATCAGACAAACATGGTGACCTTGAGCAAATAACACAACCACTTGGACCCTCAGTTTCCTTGTCTGTTCAAGAATAATGATCATGATGACCTGAGGATGCTGTAAGGATGAACTGAGAGGATGTGTATAAAGTGCTTGGTGCAGTGCCTGGCACAGCCAGCCATGAAGCTGAAGATGAGAAGAAGAGAATATAGATGCTGGCAGTAGGGTTTCTTCTAAACACCTGTCCTCCCTGAAGGGCTGGGACAGCCCTGGTAAGATTCAGGGGAAATTAGCAGGCTGGGGATTCAGGTGGGAAGGGTGAGGCAGGGCTGAAGACCTGGCATGATGGCCTCTGAGGCATCTATTCTTTATCCTCTCCCTGCACCAGGACCACCAGATCATGGCTGTTATCCTAATTCTCTTCACTGCCTTTTCCACTGCCCTATCTTCCCCTGCAGCCATGCCTGGTGCTAGAGTTGCATCATGAGCCCAGCCTCTAGAAAAGGCCTGTGGTTCCCCCTCTGCTTTGGCTGGTGTCAGGGGCCTTGCTGAGGGGCCCAAGGGAGGACATTAGGAGGTGAAGGTAGTTCTATAGACTGGAGTCTGAAAGGCAGATTGCAGAGGAAGAACAGTGAGCTGGAGAGAAGACAGAGAAGCTGTGGAGGGTGGAGAGAGAATGCAAGACAAGGAGGCCCTTGTAGTTCTCTCATTCTATGGAAATGAGACGCAGTAAATACTCACTAGATGAGAACTATTATTAATACATATTTCTAAAAAATAATTAAGAAATTCCAAAACGTTCAGTTCTTCAAGATGCTATGGAGCTAGTATCATTCATTCATTATCACTTAGGCATTCATTCAACAAATATTTATTAAGCACTGACTCTGTGTCAGACCCTATGCTAGCCACTGGAGTACAACGATGAGCAAAAACAGACATGAACCCTGCCTCATAGAGCTTAGAGTCTAGTAAGGGAGAGAGACATTGAATAGGCAAATGTACAAATGAAGTAACTTTAAGGCCAGGTGTGGTGGCTCATGTTTGGAATCCCAGCACTTTGGGAGGCTGAGGCAGGTGGATCACCTGAGATCAGGAGTTTGAGTTTGAGACCAGCCTGGCCAACATGGCAAAACCCCGTCTCTACTAAAAATAAAAAAAAAATTAGCTAAGCATGGTGGTGCCCGCCTGTAGTCCCAGCTACTTGGGAGGCTGAGGCAGGAGAATCACTTGAACCTGGGAGGCAGAGGTTGCAGTGAGCTGAGATCGTGCCATTGCACTCCAGCCTAGGCGACAGAGCAAAACTCCATCTCAATAATAATAATAATAATAATAATAATAATAATATGAAAAAACATTAAATGTGCTTTGTTCATTTCATCATGTATTTAACAGTATGTGGGAGAGCAAAACTGAGGGGACCAACCCTAGAGGGCTGGCCAGAGAAAACCTCCCTGTGGAAGTGCTAGTTAAGATAAGATCTAAAGGCCAGATGGGGGCCCCCCCAGTGGCTCACGACTGTAATTCCAGCACTTTGGGAGGCTGAAGCAGGTGGATCACCTGAGGTCAGGAGTTTGAGACCAGCCTGGCTCACATGGGGAAACCTCGTCTCTACTAAAAATACAAAAATTAGCCAGGCGTGGTGTGCACCTGTAATCCCAGCCACTCAGGAGACTGAGTCAGAATTGCTTGAACCTGGGAGGCGGAGGTTGCAGTGAGCCAAGATTGAGCCACTACACTCCAGCCTGGGTGACAGAGCCAGACTCCATCTCAAAAATAAATAAATAAATAAAAAATAAAGGTCGGATGGGAACTGTCCAGCCACAGACTGAAGAGGGAGGGCAGAGGGGACAGTGATACAGAGACCAATGGGCAGGGTCAGCAGGGTGTGGGCCATGTAGGGCCTTGGAAAAAGGTAAAACTTTTTTTTTTTTTTTTTTTTTTTTTTTACTCTTAAGTACAATGGGAAGTTACTGAAGGGGAATGATTTGAGTTTTTCATGATCCCCCTGGTTTTTGAATGAAGAATGGAATGGGGAGGGGGATAGGAGTAGAAGTCACAAGACCAGTGAGCAGGCTATTTCAGGAGCTTACAGAGTGGCGAGCCTCACATAATGTCTACCCTCCACTCAGTCAGGGTCTAGAATACAGTGATTCTCAATGTTGGTTAAGCATTAGACTCACTCAGTGAGTTTTAAGAATGCTGATGCCTAGGCTGCACCCAGACCACTTAAATCAGGGTCTCTGAGGCTAGGACCCCGCATCAGTCCTTTCTGAAGCTCCCCAGATGATTCCAATGTACTGTCCCAACACAATCTCCATCTCCAAGAAGAGGGGGAAGGGAATTCCTTTGACTGAGCACCTACTATGTGTCTGTGGCTATGCCAGTTTAATTTGCTTACATTAGTTCAGTGAATCCCCACCACAACTGTGAGAGATGGGCATTATCGTACCTACTTTATGGATGGGGAAACTGAGACTCAAAGTATTTTGCTTCCCTTCCCCTTGGCCTTGAGAAAGTCACTTAAGCCTCTTTAAGACTCGGTTTCTTTGTGTAAATTGGAGATAATTTCTATTCCATAGAATTGTCAGGAGAATTAAACAAGGCAGGGCTGCCTACATCTGGAACATATTAAGAGTACAATAGATTGTAACTATTATTAGCAGAGCCCCAGGCCCCAGAGTTAGTAAGAGGCGGAGGCAGGCTATGAGCCACCATACTGCACTGTCCCCCATCGCACAGCTGCCAGCTCCACGGAAGGAGGCTGAATTCTGGCTTGTTCCTGTGGATTCCCGGTGAGTCCCAGCCCAGGCACAAGGATCAGAGCACCCTGACCATGCCTCCAAGTCAGCATCTACACCAGACACTCTGCCACACGGTTGCAGTTTCAGTAGGCCCTCTCCTCTTTTCTCTGAATTATGATTCCCCTTCACAAATAGGGGCAAGTGGCTTGCCCAAAGGCATAAACTAAGTTAAAGACAGCTAGGGATGAGGGCAGGTTTCCTGCCTAAGACATTTTCCTCTTCCACAAGGGAGTAGAGGGGAAGATGAGGCTTGTCGCATTGGGGGAGATATTATTAATATGTCTTTTAAGAAATTCCAAAACATCCAGCCCTCTAAGATACTGTGGACCTGATATCATTGATTCATTATCATTTATTCATTCATATCACTACAGTTAGTGCTGGGGCACCAAGAAGGGTGGGTGGTCTGAGGGCAAAGGCCGGGGCCAAGGCACTTCCCAGCGCTGGTGGTGGTTCCAGCAGACCCTGGGTGGACCCAGCACCATGAGAGTTCCCACTGCTATCCCTCATCCCAGAGAGGACGCCCAGCTGGAGCTCAGACGTTTTTGTCTAGGTCTACTCTGCCCATGCTGGGGACCCTGTGGGTCCCCCAGCCATGTCAGTAAAGCAGAGTGACTATGAACACAGGCTCTGAAGTCAGGAAGATGTAAACTTCAATCCCAGCCCTGACTCTTTTGAGCTGCAATACCTGGTATAGGTCTCTTAACTTCTCTAAGCCTCAGTTTCCTCATCTGTAAAATGGAAATAAGTGAAAAATAATGTAGATCAATTTGATTGATAAGGAAGGAGCTCCAATATATATTATTCTTTGAAAACAAAATGAAACCAAGATGCAGAACCGTTTTAATATAGTATGAAGCAAACCAAATGATTAAAAAGGGATATCTCTATGTGGCGGGGCGGGGGCGGGGCTTGCATATCATAGACTATATCAGAAAGTCCACAAAATAACGGAAACACTGCTTCTTTGTGGAGTAGGGCTGTGGTTGGAGTAGGAAGAAGAGTTACTCTTCATTGAGTACGGCTGGTACTATTTGAGTTGTTTACTTTGTGAAGATTTTATTTTTTCAATTAAACTACTTTTTAAAAATTGGGTTAATAATACTTAGAGGGTTGACTTGAGGATTAAATGAATTAGTGCATGTAAAGTGCTTAGTACAATGCCTAGCACAGAGCAAGTATTCAATTCCACACCACAGATATTTATTGGGCCTGTGATAGATTCAACTGGTCCTAATTCTTCACTGCTTCCACCACTTCCATGCCCTTGCCAGGGCATCAGCACCTTCTTTGGCCAAGGGGGAGCTGGCATAGTCGGGCATGCTCTTTTGCATTCCTGTCTTTTATAGAACATGCCTCAGGTAGCTGCTAGTTCAATAAGGATGAGAGATGGGGGCGCAGACCTGCACCCAGTTCACAGGTTGGAACCAAGCCCAGCTGAACCCAGTTTAGATCAACCAAAATCCAGTCAACCTGCAGGAAAAAATACTTATTGACTGCTGTATGACCCTGACTTTCTGGGTGGTTTGTTATACAGCATTACTGTGGCAAAAGCTAATTAATACAGAGCACCTACTATATGCCAGGCCCTATGCTAAGTCCTGTGGATACAGTGGTGAACAAAGCCAGATACAGTTCCTGCCCTCATGGATTTGATTCTCTAATGATAAGAGGGCCATGAGAGCATTTCATGGCAGGGAGTGTTGATCTAGGTAGGGGGTCAAAAAAAGCTTCCCTGAGGACGTGACACTCGAACTGAGGCCTGAAGGATGAGTACAGGTTAACTAGGTAAACTCTTCCAGACAGGAATAGAATGTGCAAGAGCCCTGAGGCTTGAAGGAAGCACGGCTCCTACCAGGGGCTGACAGTGGATGGATAAGAGGGGCAGGAGTGAGAGGAGGAGGTATGGGTGAGATGATTGGGGGTGGGGTGAAGATCAGGCAAGGATTTTTAATTTTTATTTATTTATTTTTGAGATGGAGCCTCATTCTGTGGCCCAGGCTGGAGTGCAGTGGTGTGATCTTGGCTCACTGCAACCTCTGCCTCCCAGGCTCAAGCGATTCTCCTACCTCAGCCTCCCGAGTACCTGGGATTACATGCACGCACCACCACGCCCAGCTCATTTTTGTATTTTTAGTAAAGATGGGGTTTCGCCATGTTGGCCAGGCTGGTCTCGAACTTCTGACCTTGGGTGATCTGCCCGCCTCGACCTCCCAAAGTGCTAGGATTACAGGTGTGAGCCACCGTGCCCGGCTGGATTTTTTTTTAAGTAACAGGAGACTACGGAAGTGTTTGAGAAAAGGGTTTGGTGGAAGGGAGAGGAAGACAAATCAATTTTGGAAGAGGTCCTTTGGACTGCAATTATAAACATACTGGCAGTTATGTTGGTTGAGGCAGTAGTAGAACTATTACAACATCTGTGCCCGACTCTACGTATCTCTGCCACATTGTGATCTTGCTTTTGTTTCCAAAGCAAGAGGCTCCAGGCCTCCAGCCCTTTCCCCAGATTACTGGTGTTCTTGAAAATTTCGGGTCTGGCCAGGCACGATGACTCACACCTGTAATCCCAGCACTTTGGGAGGCTGAGGCAGGGGGATCACTTGAGGTCAGGAGTTTGAGATCAGCCTGGCCAACATAGTGAAACCCCCATCTCTGCTAAAAATACAAAAATTAGCCGAGCATGGTGATGCGCACCTGTAGTCCCAGCTACTCGGGAGGCTGATGCAGGAGAATTTCTTGAGCCAGGAGGTAGAGGTTGCAGAGGTTGCAGTGAGCCGAGATCACGCCACTGCACTCCAGCCTGGGCCACAGAATGAGACTCCATGTCAAAGAAAGAAAGAAAACATAGGGTCTTCTTCATCCATAACATGTATGTTTCCAAAACTCTTGCCCATCTTCTGGGCATCTTGAGTCTCCCAATTGGGCTGGTGGTGCTGGCCTCTGGACTAGTAGAGGCTGAAGGCTGCCCCCAGAGCTCCTGCATCTGAGGCTGGGTGATGACTCCTCCCAGATGGGTGGGAGGGGCAGGAGGCACCAAAGGCCCTGCCATCTGCAAACCTCACATAAGTGCAAATCAATGCAAGATTAAAATTCATGATGGTTCTGGGGCACAACTGCAAACAATTTGTTCAGTAAACTTTGCTCTAATTGGCATTCGTAGAATTTCCTGTTAATCAGGACCCTTGGGCTCTTTGGGGCTGAGATGCTCTGTCTCCCCATGACAGGGCAGGGAGCATGTGTGGGTGGGTGTGAGAAGAAGCAGGAGGGAGGGTGTTCAAATGTGGGTATCTGTAATTATATGCCTGGTATGTCTTGATGTGCGGACACAAGTGACGGAATGGGTGGCCATCTGTAGCTTTGCCCAAGGGGTACCTCTGTGCCACTGTGTGTGGATATCTGTGTTGGGGGATGTGGGGTGAGCTGGTCTGCTGGGGAGTGTGTCCAAGTGTGTGCCTAGGTGTTGGGGTAATGGCTATTAGTTGGGGTATGTGTCCAGGCATTGAGGATGTGCATATCAGAGTGTGTGTGCTGGGGCCTGTGTGTATTTTTGTGTTGGTGCCTGCACACAGTGTTCAGGTGTGGTCTTTGGGTCAGTATCGTACAGGTAAAGTCTGCGTCTTAGTGTAGGGGCTGCTGGGCCCGCAGCTCACTTTGATTTCTCTCTGGCTCCAAGAGAGATGGTAACTGGTGGCAATCGAGTTAGGACCTCAGAGTGTGTCCTGCCCGTGAGTCCCCGGCTTATCCATGCTTGCTGTCACCAAAGCGGACTTGGGCTCCCAGTGGCAACATTCCCCCAACCACCCCTTTCACTAGGGTCCTGTTATCCATCACTCATCATAAACCCAAGACCCAAGCCCTAAAGGCTTTTGAGGGTTCTGCTGACAATTTTCAATGACCTCAAATACAACCAGAACTCACATGAAGAAATACAAGCCACAAATGCTTAATTAAATGCCTACAAAAACCTAACATTATGCCAACTGCAGAGCTGCTCACAGGGCTATATACAAGTCATAGGTAATGTGGGACCTGGTTGTGTTTTATTGTGTGTGATGTTATATAACGTGTATTTTCCAGGAATAAGGAGACGCCAGCAGGTCTAAAGGCAGCCAGCTCCCAACTCTCACTTTCACAGGGAGGGGTCCTCTGCCCTTGTACAGTGATGGGGGTCACCTTGGCGTGCTGAACAGAGACTGATATCCTGATACAGAGACTGGAAAAAGGTGTAGCTATATGTGTGTGTGTTTTCGGGCTTCTGAGTTCCAGGGCTTCCTGCAGCTCTCATCTCTGAAATCTCCAAAGAGTTTTATCCTCAGGCCGGGTGCAGTGGCTCACGCCTGTAATCCCAGCTCTTTGAGAGGCTGAGGCGGGTGGATCATCTGAGGTCAGGAGTTTGAGACCAGCCTGGCCAACATGGCGAAACCCCGTCTCTACTGAGTACAAAAATTAGCCGGGCATGGTGGCAGGCACCTGTAATCCCAGCTACTCAGGAGGCTGAGGCAGGAGAATCGCTTGAACCCGGGAGGCAGAAGTTGCAGTGAGCTGAGATTGCGCCACTGCACTCCAGCCTGAGCCACAAGAGTGAGACTCTGTCTCAAAAAAAAAAAAAAAAAGTTTTATCCTCAAACACAGGGAGGGACTGCAGCGCTTGTGTAATTGTGTGGAAGGGACTGCGTCTTATGCCCAGATGATTATGATGCTTCTTTATGTGTGTGTGTGGGGGGGTGTCCAAGCAGATAACTTGCCTGGGGGTGAGTGCGTTTGGGGGGCTTGTGGGTGGCCCCAGCTCTAGCATCCCTCACAATCATTACCTCAGCAGGAGCAGCTCTTGCCTTGGGCCTACCCTCTCTGTTTCAAGCAGCTGCTGCTTTTCCCCAAATTAACCCCTCTGCTCCAACTTCTTATTTTCCTGCTAGGGGGCCATGGGCTGGCTGGGGAGGGGTCTCTAGGGGACAGTGCCCCCAGGAGGCAAGCTGATCTTCCAAAGCCTTCTGCCCCTGCCCCTGCCCCTTGTCCACAGGGGGTCCTCTTCTTTCTTGCCTTTGGCTGTGGAGAACAGAGATCCTGTGACTGCGGATCTGAGGGCGACTCTGTGTGCATACGCACGAGGCTGGGGCTGGACTGCGAATGGTTCAGAAGCACTATGGCAGGGTCCTGGCTGCCCAGGAGGAGCAGAAAAGGTCCTGAGCCCCTTCTGGCAGTGGGGAAGGGCAAAAAGAGCCTGAATTGCAGGTAACAGGAATGTGGCTAGGGAAGTTGTGGGCCCACCTTAGGCTTATCCAGCAGCACCCAGGAGAGTCAGCCCAGGCAATAGGCATGCAGTACCCCTCTACCTGCCCACAGGGCCAAACCCAGGTGAGGGAGACTGAGGATGTCAGCAGAAGTTGCTGTGGAGAGGGGGAAGCTGGAAGTCAGATGAGAGAAGGGGGAAAGAAAGGAAGAGTTAATCCCAGAGGACCTTATCTGAATGCTCTGTCTGCCACCTCTCTGAGCCTAGGGAGGAAGGAATGGGCATAACAGAATCAAGGTGAGACCTAGGGAAGGTGCAGACAAGGGACCTGAGGTCTGCGGAAGGTGGATGGATAGCTGTTGCCAAGCTGGGCATTTGGAGCTCTTATGGCTGCATGGAAGGACCCTAGGTCACAACCATGCCAGGTGGGGATAGGATATCACCCAGAGCACCTTGGCTCTGACTCCAAGACATTTAAATTCTGCCATGTGTTGCTGGGACATGATTATGAGCAAGACCCAGGCCGGCCTTCATGGAATAAGCAGGCTGCTGGAAGAGGCAGGGAAGTCACCAGCCTGGGATGGGAGAAGCTCAGGGCTATGGTCACCCAGAGGCAGCACATGACCCAGCCTAGGGGTCAGAAAAACTTCTTTTCTCTGCTTAGGCCTCAATGATTATAGTAACAACATGAGTTATCATTTGTAATAATGGTAACAAATGATTACAATACTGAGCACCTGACACATGCAAGCTATATGATCTCATTTACTTTTCTTAACTGCTTTGTGAGCGAGGCACTCATATCCTCATTTTACAGATGAGAAAACCAAGGCCCAGAGAGGTGCAGTACTTTAGGAACATATAGCTAACAAGTGAGAGAACCGAGATTTCAAGTCCACCAAACCTACAGTATTTACCCACATTGGGGCACAGCCTCCTGGGGTCCTGAGTCACCTTTCCTTTTTTACATTTTATTTTAAAATTTGTATTTATTTATTTGAGACGGAGTCATGCTCTGTCACCCAGGCTGGAGTGCGGTGGCACAATCTCGGCTCACTACAACCTCTACCTCCCAGGTTCAAGCGATTCTCCTGCCTCAGCCTCCTGAGTAGCTGGGATTACAGGCACCTGCCACCAGGCCCAGCTTTTTTTTTTTTTGTATTTTTAGTAGAGACAGGGTTTCACCATGTTGGTCAGGCTGGTCTCGAACTCCTGACCTCAGATAATCCACCTGCCTCAGGCTCCCAAAGTGTTGGGATTACAGACGTGAGCCACTGCACCCAGCTCTGAGGCAACTTTCCTAACTTCAGCAGCAGCAGTAGCAGCACAGGCTTCTGGGAACCCCTGCTGAATCTAGGCAGCCGGCCTGGCAGCCTGGACCAGGCCCCAGTGAGCAAGATACAGAGGAGATTGGGAGGAGCAGGTGAGTCCTCAGCCCCATGTTTGCAGAGACTGACATCAACCTGGCCCTGTTTTCATTTGCTTTTTGGTGGAGAAGGGAAAAGGCCCACGTTTTATGACACTAGCTTGTGATTCTATTTTCTGTTTAAATTCTGGGTGAGGGAAAAATAAGAGACATCAGAGAAACCTTCAGAATCTCATTTTGAGAGTCTGAGCTGCAGATAAATGAGCCTCCTGCAGAAACGCTACATCAAAGCGAATTTTCTCAGCTGTATTTTCTTTCTTTTAATAGGGCCATTTACTACATTAATATTCCAGGAAGTCATTTTAATTTCATGTTTATCATCCATTGGGAAAGTTAAACAGGATCAATATGTAACCAGTGGCGCATTGGGGGATCTTGGGGGAGAAGGGGAACGTTCAGAGGCTTTGGTGATTCCACATCTGGGAGTCCTTAGGAGGGGAAGGGTGGGGAGGGGAGGAGGCTGGAGAATGGAAGGAGGGATGAGAGGGAGTGGGGGAGGGGAGGGGAAGCACAGGGGAGTTGTAAGGTGGTAATTGTCTGAACATGCATTGGAACAATTATTGAGCATCTACTAGTGTGAGGCATTGCTCATGCCGTAGGTTTTTTAATTCTCACAATGACTCATGAGATAGGTATTCTTATTCCCATCCTTACATATGGGGAAACTGAGGCTCAGGAAGTTTGTCACATGCCCAAGATCTTAGAGAACTCTGATTCATTCCTTCAATAAATATATGTGAAGTACCTGCTATGTGCCAGACATTTACCTAGCAGCTGGAGGCTTTAGGTCAATGAAAGTTAATTTACCAAAAGCCTAAGGATCCAAGTCAGATCCACTGAATGTCTCTTTTGGTGAATTGTCTGCTTCTAGCGATACAGGTGGGCCCTGCCTTTATGGAGGTTATAGTCACGTGGGGAGACAGGCTTTCATCAAATAATCACACAAGGAAAGAGACACGCAACCCTGTGGTAGAGGCTCAGGGCTTGAGAGCCTGGAATCAGGGGCTTCCTCCAGAATAGCAGGTCAGGGAAGGTTTCCCAGGGGTGGTGATGCTCCCACTGAGACCTGAGGGCAGCATGGTGGGCAGCTGTGTGAGATAGAAGAGCAGAGGCAGTTCCAGGGAGCGAGAAAAGGGGTACTGCAGTCAGGAGGAGCAAGGGACCTTGAGGGGCTGCTGAGGTGGACGGCAGACTGTGATGGGACCTTCTGAGCCAGGGTAAGGACTGGGGGAGCCCCAGAAGGCCATGAGGCAGATTTATACCCTGGGTCAAGTTGTTTGACCAGGGTCCTCTGCCCTGGGCTCTGTAAGGCAAATGCCTGGACAATGGAAAGAGAGAGGGATGAAAGCAGTGGATCTCCAATAGAGCCCCGAGAGAGGGGGCTGGAATTTTTTTTTTTTTTTTTTTTGAGACGGAGCCTTGCTCTGTCGCCAGGCTGGAATGCAATGGCTCAACCTCGGCTACTGCAACCTCTGCCTCCCAGCTTCTAGTGATTCTCCTGCCCCAGCCTCCTGAGTAGCTGGGACTACAGGTGTGCACCACCGCGCCCGGCTAATTTTTGTATTTTTGGTAAAGATGGGGTTTCACCACATTGGCCAGGATGGTCTCGATCTCTTGACCTCGTGATCTGCCCGTCTTGGCCTTCCAAAGTGCTGGGATTACAGGCGTGAGCCAGCATGCCCGGCCAGAGTTGGATTTTAAAAGGAAGGGATGGGTCTTCAGGAATTGAGAGGTGGAAGGGGTAAAATCCTCAGAATCATCCGCGGTGATTGCTTCTTTCTCCCATTCCTCACTTTTGATGATCAGCTCATCCTGGGGGCTTTCCCTTTCGCAATACATCCAGAATCAGACTTCAGCATCATCTGTGTCACTACCTCCCTGAACTAAGCTGCCACCTACTCTCACCTGGGTTTTTGCAATAGCTTCCTAACTCTCCTCTCTGCTTCTGCCCTTGGCCCCCTATAGTCTAGTCTCAATACCGCTGTCCCAGCTATACCTTTAAAACATCAATCAGATCATGCCTAAAACCCTCTGATAGATTCTTGTCTCATTCAGATAAAAGCTAAAAGTCCTTACAAAGACCATCAAGACCCTACACTAGCTGCACTTCCTCTGGAATTTGTGACTCCAATTCCTACTATGCTACCTTTGCTAACACAGCTACTCTGGCCTCCTTACTGTTCCTGTAACACGAACAGTGCAGTCCCACCTCAGAGCCTTTGCACTGCTGTTTCCTCTTCCTGAGCAGTGCTGTTATCCTGAATATTTGCTCACTCTTTTGCTTCCTTCAAGTCACTTTCTTGGTGAGACCAACTCAGACTGCCCTGTTTGAACTGCAGCCCTTCCCAATCAGTGCTCCAACCCCTCCTCTGTTGCCTCGTTTTGTTCTATTGTATTTACCTTCTCTAATATAGGTTATAATGTACTTATTTGTCTTGTTTATGGTCTGTCTCCCACTAATTGTAAGTTCCACAAGGGCAGGGATTTTTGTTCATTTTGTTCACTGTTCTATTCCCAGTGCCTAGAACAGCACCTCTGTGTCATAGGTCCTCAACCAGCCGGATAAGAAGGGACACTTCCCATTTTGGAAGGCAGAGAGCAAGGCTTCAAAGGGAATGCTATTTCTGTACTAAGTTGTTTTAAATTTATTTTTATTTCATTGGCTCCTAACAACAGCTCTTCATGTTGACAACGATTACTGGCCCCATGTTACAGATGACGCAGTTGAGGCTCAGGGAGGTAGTGAAGAAAGTGGGAGAGCCCGGGCCTAGTGCCTCATGCCTGTAATCCCAGCACTTTGGGAGGCTGAGGTGGGAGGATCGCTTGAGGCCAGGAGTTTGAGGTCAGCCTGGGCAACATGGCAAGACCCTGACTTATTAAAAATAAAAAAATTAGCCAGGTATGGTAGCACACACCTGTAGTCCCTGCTACTCTGGAAGATGAGTGGGAAGATTGCTTGAGCCCAGGAGTTTGAGGCTGCAGTGAGCCACAATCACATCACTGCATTCCAGCCCGGGTAACAGAGCAAGAGAAATACTGTCTTAAAAAAAAAAGAAAGAAAAGAAAGTAGGAGAGCTGGAGCGTCTTTCAAATCTCAAAGGATAGGTGCTGGTGCAGGCTGCCTGGGCTGAAAGACTGGCACCTCCACTTTCCAGCTGTGGGAGCTTGGACAAGCTTCAGTCCTCTCTGTGCCTCAGTGTTGTCATCTGCAGAATGGGAACGATCATACTACCTACCTGCAAGAGTTGTTGGGAGGATTAAATGAGATAATACATGCACATTCATTTGCTCTGGCTACATGGAAGGTACTCAGTAATGTCAGCTATTATTATTGGAGCTGCACTCTGCTGCCTGAGTCAAGCCTCTTGGCCACTCCCTACCCAGCCAGGGGTCTCCATCCCATTTCCACAGGGGACTTCAGGTCAGCCTAGGGCTCTGCCTTCACATGGTGGTGGTCAGACTTGTCCAGTTCCATTTGTTTAGGAGGAATTTAATTTCTCCCTAAGCCGAGAGTCTTCTGCCCCCTCCTGCCCTCTCTCTTGCTCTCATCAGCTGCAAAATGAGCTCTGGGAGCTTTCCCCCTGGTCCAGAAACCCAAGGTGAAGAATTTCATTAACAATCAAGAGGACATAATCAACATTCTAATAATTCCAGATCCACACTCCCCTTTTGCAGCCCCTCCAAAGTGCCCCCATCCCCCAACTCCACCCTGTTCCTGGCTCTCCCAGACACACTCACCTTGACAAAGAAATCTCATTTCTTCTCCAGCAAAATTTGCTTTGCTATTAAATTCAGCACGTTACCTCCTGCCCTGATGATGAGGGGACGTACTCCGGACTTGTCAGAATCCTGCTTCGGAAAGAGACACTAGTGGGAACAAGGACGTCACGAGGGACTTGCTTCTCTTACTCCTCCTGGAAGCTTCCAGGGTGGGGTCATACACTTTCCCCCTAGGTCCTCAGGAACCTCATACCAGGTAGCCAGAGAAGCAGAACTTCTCCTGGTGTGAGGGGAAGATGGGGTACTCTAGTGATTTCTTCTCCAGGCCTGCTGAGAATCTAGAGGTGATACATGGCCTTTTCAGTGGGCTGCATTTTACCCACCTTAAAGCCCCTACCCCAGCCTTTAGGAAGATCTAGCCTGGACCTCCTTCTGGCTGTATAACCTTGGGTAAATTAATCCTTCCGAGCCTCAGTTTCCTTATCTATAAAATGGGAATGATAGCAATCATGCCTCTCTCTCAAGGTTGCTGGGGGAATGAAATGAGATCATGCTTAGCAGAGTGGCTGGTGTGGACTTGGCACACAATCAATAATAGCTGCAACTATTATAAATGCAGTAGTGTCTTTGGCACTTGAAGTCTGCAGCACGGTACTGCCACCCCGCCTCTCTCCTGCCTCATTCCTTTCTTCATACACTTGGAATACATGATTGAGTTTTTATTGATATAGTGGTGTCGAGGCTGAATATGTTCAGCAGGCATTTATTTACAGTACAGTGTGGTCAGTGCTATGGCAGGCTAAGTCCTGGGGGCCATGACAACCCACACCCATAAAGGGTGTGCCTCAGTGGTAGTCAGAGGCTTCCAACAGGAGCTGACTTCTGAATTGAGACCTGAGGAACAGAGAGAGATTTGCCTGGAGATAATGAGTGACGGAGACTCTGAGAGTAGAGACCATCAGCGCCCAGGCCTGGAGGGGAGAGCAAGCAGGGACCCCAGGACCTTGTGCAATGGGAGCTGAGGCCAGAGTGGAGGAGTTTGGCTTTTATCCTGAGGGCAGTGTGGAGCCACTGTAGGACACTGAGGAGAGCAGTGACATGGGTGTTCTTATAGAAACATCTGCCTGGTTTCAGTGCAGGGACTGGAAGGGAGAGGGGTGAGGGTGGGGAGTGAGGAGGTCAATGGGCCTGGGCTGCAGAGATGGAGAAAAATGGACATGTGCCTTCCAGGAGTGATTGTGGCCAGGGCTGGAATTCTGATGATTGCTGGCTGAAGAGTCTGGCTTGCGCACTCCACCCCTGGAGGGTGCCTGGAAGAGGCACATGGGTTGAGGGGAGGTTTGCACATCTGGACCCTGGGGTGGAGGCGTCTTGTGGCCCAGGTCCCTGTCTGGGAAGGGGCTTGAGGGAGCCTTGGGGAGCAGGAGGCAGGGTAAAGAGAAGGAGCCCAGGAATCCCCTGCAACTCTGGCTTGGCCCAGCTGAGCTCTCTATGCAGCTGGAGCCACAAGGATTCCAGGCTCAAGGGAGGCTGTAGCAGGATGTTTAATTCTCTAATCTCTGAATCCTCCTGAAATCCCTTTCAGCCTTGCACAGCCCTCTGGCGCATCTCCCGATGGTGGCTGGTGGGCACCTCCTTGTGCTTCTTGCACACATACCATGCCCCCTAACGCATACATCCATACACAGATGCACACACAGCATGTTTCAGGCTCTGATGAGCCCTGGTAGAAGGGAGGCAGGGAGTTAGAGCGCACCTAGGAGAAAAAGGAGGAGGTGGGAGAAGTAGGAGAGAGAAGGAGGGGAAGGAGGATCTTGGAGGCTCTCTGGTGGTGATAAGGTGGTGAAACTCCCAGCTCCAGTTTCCGTGGCTCAGGATGGGATTAACCTGTTAGGGTAGAGGGGAGAAGGGAAAGGTGTCACTGCACCAAGTGGCAGGGAGTGTGCTCTCCCTAGTGGAGCTTCAGTTGGGTATCAAACCTCCAGACCCCTTCTCTTCTAGCTCCCTTGGGGCAGATGGCTCTGTGTCGCCTCCCCAAAGCCACCTCTGCCCTTTCCCCTCCAGAGGATCTGCAGCAGGTCATGTGTGTATGCACGCACATGTGTATGAGAGTGTGTGTGTGTGTAAGCTTTAGGAGAGGGAAGTGTGGGGGTGTAGAGGGAAAGGAGAGGAAGCAAAGCCTAGCCTCCCCTTCTAACACAGACAGACAGGAGGGACTGTTCCCACACTTGGGGGAGGTAAGACAGATGGTTGGTAGCCTCCCTGAAGGTCTCTCTCTCTCTCCTCTCTGGGCCCCAATCCTCCCTCCAAACGGCAGCCCTATCACCCTCCTACCTAAAATCTTTCTGTAGTTCTTCAATGCCCTCAGAATAAAGTCCAAGCTCTCAAGCCAGCCTCTGTCAACCCTCCAGCCTCTGCTCTCGACACCAAAGCCTCCAGGCTTCTTCTCAGTCCTGTTCCTTCTGCTTAGAACATTCTCCATGTCCAGCCCCACACCTTATCCTTGTTTATATGGCTAATTCTTCCTCATCCTTTAGGTCTCAGAAACTAGAAAGCTTTCTCAGACTATACCTGCAAGCTAGATAACGTTTCTCCTTTGGGTAGGTACCCCAGGGCCACTGCTGGCACCCCCAACCCCTACTGTCATTGCCTGTGCTTCCTCCATCCTAGCCCTGATCACTTTGTGTTGTAACTCTCAGGGCAGGAACTTGCCTTGCTAGAATCCTTAATGCCTGGCATGGTGCCTAGGACTCATTAGATATTGGTGGAAGAAAACCCCAGGAATTACCCAATGGTAATCTTTCTTTTCTGCTAGTAGAAGCATAGAGAAAACTGAAACGAATCCCAATCCCCCTCACTTTTTTTTTTTTTTTTTTTTTAAAGAGAGAGTCTCACTATGTTGCCCAGGCTTGCCTTGAACTCCTAGACTCAAGCGACCCTCCTGCCTCTGCCTCCCAAATAGCTAGGACTACAGGCATGTGCCCCCACGCCTGGAAGAATTCTCTATTTTTGAGGCCCAGACAGTGGAAGGGACTTGGCCAAGGTCATACAGAGGGAGTATCTGAACCAGGAAAAGAACCCAGGAGTCCTAACCCCAGACCCTTGTCCTCCCATGGTGGAGGGGAGGCAGATGGCAGGAGGTGTAGAGGGGTTGCAGTGGGGAGAGGTTCAGTGGGAGGATCCCGCAACAGCAGGGCCAGTGATGTGTGTGCAGACATGCGTGTGCTGTGATTCATGGCTGGGCACCCTCCTCAGGCCCATGTTCTTGGCTGGCCCACAGTGAAAAGGCCCAGCTCCCTGGAGGAGCCCACCTAGAACTGGATGGTGGGGGTGTTGGGGAGCAGAGCTGGCCAGGCCCTGGGATTGGGGGTTGTTGACGTCATCTCAAACCCCTGTGGAAGCTGACAGTGAAGACCCGGGGGGCAAGGCAGGCACTGGGGATGCAATCACAGGCTAATAGCCTCCCAGCCTGAGATGCAATTAGGGGCAGATTCCCAGTGGGCCTGGAGGCAGTGGGAAGGGCAGTTTGTTGTTTGGAGGTGGGAGTGGGGCCTACATCTGCAATCCTGCACTCAGGTTCAGAGGAGCCAGAATGGGAGCATGGGTGGGGTAAGGAGACCCCCCCAAAAGAAGTAACGGTTGCAGACATGGGTGAGGCAGAGGGGTACTTGGAGGTAAAGCATCATCATGGAAGATTAATAATTGGGAAAGTTACTTCCCCCAGACCCCGGATGTAATAGTGAAAGAGCCAAGCTAAGTTACTTTAGGTCCTTAGCCTTTCTGCCTGGTGATTTCCCTCCCTGTAAGATGGGAACAATAATAATAGTATCTATCTTAGAGAGCGACTGTGGAGGTTAAAAGAGAAAAAACATATAGAGTGCTTAGCTCACAACCCGGCCCTCACCAAGTGCTCAACGATCATGATGATGCTTTAGGGAGGTGGTGTCACATACTGGGCACTACAGGAACCTTGGAATCATGCAGATCTGGGTTCAGATCTCAGCTTTTCCACTTACCAGCTCAATGACTTTAGGCACAAGACGGAGCCTTGGGTTTGTTATCGGTAGACAGAACCAATAACAGTATTTACCCCAGCCAGGGGTGTGATAGGGGATGTAAGCTGCCTGGGACTCGGGTTCTCCCTAAATGGTAGCTGCCCCAGCAGCCATGCCACTTCTCAGGTCTCAGATCACAAGCCTGGCCCAAGATCTTCTGTCCCCGAGACCACGAGGCAGCCCTCTCTGACCCCTACGTCTGACCTTGGGTCCAGCAAGGGCCATACCACTCCATTCTATCCAAGATAAAGGTCTGGAGAGCTGGCTTTCAGCTGGAGCCTTGAGAGAGACCAACAGGTACACCTGACTGTGGTTGGAGGGCAAGCTGCCTGCTGCAGCTCTGAAAGCCAAGAACCTGCTGGACAAGTTCAGTATTCCCAGAACTGCAGCCCCAGGCCCAGGTCATCAGCTTGGAAGGGAATGGAATGAGTGGGGAGGGATGATGGTAATTTGAACTGGCCTTTATCTATAGTGTCTTCAGCCCTTTATCTACATTGTCCAGCACGATCCTCATAACAACGCTGTGAGGAGGGTACAGGAATCATCCATATTTTACAGATGAGGAAACTGAGGTCAGAGGTGAACCCTGGTCAGAGGCTGCCTAACTAGTCAGTGGCTCAAACTCAGGATTGTCCCAGAGCCTGGGCTCTGCAGTTAGCTCAGCAGTTTCTGAGCTTAGGGGAAGCTCAGAATGGGGGAAGCCATATTGAGTAGGATCCCCCCATGCCCAGTTCTGGAGGTCTAGAGGAATACGCAAATTGGATCTGGTTATATTAGCAGCCCCCCTCCCCCACTCCCCATTCAGATGCTGGTGATCCAAGACCTGCACTTGAAGAACTCTGCCCTAGGACCACTGGGGAAAGGCCCAGGCTGGTATCCAGACTGGGCCAGGAGTATGGGTGTGGCCCCTGCATTCCAGATTCCAAGGTCTCTCCCCACCTGCCGGCCCACCTGGAATTAGTCCAGGTGCTTTGAGATAAAGAGGAAATCCAGTCCCAACCCTGCCGAGGTGGCTGCTTTGGGGTCAATATAAACCTGGACTTCCTAGGCCCTGAATCTCAGCAAGCTGGGCCCAAGGTGTCCGCTTGTTGGTTGGTGGAGAAGGTAGAAATCAAATCAGTGGCACCCAACTCCCTGGAAGAGGTGCTGACCTAGTTGCCCTCCCTCCAGCTCCAACACAGGCTTTGGAAGAGAAAGCCACACGCCATCCCCAGGGCCCAGCTCAGTCAGCCGGGTACAGCAGCAAGAGCATGTGTTGTCTTGGGCCTGGGTTCAAATCCCAGCCCTGTTACTTACCGGTTGTGTGGCCTGAATCCCAGTTTCCTTGCCTGTAAAACGGGGATAGTGGACTCTACCTCTGCAAAGATTAATAAAGAACATTTGCAAGGAAAGCACAAGCATCCTGCAAATGTTTGTTTTCTTTCCTCTCTGGCAACTGAAATCCACCATTAGCAGCAGAGACATCCCCAGACTCCTCTTTAAAATGCACAGAGCTGGGAAGAGAGGGACAGTTATTAAGTCCACCTGAGATGAAGCACGTGCAACGCTCTGACTTTCACAGCTGTAGGATGGAAATGATTATGTTGTTCCAGTTATTGAGTTACTGACACCTGAGAAAAGCAGGCCTGGCGGGTCCTTAGAAAGCAGATTCTGGTCTCACTCCCTTATTTTAAAAAGGGGAAAGGCAGAGAGGAGGAGCGGCTAGCTCAAGGTGACCCAGAGTCAGGGACTGGAAGAGTCAGGCTCAAATCCAGTTTGCCTGTGATTTTGCTTATGCTAGGATAGACAGGTGCTGGGAGGCAGGCCCAGGCTCCTATGGGATGGGAGGGGCCCTAACAAGGTAGCCCTGCTGCTGCTGTCCACTTCCCTAGCCCTTGGAACAATGCCTGGCACATAGTAGGTATTTATTGAATAAGGGCACCCAGTAGGCATTTATTGAATGAATGAATGAATGAATGAATGAATGTGGTGACAGGAAGACAAAGGCACCCTCCCATAGGAAGGTATCTCTGTGAGACTGTGGTCACCTTGATAAGGGGCCCTCAGGGCCTTCCCAGGGCTGAGCCCACATGTCCATCTCGTCTCCTCCAGATGGCAGCTATGAGGGCAAAGGAAGGAAGATTCTGAGAGGAGAGGAAGCTGCAGCCAGGGGGATGGAGGTTAGACAGCAGGCGAGTCATGGGAAGGAGCGCAGAACGGAGGCTGGGGATGGCTTCTTCCATCAGAGCTCTGTGAGGGAGGAGTGGGGCTGTGTGTGTGTCTGGGGGAAGGCAGGGGAGCTCTGTGAAGCTGTGGGGCACCTAGGGGAGCCCTTGAATCACACTTGCTAAGAGTCTGAGACACCTGGGGGGCTCCATGGGCAAAGGCCACCTCCACTCCTCAGAGGCAGATCCAGCTCAGCTCTGGCTGCTGAGAATCCTGTCGCCATGGAGATGAGGAGCTGGCTCGTCTGACAGCATTGGCGGCACTGGGCGTGGCCTGCCCTCAGCATGATTTGCAGGTGGGGGTGGGCAAGTTGGGGCAGCAAAGGGATTCCGTAGGACTGTGTCAGGTGCAATGTTGACTGACACATGCAATGTGGCTGCTGCTGGCTTTACAGTCCACTGACATGGGCCTGCATCCCAGTTATTAACTGGCGGCCCTGAACAAGGGCCACAGCATCTCTGAGCCTCAATCCCAGCATCGGTAAAATGGGGTTGGCAGTATTGTTCGCACGGTAGTTGTGACATTCACTCGAGCCTGTCAATGGGGAGTACAGTGCTGGGGCACAGCGAAGACTCAGTAAGTGGTGACTATTACTTCTTAATTGGTGTTAGGATTGGGGCCCTGCAGGAGCCTGCCCCAAGGCAGCAGCCCCCTGCCCTCAGCCTGCTCCCTGGGACTCCCAGGTGAGACTGGAGAGAGGCCTGACTCCTTTTCCACAGACAAAGGCGATCAGGAGTCAGGAGTTATATCATCCTTTGAACATGGGCCTGGAGGCTCTGCCGCAGGCGCCTCTGAAAAATAAATAATAACAACGTGAATAATTCACAGAATCTGTGTGAATAATTCACCATGGCCTCCTAAGCACCAGCCGATTAGTCACCGCAGACCCAGGCTCTGGTCTTGTCTGCCTCAGGCTGCCCCACTGGCCCTAGGGAGTGTGGCCTGGCCACAGGGGCAGGAGGTGGAGGGCATGTGGGGACACTTAGAGGAGCCCTCTGGAGGCTACAGGGTCCTGAGGGGCAGCCAGGAGATAGGGCTGATGGTCTCTCTGGGTTTTACAGAGACCCACAGGCTGGGGAAGTCAAAGGGGACTGGCCTAGGGTCCCCAAGTGAGTGGGACCCTGCCCTGGCCATATCAAGTCGCTTTCCTCTCTGGGCTGCATTTTGGAGACTTGGACTTACTATATTTTAGTAGCCAGTAACCAGCCGTGGCTGGACAACACTAATGCAGCCCCATCTCTACAGGGACCCAGCTGCACCTCTTAGCCCTGAAATAGATCTTGAGAAGCTCACACAGCCCTGTCATGTTTCTCTTGGGAGTTAGGACAAGGTAGGGGTGAAATGTCCCAGCTCAGGACTCAGACATCAGTTGAACCCTCAGTTGCCCGTTGTAGGACCTGGCCAAATGGCTCAAATGTTCCAGGTCTTCATTTCCTCATCTGTAAAATGGGGATTAAAAAACACCCACCTCGTAATGTTATTATTATTCTGCAGATGAAATGATGTAATGACCATAAATTGCTTTGTGCAATGCCTGGCACATAGTAAGTGCTAAAAAACAGTGGCTGTTATAGATAGATATTTGTTATCTTTCCAAAGATAGCATATTGGGGATTCAGGATAAGAAGAGGGATGCTCAGACATTGCAGATGTTCGTATAAAACATGATCCGCAGGCCCAAGAGATGGGTATGGTCTGCCAGGCTGTTTGTTAGAGTGTAGGGGGACTCCGAGATCCTCTAAGTATACACTCCACTCAAAACACTGAGTCTCCTGTTTGTTTCCTCCTGAGCACTTGCCACATTTGTTAGTTGTTTTCTTATTTACTTTTATGATCTGCCTTCCCCACTAGATTGTGAGCTCCACAAGGACGGGGACCTCATCTGTCTTGTTCTCCATTTTATCCCCAGTCCCTAGACTATGGCCTCGCACATAGTAGGTGCTCAGTAAATGTTTGTCAACTGAATAAATGGATTCATCAGGAGGCATGAGATCATGAAGGGCTGCAGGAACAGAGTCTTCATCATGGGTAGGGCAAGAGGGGCTCTCAGACAGTTGCTGGGTGTGCAGCTTAGAGAGGGGAAGGTGGTTCTAGGGCTGGCCCCTGGCAGACTGGCTGCTGGTGATGCTGCAGGGCTGTGATGATGCCCATCTGCCCCTTTCTTCCCCACTTCCCAGGTAAGCTCTCTGAAAACCAACAGTACAAGGGAGGCTTAATGGTGGCACAGGCTTGCTGCGTCTTCCCCAGTAATGATTTAATCATTTGTTTAGAATTTCCTGTGGCATTAATGATTATCCCCCAGAACGGGGGGAATAATTGGCTGTGTTCTCTTGGTGAGCGAGCTCCCTGTTGGCGGGGAGCTGAGCCTGTTCTTCTGTATTCTTCCTCTCTCACCTGCCTGCCACTCACTTGCTGGGTGATGGAGATGGATGAGCTCATGTGTGCAAAGGGGCTGGGAGGACACCTGGAGGCTGCAGGGAGTTGGGCGACGGGGGGACCGAGAAAGAGATACACAGAAATGCAGAGACCGTGGAGAAGTAGCAAGAATCAGAGACCGAGAGAGAAAATGATATTGCGAGTTTGTGTTCTTAGGCTGAGTAATCCCCAAACTGAGCTCACAGCTTCAGTTCTTCCTAGTAGCTTCACTCCTCATTTTGCAAAACCTTCTGTGCATGAACGTGTACTCTTGTGTGTATGCACATGTGGGCATCTCTAGAGCAGTGGTTCTCAGAGTGTAGTACTCGGGCCAGCAGCATCAGCAGCACTTGATGTGCTTGAAATGCACATTTTCAGGCCCCTCCCCAAACCTACTGAATCAGAAACCCAAGAAGTGGGGCTTAGCACTCAAATAGGATTTCTAGGTGATTCTGGTGCACCCAAATTTGAGAAGCCCTGTTCTGATGTATACAGTGTGTAGAGATGTGTGAGGTGGATGCATGTGCCATGTGAACATGGCCACGTGGACACACATGCGGGTGTCTGAGCATTGGAAACTGCAGCAGCAAAAGCCCAGGCAGAAATCAGGCCCCTGCCAGAGAGCCCAGGGGTGCCTGTTATTTGGAAGAAGGGGCTCAGGTCCAGCAGCAACTCCCCCATCATATCCACCTACCCCTTGGTGGCCACAAGACTCCACTACCTGGGATAAGAGGGGGCTGCTGTCCCTGCCAAGGCTTCCATAAAGTTGGCCTGTCAGCAGGATCTGCGGGGAGCTGCTAGTCTCATCCCTGACACTCCAGCGTGGCTGAAAGAGGGACTGCATCCTGGCCCCAGTACTCTAGGGATTTATAGTCCTAGGGACCCGTCCCGCTCCTCCTTGCTGCTCTTGGGCCTGAAGAAGTGAGTTTTCAGGGATTAACTGATTTAAGGAGGATTATGCAGGGCTAGGGGGAATGAATTATCAGCGGAGAGAACCGCAGCACCCACCTGCTGGAGCAGCCAGCAGTGCAGCATCACTGAGGCCTGCGGATGATATTTCAGGAGGAGGTGGGTAGGGTGAGAGAGACCCTTCAGGCTCTGAGGGTAGCTCCCAGGTGTGAAGGTGCTGCGTTGGGGAGGGGAGGGGAGGGGAGGGTAAAGGATAGGGGAGGAAAGGAGTCTGGGGAAGGAGGGGGCCGGTGGAGGAGGAGGATGAATAATTTGGTTAGGTAGAGGGGGAGGCCACAGGAGGGTGGATAGACTGATAGAAGGAAGGAAGGGAGGGAGAAGGGAGGGGTGGGTGAAGAGAGCACAGAGGGAGAAGCTCTGGATGGAGAGGGGAAGATAAGGAGAGGTGGGGATGCCAGGACAGTCGAATAAAGCAGTGCAATCTCAGGGGAGTCTGTAGGGAAGCTGGCGGGAGGGAAGTCACTAGGGAGTGGGGGCTCCATGCTTCGGGAGGAGGGGTGATGGGGGCCTCTCCCACCCTAGGCTAACCTGAGGGAAGGGGCATGGGCTTGAACTTCACAAGTAATCTTAGAAAAGTGAGCTGATTATTGAGTTTTGTATTTAACAAGACAAAAAAGTGGAAGGAGTATGAATAATTAGGAAGTAATGAAGACTTTGCAAAAATAGCATTTTATTTTTAAAAATTAGCAAAGAAAATATTGAGAACATGTGCAAATTGGCCATCTTGGCCAGGTGAGTGAGTCAGCAACCCCTGACAGCCCAGCTGGGCCTGGGGATGTGAGGAGGAAGCAGCCAGGCGGCCAAATCCTGCCAGAGAGTGGGTGGGGACGTTGACATCATTCACCTCCCCCCTGCTTCCCAGCCTGCGGCTTGGCTCACTCTGCTGGGGCACCTGGGACCCATTTGGGGGGAGACCGTGGCAGTCCCCAGCATGATGCTGACCTCAAACGTCTAGGCCCAAACCCCCAGCATCTCTTGCTTCCTTTAATTACCACTGGGGTCCTGTCATCCATTAATTTTGTGCAACCCTTTCTGAACTCCATTCTATTTTCAGCTTGTGAAGACCCCTTGGGGGTAACAAATTCCAGAAGTTGGACAGCAGCTGGTTAAAGCAGGACTTCCCTTTAGAAATCCTAAATTAAGTAACAACAGCTTTAGAAGGGACCTCCTGGTTCTGGGCTGATGCTTCCTTAGCAGTAACTTGGGAGGTTTGGGTCAACACTACCCCCTCGGCCCTCTGCAAGATTTCTAATAGCCCCTTTGCTCCTACATTCCAAATGTTCTGAGCTTTGAGGTCAGACAGATTTAGGCCCAAACAGGGACTCTACCACTTCCTGGTTGTGTGACCTTTAGCAAATCACTTATCTTTCTGTCTTCAGTGTTTCCATCTGAAAAATGATAAATAATCATACCTTCTATTTCCAAGATTGTTGGGACATGATAAAATAATGTATGCAAATCAACTCAAATAGTTCTTGGCACATGGTAAGTGGGAGCTCTGTGGAGCACCCACTCTGTGCCAAATGCTGTTCTACGGGCAGGTGATAGAATACGACAGGGAGGCCCCTGCCCTCAGGGAGCTTCCATCCCAGGAGGATGCTGGAGATGACCATAGGCCCGGAAGCAAATCAGTGGGGGATTCCAAAGAGTGATCTGAGCTATGAGGACAATGAAAAGGTCACGGGCAGGTGGGGGATAGATGGCTCATCAGGGAAGGCCTTTCTGGTAAAGTGACATTTGGGCTGTGACATGTGAGCTGAGAAGAAGCCAGATGAGTGTGGATGTGGAGGAGGCATTCTTGTGAGTAGTCTCAGGATTTGTGCGATCCCAGGGGAGTCTGTAGGGAAGCTGGCTGGAGGGAAGTCACTAGGGAGTGGGGGCTCCCTGCTTAGGGAGGAGGGGTCACGGGGGCCTCTCCCACCCTAGGCTAACCTGAGGGAAGGGGCATGGGCTTGAACTTCACAAGTAATCTGAGGAACTACTTACAAATCCTGAGATTTGTAAGTAGTTCAGGGCCACATTTTTTGCATCCTGAATGGTTTCATAGAATTGGACTCCTTGCCCCTCATCCCAACTCTTTATCTCAGGTTTCCCCTGTCTCTGCGCTTAGAGTCCTCTTGTCTGTTAATGGGTCCCGGGTCTGGGAAAGTGGTAGAGCAAACGGGGCTAAGAGCCCCGCCTCCTCCTTCCCTCACTCCCTCACTCCCACACGGTCCCTCCCGTGGTTCTCCTGCCGCCTCGCTGGCTGCCCAGGGTGATGGATGCCTCCTTGCAGGGCTGAGTCATGTGTGCCTCTTGCAAGCTCTGGGCAACATCTCTGTTACTGCTGTGCTCCCTGCTCCACTCCCCTGTGGGAAGGCAGATTTATAGGGGTTTTCCCCGGGGACTGCACGTGCATCTGCTTCACCCTGGCTTGGAGGCTGCAGGAGAATGGGCCGCTGCACAGAGAAATTTTCTTCAATGCACAGATGGGGAAACTGAGACCTGGAAGGGAGAAGAGGCTCCTAAGGTTGTGCTGCCACTGAGCAGGGGGCTGAGCAGGGGCTTGAGGCCTGATCTCCAGACTCGGTCCAGAGCTCTCTTTCCTGGCACACTTGGCTGTTGGCCCAAATTTAGGTCTTTGTCAGGGTCTTAGCTTCTCAAATTCCAGACCTAGGTCTGTGCAGCCCTCTCTGAGGAGCCCCAGCCCAGCACTCTGTGTAAGTAGCCTCTATTAGTAGTGATGGCCTAGAGTGCTGTGTTGAGGTTTTTGATGCTGCACGGGGCTTCATAGGAAAGTGTTATACAATAGTCCAGTGCTTCTCAAACTCCAATGTGCATCAGAATCACCTGGAGGACTTGTTAAGCCACAGATTGCTGGCTTTTACCCCTAGAGTTTCCCATTCAAGGGGTCTGGTGTGAAGTCTGATGATTTGCATTCCTAAGAAATTCTCAGGTGATGCTGATGCTGCTGGTCTGAGGCCCACACTTTGAGAACCTCTGCTGTAATTGATTAGTGCTGTCTGCTCTGGGCATGAGAATAGGGAATTGTGACAAGTATGGCATATATTTGCCATTCCTCTTCTAGTAGGACTGTGGAATCTTTTTCTTATAAATTATAAATCTATAAATAAATTGTAAATCTTTATTTTGTAGGCAGCCAGAGTAATTTTTTCAAAATACAAACCTAATCATATGACTTAAAATCCTTTGAGGAACCTGCAGACAAAGAGAAAATGATATAGTGTCTTACCCAGTGCAGCCACTGCCCACCGTCATAGCCCATCTTACATCACATGGCCACCTATGTCTCCCTCCAGTCCATCTCATTGTCTAGCATAGCTTTGGCCACAGGGCATTTGCACATACTGTTCCCACTGCCTGGAATGCTCCTACTGTCCAGTTAGGCTCCTTGCCTAATGAACTCCAACTCGTTTAGAGACCTCAGATCAGTCATTGTTTCTTCAGGGACGCTGTCCCCAACCTTTCTGTTCTGGTCAAATTCTCCCATCATGTGTTCTCACAGCCAGGTGAGCCTCTTCTGTGGTGTGTTTAGCACAATTATAGTTCCATGGAAGTGGTTATTTGATTAATGTCTGTCTAGACCAGACTAAGGGACCCAGCTCTAGGAAGGACAGAAACCATATATTCTTTCTACTTATTATTGATTCCACAGAGCCCAGCATGGTGCCTGTTATATAGTAGGGGCTCTGTAAATATTTGTAGAAAGAGAGCAAGAGGAGACGATGTTGTGAATTTCCACTGGGCTATTGTTTAAGATTTTGCTGGAAGGGGAAGGACGGACGTGGTCAACCAGCAACCAGCAAATGTTTATTGAGCACCTACTGTGTTTCAAGGTATTTGGGACTCAAGGCCTTGAGGTTTCTTTGCCTTAGCCAAGAACAATCTCCGAGGTGGACAGTGAGAAGGGGGAAAAGAAACTTGAATTTACTGCACCCTCTCAGTGGGCTGGTCTTTTGCTTTACGTATGCTGTCTTGTTGCATTCTCAGAATGGGTCAGCACTATTCCCATTTTCCAGATGAAGAAACTGAGGTTCTGAGAGGACAAGTGGATTGTGTCTGAGGCCTGTGCATGAATTCCTTTCTTCCTTCCACCCTAGTAAAGTGTGAGGGGGCCCAATAAGGAAGAGCACAGATGTTAGAGTGGCTGAGAGGAGGGACTCTATATTCTGGTCAAGTAATTCAGGCTATTCTTTCACCAATTTTATAGACCTTGTTGCTGGTGGCACAGGTTATTCAGCAGTGGAAAGACAAAGTCCCTGCCCTCATAGAGCTTACATTCTAGTTACAGGAGACATGGAACAAATAAACAGATAAATAAGTTATTGTCAGATGGTGTAAATTCTGTGAAGGAACTAAATTGGGGTAATGGGCCAGCAAGTGGATATGGGATATATTTTATCTTTGAGACAGGGTCTCACTCTGTTGCCCAGACTAGGGCTGGAGTGCAGAGGTGGGAATCGTAGCTCACTACAGCCTCAAACTCATGGGCTCAAGTGATCCTCCCACCTCAGTCTGTAGCTGGGACTACAGGAGCAAGCCACCATGTCCAGCTATTTTTTAAAGAATATTTTGTAGGGATGGGGTCTCACTATGTTGCCTAGGCTGATCTCGAGCTCCTGGGCTCAAGTGATCTTCCTGCCTTGGCCTCCAAAGTGCTGGGATTATAGGCACGAGCCACGATGCTCGGCCAGAAGATATTTTAAATGCAGGCTTCAAGGAAGGCCTTTTGGAGTAGGTCAGTGGTCTCCAACCTTTTTGGCACCAGGGACCAGTTTCATGGAAGGCAATTTTTCCATGGACCCCGGGTGGGGGTCGCAGTGGTGGTGATGGTTTCAGGATGAAACTGTTCCACCTCAGATCATTAGGCATTAGATTATCATAAGGAGTACGCAACCTAGACCCCTTGCATGCGCAGTTCACAATAGGGTTCACGCTCCTATGAGAATCTAAAGCATTCTCTGACAGGAGGCAGAGTTCAGGTGGTACCGGTCTGTGGCCTGGGGGTTAGGGAACCCTGGAGTAGGTGACATTTAAACTGAGGCCTAAATTATGAGAAGGATCCAACCAGGGCCCACTTCTCCATTAAGGACAGTAGCACAGTGCCCACAATACTTTTAGGGGCCCTCAAAATATTTTAATTTCTTTTAAAATCAGAAGAAAACAATGAACTTTTAGGTTAAAGAAACTATAGGTTAAAATAGTTTCTTTCTTTTTTTTTTTTTTTTTTGAGAGTCTCGTTCTGTCACCCATGCTGGAGTGCAATGGCGTGATCTCGGCTCACTGTAACCTCCATCTCCCAGATTCCAGCAATTCTCGTGCCTTGGCTTCCCGAGTAGCTAAGATTACAGGCACACACCTCCACACCCAGCTAATTTTTTGTATTTTTAGTAGAGACGGGGTTTTGCCATGTTGCCCAGGCTGGTCTTGAACTCCTGAGCTCAGGTAATCTGCCAGCCTCAGCCTCCCAAAGTGCTAGGATTACAGGCATGAGCCACCGCGCCCAGCCAAAATAGTTTCTTTAACATAACCATGCTTATACCAATGCAGTACTAAAATATAATTTGTATATATTTTCATGAAGGAAGGGACCCACAAAGGCAAGTGCCTAGGACCCACACAAATCACAGTGTGGCTCTTGCTCCAACCATGGGAGAAGCCACAGAAGAGCATTCCAGGCAGAGGGCACGGCAAGTGCAAAGGTTCTGAGGTGGGAATGAGCTGGACATGTTTGAGAAACAGCAAGAAGGACCTCAAGTGAGGTAAGTAGCTTGGGGAGAGTGATGAGAAATGAATGTGGAGGGTCAGATCGTGGAAGAACTGTGCATAGAGATGCGGGCCAGGGTGAGGAGGTGAGCTGATGACCAAGGGGGCTGCCACTGACTGCTCTTGGGGGCAGCAGGTAGTGAGCTGCTTCTCAGTGTCAGAAGGGCTAGGGCCGTACCTGGGCTAGCAGGGTGACCAGTGTGTCCCCTTTAGGGGAAGGCTTGAATACAAACCTGCCTGCTACATCTTTCCAGCCAAGATGCAGGCCCAGGGAAACCTGTCTCTTGACAACCCACAATCCCTAAGAGATTTCCTGGATCCTCCTGCCCCCGAGGAAAAAAGTGGGCTGTGTCTCAGGCATAGCGCTGAGCAGGTGTTGCTTGGTAGGTGTTTCTGAGTTGGGGGCTGAGCCCCTCTGTCTTGGCCTCATTTCTGGGGCTCACAGCCCCTCCCTGGGACAGCCAGTATTGGAGGGGGGGATGGGACTTCAGCAAGTGAGATACAGTGAGGAGCTATTTAAAGCTGCCGGCAGCTCTCCCCTTCTGTTCGCGGCTCTGCTGGGTGGGAGCTGCCATCGTCACGCACCCACCGGTGCCTCAGGAACACAGCAGCCCAGCGCACCCACACGGAGGCACGTGGAGAGGGTCTTGGTGCACTTCCACAGGCTGGCAGGGGTCCCGCAGCTTGTAGGGCAAGGCTGATAAAGCAGGAATGGACCCTGGACAGCCCCTCACTCTCACCCCGGGTTTCTACCTACAGCCCAGAAAAGTGGCCTACATTTAGGTCACCTGCCCTCCATTGGCTACAAGTGCAAACAATTAGCAGCTTCTTGAGGGTGTTGATGGAGGCAGGGGGGATCTTCAGGCCCTGTGGGACTGGTCGTGCTTCTTGTGCCCTGGAGGTTGTCCCATGCCTTGGGGGAGGAGCGACAGGCACCCAGCCCTCCCAAAGCTGTAGCTTGGAATGAGCGTCTTCCTGGAATGTTCGGGACCCATCCCTGCCCCACTCACACCTCCCAGGGTCCCACCAGAGGAGACTGACTGTAGGGGCTGCCTAGGGCCTGCAGGGGCTAAAAGTGCAAGCTGTGGAGGAAAATGGGCCCTGTTATGAATCCAGGCACGTGACTTGACCTTGTTGAGCCTCAGTTTTCTTCTCTGTGAAGGAGAGAAGGGGGCATTGGGTGTGATGAAGGGGACTTATGAGCCTTTTTCTTCTCTGTGATGTGGGTATAAAAACAGTGTCCACCTCAGATGGTCAGGGAGATTTTGAGTTTAAAATGTCCAGCTTTCTCATAGCCTAGCAGAGTGAGCAATCAATGAGCGAAAGCTTTTACCTATATTATTATTGTTATCGTTTATTTGAAATTGCTCTCCTCTCCCCCAAAACCAAAGGGTCATAGTGGTTCTCTTCAGGACCCGGTGGATGCAGACATAGGCTGCAGGGTCCGGGGGAGGGGAAGCAGCAGGTGAGTTTGGCCTCTGGGTGACTATGTGCCATCTGTGGCCTGGACACACACTGGCCCCTGGCACTTATTGGGACTCCCTGTGAAGTCATCAGCCAGCCTTAATGACTGTTGAAGGCTCCATCCCTGTTCTGATGCTCACCAGCAGAACACCCTGCTCACAGACCCAGGTTCAGGAGCTGTTCTGAACCTCAGGTGAGAACTGCTGATCAACCAGACCAGGGCAAGGGGGAACTTGGGCTCTTCTTTCTGGACCAGACAGACAGTTCTACAGGGTCAACCCTGAAACACAGAACCACCTGCAGGGCCAGACCACAGTGATAAGAGGATCTCTAAGGGGAATGTCCTAAATAGGGAGGACCTCTGGCAACTCAAAACTGCACAGGGAAAGGAGAGATGGGGAAGCCTCAGGACTGAGAGGTGAGGGCTAGAAGCAGCAAAGTGAGTACTGGGAGCAGAGGCCTGCCATTAGGTGCAGCCGGGGAGACAGGCTAGGAGCAGGTAGATGGAGCTCCAAGGAGCCCACCCAGTGGCCTTTCACCACATCCAGGTTTCTTCATCTCCTTTAATACCTCCTTCTGACCCATCCACTTCATCCACATTCACCATCCCTTGAACAAACCTCATGCAATGTCCCATCACTCCAGCCAGTGTCCCCTTCATCACACCAAATGCCCCTTCTCCCTTCTAGGCCCTTTTCACTGAACCTCCTTCACTTTCATCCCATCTGATTGCATCCCAAGGTGCTACGACCTCCACCTAACCCCTCCATTATCCCACCCAGGGTCCTCTCCAGGCATCCCCAAGTCCTCTGCCAAAGTCCCAGGACTCCAACTTCAGCCCAGCTAGTTCCCTTTTCCAGGTCCCCATCACCCCCCCTCCGTGAGCCGCCCCGGAGCTGAATCAGAGCCATAGAACTAACATTTTGCACACACGTCTCTCCAGATGACAGGCAAGCTGGGCCTTCTGCCCTCGGCCCACACATACCCGTGCTCAGGAAGCACAGAAAGCCAGGGCTGCACCCCACATGGGTGAGGAAGAGGGCTGGGGGTGGGGGTAGGGGCCCTTCCCTGCCGGAGAGCTAGCCCGGCCCTGGCCCCTCGGGCCTTTGTTCAAGGCTTGGGACTCACATTTTAGGGAGCAGAACATGTGTGAGATGGAGAAATACACAGGGCTGGTAGACAGAGGCAGCGAGAGAGCTCCTATCAGAGACAGGGACAGGACAGAGCAAGGCGTGACAGGGAAACAGGGAAGGAGAGAGAGGCAGGGATGGAGGCTGAATTAAGACAGAGATCAGAGATGGACAAGGAGAGACAGAAATAGGAAAAGAGAAAGGGAGAGTAACTGAGGGAAAAAGCAAACACTCACAGGGAGGGAACCCGGAAGAAAGGAAGCAGAGATGAGCAAAAGGAAGAGGAGGCATTTGTGAGCCTGGGGGAGGGAGAAGAAAAGGGACCCTGAGAAGGATCGAGAGCTCAGATGGGAAGGAGCCGTCAGGAGCCTGAGCAGACCCTGAAGAGAGGCCTCCGAGAAGCTCAGGAAAAACAGAACCCAGGGCTTCTGCAGGATGATCCAGGGCTGTGCCTGGAGCAGGAGAGCAGAGGCAGCTCCCAGGACTCAGAGGGGAGCTGCTGGCAGGTGCACTGAAATTACTGGGGAGGACCATGCACTCCCTGACCTGGCAGAGCCTGGGCCCAGGACTTGGGCCAGGAAGGGTTGGGCTGATCCCAGAGCAGGCCTCCTGACGCTAGCCAGTGTTCTTTTGCTACCCAGCATTGCTTCTGTCCATATTCCTAATAGCACCATTTATTTGAGAACCTACAAGGTAACAGGTACTTACAGCCATTCTCTCTTCCAATCCTTTCACAAAATGCTTGCAAGACCAAATCATTGTTACCCCCTCAGATGCAAAAACTGAGACTCAGAAACATGAAGAACCTTGTCTAGATCTGACTCCACCATGTTACCTATGAGCCTTTTTTCTAGCAGTACTGTGAAGTCTCATCTAAGCATTCACATTTTGTGAGTCTGCAGTTTGCCCATTCACCAACACATACACATGGGTGGACCCCAGGAGACACACACATGCACACACACAAAGGTATCCCCAGAGGGGACTCGGTATCTGTCCTTCATCTGTCCCATGGCTTCCCCACCCCCAGCCCCAGCTCCTCTTGCTTCCCCTCCACAGTATCTCAGATCACCTCCCTCTAGCTCAGCAGCTAAGCACAAGGATGACGTCATTCCTTTTATTTAAAGAAAAGGGCTGAGCTGGAGCTCAGGATGGGGGACCATGTGGGAGCAAAAGCCAAGTGACTGGCCTCCCAGCTCCTGGCCTCTTCTATTCCCCAACCCGCAGTCTGCTGAGCTGCCTCACGACTCCTGCCACATCCCCTGAGAAGCACCCCAGAGAGGGCCCTACTCAGCATGGGAGCAGTATGGGGAGACCAACAGGTTAACCAAGAAGCAAGAGTTCTGTGAGGGTGTTACCAGCTAGTGTGTTTGTTAAGGGCTCTCTGAAGTCAAGATACATGCTTTTGTTAAAGGCATACAGGGGAAACTGAGGCTCCAGGACATTAAGTCATCCAAGGTGGTTATCTGTGCATGGCATTCCAGTAGGAGGGTGCCAGGGAGGAGGACCAAGTAGGGAACTTACTACCAGAATCACTAGGTCTAAGTTCTTTCTCTTTCATGCTCTAATGGTCAGACTCTAACCACCTGTTTCTTCCTGGAACACCTGAGAGGGGGCTTTAGCACAGAAAGAGCCCCTGGCCCAGGAGTAGGTCTGCTCAGCTGCTGTGGCCTGAGTTCTCATCCATGCCAGGACCTCTCAGCAATATCTCCAACTATTTCATGCCCCAGCCTCACTCCCTTCTGGAAGGTCCTTTTTTGAGGGGTATGGAGCATTTAGTACCTCATTTAAATCTAACAACATTGCTAAGAGATTGGTACAACTATTACCTCATTTTACAGACCAGGCAACTGAGGCTTGGAAAGGGTAAGCTACCTGCCCAAGTCACACAGCTGGTAAGTGGCAAAGCCGGAGTACAAACCCAGGCCTGTCATGTTCTAAAGCCACTATCCTCTGCTTCTTACTATTCTGCAGGACTCTCCCCCAAGACCCCCTGTGCTCCCCCGCAATGGACTGAATGTTCGTCTCCTCCAAATTCATATACTGAAATCCTAACCTCCAAGGTGGAGCCTTTGGAAGGGGATTAGGTCAGGAAGTCAGAACCCTCGTAAATGGAATTAGTATCCTAATAAAATAGATCCTTGAGAGCTCCTTCACTCCTTCTGCCATGTGAAGACACAGCAAAAAGGCACCGTCTAGGAAAAGTGGGCCCTTGCCACACACCGAATCTGCTGGCACTTTGATCTTGGACTTTCCAGCCTCCAGAACTGTGAGAAATCAATTTTTATTGTTTTCAAGCTCCCTATTTTATGATATTTTGTTGTAGCAGCTGAAACAGACTAAGACATCCCTGAATGAGGTTAAGAGGTTTATTGAGTCTGCAAGCCTTTCTTCTCTACAACTTTATCCCAGCAAGAGACTCCACACCAGGGGACTGGGTGGAGTCCCACTCTCTTTTGTTCCCCCATCAGTTTCCAAGGTCCCTAACTCTGGCAGTCTTTAGTGAGTCCCTGCCAGAAACAGGCAGAGATGCTCGTTCTATATTTTATTTAGCCACTAATTGCCTGCATTTAAAAGGCATCACAGTGCCATCCACGTCCTCTGCTTCATGCCCTGATGCGTGTTTCTGCATGAAGGGACACGGGGCAGGGGAGTGAGGGGGAGAGGGGCCACAGTCTCCCCAGTGACAGCTTTAAAAGCCTGACCCCAGTGCTGAGTGCTGGAGGATGTCAGGTTGTCACCCTGAGAAGCGAGAGGAGGCATGCAGGGGCTGGGGCCTCTGCAGAAAGGAGGAGAGAGGTCAGGGCCCTGGCGAGGGCCAGGAAAGAGTTGTGGGGGGGCACTCCATGTCCCCACTCACCCCTAGGATGAGGGCCCGGCTGATGGAGATCTACCCAGAATGCCTTGTTTTCAGCTCCACTTTCCAGCCTGGAGGACTCTGCAATAAGCAGCTGCCTGGAAAAGGGTATGGTACGGGCCGCAGACAGTCATGTCTGCTGCGATCAGTAAGGAGACAGCATTTGAGCCTTGGCTTTGCCCAAGAGCAAGAGAAGGAAGTCAGGGGAGATGGGAGTAAGGGTTGGAAGGTGGAGGTAAATGGATGAGACAGGTGATAGGTAGATGGCAGCTAACTTTTGAGAAGGCCCCAGTATTCTCCCTTTGGGTTTTCCACCTGCTCAGGAGATGTACACCCTGGTAGATGAAGAGAAAACTTGCTTCTCATCATTTCCCAATCACTTCCAAGTCTAACTCAGAGCCAAATGTAATCTCACTCTGACACCAAGCCTCATACCAACAGCAAACCTACAATCAACCACAACCCTATTGACCCACTCCTCATCTCTAAATCCAAGCCTCATCCGACTACAGTTTCAACCCTAATCCCACACTTCATACCAAAATCAAGCCAAAATGCTCCAACTCAAACTCTAAGAGCAATTAGAATCCTAATATCATTTCCAACCCCAATCTAATCTTAACCAATCCATCACTCATCCCAGACTTCAACCCTAGTTCTTACTGTAATATCCATCTCATAGGGAAATCCACCCCCAACTTCTTTCCCAGTCCTTATTTCTCACCTGACCCAACCCCTTCTCCAACAACAATTTTACCTCCTAACTGCAATTGATGCCAATCACTTGCCCTGGCACTACATCTAGCCCCTGGCTTGGCCCTGTGGCACCTAGACAAGGCTGATTGAGGGTTAGAGGACTGCCATCTTGAGCCAAGCCACCAAGCCATGGGAACTTCAGGGTGGTGCCCCCCACTTTTTGAGTGCTCAAGGTCCCGGCTCTAAGTCTAGGAGTCTGGGCTCTTCCTGCTATGTTCAGCTCCCAGCCACCGGCCCCAGTGACACCAGCCGCTGGGCCTGAGCTAAGAAGCCATGCTTCTCCTGAAGAATGGCAAGAAATTAGCACTTGGCTGGGCCGCCCCATCATTGCTGTTCCTCACACCTTGCTGGGTAATTTCTACAAGACCAAAGCCTGAGCCTAATGGGCCGCCTGCTTCCAGCCCGGTGGACAACATCAGGGAAAGCAGCCCCCAGGGTTTCTCACAGACTAAGGGGCTCTGTGCTCTGCTGAAAGGATGGTGCTTACAGTTGTCAGGAGAGAAGGACACTCTGAAAGCTTGGGATCCTACAGCTGTTGGGTGAGAATGAGCAAGTTAAGAGTGCTCTGCTGAGCCTAAAAAGCAGGAAAACGTTCTCTGCGGCAATGGGAAAAGGAGTCATCTCTGTTAGTGACTTGAGTGCCAAAGAGCCATGTCTGTGCTCGGCACACGCCGAGTGGTGAAGCCTCCAGCGTGTACAGCCATCCAAGCAGCCCCACCGAGAACAGCTCTGTGTACCATGCCCCATTCCTGGGCCCACCACCGTCCACCCTCGAGCCACCCGGTGACGAACACCAGCCATCACCACCGCATGGGCTGGCACCCCACCAGTCCGCTGTCATCACCCACCCCTCTTCCTGGGGTCGGTCTGTCTGCTTAGATGGGGAGCTGGATGGCTGGCCTGGCCGCCAACTCTGCGTTCCCTGCCGGGCCCAGTGCACCATGATTGCTCACCAAAAGCTAACTAAATGGTCTGAACTTTCTCCAGCTTTCTTTCCCAGCAATTTCCACTTCCTGGGAGGGAGGAATGGTGACTTCCGCTCCATCCTACAAGGAAGGCAAGATGGTCTGGTGGCTAAGAGGCATAGCTCTAAAAACAAGCAAACATGTCTGACCACTAACCGTACCTCCAGCCCTATCATTTGCTAGCTGGATGGGCCTTGGGCAAGACATCTTGACTTCTCTGAACTTCAGTTTTCTGTTCTGTAAAGTGAAGATAATTATGGTACCTGTCTCAAAGAGCTGCTTTAAGAATTCAGTGAGGTAGCACACAGTAAGTGTGTGTGTGTGTGTGAGTGCTGAGCATAGTGGCTGACACACAGTAGGTCCTCAGTAAACATTAACTTAGGATCATGATGTGGCTACAGACATTGGTAGCCTAACTTCAAGACAGGGTCCCAAGAGGGGGTCAGTTTGGTCATTGTCCTGGAGAAGGCCCTAAACTTGATGTGTTTACGGTCTTGTCGGAAGCACCCACTTTGCTTTCTCTTCATCCTACCAGACATTCTCCTTTCCCCGTACCACCCTGGGCCAGGGAACCCAGTCATTCCTTCATTCACCCATTCACACATTCACTCATTCACTTCATTCACTCATTCAATATCCAACAAATATTTACAGATTGATTATTCTAATCCAGGCCCTGTGCTATGGGCTGGGGGATAAGTAAACAGGTCAAGGTGCCTACTTTCATGATACCCATGGCCTAAAGTGAAGGGGGCTGGGTGCTTTATCAGTGCTAGGGTGAGGGGCACACAGGAGGACACCCTGGTCTCAGGAATGGCTTCCTGGAGATGGGCTTGTATAAGCTAACATCTGGAGGACAAATAGGAGTTAGCTGGGCAAAGGTAGCCAGGCAAAAGGGAGAAAGAGTGTCTCAGGCAGAGGAAAACAGCCCCGGCAAAGGCCTGGGTGGGAGAAGACATGCAAGCTTTGTGTGACGAGTGTCCTGAGTCGAAGTGGAGCCATAAGCAATGATGCACCATGCAGGCTAGAGTTTGTTATCCTTCCTGGGAGCTCTCCCTGCTGGGATGGTCCTGCTGATACTTTTCCTTCTCTCCACACGCAGCCTCCACAAGGAGACCTGTCCTGAGCCCCTGCCTGGTTGTTGGGGAAAGGAAGGAGAGAGGGTGAGACCCAGGAGAGGAATTTGCACCCTGGGAGGGCCTGAGATGGAAAGAAACCAGGAAGAGTGATTCCTCAGCTGGAGATAATGTCTACAGTAACCAGTCCACTGAGGCATGAACTCCATTTTCTCACTCAATCTTCATAACAGCATTACAAGGAGATACTCTTATTAGTTCCGTTTTGCAAATGATGAGACTAACACATTGAGAGTTTCAGTAACATGCTTCACACCTACAGAATGTGGCCCTGGTGTCAGTCCCCAGAGCCTGTGCTCTTAACCCCCAGGCCACCCTGGATATGGGGCAGCACAGGGGTGGGGGTGGGGACCAGGGACAGGAAGGCAGTGGAGGGAATGGTTCTTGGGGTAGCTCCCCTTGGCCTCTTGACCAGCCAGTCTCCTTGAGACAGACCAGGGAGCAAGTGCCTGCCAGAGCCTGACAGGACAAAGTTCCCCATTCAGAGTTCTGATGATCTCTCCCAGCTGCTCAGCTCCTTGCAAAGCATTTTCCCTTAATAGCCTCCTATTCAACAGAACGGCTGCAGCCCACATCTGTGGAAACCAGGCCACAGCAACTCCTCCTACCAGGCCAGCAGGGCTGCCATGGCCATGGTCACCATGTCCTAAGCTTCTCCTTGTCCCTCCAAGTCAGGAAACTTCCAAGCCCCTTCCACTCCACCCGCTGTTTCCAGGACTCTGCCTACAGCAGAGGGACGGAGCTGAGATGCTTTCCCTCAGATCAGTCTGTCCTTAACTTTTCTCTGCCCAATGCATCTTCAGGGTGAGATTGGAGAGCAGGAGGATGGGTAGAACTCCTGGGTTCTCATCCCTCCTCTGCCTCTAACTTGCTTCGTGACCTTGGAAAAGTCACTTTACCTCTTTGGGACTACCGTTTCATCAACTGTAGAATAAGAAGAGGGCCCAGCCTGAAATCAGAAGCCCAGAATCCTGGATCTACCACTAACAAGGTGTGACCTTTGACATACCTCTCTGAACCTCAGTTTCCTCTTCTATATAAACAAGTCGACCCACCTCCGCAGCTACTGAGAGGATTCAAAGAGATGACCCATGTGAAGCACTTAGCATAGTGCCTGGCTCAAAGTAAACAACAAATAAATGTTAGCTGTAATTATTGTTATTACCATTTTCATAATTGGTGTTTTTCAAACTTTTTAGCTGTAGATTTTTTTTTATGTTCAAATGCAAATTTTTAAGCAGAACCCCGATACCATATATGAAAAGTGATGTGTTGGAAGAATGCTTGTTCACGCCTCCTGCCAGCTCTTCCCAGTGCTGATGCACAGGGGCCTCTGGTTTTGACCAGTAAGTCCCAGACCCAGCTGATTATCAGACCATCCTGGGAGGATTTCAAAACTAATATCCCAAGCCCTACTCCTGAGATTCTCATTCAGGGAGTCTGGGGTAACCCCAGAGAGTAGAGCTTATGGAATCATCCAGGTAGTTCTAATGATCTCCCGGGTTGGGGCATCATTAAGGACCCTTCTGGATCTGACAGCAGGACTTTGAGTACAAGGGCCTCCTTCCCTATGGTCCTCTCTTAAGCTGAGAAATAGCCCACACAGGCCCAGTGAGTTCCAGTTATTTCCATGCCCTCTCAGCTGGCCTCCCATCAAGGTTCCTTTCTGTGAGTTCTTTCTCTTGGAGTCCTGACCGAAAGGGAACACGGAGAAAATGCTCCTTGACTTCCCTCCAGGCCCAGCCCACAGTCACCATGTTCCTGCTCCTCCTTTCCAGGCCTACCTGTCTTGAAGGCTTTCCATGTGCCGGGCACCATGCCAAGTGCCTTACATTTACCATCTTGCTAAGTCCTCACAAAGCCCTATGAGGTATGAATTATCATCATGCCTGCTTGACAGATGAGAAAACAGAAGCAGAGAGGTGAGGTGACTTGATCAAAGCCACACAGCTGTAAATAGTCAAGATGCAACTCTACCCTAGGCCTGCCTGACCCCATAACTCATGCTCTTACCTGTACTGCTGATGTCCTCCCCTCTGTGCCCCCAACTCCTAACCTTACTCTATCAGTCTCTACTCCCTGCCTCCCACATCCCCAGAAACCTGCCAAAGTTTCTCCCAAGGAGCATGGCTTCGGGCCACAGCTCCTGTACTGGCAGGCAAGAAAAACCACAGCAGGGTCTGACCTAACTGGCATCTGAGAATGCCCTGGGTCCCAAATAGGAGTAGAGAGGCCAGGCACTTGCTTGGGAGATGAGAGATGAACGTGTGAATCCAGCCATCCAGCCAGTCTCTCCTGAGTGGATCTTCCATCTGCCATCTGCCATGTGGCATTCATCCATTCATCCATCCAGATACCACGTCAGCCTGAATTTACCAGCCCTGGTCATCTGTCAATCTTTCTTCTGACATCAGAGGCCACCCCGTGGTCCTTACTTGCCGCTTTGCTCATCAGTTGGTCAGTCCATTTTTACAGACCAAGGGCCTTGGTTTGTGAGATTCTGGGGTGGAGATCCCTGATCTCAGTGAGAACAGATCTAGCCACTGTTCCCACAGACCTCATAATCAGACACCCACAGAGCCAGCATCCATCCAGCAGCACCCCCAGGTCATGTTGTGGAACAAAGTCTCCCTTTCTGCCCCTACCACCACCTCATCTCCCCTGGGCTCAGCTGCCCCCACTGTTGGGGACCTTTCCCTTTGTGACCTGTCTTGGTAATTTGGGAGGTGATTAACAGCAATCACGCTTGAGTTTGACATCCAGGCACGGCCGCTAAATTGAGGCTCACAAAGCCGCCTTGACATCCAATATGTTATATGCTTTTCCCCTTAATTAGGAGCTAAAGTGGATAAATATGAAGTTGCCATGGCAACAGCCTCCCGGGTTGGTGGAGGGATGCAGCTCAGTTTCTGTCTGCTGGCTGGCTGACATGTTGGTTGATGGACCAAACTGGCTCCTGGGAAGGGTGAGATGGAGCCCTCTCCCACTTTCCTGGAACCTGCCCTCCAAGCCCCAGTTCTGGTTACTCTCTCCATCACTGCTCATCAGACTCCACAGAGTCTGACAATGCCCCACCTGGTCCATAGATCTCAGTTGGTCTAACTCCCTCATGGAACAGCTAGAAAAACTGAGGAGGTTGGTTCCTCCCCAAGGAGTGAGAGGCAGACAAGATCTAACACCCACATCTCCTGACTTCCAGACTAGTCAATAGTGGTTCTTAACTGTCTGGAGTACCTAGATCCCTTGAAGAATCTGTTGAAAGCTATAGATTCTGCAACATAGGCCAGAGATCAGCCACACAGTGGGGTTCTGACCCGGGACTGCAGCGAATCTGCTTTTAAAATTTCATAAACAGTCGAGCACATACTGTGTGCATTTTCTCACATGCTCTAAATTAATCCTTGAAATCCTATGAGGTAGGAACCGTAATTATCCCCATTTTACAGAGTTTCAGAGAAGTTTAGCCATTTTCTCAATGTCACACAGCTAGCTGGTGGAGGAGTCAGGATTTGGACCCAGGTCTGTCTGCAGACTGCGAAGTCCAAGCTCTAACCGCTATACTCTACTGCCACCTGGACGGCCTTTCTCTGACCCACAAGTAATGACTGTAGCAGCTGTGGGGTTTCAGCCAAGGAGTCCTTCTCTTGCCTAGGGAAGTGAGAACACTCTGAAAAACTCCCTCTCTTCCTCTAGCTCTACAGAAGGACGGGTGGAGGAGAGTCTCTTGGCTCTTGTCTCATACAAGCCTCCTATTGAGGAAGAGCCAGCCCCAAACACTGCTAATAGAGGTCAAGATGTTTAAATGTTGAAGGAAGAAGCCAGGGTTCCATTCAAAGAACCTACAAAAGAAAGCACCTCAGAGCTACCAAAGTCCTATTTTTGGGAGACCAAACTAGGTCTTCCTCCTTTCCCTTCTCCTTCTTTGCCAACAAGACCTACTGCAGAGCCCTGTGTTTGGGCAGGGAAAGGAGGCAGCGCTTCCTCCCCAGCCCCCAACCCAGAGCATGTCCCCTTGCTTGGAGATCCATCAGGCCCAAGCCTTGCTGGCAGGTGGGAGGTGAGCCATGCCTGCCTCCCCGAGGAGCTGGGACTCGGGGCTCCTCCAGCGCCCCCGCACCACGTGGCGTGGGTGCTGGCAGCAGGAGCTGGGGCTGGTGGCTTGGCCCTCGAACTTCCTTTCCTTCCAGTTCTGACTAAAAATAGAGACGGCAAGGACGCATCTCATTCTGTCAGACAGTGTAGGGGGGACGCCTGTGCAGATATAGGCCCCCTCTTTCTGAGCATGTAAGACCCAGCCCCCAGTTCTCCCCATATACGCCCCTGCCTCACAGCCTTCCTCTGTGGCAGCAGCCATTGCCCAGGATCCAGGGTTAGGGCAGGGGATTTCCCACTTTCCCGAAAGTGGCTTCACGGGTTTCCTCTCCCTCTCCCTTCAAGCCATGTAGGATGGGTGGGACAAGCCTGTCAGGACTGGACCTCTTCCTACCTTTCAGTACTGGAATTAGGTGCAGAAGTCCAGGCAGCTGAGTGGAGCCCTAGGGTGGTAGTAGTGGGCGAGAGAGAGTATGTGCTCTAAGGATGTCTTGTATGTTGCACTTCTCAGGGAATATGACTGTCAAGTCCCAGGGTCCCTCCTACCTCTTGGCTTCCTGCAGGTCCTCTCTCCAGGTGATTGAGAGAAACCCCTGGTCTCCTGTTTGGGTGCTGGGTTCCTGTAGGCAACGCTACCCATCAGAGAGGCTCAGGTGGGGTGTACAACAGGTGTGAGGGAGGAGTCTAGAATCATCCGCTGTTCCCCTCTACCCAGCTCCCCACACCCAGCTGCCCAGTTCAGAGCTATGCTTAGGGAGAATGCAGCCTCTCTGCAAAGACCCTCCTTGATATCAAAACACACACACACACACACACACACACACACACACACACACACACACCCTTTCCCGGACACAGTGAATTTATAAGACTACACCAGGTCTTGAGGGCAAGAAAAGCTGGGGAGGTGGGGCTAAGCTGTGGACAGGCACAAAAATGGTACCTTTACCATGGCTCCTTGTCACCCAAGGGAATGGTTTCTTCCTGGGGCAGAAGCCGAGCTCCAGACTTCTGATTCACCCCCACCCAATCCAATCTAAGCACACAAGACTCTAAACACTTACTGGTTCAATCACACAGGAGGTGGTGAGAAGTAGGAGGGAAGAAGCAGTTTGTTGTTTATTGCTAGTGCCTGGAACAGTGCCTGGCACATAGTAGGTGCTTGGAAAGCTTTGTTAAGTGAGTGAATGAGAGAATGAATAAATGAATGAATGAGATGCAGGCATGAACCAAGACAGGAAGGGAATCATTAAAGCCATCATTATGGTACTTTTGCAACAGGGTTGGACTGGGAAATTAGAGCCAAGGGCAGGCTAATAATTTGGTGCCTCTTCAAACCAACACTCTTTCAATATTTGTTCAATATTTATTTGGAAGAGAAGCTGCGCGGAGACTGTGCAGAGAAGGGGGCCTGCTCACAGCCCTCAGCCTCTCCTCCACCTGCTGAACAGTTCACTGCCGGCCCTAACCTTGCTTGCCCTACTGAGCTTCACCAAAACTCTTTGGTTCTCCAGGACCCGCCCCCTCGGAAGGGAAGGGAGTTTAATGAACAATTGTAGCCCGTCGGCCCCTGGGGATCTCACCTCTGTACCTAGCAGCTTATAGAAGTGTTCCTGCCAACACCCTCCACCCCCACAGCGGCTTGTGCCTGGTAGATACTCTTTTCTCCAACTCATTAGGTGACTAGTGAAGTTTTAGTGCCCCTTAGAGATGAGTGCCCCGGGCAGCCGCCTGGTGGACCCCTCTCCATCAGGCCTCTTCTCCAAGTGACTACGGAGGGGAACGGCATGGAGGAGGATTTCCTCAGTGCCCTCCTCAGCTCCTGGCCATTACCCACCACCATATTTAGGAGGAAAGGTCAGGAGGGGGAGGAGGAGTGTGTGCAGGGGTCAAATCCCATTGCTTCTAGCTTGGAGCAGGTGAGAGGAGAGTGACCAACTGGCTGCCAGAAGGGACTCCCACTTCCTCCCAGTGAGCTCTAGACCAGGCCTGTAGCTCTTGGTCCCCACTCTGCAGGGGAGCATCCTGAGCCCCATGAGTACAAGCCAGCCTGAGGTAGATGGCATCAGAGCTACTGAAGTAATACTGTCTGACTTCCATTCCCTGGGGATGCCCAGAGAAACCAGATGTCTGGCCAATGAGGCGCTCACCGGAGCAAAGTCTTTAAGTAAATACATAGTCACTCACTTCTGTTTCCTCCACTCTGCTCGCCTCACCCTCCCCTGCTTTCTGCATGCAGGCTCCTACTCCCATCTCAGCCCACCGGCCCCCTGCCCCACAGCCTCCCTGCAGCTAACTTCCCCTCTCCCAGGCCCATAACCAGCCTCTCCATCCCCTCCTCAGCCCCCTGCCACCTGAGCAGCCATAAAATGAAACATCTGAGCACCGGTACAGATGAACAAATAATAAAAACATTAACAGTATATTTCTTGAGCACTCGTTGTGTGCAAGGCACTAGGCTAAATATTTTTTTTTTTTTTGAGACGGAGTTTGGCTCCTGTTGCCCAGGCTGGAGTGCAATGGTGCGATCTCGCCTCACCGCAACCATCACCTCCCGGGTTCAAGCGATTCTCCTGCCTCAGCCTCCCAAGTAGCTGGGATTATAGGCATGTGCCACCACACCTGGTTAATTTTGTATTTCTAGTAGAGACGGGGTTTCTCCATGCTGGTCGGGCTGGTCTCGAACTCCCAACCTCAGATGATTTGCCTGCCTCGGCCTCCCAAGTTGCTGGGATTGCAGGTGTGAGCCACCATGCCCGGCTCTAAATACTTCATTATGTGCATTATCTCATTTACTCCTCATATATCCCCTGTCCCCTGATATATGGGTAACATAGGCTATTCAGGGCAAGGCTCTGGGGTCAGACAGAGTCTCAGCCTTCCCACTTACCAGCTGTGTGAGACACAGGAAAATCACTTAACCTCTCTGAGCCTGGTTTCTCGTCTTCAAAATAGGGAGGTTAAGAATACCTACCCTATAGGGTTGTATGAAGACATAAAGAAATAAAGTGCCTGGGCTGAACGTGGTGGCTCACGCCCTTAATCTCTGCACTTTGGGAGGTTGAGACAGGCAGACCACTTGAGCCCAGGAGTTCGAGACCAGCCTGGGCAACATGGCAAAACCCCACAGTGCCTGTAGTCCCAGCTACTGGTGGGGTACGGGGTGTGCTGAGGTGGGAGGATCACTTGAGTCGGGGAGGTCTAGGCTGCAGTGAGCCTTGATCTTGCCACTACACTCCAGCCTGGGCAACAGCACCAGACCCTGTCTCAAAAAAAAAAAAAAAAGAAAAGAAAAGAAAAAGAAAGAAAATTCTTAGCACAGTGCCTGGCACAAAGGCTGGTTCATGCCGGCTGTTATCACTATTATTATCCTCTTTTTAGATGAGAAAACCAGGGAGGTTGTCATATGCCAGTGTCACGTGTGGCTAGATCGTAGCAGTGTCAGGATTATAACCAAGGCCTCCCTAGTCCTGTCTGAGGGGCTGCAGGCTGGGGCCAAGTCAGATATTCTCTCCCTCCCTGGCTCCCTCCTCCTCTCCGGGGTCACAGGCTTCTCTTTTTCCTTGCCCGTGGAAAGGAAACCTCGTGGCTCCCTAGTGACAGCCAACATCCCACAATGCTCTCGGGAATGTGTGCACACGCCCACCTGCCGGGCCTGGAGGAATTCAGGCTTTAGATTTGAAAGGTAATTCAATCTCCCGGTGCTTCCTCCCCTCCCCCGCAGCGCTGGGTGTTCAAGACGGCGACAAAGACCCAGTTTCAGAGGAACAAGCCCGCAAGTGCAGAGCCGCAGGCACACGCTCAGCCTCACTCACAGGCAGCCCCTTGGTCGTAAGCACATGCTCTGCACCTTGCAGCAGTTACTAGAGACATAGTCCACCCCCGGTCCAGCAGTCACCCATCCCTAACCTGCCCACCCCTGGCCTCTCAAACCTCCAGACTTTGCCAACTCTCCACACATTCCTCAGCTCCCCACGTCCATCGGGCTCTCCGTCCCTCTCCCTTGCCCCATCCTTAGGAAGCTCCCCTTCCTCTACCCATCCGTTTCTCTTCCTTCCAGGCCCCAGACCCAGGGCTACTTCTCGGAGTGAGCACTCAGTGACTGCCCTTTCACCGACAGTGGGGGCAGTCCCCCACAACTCCACACTCCCACCTCTCTTTCTTTCTATCATTGGCTCAGCTCAGCCCAGGCTCTAAGATTGGTGCCCAGCACTTGGGGCTGGGGCAGGAGGAAGCCTGGAGCAGCTCAGCGCTCCTGTTTAATTAATAATGGGTAATAAGTCAACATGTAATTAGAGGATGAGGGCATGTGGCTGTGCTCTTTGGGCCCTGCCCTAGGGGAGTGAGCTGGAGCCTGGCCACACATGCCCCTGCACTGCCCAGGTCCTAGCCAGATCAGCCTCTTGATTCCCCTTGCTTACGCTGGGTCCTGCCACTAGGTCTCTCACCTGTGGTCCCCCCTTCATTCAGCCTTCAGGGTCTTCTCCACTTACTCCTGCCTTGGCTTCCTCTCTGCCTTCCACACTGGGCCAAAGGAGCTCATTCCCCACAGTCCTGGGGATCCCAATGTCTCCAGGGATCACAGTTTCCTGAGGGGCCAGGCCAGTCCCCGACTCCCACACAGGCCTTGAGTACCAGAAGTCCCTGGAAGGAATCCACAACAAGTCGAGCCCCACACCTCTCCTGCCGACCCCATTTGGCTCCTGCACTCTGTCCTCCATTGACATTCTCCCCATTCGCTCCCACTCAGCAGGGAGCCAGTGAGAGCCCTCCAGGGACCTCCCAGTCCCAGCCTGCGCCCTGTCCTCTTCCCTGCTCCAGCTCCTAGAAAAGCCTGTTGGGTGATGGAAGGCAGCTCCCTTCCCAGCACTCCACACCCCACTGTCCATGGGAGACAGTGTGTTGCCCTCCAGTGGCAATAGCCGGCAGCAACCTAGGGAGGAAAGGGTGTCCAGGCTCCTTGGAGTGTCTCAGGTTCAGTCCATCTGGGGGTGGGAGGTGGGGAGGGAGAGCGCCACACCTTTGTCGACTCACCTTTGTCAACGCATCACTTGCAGGCTGGGTTGCTGACTACCTTTCCCAGCAGCCTAGTTAGCTCTTATCCTGTTACTCTGGCCCTGTGCTATCAAGTTCACCTCTGACCTCTTTCCCCAAAGTATCAATGAATGGCAATTCAACTAAATGGCAATAAACACGATCAACACTTCTGTGTGCCAGGCAAAGGGATTTACAAGCATTGGCCCACTCAATCCACACAACAATCCCAAGAGGCAGGAGCAGTTGTCAAAGCCATTTTACAGATGAGGAAACAGTTGCAGTGAAATTAGGGAACCTCCTGGCTCACCCAGCCAGGAGGCGTTGAGCTATGATTCTGACCCTACAGCACTGCTCTTCCCCAGGAGATATTTGGCCTAGAATTATGGTGGAAGGCTGTAAGGAGGTGAGAAGAGGGTTAGGGATGGGAGAGGGGTGTGGTACATGCAGGGGTGCAAGGGGAGTGGTAGGGGGTGCGGGAGTGTCAGGAGCAGGAGAGGATTCCAAAGAGTGATGTGAGGGGGGCACATGAAGTGTGGGGGAGGTGTGTGAGATGTGAGGGGTGAACAGGAGTGGGGAAGTGTCAGGCATGTGAACAGGTATAGAAGGTAGAGTGGATAGGATGGAGGAGTTCGCAAAGCAGGTGAGGGGTCAAAGGGCAGGGTGAGGATAAAGTAGGAGGGGAGGGAAGTGTCAGGTGTGTGGGGTGTGTGAAGGAGAGGTGGAGGGAGAGGCGGGAGGGGTATGCAGGGTGACAGGCAGCCAGAGTGAGTATGCGGTGGGGGTGCTAGGTGTGGAGGGGATGTAAGAGTGCACAGAGTGGCTAGAGAGAAAGTGAGAAGGGTAGAAAAAGGTGTGGAGGAATGAGCAGGTCCCTGAGGGCCTGGAGGACCTGAGCAGAGGAGGAGGTGAAGGAGGGGGCTGGGTGGCATGGAGAGGGGTGGATAGGCCTGAGAGGCTTTGACAGTTTGGCTTTTGTCCCTGTCCACGTACCCAGCTGCCGCAGCCCCCACCAAACCTGGCCTTACTGCCAGGCTCATTTCAGGGATGGGTGGAAATTTCCATTTCAGCAAAATCCATTTGTAAAGCCCTGGAGCTTTGAGCCTCATTCTGCTCTGCCCGCCTGGCTCTGCCCACATGGCTCTGGCCTGCCCAGCTAGCCCCACTCTCCACCCCAGACCTCCCTCTGCTCTCCCTCCCCAGCAGGCAGAGCTTGGGCTCAGGGCCTGGGCTCCCTCAGCCCCACTCCAACCCTAGCACTGCAGCCTACAGAGGACCATCCTCCCCACCCCCCACCCCAGCCAAGCATTTTGACATTCTAGGGTGCCCCACAGATCTGGCAGAAGTGGTAGATTGGTCAGTGCCTTGCCTCAGTTAGGGGACCATCAGCATGCAGTCTACCCCCACTGCGCCCTGTCCCAGTACAGACGGTGGTTTTGATGCTACAGCACAGCAAAATGGGAAGAGCTCTTCAAGATAATCCTATTTAGGCCCTTTTGTTTTACAGATAGGGAAATGGAGGCCCAGAGAGGAAAAGCTACTTACTAGTCCAGGGTGCTACACAACTGGCTGGTGTGCAGAGCCAGAATGACCATATTGCCTAGAGGAGGAGTTGAGGAAAAACAGAGCCATGCAAACTTCAAACAGGCTCTGTTGAAGAGGTGTGCCGTCAACCCGTGATTTTACTTCTCTGTACCTTGGTTTGTTCTTCTACCAAGTGGAGCTCATGACCATTCTCCCAGGCTGGTGTGATGATGATGAGCTGGCCACAGCCAGATGCAGCAAAGTAGGGGTGGAACACAAAAGCCCTTAGGGTTCTTGAGTTCATGGGGAAGGCAGGAGCAATATCAGTTCTAGATTCATCCTGCCATTAGTGTCCAGACCCCTTTGCCTTGTCTGTCCCACAGCTTCCCGAGAACTATAGAAATTTCAAGGAACAGCAGGGATGACATGGCCAGGGATTGAGGCACTGGGTGGGAAGGTGAACTGGTCTCCCAGGGTAGAAAATGAAGGGACAGTGTGGGCCATCTCACTCAGGCCTCTGGGCAAGGAAGGCTTTTCTTCTCCAGCTCTAAAGGAATGGCCACTCTGGCCTCGGGGTGGAAACATGGGTTCCCTGGGCCAAAGTCAGAGCCCTGCATTAAGGGGAAAGGCTGAACTCTCCTAGAGCAGAGGCAAGGTCTATCTTGCTCACTTCTGTTTCCCAGCACAGCACCTGGCACGGAGGGTACACCCCTCAGGCCTTGCCACAGCTAGAGGCAGCTCAGGACAGATCTTAGTAGCTGGTACCAGGAAAGCACCCAGGGCTACCTGACCTAGACTGCTCTCTGACCAAGCCCCATGTCTTATGCACACACTGTGGCACATGCCGTGGCACATGCTGAAGCCAGCCTTAGCTCTAGTACTTACCCCAGCACATCCTCCAGCTGCTGCCCTCCTTCCCCAGCCCCCACAGGAATCCCAGGTCCCATCTGCTCCACTTCTCTGCATTTCCCCTGAACATCTGGACTGCTCCTGAAATCTGGCTCCTTGTTCCATCCAGAGGGAGCTGCTAGAGGGAAGAGGAGACTCCTGGGTCCCATTAGTTCAGAGCTGGGGCCAGGGAAGGCTCTGCCTGACCCCCACTCCAAGCCTGCAGCTGCCAGAATGAACTAGCCTAACAGAACTCTGGTTCCTGTCTCCTATTCTCCCTACCCTTGAGCACCCCCTCACCCGTAGGGTTGTAACACCCAACATACCCCACACAGCCTCCCCAACATCTGCTCGAGGGTCACATGGTTCTCTGTGCCAGGATCTGTGCATGTGTTTAGCTTTGCACTCTACACAGAAAGGTTCCCAGAGCTTCCTGGCATGGGCTGTGCTCCAGAACCACACACTCTAAGGACAGGCTGCTCCTCTCCTTCCCCACCCTGTGGTGGTGGTGGTGGTTGAGGCTGGGGCTGGGGGTATGGAGGAACCAAGGCCTTTGGTCCCTGGCAGCAAAAATTCTGAGTCCTACTTCAGAGACATGCATTCTAGGAGGACCAGGCTGGGAATGACCTTGGCCCATAACCTTCTCTTTTGCCACCCCCCCGCCCTACTTCTACTTCACCTGCTCCCTTACTCTCCACAGGGTTCTTGGTTCTTGTTTTATTTTGGGAGAGGACCGCTCCCTTATAGGATGCTCTCCATGGTCCTGAACCAGAGTCCCGGGGCAGAATTACTTCTCAACCTTGAACAAGAGGTGGCTCCTGGCACACATCTCGGAGGCATTCTGACCCGAGTAAGAAAGGAGATGATAGTGAAAGGGAAGGCATTGGAGAGAGACAGAGAGTGTATGCAAGACACACAGGGATAAAGAGTCCAACGCGAGACTGCCAGGAGGAAGAAAAAGTGATTTTGTTGTTCCTTTTAAGAAAGGTAATCTTCCCAAGTACTTGGTTTCCTCATTCTATGCAAATGCCAGCTCCTCGCTCCCGTTTGCCCCTGAAACTCTCTAGACGTCCCACTTTCCATTTCCTTCTCCACGCCGTGTCTGGCCTCTCCCTGATTTGGGGTCTGTGTGCTTGGGGACCACCCAAAGACCCGGACCTAAAGGCTCAGCTGTTGCTTCTTCCTCCTCGAAGGTCAAGAGAAAAGACTCCCCTCCAGATTTCTCTCGTCCCACGCCCCTCTAAGAGCAGGTCTGGGTCGCAAAGGGCCTGCTCAGTCCCCCTAAGAGCGGCGCCCGCCCCAGCCCGGTCCCCTTCCAGTCGCGGGATGCCTGCGGCACTGAAGGGCGGGAGAGAGGAGGGCCTTTACTGGCCGAGCCAGCCCGGGAGCCCCCGGGGCCGCACTGGAAGGAAGGAGCTGGGGAAACAGAAGAGTGGCAAGCGGTTTCCCGCTCGGTTGTGGCTGTTATTATTTATTTATTCATGTATTTTTTATTAAGGAGGAGATGTCGGCCTAATGAGCGGGGAGCCCGGCTGGCTCGGAGGGGTGGAGCTGGGGGTAATGGGGCGCTATCCACACAGGCAGGGCCTCTCTCCAGCCGCGGGGACCCCCTCGGAAGCCTCTCCTTGGCGCCCGTCTCTCTCCCTCCGCACCGCGCGTCTGCAGTGCCTAGGGCCCCCAGAACACACACACACACACGTGGCCTCTCCCGCTTCCCAACACCACCCCCCGCCCCGGGGAGGGACGTTCCTCTCCCGTCCTCACCCCCAACGGGTGCTGCCGACGCCGGAGCCAGAGCTGGATCCACGGAAGGCGCCTCTGTTTCTCCATGGAGAGCCCCTTTCCAGCTCCCCGCTCTGCCATCCCCTCTCCCGACCGTCCCCTCCAAGGCTCCTTCTCTGACTACAGACCCAGCTCCCAGCCCTTGACAGAGAATGAAATAGCCCAGCCCTTGTCCCCTAGTCAGGGGCAACCTCTCCTTTATCAAGGACCAGACTTAGCTTCAGCTTTCAGCCAAGAGCAAGCTTCCGATCGACCGAGGCACACCTCAAGTCTTAAATCAGTTCTCAACAGGGGGCTAGCCTCGGACCTAGACTGAATCCTCAGGCCCTGGAAGTGGACAGACTGCAGCTTGGTCCCAATTTTGAGTCTTTATCTGGGAAGCTACACTCAGACTAAGAACCCCCTCCAATGGTAGGGCTAGCCTTAATCCCAGTCCATATTTGTGGAATAGCCTCAGACTCAACCTCCAGCCCCTAGCCCAGTCCCAGAATTTAGGGTAGTCAAGAAGGTGGAAGCTTTTGGAAGCCAATGGCAAAAATAGTTGGGTGAGTATGGTCTAGGGAGGGGGAAAAACTGTTTGTTCCCTTTGGCTCAGTTCACTACAGCTTTACTTCACTGGCAGAGGGTCACCTCCTCTTGCTTATTGCAAGAGGTCTTGCTTATTGCAGGGACCTAGCTGAGGGCACACTCTAGTTTCATGGGAGGGGGTGGAGGGGGCTCTGGGGACCTACACCTATGCGAGCACGAGGCCACAATTTCCAACATGCTTCCCTTGATGTCCAACAAATGCTGGACCAATGGAAATAATTTCTTCAGAAAACATCAGTAGAGCCCTGCTCTGTGCCAGAACCTGGGGACAGAGAGAACATCTCTAATAAGCCTGCTCTGTCTAATGGTGGCTGGGGGTGGAACAGCATAAACATCTTAGCAGCACCTAGCTATTGAGCATGTGCTTATGCCAGGCCTTGTTCTTCACGGCATTATCTCACTGCATCATTACAGCCCTACAAGGTACACAGTTATTATTCCCATTTTATTTGTTAAATAGCATTTTATTATTACCGAAGTAATAAATATGAATTGTGCAAAATTTTAAAAGTACAGAAAGCAAAAATATAAAAATAAAAACATCATATTCCTACCACCATTAACACCTTAATGCATGTCCCTCCAGATCTTTTTCTTACATACAAGTATCTTTTTACCAAAATGTGATTGAATTATACATACTGCTTTATGATCTGTTTTTTAACCAACAATCTCTACCTTTTCTATTTCAGTAAATTTTCATCCCTTTTAATGCCCAGAACCTATAAAAATTTCCCCAAATGACCCCCAAGAAGTCCTTTACAGTTGGTCCGAATCCAATACAGGGATAGCATCTGATTGTTATGTGTATTAAATCGCTTAAAATGGTGCATTCCCCTGGTTTTTTTGGTCATTAATGCATTGAAATATTCAGATTAGTTTCCCCACAGAATATTCTTCCTTCCAACTGCCTGGTTACTTCCTTGTGCTGTTGTTGAGGTTGTGAAACTATCCCAGTGTTTTCTATAAACAGGGAGTTAGATCTAAAGGCTAGAACAATTCAAGTTCAACATTCTTGGCTAGAACACATGTGAGGCGATGTCATATACTTCACTTTGCACCGTATCAGAAGACGTAGAACATCAAATTCATCCACCATGAGAAATGCTCAGATAGACACCTGCTGATGATAGTTATGATTTCCTCCCCATCTTCCTTCTAGTAAATTATGTTTGTGGGTTACTCTGACACCACGCAAATGTCCGTTTCCCCATCAGCCATTCACCTAATGGTTATTAATACCAATACATAATCCTTGCCTGATTACTCTCATGTTTAAAGATGAAAAAACTGAGACTCAGACTGGGGAACATAGTCGTTCAAGCTCACACAATCAGCAAATTAGGACTCAGACTAGAAATCAAGTTTTCTTCCTCTTTCCCACCATACTGAGTTGGGAGCACGTTAGGTGTCTGGCGCACATTTAAATGTGTAAAAACCTTCGGGGGAGGGGGATTTCCTCTCCTTATGGTCTAGGCTGACCAGAGGTGGAAAAGCTTCTTGGTGAACCCCAATCTGCCTCCTGGTTGAGAGCTGATGCCACTAATATGGTTATCAGTGAAGCAACTCGACTCAGCAACTGCTATGTGGCAGCCCATGCTAAGTGCTTTATGAACATTAGCTTCTCGAATTCTCCCAAGAAACATGCAAGGTACGCATTATTACTAGGCTCTGACCCTTTTACAGATGAGAAAAATGAGGCTCAGAGAGGTTAAGTACTTGCCTAGGGCTGCACAGCTCATGATCAATGGAGCCAGGATTAGTTCTGACTCCAAAACTCAGGCACTTGACTGTCTCCTTGACCTGGCCTCTCAAGCTGGCCTCTCTCCCATTCCCAAGGCTGAAGAGTGAAGCTAATGAACGAGGCTTGGGGCCTCCTCCTTATGTGGCTGGTTCTGACATTGCCCACAGCTCTGTGACTATCTGTCAGCATCAGCAAGAGCATCACAGAGTTCTCTGGGTCCCCTCTGCTGGCCTCTACTCACCATATGGCTCTTGCCAGAATATGACTTGGTTCCTCCAGCCTCTGCATCCCATTAATCCTTCCAAGCTTTGCTCCCCCTGACCCCAGCCCTGGCCCTAATGCCTCCATCAGAGCATCTCACACTTGTTTATGAAACACTTTCCTTTGCTCACATTTATGTAGTTGGAATCCCAAGACTACCCTTGAAGGAGGCAGGGAAATGGGCTCCATTTGATAGATGCAGACACTGAGGCTTGGGGTGAGGAACGCTCTGGGCCCAGACCTGCTACGCTCCTGTCCCAGTCAGCATTTTCAAAATGGGCTCTAGCCCCTTAGCAAAGTCAGGACTAACCTCAGAGTTGGTGCCTTGCTGCTGTTTGGAATGTGAGGCTTGTCCTTGGGTGGGGCCTGTGGCAGTGGATTTGGGGTCAGCCCTGTATCCTCTAGCCCTGCCAGGGAGCAAGTCTCTGAAATGTCACCAGCACTGAGGGCATCCTGAGAAATGTCAGCAAATGCTGATTTGGTCCCTTGGCAGAGGGTGGAGCCAGCCTTTTTCTGCAGAGCCTCCCTCCACCATCTCCCTGTTCCCAGCTGCAGAAGAAAGAGAAGCCAAAGAACCCTTAGAGTTTGCCTAATCCAACCCCACCATCTTAGAGATGGGAGAACTGAGACCCCAGAACTCACAGAGCAAGCCAGCATCTATTTTCTTCTCTGGAAACATCAAGAATTAGTCATGGACCTCCACCCATCCACCCTATTCCCCATTCCCCACCACGGTCTATCTGGAGCCCCTTGAGTCAAGACCCCGGTTCCCAGAAGTCACAGGAGCAGAAAGAAGAAGGGACTAAGGAGCCAGCTCATGGCTGTGGGCCCAGCATTAGGGGCTGCAGGAAGGAGAACAGCTTGATCCAGCCACCATACCAGCCTCTGTCCTCCTCACCACAATACTAGACTGACACCTGGACCAGCTCTTCCTGAACCTCCAGAATGGAGAAAATAAAGTTCCTACCAAATGGTGGAGGCAGTGACACAGTAGCTTCCATGTGCTCTGGGAACTGACTGCCTTCTCCAGGCCCTGTGTGGCTAGTGCTTCTCCCATTTCACACCTCTGTTTGTGAGAGCCCTTTGCTCCATCATCCTCTAGGCCCTATCAAGGGAAGGCTACTTCTTCCCCCAGCCCAGTGAATCCTACCAAGACTCCATCCTTTCATTTTCACTGCTATGGAGTACAAAGGACCCCATCTCTCCATCTCAGGCAATCATCCAAAACCTTGAGAAGTCTGGACCTCATGTTTTTGGCTACAGAGCCTGCGTTCTCCATTCCTCTGGTCCTCCCACAGTTGTCTATACAGTTGTAGTATACAGTGATTGTTCAGAGTCCTCTCTGTGCTGTGTGTGTCTCTGTGCTGAGAAAAGGAGTTCAGTGAGGGGAGTTGGTTCCATCCTTATCTCCCATGCCTGCCATATCATAGGTGCACAGTAAATATTTATTGAGTAAATAAATATGGAGGTTCAAGATCAGGCCAAGCCTGTCCTTAATAGTCTGTACTTTTACCTCAAAGCACTTTGAGGTTGATATTCCCCATAGACTGTAAGCTGCTCCCTGAGGATAGGGGCCATGTTTTCTGGTTCATGTCTGCATCCTTAGTGATTAATCCAGCACCTAGCCCACAGTAGATGTCTATTAAATCTTCATGGAAGGGAATATGTGAGTGAATGAATGATACATACATTCATAAATGAATGAGCAACCTAGGTAGACAAGGACTTTTATCCTATTATTATAATGAGGAAATGAGATTTAGGAAAGAATGGAAATCTGGCTCTCACTTCCCACATTTCAAGTGTTAGAGGCACGATTTTTATGCAGGGAAAGCCGGCCCAGGAGGTTTGGAGCTACTGACCAAGGAGTAGGCGATAAAGGTGGGTAAAAGGCTGGATGGGCAAACCTCAGGGATTAGGTCCAAGCAGATGGAGCCTCTGCCCTGGAGGAAGAACGTTCCTAGAATTATCCTGCCTCCAGATAGAGAAGCAAGGAAGCCTAATTGGTTTCTTCAGCTCCTGGAGTTGGATCCATAAATCATGGCTCCATTGAAAGCACAGGTACCTCCTCTCTAGGGACACTGGTATGACTTGATGTGAGTTCCCAGTGACATGAAGAGGCTTGCAGCCTCCACGTGCAGGTCCCCATGCCACCCTGCCCAGAATAGAAGGCACCGCTCGATAAGGTCTGCCCATCAGCTGCAATGTTTGAGGTATGCAGGTACCCAAGGGAGGAGCAGGGGAGGGAAGGGGCCCAGGAACAGCAGCCGAACACAGGGAGGGAGAGTGAGTGATGAAGACCCAAATAGCCTTCCTTCAGTGAACTCCATCCCATTCACCATTTATTGAGTACCTACCTTGTGTCAGATACTGTGCTGGGCACTGGAGACCCAAAGACAGCTCAGATGCAGGAGAGAACGGGGGGAGAGGCAGCTACAGAGACAATAATCACAACATGGGTGATAAGTGCTTGAGAGGGATGTACAAAGTGCTCTGGGAGCTCACAGCACCAGGCCATTAATTCTTCCTCTGGTGGAGAGGATTTTGGAAGACTTCGCTGAGGAGGAGGTGTTTCAGCTGTGTTTGGTCGGCTCCGAGGTTGGCAGAGGGAGGGAAGGGCACTTCAGGCAGAGGTGAGCATGTGCAAAGGTGGGGGTTATGAAAGAGGAACTAGGGGATTTCTGTGTGGCTGGAGCTGAGGGGAAGGCATGAGGAGACACTAGATGGGGAGCCTCAGGCCAGTATTTGAAAGGCTATGAATGGTCCTACTAGAGAATTTGGATTGGATCCAGTCGTGGGCAAAGGGGAGCCATTGAAGAATTTTAAGCAGGGGTGTGTTTTAGAAAGCCTTATCCAGGGGAGATGGAACAAACCAGGATGGTGGCCAAGGGGCAGAGAAAAGGGAATGGATTCCAGGAACATTTAGGGGGGGAAAATGGACCAGACTTTCCCTGGCTCTGTCATTCTTTCGGACTTTTCTTGCCTTTCTAGGCAGGCTCCGAGTTCCCCTGGGGATGAAGGCTGCTCCCTCCTTTCTCTGTGTCTGGTGCAGGCTTCTGCATACACAGAACTGAACCTACAGGGTCTGACTGACTGACAAGAACAGAGCAGCAGAGCTGACTCCCAGTGGTCAAGGAGTCCTGCTCTGCGGATGACCTGGTGACTTCTCTCCGACTCAGTCCACAAGCCCCAGAGCAGGATGAGGCCCGGGAGGTCCTCCCCTCCCTCCCTTCTTTTCTCTCCCTCTCCTCCCTCCCCCTCCTCCCCTGAGCCCAAGCTTTCTTGCTGGGAGGCTCTCAGAGCCAGCAGAGCTGTGGATGAAATGGTTCGGTGGCTCCAGCCCAGCTGCTGCCATGGCAACCAGGCTGCCTGCCAGACCCAGTCAGGAGCAGGCCCAGCCTTCCTGCTCTAGAACTACGATTCCCAGAATGCAAAGCACCTGAGGCTGTGAGAGGAACCCACCTCCTAGATGGTATCCAGCCAGGGCCTTCCAGCTTGGAAGATGCATAGGGGCATCCCAAAGGGAACACAGTACAGAACATGGGCACCTGTGTGTGCAGAGAGCAGGGGATACTTCTGGAGGAGGCCTGAGAACCCCTCCTGATGTTGGCCCACTGGACATACCAGAAGGAGGCCAATGGCTTCAGGAAGGGATAAAGGCTGGGGATGGGTACTAGTCCTGCTTTTGCCACTAATCTGTGGTGCTGCTTGAAAACTTTCTCTCAAAACTCTACAATGCTCAGTCTCTAACACCACCTTCATAGTCCAAGCCTAGGTGGTTGCAACATGCCACTAATTGGTCTCTTTGCCTCCTTTAGACCCCCTCCCTTCCTTATTCGTGCTGAAGCCTAAGTGACCTTTTCAAAATGCAATTCTGATCATATCACTACCTCCAATGCTCAGCCCCCTGCTGTTTAAACTATTCAGTGTTTAAACCTTTCGCTCTTAGATGAAGAAGCAAATTCCCTCTGTCAGCTGACAAGGCTCTGCATGGCCTGGTCTCTGTCTAGTTTCCAGCCTCCTTACTCACTCCACACACTTCAGCCCTTCTAGACTTTCATTTCCTTGCAGAAGCCATGCTACCTCCTGCCACAGGGCCTTTGCACAAACTGCTCCCGCTCTCTCTCCAGAACACTTTTTCCTCCACTGTTGCTCTACACAAGCTTCTCTTTCTCACAAAAAATGTCTTCTTCTAAGGAAGCCTCCTCTAACCTTCCTGACTTAACCAAATCCTCCTTTTATATATTAGTGTTGGCACCATGAGCCTCTCCTTTATAGCACTCTCCCAGTTGCACTTTTACATTTATCTGTACAGGCAACTATGCACCTCCCCACTAGATCATAGCCTCTGTGAGAGGAGAGAGAGTGCCTTTTTGGCTATGACTGCAACCTCAGGATCTAGCACCATATGTGACACATAGCAGATGCTCAAGAGCCATTTGTTGAAATAAATTAATCTGTTTAAGTCTCATTCTTCCCACCTGAGTGCCCCCCGTGTGTCATGTACTGCAAGGGGGTGGGGCAGGGATACAGTACTGGACAAGACACACAAGCATGGTCCTTCCTAGTATGGTGCTCACAGTCCAGTGGGAGACAGACATTGAATATATAATGACCAGAGTGCCAAGTGGTGCAAATGGTGAAAGATATAGAGCCACGGTGGCACAGAGCCCTGGGATCTGTACAGGTCCACCAAGGAAGAGAAGCAGAAGTCACCAGGCAAAAGGGATGGAATAATGTCAAAGAATGTTGCAGGCAGAGGGAATGGCATAAGCGAGGATACTGCTGAGGCAGAGAGGGCTTGGATTGTTTGGGGCATGAAGTAAGGACAGAGTCACTGGAGCCTGGAGTGAGTGGGAGGTGGTGGTAGCTCCATCCACATTCTTTGATTTTACTGGCTGGAAGTGCAGATGAGTTGTCTTTTCAAACTGGTTGGATCTTGTCTTCTATACTCCTCCCCTATTCTCAGGCCCGGGATGAGGCCCAGCGTGGACATACCCAGGCTGTCCCACTCCTCAAGTATATGGCCTTCACCCCTGACCACCCACCACTGTATTCAGGTATCTGGTAGAGGCCCTGCCCATGTCCGGTCTGATGGGGCTGTGACATGTGTGTGTGTATTAGGGGGTGATATGCTGTGGTAGCAGCCAATCAATCCTGTAGCATACATTGCTGACAAGTCTGGGGGAGATCCCCTGAAAAGGGAGACTGGCCTGGGGCTTGGGGGTGGGTGTGCAGCTTGCCTGGGAAATGAGGCATGACTTACCAGCTGCAAAGACTTCAGTGGGTGGGGGCAGCAGAGGCCCCTGGGCACAGGGCAGGGAGGGCTCTTCTCCTCACATTTGCTGCTGTCCTCCTCACTCTCAAGGGTCCTGGGTAGGGTGGGAAAACTCTTTCCAGCAGGTTTAACCCTTCCTTTGAACTTGGCAGTTCCCCTACAAGTAGTCCGAATTGTGTGTGTGTGTGTGTGTGTGTGTGTGTGTGTGTGTGTGTGTGTAAAATGAAGTGGCACCTGGGCTGGAAATAATGGACTTTAGCTTTCTTATTTCACTGCAGGTATTCCAACCACTACCCCTCTAACACACACACACACACACACACACACACACACACACACACACACACTCACACACACCCTGAGGCCAGATCCCTGGTTTTGCTGAGGTTTCCCTGTGAGTAGGAGCCTCTAGTTTACCCATTTCTCAGGAGAGTGTTTTTCAAAGTGTGAGCTTCACTACATCAGAATCCTGTGAAATGCTTGTGAAAATGCAGGTTCCCAGAGTCCTCTGATGCATGTAGTTCACAGATTACATTTTAAGAAGCATTGTCCTAAAGGATACCTAATTCTGCCCAAAATAACTGCTGAAGCATTCTCCTCCCCAGAAGTGTCTCCCCATGGTGATCCAGCCCTGGACTCTGCATTCTCCCACTCACCTCTAGACCTCGACTAGGAAGGCAAGCCAGCCCTGCCCCTTCAGACCCCCTTCAAATCCCTGCCTTACCATGCATTCTATAAACATGGACCAAGAACTCATTATATGCTGGGTGCTGGGGTTCTGGGAAGAACCTGGCAGCCAGGATCTCTACTCTCATGGGTCTTATAATTTGGCAGTGAAGACAAATATTGTAAAAGCAAATAAATAAACAAGATAATTGTGGCAGGTGCTATGAGGAAGATAAAACGGTTACCTGATAGAGTATGCCTGGAAGGGACTGCTTCATTTGGGGGTTCAAGGAAGGAGGCCACCTTGGTGCCTGTGTTTTAAGGAAGGTTCTGGAAATAAAAGAAAAATCCCTCCTCTCTCTTTGCTACTGTTTTTATCTCTTTTCTTTCCTTTCTTTGGCTCAGCTTGGCTCTCTGTTTCTGTTTCAACTCCCTCTTTGTCTCATTTCTTCTCTCCTCCACTGCTTCCGTCCCTCCCTCTCCCATTACCTCCCTCTTCTTCCCATCCTACCTCCCTCTCTTCTGCTCCCTTCAGAGGAACTGAAGAAACTAGATCTCCTTGTCTCTCAGGCTAGATAGCAGTAATTGAACTGTGGGCTCGCTCAGCAGCTGGACCTGAGAGTAGGGCTAGAGGAGGGAGTGGGGATGTCAGAGGGGAGCTGGAGGAATGAGAGCAGGGAGGGGCCTGGGAGGGTGAGGGCACTCAGAGGGGCTGGAGGTGGCTACTGAGCCAGGTAATCTAATCAGGGGGTGAGTCATAAAGATCACTCACTCCCGTGCACAGGACCAGCCTAGGAAATCACATTAATTTAAAGAGGGTGTAAAATCCACGGAGAATTCCCCTCTCTCCACCACACACATGAAGATAAACTGTCTTCAACTTCCAATATGATCTTACAACAGCTTGTCAGTGACAAAACAGCCTCAAATCCTCCCATTTATCAAATGGCCAATCCTGTTAGCGGCTTAAAAGAGACATAATTACCTGCGGCCTTTTGTGTGATTCTTTATACTAACACCACTTCCTTCTTCCTGGCAGCATTCCAGAACGTGAGCTCAGAATTCATTCCTGGTGATGGAGGGGATCTTCAGAGATGTTAAAGTTGGGGGGCAAGAGGGGTTGAAGTCAGAAATTCCGCTTGGGCTGGGATGTGGGTTAGCACCATGGACAGGGCCAAGGGCTGAGGGAGCCTGGGAGCGGCCTTGTGTGCAATGGGTAAAGCAGCACCAAGTCCCACTCACGTTTGCAGGCACCGCGGGGCCAGCAGACACCTGCCGGCGGCCAGCAGGCATCCGGAGGGCTAGGGGCCAGCTGCCTTTACCGAAAAGGCAGTGTAGGCCTCTGCCCAGGGTGCATAAGCACTGACAGTGGGGACAGAAGATCGACGTGGCTTGGCCTGTAGATCAGTAACTTGGGTAGAGTTCTCTACTCTCAGGATGAGCGAGGAGTTTTTGTGACTTCAGAATCTGCCATGCTGCTACCAGGGAGAACATTAATGTTCCCAGCTAATATTTACTGAGTGCTTGCTATGGGCCAGGCCCTCTGCTCAGCACTTTATACACACGATCTTAATTAATATAAACTTCATGTAACTCTATTCTAACATCCATTTTATAGATGAGGAACCAGATGGTGAGTGAGGCTAAGTCACACGTGCAAGGTCACTCAGGGATGACTCAAACTTGTGGTCTATGAACTGGGCTGCCTCCAAGGCAGGCTCTGGCCATGAGGAGAGATCAGTTCTGTGATTCTGGGTTGGTCCCTCTCCCCCTCTGCCCTTATTCCTCAGGGAGCTCAGTTGGGGCAGGTCTCTGTTCTCACTACTTCGATGGATAAGAGAATCCCATGGCATAACTTTTCCTTCCATAAAGAATAAGACTTCCTAAAAACTGGCTTCTTTCTGGCAAGGTCTGCTCTGCAAGCTTGCATCTGCCTTCTCTCAGCCCCTCCCTCGCCCCGCTGGTCCAGGTCCCTGCTGGGCCTCATCCCTCCATTCCAGGAGGTCACCTCGCCCCTCCCCTCCCACTTCCCACTGCCAAGGCCCTACTTGCTTCCAGCCTTCCCCACATTCTTTTCCACTTTCCAAGAGGTCCAAAGGAATCATCTCTTGGGAGGAAACCGTCAGAGTCCATTTGGAAGCCAGATAAAGAGGCAGACAGCGAGACAGACAGCAAGAGACAGACAAGAGACAGACTGAAAATGAAATTTGAAGCACTGTTGAGTCAATAATTATGGTCAAGTCCTGTTGAGAGATGAGTCCAGGGTAAGCTAGCCAGGGGTATCTCACAGGATTTCTAGGACTCACTTTTCCTTAGCTGGCTCCTGCTGCCCTCAGCCCTCCATCCTTGCCCCTCTCCCTCCCTGGGCTGCCTCCCAGACCAGCATCCTTCCCCCCACCCCACCCAGCCTCAGGGCATTCATCACTGGGTTAGTGATTTATCAAAGGCTCTGACAGTTGCTGTTTGGCAAAATCAATCTGTGAAGAATGGGACCAACCCAAGGCTCCCTGTTCTCCTGAGCCCCCACCATCAATCTGCCCCAAAGGAACTCCATGGCTCTGACATCGGCACTGCCCCTGCCCCCACCCCAGACTTGAGTGGGTCTCTGGATCCCTACCTGTCCTTAGAGAGAAGGGAAAGAAGGAAGGAAAGACAGAGAGAGAGAGAGAGAGCATATGTGTTTTGGTGCCTTCTCTTAGATGTTTATTTTGTTGTTTTTAAGTGAGAAAGTCCCAGCTCTATTAAATGCAATCAATACTTGGCCCAAGAGAAGCTTCCCTTCTCTGAGACATTTGAAACCTGGTCAAATCATTTTGCCCCAATACAAAGTAATTTATCAATTTCAAAACCTTTCTAATCAGTGGAGGCTGTGGAGTCCCCATTCCTGCCTGCCATCTTCTGCTGCAGGACAGGCACACACACATGCAAATACACACATACACCCAGAGTTGTGCATAAACTCCTTTATTCTCTCTGCAAACCACCCTCCCTCCCTCCCACCTCCCAGAGACTGCAGAATGTCTTCCCCTCAGTTCAGCCTCCAGGCTAGGTGCCATCCTCAGCATCTTCAGCTCAGCCTGTGTGCTCCTAGCCCAGAGAGGCTGCAGGCCCTGCGGGCCCTGCAGGCCTATAGCACTCAGCCCTGGAGAGATGGAGGTAGACACGAGTCCAGCCACAGTGCACTAGTGAGTGTGCTCCTCTTCACCTGGTGTGTAAACAGTGGGGTGGAGCTGGGGACTCTGGTTCATAGGCAGGGTCCAGAACTGGGGCCAGGGGGCTGGAAGGAGCCCCAGGGCCACCAAAGTTGTCCCTTAGGACCTTGGCATAAATCTCCGAGGGGCAAACAAGATCTACTGGCTGGAGTGAGGTTTGCTGGCTGAACCTGGGGATGATGTCACAAAACTCTCCTGCCTCTAAAGCTGCTATTTTTGCCCTCGAGGACAGGCCGTGTCTAAAGGGAGACTGTGACAGCAGCAAAATCACCTTGCAACTCACCCTCCCACTCCCAGGAAGAGTGGCTTGAGCCTTTACCACTCCATTAGATTGGATTCTCGGCAGGATTCTCGGCAGGTCTTTTGTGGCCGCCAGCTGTGGTGGCCAGATAGGCCACTGACCTTTGAGGAGGGGCCACCCACTGAATGGCTAATTTAAATGCTCTCCTTACAATGGACTGTGCACATTTGGCCCTCAGAGAGTGACTGAGGGAAGTGACTCAGCAAGCCAGAGTCCTGGTTCACAAGCGAACTCAGGAGCATAGATGACATGTGAACTTTCCGAAACCTCTACCCATGGAACAGTCAATCCAAAGGCCTTACCTTGGCGTTCAAGGCCCCTCCATCTGGCCTAACCTAATATCTCCAGGAGACCTTTCATGCCTAGTGTTTGGAAGGCACTCTGTAAATATGTGTGCAATCAATGAATGGGTGGAAATCTCTGTGTAGCTCTGCCCCCCATTTCATGCCTTCCTTTCTCAAGTCTATCATAGCTCCTCTAGGGCTAGGAGCAAGGACTTTGCATATCTTTGGAGCCCTCATAGCTCTTTGCCCAGGGCTCTGCACAAAGTAATATTAAACTAGAGCGAGCACAGTGCCCTGTGGTTTACAAGGTATTTTAATATTAACTGTCTAATTTAATTCTACAATAATGCTGGGGATAGATATTACCCTGTTTTATACTGAGAGGACCCAAGGTTCAGAGAGGTGAAGTCACTTGTCCTCCATTACACAGAAAGTAAACAATAAACCTGGGATGCCAATGCAAATTCTCTGAATCCAGATCCTAAAATCTTTCTACCTCATTCATTTGTTCATTTATTACATAAATAGTGAGCTTCCCCTCCATGCCAAATGTTAAGGTTTCTTCATGGCAATCTGAAACTAGGTGACATTGTATCCTGTCTGTAGATTGGAAAATAGAGGTGAAGTGATTTGCCCAAGATGGCACAGTAAATAAATAGGGGATGGAAGTAGATTGAACCCAGATCTTTTTATTTCTTTTTCTTTTCTTTTATTTTTGAGAAGGAGTCTCGCTCTGTTGCCCAGGCTGGAGTGCAGTGGCGTGATCTCCGCTCACTGCAAGCTCCACCTCCCAGGTTCATGCCATACTCCTGCCTCAGCCTCCCCAGTAGCCGGGACTACAGGCGCCTGCCACCACGCCCGGCTAATTTTTTTGCATTTTTAGTAGAGACAGGGTTTCACCATGTTAGCCAGGATGGTCTCGATTTCCTGACCTCATGATCCGCCCGCCTCGGCCTCCCAAAGTGGTGGGATTACAGGTGTGAGCCACCATGCCCGGCCAAACCCAGATCTTTTATTTCAAATCCAGAGTCTCCTCTTACACCTCACAATTTTTTTTTTTTTTTTGAGACAGAGTTTCGTTCCTGTTGCCCAGGCTGGAGTGCAATGGTGCGATCTCAGCTCACTGCTACCTCCTTCTCCTGGGTTCAAGTGATTCTCCTGCCTCAGCCTCCCAAGTAGCTGGGATTATGGGCATGCACTACCACACCCGGCTAATTTGTATTTTTAGTACAGACAGGGTTTCACTATGTTGGTCAGGCTGGTCTCAAACTCCTGACCTCAGGTGATCCGCCCACCTCAGCCTCCCAAAGTGCTGGGATTACAGGTGTGAGCCACTGCACCCAGCCTCACAAAATGTTTTGTTGTAACATTCATGAAGAACCAATTATATGCCAAGCACTATCCCATTTAATCTTCACAACATCTGACATGGGTTCTATTATCACTTCCTTCTTAGAGATGGAGAAATCAAAACTTTGAACAAAGTCCAGTGCCTGAGCATGGTAGCTCACGCCTGAAATCCCAACAATTTGGGAGACCGAAGAGGGTGGATTGCTTGAGTCCAAGAGTTCAAAACCAGCCTGGGCAACATGGCAAGACCCCATCTCTACAAAAAACAAACAAACAAAAACAAAACAAAACAAAAAACACAAAAAATTAGCTGGGTATGGTGACATGTGCCTGTGGTCCTACCTATTCAGGAGGCTGAGCTGGGAAGATCACCTGAGCTAGAGAAGTCGAGGCTGCAGTGACCTGTGATTGTGCTGCTTACCACTCCACCCTGAGTGACAGAGTGAGACACTGTCTAAAAAAAAAAAAAAAGAAAAAAAAGAAAAGTCCAATATTTAGTAGCCAAGCTGAGAGTTGAACTGTGTTTCTCTGACTCCAGAATCTGAGCTCTATGCTATACCAGCTTACTGATGATAATAATAAACACTCATTACACATCCAAATAATCAATGCTTATTGATTGAATGACTGGTCACTGTAGATATTATGTTCATGGCACAACTAGGGAAAAAAGGTGTAAATTCTGGGCTTGCAAGCCAGCATCTGCCCCTTGGTCTGCATTATGTCTCACAAGCCCTCTGTACCTAATAATAACTGCCCCTACGTCAGCCGGGCTCGGTGGTTCATGCCTGTAATCCCTTGGCACTTTGGGAGGCCGAGGCGGGCAGATCACAAGGTCAAGAGATCGAGACCATCCTGGCCAACATGGTGAAACCCCGTCTCTACTAAAAATACAAAAATTTAGCTGGGCATGGTGGTGCACACTTGTAGTCCCAGCTACTCAGGAGGCTGAGGCAGTAGAATCGCTTGAACTAGGAGGTGGAGGTTGCAGTGAGCCGAGATCATACCACTGCACTCCAGCCTGGTGACACAGTGAGACTCCATCTCAAAACAAAACAAAACAACAACAACAACAAAACCTGCCCCTACTTCTTGAGCAGTCACTGCATGTCAAGTCCTGTGTTAGGCCCCTTACATGCGCTCACATAACCCGATGTAATCCTCATATATGACATAGGTATTATCTTCCCTATTTGAAGGATATAGAAACCAAAGCTCAGAGAGATTCAGTCACTTGTCCCCAGCCACACAGCGTATCAAAGAGATACTATTGTAAAGATGTTACCTCTTTCCTTGATCCTGCAAACCATCTTGGCACAGCTGCTCCAGTCCCAGAACCCCACCATGATTGCCAGTGGGGATTATGAACATCATTTCCCTGGGAGTTTGGGAAGAGAGTAAAATTGTGGCACCAAGGGGCACTGCAGCTGAAAGTGGTCCCCAGTGCTTAGAGTGACACACAGATCCAGGGCTAAACTCTGTTGGGAGACAAGTAGAAACCGGGAGTCAATGAGGAAGTAGCTGGGAGAGTAGCTGACTTCTGGGAATACAGTGCCCATTACTAGCTTTGATCCCCCAACCCCACCCCTCCAGAGCTAACTGCCCAAGCCTCCTCTTGGAGGAGACATCCCTCCTCTTAATGAATGGCTGCAGGGCCATTTGGCCCTGCCACTGCATCCCACATTGATGGATGAATGTGCCTCTGCAAATTAGAGAAATAACTAATGTACTACTCCTAGACCCTGCTGCCTACACGTGAAGCGGGCTCTTGTGGGTTAACTCAAGAACTGGAAGGAATCAGTCCCCTGAATAACAACCCAAAGCAGCAGTGGGGAGAGGCTCCCAGCCTGGTGGGGGTGGATTTACATTTCCTACAGGGTATTCTCAGTGTCACCTCTCATCACCATAATATTTACATCAAATGCAAAAGGCCTCCTCGGAATAGAGCCCTGAGGTTGTAAATGCCAAATCCAAGAATGTCAGTGAATGCAAAAGATCGGGTTCTTTGAGCAGCAGTCTCTCCCTGCCAGGCAATGCCTGCTGCAACCCTGGGGGCAGGCAGGGTGGGCTGCAGAGCCACCGTAAACCTCACCCAAAATAAAGAAAGGCTGGGAACATGTAGGGAGCCCAAAGGCATACATCTCTGGTCCAGGAACACCAGGCAGCCTTGTCCCTTTCACTTGGCTTCACTCGAAGTCTGAAGAAATGTGTTCACACGTGTTCGCTGTGCTGGAAGGGAGGCCAGGCCACCTCATGATCAGAATGACAGCTGGGCAGATGGACTCTCTCCGATGAACCCCAGAGCCTCAGTGGTCAGGCCTCAATGTGGTCTGCAGCCCAGCAGCTGACTGCTCTACCCAGCCTGTCCTCCTTCCTCTCACTGCCCCCTTGGGGTCTAGTGAAGCTTTTCTGAAGTCATTCATTCATCAAACATTTATTGAGCACTTATTAAGCACCAGGCCCTGGGAATACAATGGTGAACCAAAGAGACACAGTTTGTACCCTGAAGGAGCTCATGTTCTAGTGGGCAAAACAGATAATGAACAAGTGAACAGATAAATAACTTCGGATGCTGTTAAGTACTGTGAAGAAAATAAATTGGGAAGAAGGGGTAGAGAGGGAAGGAGGGAGGCTGCTATTGCCTGGACAGTCAGGGAAGGCCTTCTGAGAGGTGGAGTTTGACCTGAAGAATGAGAATAAGCCATTCTATAAAGATTTGGAGGAAGAGGTTTCCAAGCAGGCAGATCAGCAAGTGCAAGAGCTTTAAGAAGAGAATGAGCACATGTGCTAGAGGAACATAAAAAGGCCTGGTGCTGAGGCAGAGTGAGAAATGAGGTGGAGGAAAGGGACATGGTCTTGCTGGCCGTGGAAAGGAAGAGAATTTCTTGCTAAAAGCACTGGGAAGCCATGAGAGTGATTTGGGCAGAGGATGGCACTATCTGATTTACATTTTAATTTTGCTCAGATAATAAAAATCTTGGTCTAGTTCTGGCTTCACAAGTTACTCAATGTGAGATCTTGAGCCAGTTGCTGCATTTCATTAAACCTCAGGTTCTTTAAGAACTTCTTGGGGTGTCAGAAGAACATGAGTTAACTTGCATGTCTAGCTCAGAGCCCAGCATTGATAGCTGCACAATCAATGCACCACTTTGTCTCTCTTCCCTCTGCCTTTCTTCTCAGCCCCAGCCTCTCCCCCGCTGTCACACACTAAGTAAACCCCAGGGCCTAGCTGGGATCTCAGAGTGGAAGGAAGGGGTCTCATCCACAGGCATCAGGACCAGCTGAGGTAGGCCCAGTGTTCCCCTCACCAGTGCCCGACCATTTGAGGAACCACTCCTCAGGGTCGCAGGAGATCAGACCCTGCAGGTACACCAAGGGGCTGCATGCTGCCAGGGAAGTGGCCAGGATGTCTGGGCCAATTTGCATGCAGACACTATGCATTTGCCTGTATTTCCATGCCATTTGCTACACCAAAATGGCAGGCCCAGCATGCAGGGGAAAGGTTATCACTGCTACCTGAGGTCATGCTCCTTTACACTTACCTGCATTCCTTCCCTGTACTTTGCATGCAACCTTTGATCCCAGAAGTTGCCTGGGGGAGAACTAGGAGGAAAGGGAAGTTGGAGGGAGCCAATAAGGAAGGCAGTTTGGAGACTAAGCCAGGGCTGCGAGCAGACAGGGTGAACCTCACTTCTCCCAGGACCTGGGCCCACACTGCTGGCTCCAGAGTGAGTAAAAGGTGGCTGCCTGAGATAGAATCCTCCCAGCAGCTGCCTAGGTAGCCACATATCCACTTGACTGGCCTCAGGGGACAAGGCACTTCTCCTGCCTCCCTCCTAGCACTGGGACCCACAGAAAGGATCTGATGAGGTTAATTAATTGCTTGTAAAAATTTCTTTGGAAGGAAAAGAGCCATCATGTCTGGGAGCCAGAGGATGGCAGCAGCAAAGTCCTACCAGTTAGGACAGGGGTGCAAAGGGCAGGGCTGTGATGGTGCCAGGAAAGGAAGGGAGTGGGACAGCAGAAGGAAGGGACATGGGACAAGTCTCAGAGAATAGCCTCAGGGAAGCCTCTGATCCTGGAATGTTTGGGGAGCCCACAGCCGGAGAGAGTTTGGTTGGGCAAGGGTGGTAAGGCTCAGGCTGTCTCGTCCCAGTGCCTGAGAGAAGAGGAAAGAGAAACACAACCCGAGCTGGAGAATCTTCCTCCCCTTCCTCACCAGGATGCTCTTCCTCTTCCTTCCCACTGGATGAGTCTGAAGCCAAGGGCTCCCACATCAAGCCTCCCCCCCACCACCGCCCACCCTGACCTCTGGAAGATCCTCTCTTTTCATTCTTTTGGGGCTCAGTATCCCCTCACTGAGTCTCCCATGTGAGAGACCCTCCTTTTTCACATCCAGTCTCTCAAAAATTCCTGTAGCCCTGACAAGGCCCTCAACTATATCCTGAACTTTATATGTAGGTTCACTGTAACTCAGCATCTCCATCATAGCCAGAGGCATTGAAATAGGGCAGGCTGGAAACAGGCAGAGAAACTGGTGCTGCGGGAACCCAGGGGTGCTGACCAAGGTCCTGAACAGCCTCAATTCCTGTTACACAGGAACTTCACAATGCTCCTTGTGCAACCTATGGTCCCATCCCTGCCCACACACCCATCCTGGCTCCACCTCCAAGGCTTCATCCTCAATGTGAATCATATAAGGGATGGGGATGATCAGGGAGCTGATCTCGATGAGCTCCTTCAGGTTACAAGCCAGCCCTCCCTACAGAGCTGCAGCCTCTGCCCCTCCCTTTTTGTCCTTAACACTGGCTCTGTCTGTTCTGCCAGCCTTGTCAAGGACAGCCCCTGCAATCTGACCACACAGCAGCTGGTAGGGCCTGGGGCTGCACTTGACATCCTGATCCAACCATATTCTCAGAGAGAAAACAGGTTGGGAGTTCCGCATGCTTGCACACACCTGCACATATCATGCACACGCTCACACTCTCAATGTCAGCCTAGACTAGAGAAGTGGTTCTTAGATTTCTTGGGTCATGGATTATCTGGCTGTAATCTCCTCAGAAAAAAAGATGCATATACCCAACCCTTTGCACATCCCATCAAGAGGGCCTGGGATAGGGGTGTCCTTCCTGATTCCTGCCCTCCACTGTAAAACTTGCCCAGGGAGTGGGACTCTACCAAGAAGATGTTCTCTGGGAAGATGCACTGAGTTTGGGCACTCCCCAGGAGTAGTGCCAGTGGGGCTGGGCTGAGGTGCAAGAGGAATCAGAACAATCTCCAAGGCCACCTCCAGCTGTCAAACACAAGGACTCAGTGGTTCTGTACCACACATGCCTCTTGCTAACCAATGCAGTCAAGGCATCATCCACTCTGCTTTGATCTTCTTGAATCAAGACAGATGAGCTCTGAGCTCCTGGTGTCTACCTGAGTCATTGCACAGTCTGACCAAGTTTTTGCCATTTACAGTGAGCCCCAACCACATAGATGAGGAAACAGGGCTCTGCCTGGCTTCAAATCTTCCTGTGACCAACCATAGACCAACTTCTTTGGGTTCAATGCACACACCTGTAGACTGTGCACATGCATGCACTGACATGCAAGGCACACATGCTCACAGGTCAGGACACACACACAAATCATGCAAGAGCATACAGAAACACATGAATCATAAAAACAGGCTGAAACATGCAAAACTCCGAAAAGCACATGCATGTATAAACTTCACATACATATAATCACAGTCATGCAAACCATATGGACACACATACATGCTCTAAAATGTAACCCCCCATTCCCACCTCCTAGGGAATATTCCAACCCCACTAAACTTTTCATTTCTCTCTGCCATGGCCTCTAACTCCCCCTTGCCTTTGTGTAATCTGTTCCTTATGATGGAATCATTCTTCCCTTCTTTTCCTCACATGGTGGATTCTTAGTAAGCTTCTATATGAGGTACCCGGGGTTGCCATAAAAATTACTACAGACTGGGTGGCTTTAAAACAGCAGAAATTTATTCTCTCACACTTCTGGAGGCCAGAAGTCTGAAATCAAGGTGTCAGCAGGATTGGTTACTTCCTGGAGGCTCAGAGAGAAAATCTGTTCCATGTCTCTCTCTGAGTGCCAGAAAGGTTCTTACCCTTGTCTGAGTGCACTAGGAGGGGCAAAAGGCAGTCAATTGTGGTCTCCCGCCCTCAAGAGCTTCCGGTGGCTGCAATCCTTGGTTTGTAGACACATCACCCCAATCTTACCTCTGTGGTCACATAGCATTCTTCCTGTGTCTGTGTCTGTGTCCCCTCTTCTTAGAAGGACACCAGAGTCTTTCAATTAGGGTGCACACTAATCCAGTGTGACTTCATCTTAACTTGATGACATCTGCAAAGACCCTATTTCTATATAAGGTCACATTGACAGGTACTGGGAGTTAGGACTTGAATATATTTTGGAGGGAGTGGGACACAATTTAACCCTCAACAGACTAAGTCTTTGCCAACTTTTCCTTTCTCCATGAGTTCTTCCCTGATCTGTCTCCCTAGACTGGTTAAAGTCAGGGCCTCTGGCATGTGCTCCCCCATCATGGCACTTAGCTCACTTATTATTATCACTTCTTTAATGGTCTCTCTTCCCAGCTCTGAGGGGCTAGGGCTGTCCATTTCTTACTCACCATCATATCCCCAGCACCTGGCACAGTGCCCAGCTGTGACAGGATCTCAATAAATGCCTGTTGAATTAATTAAACCATTTATTCACATAGTGCCATACATGAACCATAATTCACATGCATGAGCACAGATACCTTACATATGTGTGCAAACATGTAAATCAAGGGTACACACAGACACATGAAATCTATATACAGTGTACACATACATGCCAGGCCCTGAATAGAGTTCAGCAGATTCCAATTAGCCAACCAGTCATGGATGAGTTCCAAGAAAGCCCAACCCTTCTCTAAGTGCACTGGGAGAGGCAAAAAGGGGTCACCTGTGGTCTCCTGCCCTCAAGGGACTGATGGACTAATTGGAAAAACAAGACTAATATATGATGAGAGATACCATAGAATTTAGTTATATTCTGTGAGCTGTGAAAGCTCAGAGGAAGGAGCTCTTATTGTAGGCTGGAGTAGTCCAGAGAGGCTCCCTGGGGGAGGTGAGAGTGGAGCTCAACCTTCCTATGTGGGCAGGATTTGGACAAACAGAGAAGAGAGAGGGGAGAAGGGGAGAGAAAAGGAGAGGCATGAAATCAACATGTACAGCAAAGGCCCAGGGGCCAGTTCATGGGACCAGTCTGATGGAAGGAACCCATGCTAGCAGCTGTGTAAGGAAGGGAGATCTAGATGACAGAGGGCCTCAGTGCCAGTTGGAGGTTCTCCAGCTTGTCACAACACCGGGTAGTCCAGGCTCTATCTGCTAGGTGTGGGGAGCTATTTCTCCAGAGCTTAGTGACCCCAGCTTCAAAGGGCTGGGGGGAAGGCAGGAACATGCTGACTGTGTATCTCAAGCTATGGGAGCATGAGGCAGGCCCTGGGAGGACTCCTCCTCCTCAGGAAGCCCTGAGTGGCAGCAGCACCTGCTAGAAAGGCAGAGTCAAGCCCAGTGACTCCCTGCCTGGGAGAGGTATGTGACGAGCTCGCAGAAAGCTTCAGGGACACCTTTGTTGGCAAAGCAGCTCCTGTCAGCCCCCAATGACAGGGTGGGTATGGGTGGCCATCAGGTGGAGAGAAAGCCTCTCAAAGCTCCTTCCCAGCCCCAGAGCCCTGACACTAGCAGGTCCCTTGAGACAGGCCTTAGAGCTCCTGGCCTCTCATGACTCTAGCTTTCTGGCCTCAGAGCCCCAGTGGTGACAACACCCAGCTAAAGCACTGAGTTGAGCTGCGGGAAGTGGCAAGAGTCCTGCCTATGAAGTATTTTGCAACATTTAAGAGCAGGAGCTCTGGACATTTGGATTCAAATCCCAGCTCCACGCCATTCTTGCTGTTTGTTCTTGGGCAAGTACTCAACCACTCTGAGCCTGCATTTCCTCATCTGTAAAATGGGGATAATTGTAGCTCTCTCCATCAAGGTTATGATGCTTGAGTGACTCTCACTAACTATTCAGGAAATGGGAGCTACGTATTTGTCTAAATGCTCCGATTCCATCTGCATTAATATTAGTGGCTGATGTGCAGTCAGAGCCCAGGACATCCGATCTCAACTCAAAAGGCAGACAGGAAAACCTCACAGGTTGTCCAGGCTGCAGAAAAACACCTTAGTATATAGGCATCTAAGCACCTTTCTCAGGTCCTGCCACAGAGCACAGCAATGTCCCCTGCCCCTCTCCCATGCCTCCCACAGCCCAGGGGACCCGAAGTAGACAACGTAGTGAAAGCTGATGAGGTATCTGTTTCATGGCCATAGCATGCCCTGCCCAACTGGGCCTGAGCCTCTTTCTGACTGGGGTGTATCCTGGGGCTTTAGCCTAAGCTCAGATAAGGCCAAGAAGTAGAGAGAAGAGACTTAGAAAGGAAGAGGGGGCAGCAGTACCTGCCTCTCATAAGAGAGGCTTTGGAGATGGTGAATTTCTTTTTTTCAATACAGAAAGAAATGATCATTTGTCATCTAGGTTTAGGAATCCTGCAGCAACAGAGAAGGGGCCTGGGAAGTCAATATAAGGCCTCTATCACCCTTCAGGCCTCTGTCTGACCTTGAAATTGTCCATGTCCTAGGGATTTGGGGCCAGGAAGTAGTGGTTGCCATGGAAACTTGGAGAAGCTCCCAAGAAGAGAGTGGAGACTGCAAGGAAGAGAAGCGGGGCCAGAGGTTAGAAAAGAGAAAATTTGGCTTGGGCCTGGGTCCTTCCTACTGTGGACACCACTTCCCCGTCCCTTCATGCATTGCTCAGAAAGGCCCCAGTAGCGAGTAGGGGAGAGGTAGGCAGTAAGTTCTGTGTTTGAAAGGTGAAGTGATGTTCTTGAATCTATAGTGATGGGGTTCTGGAAAACCCTGGGGCACCTGGGTGGGTCACTGAAGAAGATCTGGGCAACCAGGTGGAGCTGGAGCCAGGCAAAGGGTGATATTCACCAGCTCCTGGACATCTGTAGCTACTGGCTGTTCAGACAACATGGGAGACAGCCCTCCTGCAAGAAGCAGGAGCAAGGTGAGTGGTCCAGTCCAAGTAAGCACTGGAAATGTGAAAACGGATGATCACCCCTGCTGGAGGGCTGGCCGGCTAAGCAGGCTCAATGGAGAGGGAAGAACAAGAAGAAGCCCACAACTGGACAAAAAGGACAGATGGAGGGGACAACACGAAGGGAGCCAGAGGATAAGGGAGGAGAGTTAAGGGAACACGCAGACAAGAAAGATCTAGGGCAGGTGGACATGGGCCATTCCCCAGGCCACAGGGACTCAGGGATCTCTCACCCACATCCATCCAGAAGGCCAAAGACAGCCTCATAAAGGGGTGACAAGGCTTTCCTGGCAGTCCCCTTCCCAGCTCTTCCTAAGGACTCAGTCTGCTAATTTGATACCATTTATTCAAGCTTACCCATGGCCAGCCACAAATCCTAGATTACTGAGGAATCAGAGGCCAATTTTCTGGGCTTGCTTTAAGGTGAAATAAGGCACTCACAACTCTAGATAGCCAAGCTCCTAGAAGAACTCATCCTAGAGTGGTGCGCAAGCCCAGGAATGTCAGAGCCCACTCTTGAACTTCTCCTCCTCTCTCAACAACCAGTCCCCAATTTCCTAGCCAAGACACAGTGGGATATGCGGGGGTGGGGTGGAGGCAGTCCTAGATGTCTTTTTCTCTTCTTTCTCTTTGGCCCCAGAGAACCCTGTCCTCCAGGCTGCTGGGCCCCAGGGAGCCTCTGTGAAACCCCATTTCCTCTCCATTCAATGACAAAGTCCCTCCCCTCAGACTCTCTGACTTCTGTCCCACATCCTGAGCATTTCTAGGCCAGAACCTCCAGCCACCAGGATCACAGAAGCCTGTCGGCCCTGCAGCTCCAAGCAGGCAGAAACGCTAATTGGTGTTAATGGAGACCAGGCCAGAAACTCACAAAAGATCCCCTCTTCCTGACCAGAGCCAGGCCTGGGGCACAGCCAGGCTGCTGGCTTCTGCTATCTGCTAGTAGGAGGAGGGGATGACGTGGGGGAGAGTGCGCAAGAGTGGGGTGACCCTCTGGGGCTCCCCTCACCTGAGCCTCCTATACACTCAGCAAGAGGCTGGCTTTTCTTGCGGCCCCTTAAAACAACTCCTCAGGTAGACCAGAGCACCTTAAGTACTTTGCCCCCTCAAAGCCTGCCCTATATGCTTATTTTAATCTAATCTTGCTTGGAACAGAAAGCTCTGAAATCAGACTGCCTGTGTTGGTATCCCAGTAACACACCCTAATATGTGCGAACTTGGACCAAGAATGGTGCCTCTATTTTCTTGTCTGTGAAAAGGGAGTAATACTACCTACCTCACTGGGTTGTTGTGAAGATTAAATGCTATCCAGAAAAAGCTCCTAGCATAGTTCCCAGCATGTAGTAAGCACCCGCTCAATGAATGGTAATTGTAGTTCTATGATTATGATTATTATTTCTTGGGCTCAGTTCCCTTTGTTGTGGGAAGTTCCTGTTCCAAGACTTCGACACCGAACATAAAGAATGGAATAGAGCAGGCACCCCAGAGAAGTTTGTTGAATAGATGAAAGGAAGAGAGAGAGGGAGGAAGGGGGGGAGGGGAGGAAGTAGAGGGGGAGGAAGGGAGGGAGGGAGGGAGGGAGGAAAGTGGATGCATTTATCAGAGGTAAAACCACTCTTATAAGTAGATCACTGTTTAACACTCCATCTAATAGACCGTCTGTCATTGCCTATAATTTTACCAATGTTGACTAATTCCTTTGAGTAAAGCACTGCCCTCTTCCCATTGAATCCCTTTAAAATGCAAACTGTCACACTTTAGTTTGAATGAATTATAAGATTGACTGAGAAGAGATAGTTTGAAAGCACTAGAGCCTCCGTGGGGAAGATGGGAATTTTGACATGGAAAGTGCCAAAGGAATGGAACAATTTTATAGGAGGCTGGCTCTAAGAAAATTGAGTGCAGGACACTGCAATTTCCCTTAGTAACAGTTCAGATCTGGCTGAACCTCATATTCAAGAATGTCTTTCCTTGTCTCTGTCCCAAATCCCTCATGCTGTGGATTATAGGACAAAATGATCATCTATTTCTCCACGTTATGGGCCCAGCACAGAAGGTATGACTGTATTTGTTCCTGGAGATTTCTTTTTCTCATGGCAGGAACTATCCATATGCAATCTCAATCCTAAAGTGATTTTCATTTGCCGGGGAAATTTGAAGACTATCTCTTGCCAGTCTGAGGTTAAACACAGAGGGAAATCTAAATGCAATTTTCCTGTTTGAGAAGCAGTTACAATATTTTTAAGCAATTGAAGCTTCAAAATTTCAAATGCAATGTGCAGTTAGGCCTCAGCTACAGGAGCTACAGATTTTTCAAAGTTTACAAAACAGTGGAATATCTCACTGGCTTCTCCCTGAAGCTGAGTCTTTGACTGTTTCATAAATGAAGATGTTCTGGGAGACTTGGTGCAGTTTTATTGGCGTTCGGCTTTTGGCTGGGGCCTTTTAAAGTAAATGTTACATGGGGAAAACGTAAGAGGAAAGATGTTATAACAAAGTGTCAGAGCAATAACACGTTTTTAATAGCATTATTTATCAGCATTTATTGGTGTTTGGAGTTAACAAACACTCTGGTCCATCCCCAATGAGCGTTTGCAGTAAATTTAAAGAACTTGTTTTGCCTTTGGCACAGTGAAGATGACCCAACTAGGATCCTTGTGTCATTTTACACAGATGGTCATGGGCAGAGACCAACTTTTGGAGACGGGGGCTGAGAGCATACAGATACCCTTAGCCAGTTCTCATATTTTCCCTAACCCATTTTCCATGGCTGGAGAGCCCAGTTGCTATGGTCTAAATGTTGGTTTCTCTTCAAAATTCATAAGTGGAATACCTAATCACCAATGTGATGGTATTAGAGTTAGGGCCTTTGGGGATGATTAGATCATGAGGATTAGTGCCCTTATAAAAGAATCCTCTTGGCCAGGCACAGTGGCTCATACCTGTAATACCAGCATTTTGGGAGGCTGAGGCAGGAGGATTGCTTGAGCCCAGGAATTCAAGACCAGCCTGGGCAACATAGCAAGACCCCATGATATAGTTTGGATATGGGTCCCCACCCCAAATCTCATGTTGAATTGTAATCACCAGTATTGGAAGTGGGGCCTGGTAGGAGCTGATTGGATCAAGGGGATATATTTCTCATGAATGATTTGGCACTATCCCCTTCTTGGTGCTGTTCTCATGATAGTGAGTTCTCATGAGATCTGGTTGTTTAAAAGTGTATGGCACCTCCCTGCCTCTTTCTCTCTTACTTTTGCTCTGGCCATGTGATGTGCCTGCTCCCCCTTTACCTTCTGCCATGACTGTAAGTTTCCTGAGGCTCCCCTAGAGGTTGAGAAAATTCCAGCATCATGCTTCCTGTACAGCCTGCAGAACCATGAGCCAATTAAACCTCTTTTCTTTATTAATTATCCAGTCTCATCACCTAAGGTCAGGAGTTCGAGACCAGCCTGGCCAACATGGTGAAACCCCATCTCTACTAAAAATACAAAAAAAAAAAAAAAAAAAGATAGCCAGGTGTGATGGTGGGCACCCGTAATCCCAGCTACTTGGGAGGCTGAGGCAGGAGAATTGCCTGAACCCGGGAGGTGGAGGTTGCAATGAGCCAAAATCACGCCATTGCACTCCAGCCTGGGTGACAAGAGTGAGACTCTGCCTCAAAAAAAAAAAAGAAAAAAGAAAAGAAAAAATTATCAGTCTCAAGTATTTCTTTATAGCAATGCAAGAAGGGCCTAATACAGAAAATTGGTACTGAGGAGTGGGGCATTGCTACAAAGATACCTGAAAATGTGGAAGCAGCCTGAATCCCAGAACTTTGGGAGGCCAAAATAGGCAGATCACTTGAGGTCAGTACATTGAGATCAGCCTGGCCAACGTGGTGAAACTCTGTCTCTACTAAAAATACAAAAATGAGCTGGGCATGGTGGTGCATGCCTGTAGTCCCAGCTACTTGGGAGGCTGAGGCACAAGAATCGCCTCTGGGAGGTGGAGGTTGCAGTGAATTGAGATCGCACCTCTGCATTCCAGCCTGGGCAACAGAGTGAGACTCTGTCTCAAAAAAAAAAAAAAATGTGGAAGTAACTTTGGCACTGGGTAACAGGCAGAGGTTGGAAGAGTTTGGAGCCCTCAGAAGAAGACAGGAAGATGAGGGAAAGTTTAGAACTTCTTAGAGACTGGTTAAATGGTTGTGACCAAAATGCTTATAGTGATATGAACAATGAAGGCCAAGCTGACAAGGTCTCAGATGGAAATGAGAAACTTAGTGGGAATTGGAGCAAAGGTCAAGCATGTTATGACTTAGCAAAAAGCTTGGCTGGACTGTGTCCATGCCCTAAGGATATGTGGAAGTTTGAACTTGAGAGTGACGACCTGGGGGCTGGGCCTGATGGCTCACGCCTATAATCCCAGCATTTTGGGAAGTGGAGGTGGGTGAATTGCTTGAGCTCAGGAGTTCAAGACCAGCCTGGGCAACATGACAAAACCCGATTTTTACACAAAATATAAAAATTAGCTGGGCATGGTGGCTTGTGCCTATAGTCCCAGCTCCTCAGGTGTCTGAGGTGGGAGGATCACTTGAGCCTGGAAGGTGGAGGCTATAGTGAGCTGGGATCACACTACTGAATTCCAGCCAGGCAACAGAGCCAGACCATGCCTCAAAAACAGAGAGAGAGAGAGAGGACGTGATGACCTAGGGTATCTGGAGAAATTTCTTTCTTTCTTTCTTTTCTTTTCTTTTTTTTTTTTTTTGAGACCGAGTTTCGCTCTTGCTGCCCAGGCTGGAGTCCAATGGTGTGAGGCTCACTGCAACCTCCGCCTCCCAGGTTCAAGCAATTCTCCTGCCTCAGCCTCCCAAGTAGCTGGGATTACAGGCATGTGCCACCACAGCCGGCTAATTTTGTATTTTTAGTAGAGACGGGGTTTCTCCATGTTGGTCAGGCTGGTCTTGAACTCCCGACCTCAGGTAATCCACCCACCTTAACCTCCCAAAGTGCTGTGATTATAGACGTAAGCCACTGCAACCAGCCGAGAAAGAAATTTCTAAGCAGCAAAGTGTTGAGCAACAAGTGGCTTGGCTGCTTCTAACAGTCTATGCTTAGATGTGGGAACAAAGGAAAGATTTGAACTTGGAACTTATATTTAAAAGGGAAGCAGAGCATAAAAGTTTGTAAAATTTGCAGCCTGGCCATGTGACAGAGAAAGAAAAGGTTTTTTTTTTGGTTTGTTTGTTTGTTTTTGAGAGAGGAATTCAAGGAGGCTGTGGAGCAACCACTTGCTAGAGAGATTGCACACACACACACACACACACACAAACACACACAAACACACACAAGCCAAGAGCTAATAGCCAAGGCAATGGGGGAAAGGCCTTGAAGGCATTTCAGAGACCTTCCTGGCAGCTTGTCCCATCACAGGCCCTGAGGTCTAGGAGGGAAGAATGGTTTCATGGGCCAGGCTCACGAACCCCACTCCCCTGCACAGCCTCAGGACACTGGCTACTCAGGTCCAACCTCTGCTCCAAGGGGCCCAAGTACAGTTTGTCTGCAGCTCCAGAGGGTGCAGGCCTTAAGCTCTGGCAGCTTCCACGTGGTGTTAAGCCTGCAGGTGCACAGAGTGCAAGAGTTGAAGCTTGGAAACCTCCACCTAGATTTCAGAGGATGTATGAGAAAGCTTGGGTGCCCAGGCAGAAGCTTGCTTCAGGGGCCTCATGGAGAACTTCTGCTAGGGCAGTGTGGAGGGGAAATGAGGCATTGGAACCCACACACAGAGTCCCCACTAGGGCACTGCCTAATGGAACTGTGAAAAGAGAGCCACCATCCTCCAAACCTCAGAATGGTAAATCCACTGACAGCTTGCACCCTGTACCTGGAAAAGCCACGGGTACTCAAGGCCAGCCTGTGAGAGCAGCCTTGGGGGCTGAACCCTGCAAAGCCACAGGGGCAGAGCTGCCCAAGAACTTAGGAGCCCACTTCTAACACCAGTATGCCCTGGATGTAAGATATGGAGTCAAAGGAGATTATTTTGAAGCTTAAAGATTTAATGACTGTCCTGCTGGGTTTCAGACTTGCATGGGGCCTGTAGCCCCTTTCTTTTGGCTGATTTCTTCCTTTTGAAATGGGAGTGTTTACTCAATGCTTGTACTCCCATTGTATCTTGGAAGTAACTAAACTGTTTTTGATTTTACAGGCTCATAGGTAGAAGGGACTTGCCTTGTCTCAGATGAGACTTTGGACTTTGGACTTTTGAGTTAATGGTGGAATGAGTTAAAACTTTGGGGAAGGCATGATTGTATTTAGAAACATGAGAAAGATATGAGATTTGGGAAGGGCCAGGGGTGGAATTATGTGGTTTGGTGATGTGTCCCCACCCAAATTTCATGTTGAATTGCAATCCCCAGTGTTGGAGGTGGGACGTGGTGGGAGGTGATTGGAGCATAGGGGTGGATTTCTCATGAATAGTTTTGCACCATTCCCTTGGTACTCTTCTCATGATAGTGAGTGAGTTCTCATGAGATCTGTTGCTTAAAAGGGTGTGGCACCTCCAACCCCAACTGTTGCTCCTGCTCTGGCCATGTGAAGTGCCTATTCCTCCTTCACCTTCTGCCATGATTGTAAGTTTCCTGAGGCCTTCCCAGAGGCTGAGCAGATGCCAGCATCATGCTTCCTGTAAGGTCTGCAGAACCATGAGCCAATTATACTCTTTTCTTTATAAATTACCCAGTCTCAGGTATTTCTTTATGGCAATGAGATAATGGCCTTATACACCCTATCTCTTAAAAAAAAAGCACACACACAAGAAATGAAAAAGGAGGCCCTAGAGAGCTGCTTTGCCACTTCCACCATGTGAGGACTAGTGACAAGGCACCATTCTATGAACCACAAAGTAAACGCTTACCAGCCACTGAGTCTGTTGGTGCCTTGATCTTGGACTTCCCAGCCTCCAGAATTGCGAGGAATAAGTTTCTGTTGTTTATAAGCCACCCAGCTTATGGCATTTTGTTATAGCCGCCCGAACAGACTAAAACACTAGTCTACTTCCTGAATTACTCCCAGGCCTCAACATGAACCCCACCCACTACAGCAAGTAGACAGAGGGCTCTGAAGACACGTGAATTATGCTGTCTACTCTGTCCACCACGGCTACCAAACAGGTAGCCACAGGTGACCCATCTCCATAGCCACAGCTGATTGGGCCATTATCTGTCACCTGGTAGATAAGTAGTGGCCTGGTGAAAGGAAATAGATGAATTGGGCCAATCTAATGTCTTTCTAGGGAATCTAAGCAGGCAAGCATAAGAAGAATGAGGAGTTGACAGGGTGTGATGGACATGTGTTGTTTTTGCCTGCCTAGCACTCATTTCACATGTTTTTCTGGTGATAGCACCCCAATATTCCTTGGGGTACAGTCCTAGAGTTTAGATGAGCTAGTCTCACCTAAGAGTTTAAGTGAGGTAGTCTCACCCCAGATTCTGCAATAAGACCCTAATTCCCAGGCCTGACCCAGTCAGTAGATTTTATCCTCTCACCACAATGATGGGCTCAGGATGGGGAAGTGAATTAATTAAGATATTGATCAAGCTACTGTAACAAAGAGGCCCAAATAACAGGGCTAAAGCAAGATTAAAATTTAATTCTTTCTCATATAAAAGCTCAAGTAGATATAGTAGTTCTGCTCCACAAAAGTTCTCAGAATCCCAAGCTCCTTCTATTTTGTTGCTCTGCCCCCTCTGGGGGGTGACACTTACCACCACCATGACCACATTTCAGCCAGCCAGAAGGCAATAAAAAGGAAGGGGAAGCACAACAATTTCTTTTAGGGGAACAGCCCAAAAGTTACACACATCATTTTTGCTCATGTATGATTAGCCAGAATTTAGTCCTAAAGCACAACTAATTGCAAGAAAGGCCATCTTGCCAACTAAAATATTCTACCACATTGGAAGAAAAGGGGAACAGCTGTTGTCAGGCAACCAGGAGCCTCTGCCATAGCAACCATCCCATCAACAAGATGGGAAAGTCTGCCCAGAGATGTAGTTAACACAGTGGAAAGAATAGATGAGAGATGGCAAGAATATTATCAAGGCCCAGAGACCTAGCCATGCTGAAGTCCAGCTCTACCTTTGATTTTTCATATATGAGCCAAAAATTTTCTTCTTTTCCCTTTTGCTTCAACTACTTTGAATTGGGTTTCTAGCAATTGACACTAAAGAATTCTGGCTAATTAATGGCAAAATCAGAAGGTAAAATGTCATAAGGGAGAAAGAGGGCAAAAGGACCATAAGGGGAAGCCAGAGTCATGAGGAAACAGGAATCTCAAGATGGAAAAGCAGGCCAGGTGTGGCAGTTCATGCCTGTAATCCCAGCACTTTGGGAGGCCAGGGCAGGCAGATCACTTGAGGCCAGGAGTTCGACACCAGACTGGCCAACATGGCAAAACCCCATCTCTACCAAAAATACAAAAAATTAGCCGGGTGCGGTAGCTCACACCTGTAATCCCAGCTACTTGGGAAACTGAGGCAGGAGAATCACTTGAACATGGAAGGCAGACGTTGCAGTGAGCCGAGATCACGCCATTGCACTCCAGCCTAGGTGACAGAGTAAGTCTCTAGTCTCCAAAAAAAAAAGAAAGAAATTAGTTGGGTGTGATGGCACATTCCTGTAGTCCCAGCTACTCAGGAGGGTGAGGAGGGAGGAGAATTTGAGCACAGGAGGCAGAGATTGCAGTGAGCTAAGATCACACCACTGCACCCCAGCCTGGACAACAGAGTAAGACTTCACCTCAGAAAAAAAAAAAAAAAAAAAAAAAGAGGGACACAAAAGCAAAAGCCACAATACATAGAAAATGGGTGGTGAGAGGAGAAGAGGCAGACACAGAGAGAAGCTAAATTACTTGAGCTACCACCTCTTCCTCCAAAGGTCCTTCCTCTAAGCCACTCCGAGGTTCAAATAACCTAGTTCAGTTACAATGTGTATGGAAAGTTGTGTTATTGGTCAAAATATTTGCTGTTCCTCCCTTGGGTGCCCTTTCTGAAAGTGGAACATACTTCCCATTGATGAGAGGCCTGCCATGCGATTTGCTTTGGCCAATAAAATATGAGGGAAAGCTTTAAGAATCAGTGTGCTCCTCTATTGGCCTGGGCTCCAGAGTGAAGAAAGCAGGGGAGCAGAGCTGCAGCTGACCCATGACAGATATGTAATATAGGGGAGAAATAAACATTTGTCATAGGCCTCAGGGATTTGGGGACTGTTTGTTACTGCAACATAATGTAACCCACACTGACTGATACACAGCCTATATTTACAGCAGTTCCTGCTCATCTTGTAGCCTGATTATTCATCTTTTCCTGGATTTTCAGGCACATATTTCCTTACAGTCTTCCCTCACCTATTCCTTTTTTTTTTTTTTTTTTGAGATGGAGTCTCGCTCTGTCACCCAGGCTGGAGTGCAGTGGCGCAATGTCTGCTCACTGCAAGCTCTGCCGTCTGGGTTCACGCCATTCTCCTGCCTCAGCCTCCCGAGTAGCTGGGACTACAGGCGCCTGCCACCACACCCAGCTAATTTTTTTGTATTTTTAGTAGAGACGGGCTTTCACCGTGTTCTCCAGGATGGTCTCGATCTCCTGACCTTGTGATCCACCCACCTCGGCCTCCCAAAGTGCTGGGATTACAGGCCTGAGCCACTGCGCCCGGCCTTCCCTCACCTATTCTTATAACCAACAAGAAATAAGCCTTAAACAGTCTTCCTGATATGTAATATTATTCTGGAGAGCGCTATCCCTTAAGCCAGGAATTACAGGACTGATGTTTCATGATCAAGTATCCCTTTTTACCAAGTCCCTTTCCAACTCCTAATCTCCAAAACTTCCTGTAGCCTCAAGAGAATGTGGAATAAATAGATCTGATTATTATAAAACTGCACAATTGCATGATTTAAAGTAATTTTATTTTACTGAATTTCATGTTTATAAATTTTAAAGAATTTCTTTAAAACAAAATCAGAAATGGTTCATTTTACAGATGCTGACTTCTCAAACTTAAGAGAGTCATAGATTTGAGTACATACTGCACTAGTGATGATAATGATGATACAGACATAAATTTATGCAGAACTTTCATATTTCCAAAACATATCACACATTTGCTTGCTTTAAATTCACAACAGCCTGCAAATATTATTCCCATTTTACATATATGGAGACTGGGGATGAGAAAGTTAAAGGAACTCTTTACAAATTATGGAGGTGGTACTGTATCTCCCAGCACCTTGTTCTTCTGCTGCTTTTCCTCCACCTGCTACATCTGTCATAGCAGGCACTTATAGGAAAGGGGGGCACCTACCTCCATGACAGAAGCTGGGGAGGGGTAGTCAGAGACATCCCTGAGTTGAATAAATAAGTGAATACATGAATATATGACTAACTGAATGGATGCATGAATGGATGGGTGGACGATAGATAAATTGATGAGTGGATTGATGGGCAGATTAATGGATCTATGGGTGGGTGGATGATGAATGGGTGAATCTCTTTTGTTTGGATGAATGGGTAGATGGATGGATGGGATTCCTGTGGTCTCAGAGAAAAGGCAGTGGTGTTCTCTCAGTGTCTAGAAAGTGTGTACAGACACTTATAATACTCTACCAGCCAGAATTCCTTATGCTTAGCCATATCTTAACCCTGCCTGCCCAGGTATTTCAATCATCCTTCATCCTCAAGAAAATAGAATATCTTTCAGCCATAAGGTTGTCTATTTCTACTCTCCAACTTACTAGCCATGTTTACTGTACCTCTCCCTGCCTCAGTTTATTCACCCGTAAAATGGAGATGAAAATAACATCTCATTCATAGAGTTGGAATACATAATATATAGATAGATCATTTAGTAAAGTACCTAACATATCATAAATTCTCGATAAATAATAACTATCACCCTTAATATTCCCTAAAGTTCAGAATGGTTGCCTGTGAAAATCAAAGTGAGTCCCCACTCACTAAGCATGCCATATGGTCATTATGGTCTTTAGCCCTTTTTCATTAGTGGTGGAATCTGCAATCATACAATAACCTTTATTTTATTACACAGCCCTTGGAAATTGAGGGTTTCATCTGTGTCAATTAATTCCTTCGCAGCCCACATTGGCAGTGACAATCAGAATGTCAAAATGTCTCAGAGGATTTCTAGGAAATCTGTGGCACTTCACGAAGAGGCTGCCCCGGGTGAGAGACCAGCCAGAGTGAATCGTTAATACACTTCCCAGGAAGGGGGATTCTTCTGAAATGCTAATACAATCAACTGCAAGGCAAACTTCAAGCTTCTTTTTCAGTGATCAGAGAGGCCCTCCCAGAGCAAGGATGCTCTCCACTGTGCAAGCTAAAGGCCCTACTTTCTCACCCAGCCTTTTCTGGGGAGGAGAAACACATCCTCACCACATTGCAGCTGCCCTGCGAGGGCTGCAGGTATTGTGTGTCCCCACCAGCCAGGGCAGTTCCCAGACAGACTCTGGCTGCCTGGACCCAGGTCTGCTCCAAGGAAGCAGCACGTTTCTGGAGGAGGCTTAGCCAAGAAACCATTACGGAGTGAGAGAGGAGTTATCTGGATAAATGCGGAACTGCCCAACTCCTAGCATTTGTTCCTGGGACCCAGGCTGTAACATCCTCTGGAGCCAAACTGCCTCTGTTCAAACCCTTGTCCCCGCACTCCACCTCCTAGCTGTGTGGCACTGTGTGCATTACTTAACTTTGCATGCCTTACTTTTTCCATTTGTAAAATGCATATAATAATAAATCCTACCTCCTAGGGTTGTGTGAGGATTTAATGATTTAATAAATAAAAAACACTTAGAACAATTCCTGGCACATGGAAAGCATGTATAAAATGTTAAGTATTATTATTCATTCTTTCATACATTCCCTCATTCATGCATTTATTAGTCTTTCCACTCATCCACTGATTCCTGCACTCATGCATGCATACATCCAACATTCCTATCTGAACCCTTATTAACGAATGAGGTCATGTTAAAAGTGAATAATAAATATCAAGTTTAGGTTTGAGAGACAAAGAGCTACCAAGAGTAGCCTGGGAAAGGTGTCCTAAACCTCTGCTTTGTGCAGGCACCATGCTTAAAACCTCCAACCGCATGCATTTGCTCATGTGGTTTTGTCTCCTCAGATGCTTCTCTCCCCCTTCTTCTGCCCCTCTAAACCCAGAAAACCCTTACTTATCCTCCAAGGCCCAGTTCAAGGGTTATCTCCTGGGTGAAACTTTTCCAGCTTCCGGGCATAACTATTCCCCATCTCCTTAATGAGTAAACGACTGATAGAATGAATAAAGGCTCCCACAGCTCTGTGTTCATGTTGATGTTACAGCCTGTATCACCTTGGATTATAATTAATTGCTCATGCTTCTCCTGCCTGGAACACTCCCCCTTAAGCAGCCTGCTTCTATTTATCCTTCAAGCCTTAGTTTAGACGTCACTTCTTCCAGGAAGCCTTCTTTGACTTGCCAAATATAGTCTTGGGGCCTCTCCTGCAAGTCCCAACAGCCCCTGTTCCTCCCCCATCACCACCCTGGCCATACTGTAAGGTCATTCCTGCCTTGCCTGACTGAGGCCTCTGTGGGACTCCATCCTCTGTGAGACCAGGGGTCAGGTTGGTCTTGCTTACCACGACATTCCCAGCACCCAGTCATGTCATGTACAGTGTCTACAATATGATTGGCACCTCCAGAAGGTTGTGCAGCATGCAACTCTGTATGGCAGCCCTGCCCTGGAAAGGTGCCTGACACCGAATAACCAGACAATAAGTATCTGGTGAATTTATAGATGGTGGCTAAGCTTGGAAACCCCCAGGTTCCTGTGTCAGGTGTCACTCTCATTGCCCCTCCAGGACCCTCTGGGAGGAGCAAAAGTGTTGCAGGTTCTCCCCCTCCTCCTCCTTCAGGAGCTATTCTGTGTTTGGAAAGCTCTCAGCACCTTAAGGTAAGTGGGGTGTCAATAACAGATGGCATGGAATAGGGTGGTGTAAAGGGAGGCCAGTGTCCTGAGCCTGAAAATAAGGAAGCCACTACTCTCACCCAAATAACAGAAAACTGAGTGCTTCCAGCAGATCACATAGGCTCCGCCCCTGGCCCCCCTCCAGCTCTGACAGAAGACACCTGAAGCTCCTCCTTCTCAAAACATTTAGGTGTTCCAGCACTGAACCCTCAGAAGGCAGAAAAGAGAAGTGGTTAAGACAGAGCAAGCCACATTTCTAATTCCAGCCTCACCTCGTTGTTAGCTGTGTGGCTTTAGGCAGATTGCCCAGCCTTTCTGAGCTTCATTCCCTCATCTGTTTACGGATAATACTTCACAGGGGAGGTATGAAGATTAAATAAAACAACACATATAATATACCTGGCCCAGAGTAAATATTCCAGGAATATTTGCTATTATTATTATTATTTAACATTTTTTCAGATTCAGATGGAAGCTCAGAACAGATGTATAATATGGCTTTGATCCATCCACGCCTCAATCTATCTCCTTATTGAGGCCCAGAGGAAAAGTGGGATTTGTCAGAACCACATCTGGCATAGACACAGAACCTTCCAAAATGATGTTCTTCCTGCTGCATTATCAGTAAAATGTCACTGTTGAGTGAGAACTTACTTCATTTCTTCCCTTGGCATCTGAAGGCTACATACATGGTGTAGGACGAGCCTGGACTCTGGATTGAAATTCTGCATATGTTTGGCACTTTCCAGCTGTGTGACTTTGGGTGAGTTGCTTAGCCTCTCTGAGCGTCACAGTCCTCATCTATAAGATGAGAAGAAGAATAAAATAGTTCCTCCCTTAAAGTGAAGAATCGGTAAGATGATCAGGAAATATAAGGACCTCACTTAGTACACTAAGTAACTGGCTTAGAGTAACAGACTAATAATTGTTCACTACTATTATTTTATTAGCAAGTCTTAGGGTATAAGGCTGTTGGGGAATAGAGAAATTTAAATTATGTCCTTGACTGAGGCTTTTATTCTTCCTGGAAGTCCAGGCTTTGGTGCTCCCAATATGGGAACAGCCCCATTCCCATCTCAGGACTGAGGACTTCCCCTCTCCCCATGTTGGGATTCCTCCCCATCCCCCTCCATGTTGCACCTCCTACCTCTCCCAGGCAAGCTGTGGCCTGCCTCATCCTTCCTGGTGTCTCTCACCAGGAAACACATTCTTTCTCCCACATTCTGGGGCCTGTGAGCTACAGTTCTTATCAATGCCAAAGGAACCCAGGCTCTTGCAAGCTGGGCTGGCTGCACGAGCTTGCTCTGTCTCCTGCAGGCAGAAGAAACCTGCTTTCACAGTATTGGATGTCAGCACGCTGCTGGGTGGCTTCTGTGCGTTTTGCTCTACCTGTCTGCAGCCAGAGATGGTGGCTGATCCTTGGGGATGTCCAAGTGGCCTGGGTTTTGTTCTCAAGTTGGCATCACCTGCTCTCAGTCCAGTGTCATCGAGAGAGCTGTTTATCCTCCTACGTCCCAGAATAGCCAGGAAATTGTGGGGGTCCCTGTGCTCTGTCATACCTGGGAGGCGGTATCCCACAAGAAGGGACTGGGGGATTGCAGGAGAGAGGACACCTGGTCCCACCCCTGGCCCTCACACCTCCCACCAGCTTCTCTTCCAGGAGCAGATCTGGGGGCCCCCACCTCCAGGTGCCCAGAGGCCTGAGAAGTTGTCGAAACCGCAGAACCTGACGTGTATAACTGCAGGAGACGCCAGCCGTCTCCTCCTGGTGCGGGCTAAAAATACAGAGGAGCAAGGGGCCTTGGTAATGGAGACTTTAAGAGCCTGTGACATGCAGCAACGGCTGCGCGGCCGCTAATGAGCTCCAAGCCGATCGATGCTGGCGCTTCAAGTGAGTGTGTGGGCTGGGAGCAGGGATGGGGGTGTCACTCAGCATTTGTCCATCCTAGCTGAGAAATCTGGAATGTTGGTGTGGGCCAGGAGCTTGGAGACCAGCTCAAGTGACCCCTTGACATTCAGATGGAGAGACTGAGGCCAAGTGACAGGAAGTGGGAAGACACATCAGAAAGAGGTTGAGGCCTCAAGGGACTCCAGCCTGACCTCTGCAGTAGGCTCCCTGCCCTGTTCCCAGCTCTGTGCTTCAGAGCCCAGCACAGAACCTGCATGTGGAGACCCTGGCAAATGGGTGATAATTGACCAAATGAATGAGAGTGAGTGAGTGAGTGAATCAATAAACATCTTCTTCACTGCAGCATGGCTCCCCAGTGATGGGGACTGTAATTTCATCATCCTATTGCTCTAGGAGTACCTGGCACAGAGTAGGCACTCAAAAACTGCTTGCTGCATGAATGAGCACCTAATCTGCTTCTTGATCTACCCGTTTCCTGAGTGTGGAGACAAGGAAGCCTGTAAAAATTGTGCCTGAGGTCTCTTTTCAGTGGTCCTACTACTCAAAAATGGTAGATTTCTACCTACCAGAGAGAATAAAAAACAACACAGCAGACATTTATTAAGTACTCAGCAGGCACAGTATTAAGAACTGTTCACAAAATATCTCATTTAGTCCTCACATCAATCTATGAGTTAAGTTCAATTTTTATACCCATTTTAAACAGGATAAACAGGAGAGAGCCAAGGGAGCTCTGAAAGGTGGTGTGGCTTGCCCTGAGTCATGCATTCCTCTAGGCAAAGGAGGAGCCAGGATTCAAACCCAGGCCAGCCTGCTCTTCCCTCCTTAACCACTGCACTATCCTGCCTCCCTTAAAGTACAGCAGGAGAAGACAGGAGAAGCATGGCCAGAGAAAGCCATGCAGAATGGAGTCAAAAAAATACCTCCAGGGCCTATAAAGTGTTTGATAAATTCCAGGAGAAGAATAGGAAGAAATAATGAGCATTTGTCAGAGCCTTTTATAGCATATAAGATGATTTTCCCTGCATTCTCTCATTTGATCTTCACCACAGGCCTGGGAGGAAGGTATTATCATTATCTACATTTTATTGGTGAGGAAAGTAAGGCTCCCACACCTCTCAGCTAGGGTTGGGCAGGCTGCACACCTGAGGGGGTAGTGGTTCAGTGATAAGGACTCACTTCTCATCTCCTGGAGGCTGCCATAACCTCTCCCCAAATTGTCATTGGCTCAAAGGGAAATCTAGGCTGAGGCTCACATGGCATTTCTGTGTTCTCTATAACCACAGGGGAAAGGCCAGCAGGGCGCAGAGGCCAGACCAAATGCCACCTCCTCCAAGGAGCCTGCCTGGACCTGCCCGCCCTCGGGACTCTTACTCTCCTCTGAGCTGTCCATCTCTTTCATTTCTTTGACAGCCCCTCCCAAGGCAGAGCTTGTTATCTCTGCATCATCTCAAAAAGAATTAGTCAACAAGAGTGACCCTTGGCAGTGGGAAGGTGAACACGTGGTGCAAGAGTTTGCTCAGGCAACAGTGTTATGATGGCTTAAGAACAGAAACTATGTGTGGAGTGAGACCAGAGCCCCTCACGCTCTCCAGGCCCCTCTGACTCTCAGCTACTCTGTTGGCTCCTTGACCTTCGGAGCATGTGGCCAAGATTGGGCACAAAGCGGGTGTGGCAATGCTCTTCCTAATGCTCCCCACAGGAAACACAAATTTAATACAGCATGAGCAAGGGCTGCAAAGAGCTCCTGTCCTACAGCCAGTTCCATTTCTCAAAAGGGAATGGGAGTGTCAGGAAGTGAATGCCCTGTGATTATCTGGAATTTCCTCAGTTCAGCATAGGGTCAGTGGTGTACAGCATGCCTTACTATCTTGGCTTTATGTGCCAATTCAGATGGATGAAAAAGCATTGCTTCGGGTGGGGGGAGGGGGGAGGGATAGCATTAGGAGATATACCTAATGTTAAATGACGAGTTAGTGGGTGCAGCACACCAACATGGCACAGGTATACATATGTAACAAACCTGCACGTTGTACACGTGTATCCTAAAACTTAAAGTATAATAGAAAAAAAGCATCGCTTCTCACTAACTATATAAAAATCAAAACCCAGATTTTATGTGATTGAATTTTTTCAACCCCAGTTACCATATATGATGGGGTATTACAGTCTTTGTGATTGAAAAGGTGAAGCTAGGGCGGGAATGTGCTCCAGCAGGATTCTTGCAGGCTTTCAGCCTATGTGGAGCCCCTGCTAGCTGCCAGGCACTGTATTAGACTTTGAGGATATAGTGCTGAACCAGGCAGACAGTCCCTGCTGTTGGGAATTTCCAGCCTAGGGGACAGACAAGCAGACTTCACAAGATGAAGGCTGGAAGCTCCTGACCCAATCAGGGAAAAGAGAAGGCCTCTGGGGGAGAGGTGGCCCTTGGGCTGAATTCTAAAGGATATACAGGGGCAGATGGTGCAGCAGTTATGAATTCCAGGTCTGGAGTCAGGTAACCTGAGCTGGAACCTGGGCTCTGCCACTTCAAGCTCGTGATCTTGGACAAGTTCCTTGACCTCTTTGTGCCTCAGTTTCCTCATGTGTAAAATAAGCATAGTAATAGCAACTTAGGCTGGGCGCCATGGCTCATGCCTATAATCCCAGCACTTTGGGAGGCCAAGGCAGGTGGATCACCTGAGGTCAGGAGTTTGAGACCAGCTTGGCCAACATGGTGAAAACTTGTCCTACTAAGAATACAAAAATTAGCCGGGCGTGGTGGCACATGTCTGTAATCCCAGCTACTTGGGAGGCTGAGGCAGGAGAATCGCTTGAACCCGGGAGGCAGAGGTTGCGGTGAGCTGAGATCGCACCATTGCACTCCAGCCTGGGCAACAAGAGCAAAACTCCCTCTCAAATAATAATAATAATAATAATAATAACCCCGTAAGGTTGGGAGATAAATGAGTTAATACATAGAAAGCACTTGGAGGCCAGGTGCGGTGGCTCACACCTGTAATCCCAGCACTTTGGGAGGCCAAGGCAGGCAGACCATGAGGTCAGGAGGTTGAGACCATCCTGGCTAACACGGTGAAACCCCATCTCTACTAAAAATACAAAAAATTAGCCGGGTGTGGTGGCGGGCACCTGTAGTCCCAGCTACTCGGGAGGCTGAGGCAGGAGAGTGGCGTGCACCCGGGAGGCGGAGCTTGCAGTGAGCCGAGATCGCGCCACTGCACTCCAGCCTGGGCGACAGAGCAAGACTCCGTCTCAAAAAAAAAAAAAAAAAAACAGTGGCTGGCCAATACTAGGGATCTACTGCATGTCAACTATCAGTATTTTTACCTTGTAGGTTGTTGTGAGGACTAAATAAGATAAAATTGGGTAAGTACTTAACCCAGAGTAAGTGCTCAATAAATGTAAGCTGCTTTTATTTTTGTTATTAAGTAGGCATTTGCCATTACTAGCCAGGTGGGTGGGAGGCGAATCCAAGGCAGAGAGAATAGCATATGCAAAGGCCTGGAGGCCAGACAGAGCCTGGCGCATTTGGCAAAGTTTTGAAGTTCAATTAGACTGGCACAGAGCCTGGGTTCCAGGAGTGATGCAGGCTGGGGCTGCAGAGGTGGAGGCCAGGGCTGGATCTGGAGGTATTGGGAATAGTGAGCCTCCCTCACTCCACAGGCAAGAGTGCTTCTGCTATGAAGCCTTGCCTGCGGTGATGGAGAGGCCAGCAGTATGAGGAGGGTGCTCCACCCTCATCCTCACCTTGCCCAGTGCCACTCTGCTTGGAGCTGCCGGCTGTCCATTAGGCAGCCTCAGTGCAAGAGGCTCTCTTTCCTCATGCGATACATGTCACATCCGGGAACGATCAAAACAGCTTTGCTTTGGCAAAACGTCTTGTGCTGCGTGTTTGTTCTTTGGAGTCTGAGCGTAACTCCTGTTGTTCCCGACACCTGTGATTTGCTGGTCTGTGACAGCCATTACCTGCTCAAAGTCTCTGCCTGCCACACAACCCACCTGGTGCCACCCCCATTCCTTCCTCTGCCATCCCCAGAGCAGTAAATGCCTCTCCAGGCCACAGGGGTTGGGGCCAGCAGTGAATCAGACATAGTTGGCAAGGATGGCCAATTTTAGTAATCACCTCTACCATTTGGGAACGTCTACTGTGCACCAGGTGCTTCGAATGCCTTGTTTTTAGTCCGCCCAACAACCCCACAGTTAGAGTTCATTTTCTGTATTTAACAGAGGCACAGAGAGGTTAGGAAGTGACCCAAGTCCACCATTTGATAAGTATGAGGAATAGGATTTGAACTCAGATCTCTGCACCATTGGCTGCACACTTGCCACCATGTCAGGCTGCCTCTCCAGCTCACTTGCTCACAGCTGCTGATCCTGAATGGAGGGGCCTGGGACAGCTGAAATTTGACATTGGCATTGGGGTCAACTCATGGGAGTCAGTCCATCTGGCCCCAGGACCTTCCATTCCTGAGGACAGACCCCCTTGGAGGTACTAGACCCCCAGTGTTGGTCTCCACAGCTTGGATCCTGACCAGCCCCTCGCCTGTCTCTTGCAAACTCAATCCTGTTAAGCTCTGACACCTCCAAGCTCCTTCCTGGGGTGATCCTTTAGCCTTCAACACTTACCCACCAAATCTCCACTTCGAGTTCATGTGTATCAAGCATCCAGTTCACTGTTATTATCATTATAATGGGGGAAGCACAGCCTCATGTAAAGCTTGAGGGCCCTTCCCTGTTCCCTGTACCCCTTTTCTTCACTTTCTGGGATCTCTGAGGGAACCAAAGGAGATTCAGGCCCTCCATTTTGTGATAAGTTCCTGGAGGGCAGAGCCCTATCTGACTTATTAACCTGTTTCCCTAGTGCTTGAACTGCAGTAGGTGCTCAGAAAACATATGCTGAGTAATAATATCCACCGGTGCTCTTGCTTATGGAGCTACACTGAAAATCTCTTTCACATGATACCATTTAGCTAAGACAGTAACCAATATAAAGTAGGTATTATTTTCCCCACAGATGAGGAAACTGAGGCTCTGAAACATAGAGCAATGTGCCATAGACCACAGCTAGGAGGTAGTGGGGCCAGGATTCAAAACCCAGGGTTGCCTGACTCTAAGCCTGTGCTTCTGAACACGCATCCTATACAGCCTCCTTAATACAATCCATGGATGAATGGAGGAGTTCTACGTGCCCTGCCCAGTCGACTGCCCAGCCTGACCCCTTCCCACAACCTCCTAGGATGCTAGAGTCCTCCACCCATGCTGCCCCCTCTTCTGCCCACAGGCTCAGAGCAAAGCCTCTCCCAACAAGGCTTATTATTTCTAATCTTAGGAGAAAAACCTCAGTTCAAAGGCATTTTCTATTCCATTCAAGTCAAAAAACAGTTCTCACTTTGCCTCTCTGACCCCCTACCACCCCCACCTCCTCCTCCAACTGGCGCCAATAACGCAAGATAAATCTTTCCTCAGAAATATAATAGTTGTTCTTCCTCTTCTCGTTGAAGCCTTTGCCAGGTAATTAGCATATGCTGACACCTTGATAGACGAAAAGAAAGGCATGAGATAATTCCCTTTTTCTTTAACCATTATAGTATGAAGCAGCCTTTCAATTTGCCAGTTACCCAATCCAGCATTCCTGGACGCAGCCCACCGTGTGACATGTTATTCTAGCTGATCCTACCATCTCTGGTATTCATCACCAACCCTGGGTCACACTTGATAGAGCAAATTCCCCTTCTTCACATTGACACTTTTCTGGGAGGAGGGGCAGCCAGGGTTCAGAGGGTCTGGAAATTGTGGGGATGATGTGGTCATACTTGGGTGGGCACCCCCAGCTGACAGCCTAAGGCCTTGCAAAGGCCTGCAGAGCCCTAGGGGTCACTTTCAGAAGCCCTCTCTCCTTCCCCTGTTCCTTTCCCGCTCCCTAAAAGAAGCTGGCCTTTGATCAGACTTTGGGAGTCCCTGTATTTAGTGCAGCAGGAACCTCAGCTTGGAGTGAATGGTTTTCTCTCTTCTCATCAAAAAACACACACACACAACATGCACAATGACACATACACACAAAACATGCACGCACACTACACGTGCACGTGTGCGCGCACACACACACTCCCACTCTGGGCTCATGGCCTGGGATCTTAGGGTTGCGCCCAACCTCTTTGGAGGGACTGTCCCTCTATGGCCATTTATATGCTCACAGGGTTGATTTTATCCTTGACGTTTTGAGGGATGAGGGAGAAGACGACACTTAATTCCTTCATTTCACAATGTAGTAAGTGCCTACCAGGCACTATTTTAGACATTGAAGATACAGAGATGAACAAGACAGGCAAGGGGCCCGGCCTCATGGAGCTTCCAATCCAGCCCGAGGAAGCATACAAGAAATAAGCCAGTAAAAGATATCATTTCAGATGGTGATATGTGCTTATTAGGGAGACAAAACCAAACAGGTGAGGTGATGGGGAGGGAGTGGGAGGACTATTTTAGACAGAGTGGCCAGAGGGCCTGAGATTTGAACTGATACGTGAACGAAGATGAGCAAGCCAGCCATGCAGGAGCTGGGGAAAACATTCCCAGAATGAACAGCAAGTGCAAGAGTTCACAAATGCACCAGGTCCTGCACTGGGTCCAGTTTCTTTGGAGGGATCTGTTCCACCCTACATAGCTTTGACTTTCGCTGGTACTACTGAGGGTGAGACAAGCAGCTTGCTTGTCCATTTGGTGAGGGTAGAAAAGTTGCTGCCTGGGTCTATCTGTTAGCTAGGACTTTCCCAGGCTAGGGACTACGCATCACGCATCTGAGCAGAAACCAGAAACCAGATCAACCCTGTTATCTTGCCAATGGCTGCCCAAGGAAACTTCCAGCCCTCCCATCCCTCAACTCCTTTCCTGAAGGACAGGTCCACTCCAGGCAGGAGGTTCAGTGGCCTTAACTTCTCTTTCCTGGTTTGCCCATCTGCTCCTCCTCTTGGCTGGGACAGGTTCCCGACACCCCCATGCTTGGCCCGGGGGATGGGATGGGGAGTGGGGAAACAGTGTGCCAGCCAGCCTTCACCAGTGCAGGCACACCTCCTTTCCTCTCAGTTCTGCTAAGATAAGGTAAGATTTTTTAAAGGAAACGTATCAACCAAACAGAGGGAAGAAAAAAGGGGAAAGAAGGGGGAAATGCAGATGCTGGGAAACGGGTCCACAGAGCTGAGGTTCCTGACTCTAAAGGAACTTACGCCTGGCCACAAGCTCACTTGACCTTCTGAGGACTTAATCTTCCACCACCACCACCTCTGTGGCTCCAGATGCAGGATGACCTTGGGACCGCACCCAGGTTGAAAGGTGCGGACTGGTCGCTGTGTTTGCTATTCTGTTGTGGGAGAAGGGTCACTGGGCACAGGCCCAGGGCCCGACCGAGCCTCAAGGAGCCTGTCCTTCCTCTGCTTCCCAGGGGCTCCTGTTGGGACTTCCACACGCCTCAGCCTCAAACTGGTCTCCCCACCTCACCCTGCCCCCACCCCAGTCTATTCTCCACACACAGAAACTGGAGTGATTGTTTTAAAAAATTATATGTGAATCAGATTATATCATTTATGGTTAAAAACTTCCACTGAATAAACACTATCATAGGCTGAAAAAGAAAGGCCTAGATACATGGGATGGACAGTATGAACAGCCGCCCAGGCCCCTGTTCAGAGAAGGGCTCGTTGCCCCTGGTACTGGCTTGCTGTTGGGAAATAGCCTCCAGCTCTAAGCCCCTCCGGGATTGCATCAACTGCAAAGAACTGCCTCATCCAAGGTCATGCCACTTGCGTGGGTCTCTACACCCAAGCACTGACTGATGGGGGAGATGAAGGATGAGCCATCAGCCCAACTCACGACAGCTCTAGAAGAGGCGTGTCCAGCACTGGAGTTCCTCATCCAGCCGGCCAAGGCCACTGCCGGGCCTGTGCTCATCTTCTCCCTCTGCCCATTCCTGCCTCCTGCCCCTCTTCCATGAGCATTGGTCTCCAGGGAACTCCTACATAAAATCATGCACACAAAAACAAAAGGGAAAAATTCTGCTGGCCTCCCATAGTGTTTTAGATTTTTAAAAATATAAAGCTATGTATTTTTTACAAGGACCAGCAATGCCTTACATGACTTGAGCCTGGCCTGCCCTTCTCACCTCATGTCACTGAGGCCTTCCTTGGCTACCTTGTCTAAAATTTCAACTTCACATAATTCCTTTTTTATCCTTCTTAGCACTTATCACTATCTATCATACTACATATATATATTTAAACTTATTTATCTTGTTTATTTTCTGTCTTCCCATTAGATCATAAGCTCAATGAGGGCAAGGGTTTTGTCTGTTTGGTTTCTCTTGTAACCCCACAGCTTAGCATAGTGTCTGGCACATAGTAGGTGCTCAATAGTTGCTGAGTGAATCAATAAATGAATCTTCTACCTATCACTATCTCACACAGTACCTGGAATATAGAAGAAATGAAATAAATATTTGTAAAAAAATAAATAGCCATGTCTGCAAGTTGGCCTCTAAGATCCTTTTTCGCTCTGTGGGGCTCCTTTAGTTCCCTCCAGTTTCCCAAGTTCTTCCTGTTGACCCCTCCAGGGCTCTGGTGACAGAATAGTACAAGTCTGTCCCTGCCACGTGTAAGCCAAGGATCACAGACTCTCTGACCATGGGCAGTGTCGTCAGTGGTTACAGTTTTAGAGACAAACTACCTGGGTTCAAATCTCGGTTCTACCACAGATGACCTTAACATCTGTGAGCCTCTCATCTGCAAAACAAGGATGACAGTACCTACCTCAGGGCTTCTGCAAAGTATTTATTGAATGCTTGTCTCCCTACTTGACCCTGAACTCTCAGAGGGCAGGAACCAAGTCTACAAGTTCACATGACTCCTTGGCACTTAGTAGGTGCCTGATGAACATTAGAGAGTGTATTTCCATATTTCCCATTCTACTCAGCACCAAGTATGGGCATGAGCAAAACTGGCTGGATGACACAGCAGAGGCAGATCCCCACTGGCCATGCTCTGATGGTTTCTGCCCATTCTCCTGGATTGAATTACCAGTTGAGAATTACCACTGTTTTCTCATTTGGTAGGTGGAGATAGGAAAAGGAAGTCTGTGGTGGTGACCATCATTCATCCTGTGCCCAGGGTTCTCTGCCTACCCCCAGATCCCCAAGCTACCCCACGGCTTCTCTGCTTGTGAACCTCTGACCAAACCCCAACCTTTGCTCTGGTTCCCCCTCTGTCACTCCAGAATCCAGCTGAGTACCCCCTCCCACCTCCACATGGCCTCTGACAGCTTAGGTCACATTGTTCTTTCCCCTTCCTGACCACCCACTGCATATATCGACTAAATCGTGCTTCCTGGCATTTGCTTCCACCCAGGCTGGCATTTGATTAGATTCTGCTGCAGGTTCTCATTTTACCTCTCTGTCAGATCTCCCCGAGTTGACTTTAATAGTAATAATAGTAATAATTTTGCTTTACATCTGGGAACCCACCGGGCACTCATACAAAGGGATCCCATTTCTTTTACCTCTCTCTGTCTCTATAACCATCCCAGAAAGTAGGCAGGGCAGAGGTCATCTTCTACATTCCACAGATAAGGCAACCAAGGCTCAGAGATGCTCACATCAATAACTCCTCACCTCAGCCTGTTCCCCTTTCACCATCTCAATAATTGGCACCACTGTCCACCAAGATGTCTAAGCCAAAAACTTGGGCATCTCTATCATTCTTCACCTCCTCCTTTCTTTTACAGCCCCTACCCTGCAGATGAAACCGAAATTTCTCTCCAGACCACTCACTCCTCTCCAGTTCTACCACCTTGGCCCATATGTGATGACATCATCCCTGCTCTGGAAGATTGCAAAGGTCTCCCTCCCAGCCTCTGCTATTGCCCCACCCTACCCCATTCATTCTGTACATTGCATCACAGTGGTCTTTTTCTGATGCATACACATTCATTCACTGAACTAATAGTTTTTGAGAGCCTATTCTGTGCCAGGCACTGTTCAAGATGCTGGGGGTACAGCAATGAATAAAACTATTGCCCTCGTGGGGCTTATATTCCAGTGGGGAGGTGAGGGGTCAATAATAAGTAGTCAAGTAAATGTATAGTATTAGACAGTGATCATTGCTATGGAAAGAAAGAAAGCAGAGGAGGGAGTCAGGGAGTATATCCTGTGGCAGGATATAGGCTTGCTATTATATAAGGTAGGGAGAAAAGCCCTCATTGAGCAGACATCTGAAAGAAGTGAGGGAGTGAGGCTTGCTGATACCTGGAGTTATTCCAGGCAGATGGAACAGCAAGTGTAAAATCCTGAGGTGGGATGGCACTTGGCAAGTTCATGTTTGAGAAAGTGCACAGAGACCAGTAAGGCTGGAGGAGTATGAGAAGAGGGAGAGATCTGGCAGAAGGCCACACCTTGCAGGGTCTATAGGCCATTATAAAGACTTTGGCTTTGACCCTGAGTGAGATGCTGCACCAGTGGAGGGGTTGAGCAGAGGCATGACACAATAATTTTAATTGGCTTACATTTTAACAGGACCTCTCCACCCACTGTGTGAAGAACAAACAGTAAGGGCACAAGGGTAGAAGTGGGAAGACTAGTTAGGAAGCCATTGCAGTAACACAGGGAAGAGATGATAATAGCTCGGACCAGGGTAGAGTCTATGGAAGTGGTAAGAAGTGGTTTGATGCTGAATGAGTTATGAAGGTAGAGCTGACAATGTTTTCTGATGAACTGCATGTGGGGTGTGAAAGAAAGGCGTCAGGAAGGATGCCAGGGATGACTGCAAATATGATTTTGTCACTCCATCAATTCCCCATTGTTCTTAGGTTTGTACAAACCCCTTACCATGGATTATAAGGTCCTTCATGATCTGAGCCTCCTCCTCACCTCTCACCCTCCCCACACCATGGCTTCATCTTCAGCAACAGTGAAGAATAATACTATTTAACAGTTACTGAATGTTAACCTCATGCCAGGTCTGGGCTAAGCATTTTACAAATGCCATCTCATCCATTCTCCACAACAATCCAATGAAATGGATATTATTATTAACCCTTATTATTAATAGACTCATTTTACAAAAGAGAAAACTGAGGCACAGAGAGATGAAATAATTTGACCAAGGTCACACAGCTAGCACATAGCAGACCCAGAATTTGAAGCCAGGCATTTGATTCCAAAGCTGTTTCTTTAACCATTATGGGAGATGGAAATTTCAGTTCTCCAATCACTCATGACTTCACTCTCTTAATCCCTGTGCCCTCCCAACAGGCAATTCCCTGGGCTTAGAATATTTTTCCTCCCATCCCTCACACATTCCTAACCCTCGATCTTTGTCTGGTTAAATTACCCTCCTCTGGGAAGCCAAGTCGGGTGAAATACCCCTCGTCTGTGCTCCCACAGTTGCCTGGGCTTGTTCTGTTACGGCTCTGCCCACCCTGTGGCCAGGCTGTTTATGGACCTAGGTCTCCCTTACTAGACATGAGCTCTCTGTGCAGAGACCAGATTTACCTGTCTCATAGCTGTATCCACGAAGTGAAGAACAGTGGCTGGTATGCCAGCAGTCAGTAATTATCAGTTGACTGATCAATGGGACTGAGCCTAAACGTAGACATTCTACCTGTAAGAGGGATGCACTTTTAAATCCACCCTCTAATAATCTCCTAGGTCTGTGCTCCACACCGCTCTGCTTTCCCATAGCCCCTACACTACTACTTACATAGTAGATAATAACAGCTAGCATTCCCTGAGTGCTTACTGTGTGCCATGCACTCTCTCATTTAATCCCACCAACACATAATGAGATAAATATGATTACAATCTCCATTTTACAGATGAGGAAACTGAGGCTGTCTGAGGTTCAGCGAATCCCCCAGGGTCACAATGTGGTACTGGGATGCTGAACAAATAATTGCTGAATTGAACTGATAGCACTGGCATTACCCTGTGCCTGCTTTCTCCGTGTCCACCGATCTCAGCACAAAGCCTGGCGCAGAGTGGGTGTGCACTCACCAAGCGAGCAAAACCCAGTCCAGCCTGCGGCGGGAAAAGAGGCCTCCTCGCTCCTCTCCCCGCTCCCCCAGAGCTCCCTCTCCCCATTCATCTCCCCTTCACACCCTTAATAAAAGCCCTGAGATTGACCGATTGAAGGGTGTGATTTCCATGGGAGAGCAGCAGCATTTACATGGGAACATTCAAACAGGAACAGAATTCTTCCGCGAGGGCATGGGCTTCAGAAGATAGCTGTGGATAGAGAATTGCCGGGGGAGCGGGTGCCTACGGATGGGGAGCGATCCTTTATTTATTTATTTCCCTCCAGGAGCCTTCACCTTTCATTAAAACACCCTCCGGATGTAGGTGCAATCAAACATTCATTAGACAAGCAAGTTACATTTTTAAAAAACTAACAACGCCCAAACACACACACACACACACACACACACACACACACACACACACACACTCACGCAGCAATAATCAATCTGCGAAATGAAACCGGTCTTTCGGGCGAGAAAAGCAGCCTGTGTTTGTCTGTACCGCGCTCCCCAAGCCCTGCGTCCTCCAGGCGAACAGCCGGCAATGCCCCGAAGCCCGCTCCCCACCCCCAGCCAGCCGGCCGTGACACGAGGGGTCCTTCCACGCAGGCCCTCCCACTCCTTTCCTCGGCAGGGTTTCCCCACGGGTCTGAAGCGCACAGAGAGTTCTCGCATCTGTTCGCAAACCCTGACTCGAGGCTCAGAGCTCAGCACTGGGGGTCATCTGCCCAGGGCAGCGGGCATTTCCCTAAAGCCCTGTGGTTGGGGGAACGGGGATACCGGGCGGTTGACCGGCGAAGCTGGCAGTCCTCTGCCCCTCAATCAGGACCAGCTTCCTGGAGGAGGGGACAGCGGCGAAGCCGGGAATGGGGGCAAGGAAGTGGCTTGACAGATGGGGAGTGGGAGGCTCTTTCCAGCATATGGGGCCGCGTGGGCGGAAGGAGTCTGGGCCTGGCGGTGGGGAAGGGTGGGCACGGGGCTGCGGAGACGGTCCCCGGAGCGGGGACGCGGGCGGAGTGAGGGTGGGCGTGTGAACGGGACGGAGAGGGGAGGAGATAAGCCCCCCAAAGGTGGGGGCGGGGAGTGGGGGCGGCCTTGGATGCGCTCACCCGGGAGCCTGCGGAAGGCGCAGCACGCCGAGCGCCTTGCACAAGGGCGCCCCCTGATGGCATCTCAAGCGGCAGACACGGTTTCCATTTTCTTTTGACATCAATGTAACAAAATCCTCAATTGAGCGCTTCCTAGAAGCCTGGCGCTGGGCTGAGATCTCCTTTGGAAGCCACTACCGTGCCCATTTTACAGCTAAGAGAACGGAACCTCAGCGAGGTCATACAGCAAGAGCCAGGATTCCAATCCATGCATTCATTTACTCAACAGTTCTTAAGAAGTCCCTCTTGTAGGCTGGGGGCTGGAGGTACTGCAGTACACAGATGAACAGGTCCCTGGCCTCGCGGGGCTTATAGTCTAGGTGAGGAAACAGCATACAAGTAAACAAATAAATGAGCAAAATAATTTCAGTGCTGCGGAGGAAATAAACCAGGGTGTGGAGCTAGGCAGCAACTGTGCTCTCTCGGTTTCCCCCAGCCTGCCTCCCCCTCGCTGCTCCCTGGGGGACTGAGATTTGTCAGCCTTGGCTTCAAGGCAGGCAGCAAAGGAAGGTAGCTCTGGGGGTGGAACGAAGTGGGGGAGTGCAGATTCCCAAGGCCAAAAGCCGCTGTCATCTGGGTCCCGGCCACCCCCTCACATGTACTCCGACTAGCACCTGCAGCCCTAGACGTTCCCACTATGGCCAAGCATCTGAATTATTTCCTCATCTCAACCCGATGAGTTTTTAATCTGTCTTTATACAGCAGCCTGGCTGCCTGTGCTGGGATTATTACTGAGTTCTCTGCACATCGATCCCGCCTCCCCTGGCCGCTCTGACCAAGTGAGGCTCTGAGATGGCGGCGGGAGGGGTCTTGGCTCTGGAAAGATTTAGGGGAGTGCCAGTGCTTGCTGTGGGCTGGGGCCTGCAGCACTCAGGTGTCAGATGCCCAGGATTTCAGGGGCACTGCCCTCAAGGCTGGGCTGAGCCAGGGTGGAGGGGTATGGGTATGAAGAGGCAAAGTTTACAATTTGAGCTCAGGAGATGGGGCTGTTTCAGCAATACCAGGCTATTGTTTATTGGGGCAGCTTTGCAACTCGAAGGAGAAAGATGAAAGGAGGGAGGAGAGGCTAAGATTACCTGGGACAAGGGCAGAAGGTAGGGAGAAATGGCTTCTAGTCCCAGTTTTGCCACTTACTAGCATGTAAGTGCCCTTGCAAGCTTGTAAGTGCCCTCAAATGACTCATCTGTAAAATGGGAGTGATTGCAGTGTGTGTTCCATGAGGTAGTATGCACACAGAGCCTTCATACACTAAACACTCAATATGTCAACTATTATTAGCAGCATCATTATCTGTAAAATGGGAGTAGGAATCCTGGTTCTGCTTCCTGGAGATATCTCTCATGAAACTCAAATGGACACAGGCACCAGGCCCATGTGAGGGGCTATTGTTATTGATCCGCAATAAGGTCAACAACACCAATAATGGCATGAACAGGCATGAGGCAGGCACACATATTCTGTCGCTCCCACATTCAATCAGTGACAGACACACTCAGTCTCAGCCTTTCAGACGTGCAGCCTAGATACACCCTCTCCTGCCTTCGGATCAGCCTGATAGTGGGGAATGTGGGACAGAGGCTGCCACATGCGACTTTTCATTTGCCATGGTGCCAATGAATATTTGAGAGTGGCCTTTCAAGCATGCAAATCCGACCATCACACATGGCCCTGGACAAGCTCCAAACACCCTAGCATGGCCTGGGGCTGTCTTTTGCTCCTGCCTTGTCTTTCATCTCCTGCCCATCTTTCATCTCTTGCCTCTTGCACTCTGAGCTCTCTATGCTCCTGCGACATACTTGGCCTCTCTTGCCTCTGCCCTTGTATGTGTAATTCCTTTTTCCTGGGACTCTTTTCCCTTCTAATAGCTACCTCTTTGAGGACAGGGACTCTGTCGATTGGTTGGTCGATAGTAAATGATCTATAAATATTTGTAGAATTGACACCACCCCAGCTGACGTCCAGTGGCCTCATCTCAAACCTCACTTCTTAGGAAAGGCTTTCCCTGCTGCTAGGGCTAGGTAGAGCCTCTTGTTTTTCCTTCTAAAGCCTCCTGTACTTCCCCTGTGAAATTCACATGTTTGTATCTATCTCCTAAACTCAATTTCACAAGGGCAGGGAAGCTCCTTCTTGTTTACCGCTCTATCTTCAGTGTTCAACGTATACTAGGTGCTCAAGAAAGGTTTTGAATGAGGAAATAAATGGATGGATGGCACTGGAACTCCATGTCTCCTGTTTTAGTCCCTCCCACTGACCCTCTACCCCCATCTTCAAAGGAATGACTTTCGATGTCCTAGGACCAGTTCTTTGCTCCCCCTCTCACTTCTCTCCATCTCCTTCCTTCTTAGCCATCCACTCACAGGCCACATCTGGGCCCTTTCATCCTTGGTTGTCCCTCCCTGGTGAAGAGTAGCCCCACCACTGCCCCTGAGCCGCACTCCTGAGGGCAGGCCCTGGGTCCACCTCCTTTCCACCCTCCAAAGAGCATAGTTCTGGGTCTCCAAAAACAAGGAGGCTGGGCACCCTTCTCCCCTCATCAGCCAGCTGGGTCTAGCAAATGCCAAGTCATTGCCTGCTGGTGACTGTCTCCAGCTCCTCCAGCTGGAGGAGCTGCCAGGAGCAAACCCAGAAGAGCCACCCTTGGCAGCAGCCCAAGCACTTCACACCTGAAGCCAAGGAGTTCCTGCCCCTCTTCCTGCAGACTCCCACCTCTGCAAAGATGGTTGGAGGTCCTAAAACTGGGGATCAGGCCAGGGTGGAACCCCAAGGCTGTCCCATCTCAGCACCACCTCCCCACCCCACCCGCTACTGCCAAGGTCCCCTGGATACATGCTGGCAACCCAGCCTCAGTTTCTCCACAGGGTCCTTTCTGCTAAAGCTGCCAAGGGAACATTTGCAGGACTGCTCCACAGCTTCAGTGCCCATGAATGCTGACTAATAATTAAGCCCCTACAAACTGCCTGTAGATAACCATAATTCCTTTTATTTATGCAGCCCTGAGCACATTTCAAAGCATTTTCATATATATTATCTCATATGATCTCCCACAATAATCCTATTGGGTAATTACTGGCGGAAGGAATTAATGTCCTTATTTCGAAGAGGACAAAACCAAGACTCAGAGAGGAAGGAATCTTCTCTGAGGTCACACAGCCTGTGGGGGGCAGAACTGGGCCGACCATGCAAGTTCCTGAAAGTCCAGGGTTCTTAATTGTCCACTTGCCCTGGATCTTGAAGCTGAAACCCAGAGTAGCCTACACAGTGTAAACCCTTCCAGCTCTTATGCCATTCCAGTCTCTTAACAACAACAGCAAATAATTGAGTATCCATATATGTACACAACTTGAATTATCTCACTTAACTCCCAACACAACCTTATGATATTGGCCATATTATTAGCCCCCACGTCACATATGAGATGGCCAAAGCTCAGAGAAGTTAAGTAACTTGCTTTGAGTCATACAGGCTATTCAGACTCTGGATACAATCTTAGTCTGCTTGAATAATCTGAGACTTTAACTCCTACCCATAGGTTCTGTGGCTTAACTGATGCCCCTACTCACACCAAGCCTCCAGAACCTCTTCCTTGGAGTCTAGGATCATGGGGATCTCTCTTTTCTGTGGCTGTCTGCATTCCCAGGTCACTCATTTATTCACCCATTGGTTTGTTAAACATTCATGAGGCCTTCCCTGTGGCTGGCACTAGGCATACCATGGTGGACAGTGGCACCATGTCCTGCTCTGGAGTAGATAGCCCAGGCTGGGGAAATCTGGGAAGGCTTCCTGGAAGGGTACCCAAGATGAATCTTGAAGGATGAATAGGAAGAAGGCGGAAGAGAAGGAAGAGGGAAGAATGTTCCAAGCAGGAGAAGCCAGAGGCAAGAGAGAGTGGGGACTGCTCAGGAACCCTGTAAATGAGGCAGTTTGGCTGGGACAGCAACAGGGAGGAGAGAGGTGAGGCTTGTATAGTGTTGGCGGGTGGGAGGATGTGGCAGGGAGTGACCTGGTCATGTCTGTGTAAGGATGCTGTGGAGACTGGGGGAAGGGGAGGGTACTGGGATGCTGTCTTTTCCAGAGCAGGATCCTTCTAGTCACCTCTGGTGTTAGACCCTTGGAGCCAGCCCGGCAGGCTGTGAGGATGTGGGGAGGGCAGCCTTCCAGAGCACCCTTGGCTGAGCTCGCAGGGGCCTCCAGAGTCCTGGGGCAGGGATTGTGGATGGGATGAGGTGTAACAGCCAAAGTTTCCTCCCTACAGTCACCAGTGAGGTACCCATGTCAGAACAGATAAAAGGAAGGGCTTTCTAGACAGTGGGAACAGCATCTGCAAAGGTGCTGAGGTGAAAGAGAGCAAGACCATCTGGGAGCTAGCATAGTTTATACAGCCGAAGCCAGGGTGTGGGCTAGATGGAGTTGTTCCGGTGCAGTAGGACTGAACTCAGGCCTTCATGGGTAAGAGTCTAGGGGTTCTGCTGCTGATACCCTTAGGTTCAAAGCCCAGCTCCTGCGAGCTACACATCTGTGGGAAAATTACTTAGGCTCTCTGATTCTCAGTTTTCACATCTGTAAAATAGGGTTGTTGTGAGGATTAAGCAAAACAATGTGCAAAGTACTTAGCACATAATAAATACTCAATGAGCACAATCTATGTTATTGTCACTATCACTAATGTTGTCATTACTAACAGCCTCACAGTGGGAAATCTAAGGTGGAGCACAACTTCATAAGGGAAGAATCTCATTTTAAAAAGTAAAAACAAGTTGCAACGTGTGCTTATCTGCAATCTCCACGTTCACCGATATGTGTGAAATTTCATCTGCAACTGTTTTCTCAGAGTGTCATCCCATCCCAAATCAAATGACGGATGTTGGATGTCGCAGGAATGATAGGGATATTACAGCGACCGACAGCGGGCTGGAGGCAGGGATCGTATGCAGGGGAGTGGAAGGGGCCTCTGTCAGTCTCTGGAGGGGTGAAAATGCCCATGTTTCTAAACCAGGATGGTGGGGACACTTTGGGGAGGGGAAACGGCTCTATCTGCCCCAGTTAAGATGAGAGAAAATCAGCTGGGTTTTGCTAGAGTGAATGCTCTGAGCAGAGTCTGGGATACAGCCCATGCCTCCACAAGTTTTACCATCTTCAAGGTTTGTTAATTGATCTCTTAGAATCTGAATGGTTTAAGCTTTGAAATTAAGATTTGCAGGTGTTAACCATGAGACGTAGTTCCAACATGGTCAGACAGGTGAACAAGGGTCAGAAAGGCTGTGCCCTGGGGTCCTACCAACCAGGTTCAAATGCCACCTCTATCTACATAGCATAGGCATTAGACAAGCTGTTTCTCTGGGTTTTGGTTTCCTTCCCTATACAACTGGACTGATCATTAGACCCAGCTCAAGAGTTGTCTTAAGATTCAGTGAAATAATGCACAGAGAGCACTTGACACAGTGCCCGGCACGTGATCAGGGCTCAAAAACTAGTAGTTGTCAGCACTGATACGACGTTCTCCTCCTTCTGGAAAGTTTGACCTATCACACAGCCCCAGGTGGGCTGCTCATGGGCTGGGCTGAGAGGCAGAGGTGTTCTGCCTGGGGATGACAGATGTCCCAACCAGACTACTTTCCCCTTAGGCAATGACAGGTGGGTGTCCGGTCACGGAAGTATCACTGTGCCTGGGATGGTACATTGACTCCTTCCTATAACTGGGGAACAAGTTAGGCCTTGGCCTCAGCTGTGAGAACAAGGAAGGAGGCCAACTTAGCTAACAGACTGGCTGGACAAGAACTTGAACCCAGGTGCTCTACATTGCCCTGGAGCCACACAGTGAGGTGCAGAGCCTGGGGCAGGGTGAGGTCTGCATGGGAGGTGCTGGTGATATGGTCTTGGTGAAGGCAGGGAGAAAGCCCTTTGAAATTCAGGAATACGAAATTTTAAAAACTGCACACAACAAAGAAATTGTTTTTTGCAGCTGTTTTGGCATTTGGGGAGTAATTTACCAACTTCAAGTTCGACTTAATGAAGTTGGGGGTAGGCAGCTTCCATGGGAGCTCTGCTTCCTAGCAATCTTCAGCCGCCCAGCCAGCAAAGAGGGCTGAGCGCATGGTTGCTGGGGAGCATTAACAGTAACACGTTGTGTATTTGTCATCAGAATGGAGCCCCCGGGCACAAGGGTAGTGCCCATGGCTGCTCAATGCTGTATTTGTCATGTGGCCACTGACACAATCAATTGACCCCCTTACACACCGGTGTTTTTTAGCCATTGTATAAATATTTCACCCCTCCCCAGCTGACACATAATCTCTTCTTTGCTGCCTCTGACAAATGAACATTTCTCTGTAGACTCTTAAATGAGTATGTGTCACAGCTATGTCACTGATTAATTTTTTTTACCACTATGAACAACGATGCATAGAAATGCAACTTATATTCATTTCCCGGCTTGAGCCCAGCTGTCTAAAAAATTCCACCAGCAGTTACGACTGACAGACAGCTATCCCAGCGCTTGGGCGTGCTGACATGTGGTTGTGTGAGTGCCAGCTTGTTAATTACCGGCTCTCTCTTCCGGCCTGGCTGCCGAGTAACCAGCCACAAGGACCTTAATCACTGCTGGGGCCTGGAAGGGCCTGCTTCAGAAGGCTCCAGGGGCCAAATCTCAATCAGGCCTAACCACACACAGTTTTTTCCTTCAAGCATTGGCCACCTTTTCTCCTGGGCCCTGGTTTGGGAATGTGCCTGTAGTCACCTCAGTAACACTCACTGCACCCTTAAACCCTTCACCCACCAATCTGTGAGGACAGGGACTCAGTCTTGTTTGCTTGGCACAGGGTGAATGCTCTAGAAATATTCACTGAAATGAAATCAGCTAAGGGGCAATTATTGAACAATATATCAGCCACTTGACATATATTACTCCTTTCATAGTAGGAGCCCCTACTATGCACTGGATGCTTAGCCAATGAGCAAGACAGGTAGACCTTTAGACCTGGGCCCAGAGGAAAAGGTGGCCATCAGTTGGAGAAAAAAATTGAGTGTGTGGTTAGACTTGGGTGGGAGCCGGACCCTGGAGCCGTCTGAGGCAGGTCCTTCCTGGCCCTGTCCGTGATTTAGGTCCTATGGGTGGTTAGTTGGCAGCCAGGCTGCAATGAAGTTTAGGTTCTGGTGGTGAAGGACTAGAGGTTCTAGGGATAGAACTTCTATTTGTAGAGGTGCTATTTGTACCCTGTTTGCAGCTGAGGAAACTGGAGGACAGTTCTCGCCTTTGGCCACATAGCTCATCAGCGGTGGCATTGAAATAAGAGCCTGTGCCTTCTGACTCCAAAGCCTGCACCACTAACCACTCTTGGCCAACCACACTGAGACCCCACTGTCCTTTCCCTCAGCTGCCTCAGTTTCTCCTACACTATAGCTCTCCTTCCCTCCTTCTCCTTCACACTTTCTTCTTCCTGGCAGGCTCTCGAGTCACCTTGGGCTTCAGAGCCGATTCAGCATCCCTGCCCCAGACCGACCCCATCCATCTGCTGCTCCCCCCATCCCCATGCCCCCCACTGACACAGAACCGAGCCTTCAGCAGGTGTCTAGGCTGCCCCTAGCCCGCCCCCAACCTCCATGCACCTGTGTCCTTTCCCTGATGTCATATAACCACTGGCTAGGAGCCAAGAGCATAACACCTGGGGACACTTTTGGTGATTAACTAGCTCCACCATTGCCCACAAGGCTCTCAAGAGACTGAGCGGAGAAATACAGACCCCTCCCCCTCTAAGGCCCAAGCAGACTTGGGCAGCTCTGGAGGCAGGGGCTGCACATCCAAGGAACTGATCCTCCCCATTGCCACATCCATGGAGCCCACAGGAATCAAAACTGTGGATGTATATGGCAAGGTAGAGAGTGTGGAATGGGAGATGGTCTGAATCCCAGTTTCTCTATTTACCGACTATACATCCTAGGGCAAGTTACTTCATTTCTTCTGGGGTTGTACCTTGAAGATGCTAATACCTATTTCACAGAGCTGTTGGGAGGTTGACGAGAGCTCACGTGGGACAGCACCCACCATGGTGCCTACCATATAACAGGTGCACAGTAAACCACAGCATCTTTCTTTCCCTTTTGGCAAGGTTGTGATTCCGACCTATCTTGATTAATCATCTAATCAGAGAAGAAAAGCTGGACAACACACCTACCTATTGATACCTTAGCCCATACTGACCCAGGAGACCCCAGGCACCAAAAGCACTGCCTCTCTTCTTCCCTCCAGGCCTGAGTGGTGTGGAAGGAGAGGCAACTCCTAGGAAGGACGTGAAACTGCTGTGGGTGGGGCTGCCCTTCAATCAGCATCATCCAAAATCATGGCCACTTACAAACATTCAGTCCATGCAGCACTGAACAGAGCACATGTTTATGTGCATTATCTCATTGAAAAGTCACAAAACTCTTTGAGTTAGGTATGACTGGTTTCATTCTACTGACAAAGAAATTGAGGCCTAAAGAGGTTAAGAGAACTGCAAAAAGTCACACAGAGGCAGAGCCAGGACTTCAACCCGGGGTTCACCTTATTCTCAAGATAGTGCTCTTAACTACCGTTGTATGCCACATCCCTCACACCCTCTTCCTCACTATGTCCATCAAGCTCCCAGGGCATTCTGCAGCGAGCGGCTGCAGCAGGCATCACCTTCTCTATGACGTCATTGAGAGCCTGCTCTATCACCTCAGTGGGCCTGCCCCGTCCCACCTACTAGGCCTCAGTGGAGCTAGGGGCAGGGTCAGAGGAAGAAAAAGCTCAGATGACACAGAGCTAGGCTGGGACTGGCACAATAGCAACCCTGGGGAAGGGGCTGATGCAAGAAAGGGGTCCACACAACTGGCCCTTCAGCTGGCTGGTTAGCTGTGCCATCCGCATACATTTCCTTGTTCGAAATGGAGCACTGAGCCCCGGAAATCAGGACAAAAGCACCACCCACAGCTCTGGTCTCGATGACTCAGATTCCACCTCCCACAGCCTCCTCCTGTGTGTGTTTCTGAATGCGTGTGTACCCGCGCGTGCGCCCCTCCAGCGCGTGAGGCTGTCAGCTGTGTGTGTGTGTGTGTGTGCGCGCGCATGTACAGAGATGAGCACACATGTGCACATGGCTGAGCTGGGTCCACCTGCATATCTCTGTCTCCAAGCCCGAGTTCTCAGAATACGATGACCCACAGGGTCAGTGATCATCATAACATTGATAGCCACATGCTTCCCATGCTCGGGCTGTGTGCCAAGCACTTTACACGCAGTGCAGCATAGAGTCTTTACCGCAGCCTTATTAGGTGCCTACTATCATTCCCCTTCTGCTAACGATGAAACTGAGACTCAGAGAAGTTAACCTGCTTTCCCAAGGTCACACAGCTAGAAAATGGTGAAATTATCAGATGTCAAAGTCGGTGCCCAATAAGATGTGCTTCTCGCCTTGCCCCCTTTAGGGGGTTTGGAGAGAAGTCCCAAGGGTCCTTTGTAACCAGAAGCCAACCAGGGTCGCTGAAGGAAAGGGGGCCAGAGCCTTGGAGGAAGGAAAGGGGGGCGAATAGCAGATAGACACCGAGGAGGAGGGGGCAGGGCAGCTGTCTCCCAAAACAGGTGTCAGAGAAGCTGTGACAGCCACTTAGAACCACAGTGGCAAGCCTCCTTTACATGGCGATTTGCATACATTTGCATGCATTTGCATCACCAAATCTGTGGAATGGGCCTTAATGGTCCCTGCCTCAGAAGACTGGCAGAAGTTGAGAGAGTGGGAGTGACAGGGAGGGCCTGGGGAATTCAGGAAGGGAACGAAGGGAGAGGCAGTGCTGCGGAGGCCCTGGGAAGCGCTGGGCACCGCTAAGAGACAGTTCCAGGGGAAAGAAGGAAGAATCCCTCCCAAGTAGCCTGGGAAGTCTCTCCTCCCCGAGACCATCTCCTGGGGGTAGCAGCGAAGGGGATCGGTGATGCAGAAATCAGGGAGAGCGTCGGAGGGTTGGAGACCTGTGTCCACGGACAGAGGGGCGGGTCTCGCACAGCGCCTCCCTGCTGGGGGCCTGTCCATTCGGCCGCTGGAGCTCAGTGGCTCGGTGTTGGGGCGCCATCTAGTGGACATATGTGGGAACGCGCCCTTTCCTGCCCGCTCTGGCGGCAGCCTCTTCCTGCGGCTGCTTGCACCAAAGTCACGCCAGCTTGCAGACTCCCAACAGTCGGCTGTCTGAGTGGGCATAGGGACCTGCGGTCTTCCGGAGGATCACGGGCAGGGGAACTTCCCACGGGGCGGCCAGGCTAACGTGAATGAGCTAAGACAGCTTAGTGGTGAAGAGCTTGGGTCAAATATGGCTGTATGACCTTGGCAAATTAACCTCTGAATCAGTTTCCTCATCTGTAAAATGGGAGTGATAAAATTTACTTGTGAGAATAAAAGAAGATAATATCTATTAGGAGCTTCTCAGCAGGACCAGGACTTTAAGGACTTTCGACTTGCACGACCTTGAGATCTCCTTACAATTTGTCGGCTAAGCTTTTACCCTCTTCGTCCTCTTCCTGGTCCTGCTTATTAGCACAATGCCTGCCACATGAGGAGCACTTCATCAGCAGCAGCTACTGTGGTCGTTGCTGTCATTATTATTACTGTGAGGGTGCTGAGGCCTTGCGCAGGCAGCACCCCAGCCTCACTCCCATCTGGCCTGGTCTGGCAAAGATATGAAAGGAGATCAGAGGCTGGAGGTGAGGGGCCACTTCCCAATGAGTCAGGAATAAAGAGGAAGTCATAGGCAGATAGGAGTGAAAGGGCCATATTGGGTCACAAACTTTGTAGAACCTTCTCAAATTCCCTGTGGTCAAATGCTAGATGAGGAAGGGACTCAGCCCTGGTTCACAGATGGTCAGTGTGATATGTTGGTGAGAGTTAGAAATGGATTGCTGCCACATTATGGCCGTCTTGGCGTAGCCCTAAAGGACAGTGGGGAAGGGAGGTTCCAGGGTGCAAAGCTTTGAGCAGTACACTTGGGCGTTAGCTTTCTCTAAACGAACAAATAGCCTGAGTTGTGGATATTCCCTGGCTCCTGTGGAATAGTGAATGTCCCCTAGTCAGGAACCCGAAGGAACAAAAGCCAAAGGCAAGTGACAAAGTGGTCTAGGAAAGAGGTAGATGGGTGGACTGAGAGTGAGCACCAAGTGTGCAAATTCCCTGGCTCCTGTGGAATAGTGAATGTCCCCTAGTCAGGAGCCCAAAGGAACAAAAGCCAAAGGCAAGTGACAAAGTGGTCTAGGAAAGAGGTAGATGGGTGGACTGAGAGTGAGCACCAAGTGTGCAAACCTCTGGGTCTCAGGTAAACAACCAGCAGAGCATCTTTTGCCAGGACACGCTCCACAGAGATACAATGATTCGCCTGGTGAGTGAATCTCTCTCCCTGTCTACCCTGAATGCCTGCTCAAAAGCCCTTGAACAGAGTAGTCATGCTACCAGAGATGGAGGCTATGTATGAGCCCAACAGCATGGGCTCCCTCTCACCAAGGATGAGCTAGTTCTACCACTTTGATCACTCAACCTGCCTGCAGCCAAGACCAGTGCTGGGCCCTCCCTCAGAAGGCTCTCTTCCTCAGAAGACCAGCCAAGCCTCTGGCTGCAGATCAGTTACACTGACCCTATTCTTTCTACTCTGGAGGGGACAGTAATTCGTTCTTACTGGCAACAGTGCATGCTCCAGATTCAGGCTTGTCTTCCACAGTGTTTTTACCAAAAAAGTACAATAATGTGGTCATCAAGGACTTCTATAGTTTCTGCTCTTACATTTAGGTCTTTGATCCATTTTTGAGTTCATCTTTGTATATGGTGTATGGGATGCCGATCAACAGAGTCATTGGGCTCGCTTGGTTGCTCCTCATCACCTAGAAGCTGCCAGCCTGATGGGACAAGGGGACAGCCTGTTGAATGCTCAGTGAAGACACTGGCAGGAACATGACACCTGTGGGTTGGGGCCCTCAACTCCTTGATGCGGTATTTGTTTTGACCAGTACTATGTTCCTTATACATAGAAATTGCCAGTCCTGGAGTCAAATGTGGAAGTGGACGTGGCCCATCTCATTCACATTTGTAGAATATTTGCTTTCTGTCCCCAAAACTGGTGGCTCTGCCAATTCGAGTTTCTAGTTGCCAGGAAGGGAGAACTTATATGAAAGAACACAGTAGTTTCCACTAAACTGGAAGCTGTGACAGCCACGTGGCCACCTTATGCTCCTCATTCTAGTGGGCTAATAGACAAAGAAGGGCATTAATGTGCTGGCCAGGGCCATTGATCCTGATGGCCATGAGGAACCAGGGCTGTAGATACAATGTGCATAGATGCAATGAAGGCGGGGAGTCTGGCCCCAGCCAGGGGATTCGCTGTGGCATCTCTTGGAACTTCCCACCCGGTAGTAATTGCCAATGGACAACTTCAACAACAATTCTAAAAGGACAGGGCAACAAAGGCATCAGATCTCTTGGGGATGAACGTCTGTATAATCTCATCAGGCAAGTAGCCCAGATCTGCAGAGGGCTAGCGGAGGGTCACGGAAGGAGGGAGAGAATATCAATTATGGACTCAAGACACGCTACAGCAGTGGGACTGTAGCTTGCTTCATTAGCCCTCTCCTCTTTATCTTCCTTAAGACCACATCTGGCATTTTCTGGAAGGGGACTTGATTCCAGTGGACTGTACTTTCCCTCATGAGGAAAGAGTGAGGGCAACTTTGTCCCTGTGGGGGAAAATGCCCTGTAGGGTGGCATAGAAGTCAGGTATAATGGGAGGACTTGAGTGGATCTCAGTGGCATGAGAAATGGGCTGCCCTGAGACATGAACCTTTCTTCTCAAATTCCTTCACTACCTCCTCCTCTACTTTCAGACTTAGATAAAATGCCACACTGTACAGTGTGGAACCTGGTTTCCAAGTGCCACCAAGGGCTGGGTAACAGAACCCAGAAGCATGGGAAGGTGACTCTGTGGGGTGAACCTTGACCCATGGGAGACAGGTCATGGGTGGGAGCTGAGGACTGCTCCAAGGTGGATTTCCTCCTTACCTTCTGGAGAAGTCCCACCCACGTGCCGAGAGAGAGCACCCCTGCTGAGTAGCCAGCAGTGTCTCTGAGGGGCTTGTGTGAAGCAGGGCAGGACAGGAAGGCACCGCACTGTCTCACCTTGCATCCTCCATTTCCTCTCCCTCAGCTCAGGGCTTCCACCTGAATCCTGACCACAGGCTCTGCTTCTCAAAGACCTAAGACAAAGGGATTCCTGAAAGCTGTTTCCCCGTCTGTGTCCCACACTGTGGTCACCACTGGAGCCTGAGTTTAACCAGTCCAGCATCTCTGCTGAAGCCAAAGAAATGGAGACCCCGGGGGACAGGAACCAAGCAACTACTTTCCAGATGGGAGAGAAAGTATAGATGGACATCTGAGCAATGAGGGAGGGGCAGGCATGGTCAAGAAATCGAGTGGGGAGATCAGAGGGTAGGAAGTTAAGTCCCAGTGAAAACTGCCCCCTGTAAATGGGTCTGTGCAGTGAGTTTTCTGGGAGAGAGTGATTAGATCCTAGAAGTGAGAAGGGAGAAAAATATTATCTTTCTCCCAAGGAGTAGACAACTGCATCCATGCAAGGCAGGGAGTGCATTCTCCTGACACCTTCAGGGCTCCATATTCCTGGGTGGGGGCAGTGTCTGACCCACAGATGCTCTGGACAGTGAAAACATCAAGAGTGAGTAAACGGTTGGCTGGGCACGGTGGCTCACACCTGTAATCCCAGCACTTTGGCGGAGGTCACGAGTTCGAGGCCAGCCTGGCCAACATGGTGAAACCCCGTCCTTACTAAAAACACAAAATTAGCAAAACATGGTGGCACATGCCTATAATCCCAACTACTTGGGAGGCTGAGGCAGGAAAATCACTTGAACCTGGGAAGCGGAGGTTGCAATGAACTCAGATAGTGCCACTGCACTCCGGCCTGGACGACAGAGTGAGACTGTCTCAAAAAGTAAATAAATAAAAAATAAATAAATAAATAACCCAGTATCCGGTATTTTGTTACAGCAATGCAAATGGACTAAGATAGCCCCCCCCCCCACCCCCTCTGGTCACTCCCAAAGCCCCAGTTCATAAATACTGCATGCCCAGGGCACAACCCCATATCTGGAGTACAGCCTCACACTCCGATGGAGTTTTGTGTCCAAAAAAGGACTGGCCCAGCAGCAATTTGGTGGTTTGCAGGGAGGTAGGGCAGAGACTGAGCATGTCCAAATATCCCTAATACTCTCCTTGCACCTACCCCTGCTTTCACTCTTCTGTCTTTCTTTAGATGTGTGCAGTGGTGCACCAGAAGCTTTAAACAAAGGTCTGCTAATTCCTGGAGTCATCCTTGTCATTCTCCTGCCTCTAGGCAAAGCCCTATTTCAGCATTTTCAAGGCAGCAGGAAGGGAAGAGGAGATGAGGGACCTGAGCCCCAGCAGTCTACAGTCTGCTTTGCCTGGGATGCATAAATAGGATTGGAAGGGCCCTCGTCTTTGAGAGTTGGGTGCAGGGTGTTTTTCTAGGGAGAGATCCATAACTGTCACCAGAGTCTCAAAAAAGTTTAAGATTTGCCTGTGCTGTCCAATATTGGCAGCCAGTGGTTGTTTAAATTTAAATTAATTACAATTAAATTAAATTAAATATTCAGCTCTTCTGGCTCACCAACCTCATTTCAACCTCTCAATGGCCACATGTGGCTACCGGCTGCCATACTGGACAGCACAAATAGAGAACACGGTCCATCATTGCAGGAAATTCTATCAAACAGCACTGCCATTAATTTTATGTATAGAGAAACTGAGACCCAAAGAGAGATGACTTGCCCCAAGCCCTAAGGGGAGTTAGTACTAGCTGTAGTACTAGATACCCTTTATAAAACATTTTGCAGTAAAATTGCATTAAAAATCTTGTAAATACAGCTCATGTCAATAGCCTAGGGTGGAAGGAGACAGGGCCCAGTCATGGGAATGAGGATGCAGGGGAAGGGAGGTGTTCTGTGTTTGTTCCTTCCCTCCCCCTGACCCCAGGGCTGCCCCAGTTCTCCAGGATAAAGAAGGCGTAGAGGCCTGGAACTCCCTCCTCTCCTCAATGATGACTTCATCCTCACAAAAATGTGAGGAGGGAAGTGGGAAGGGGCTCCCTGGAGGGTAGCTCTGGAGTCTAGGGGGAAATGGCACAGCCCTCAGGCCAGAGGAATTAGGGGTAGGGAGGGCTGTGCTGACCCTAACCAGTCTCCATGCAGCCATCTTCCTAAAATTCAAACCTAAATTCATGAGTCTATTGCCCCATGCTTAAACTCTTCCCTGGCTCCCCATGGCTCCTGGCATGGAGACCAAATCTCATACAAGCCCTCCAAGGGCCTGCATGGCCTGGCCCCTGAGATCCTTTCAGTCTCAGCTGGTCCCAAACTCCCTGTCTCTTTGATCTGTCTCCCTTCCTCACCAGGCTGACTCCTACCTCAGGGCCTTTGCACTCGTGGTTCTTCTGCCTAGAACACTCCCTCCCATCCCGCTTAACTCCTACCCATCTTTCTGAGATCTCAACTTAAGCAGAGCTCCCTGCAGAAGCCTCCCAGACCCCCAGGCCAGGTCAGCTGCCTCTGTTATATGCTCTTACAGTGCTTCCCTTCAGAAAATTCATCTTGGTTTGTAATTACACATTTATTTGGGGGTTGTTTGATAAATGTCTCACTTCTTGAGCAGGTCATGTTCCCTAAAGTCTGCTGAGCACGTCATTGCATCTCTAAACCCTTGAGCAGTGGTTGGTCCAGAAAAGATGATTAATAAAAACATGAGAAATAAATGAAAGGATTGAATGGGAGTCTTCCTTCCTGTAAGAAACATGCTCGGCCGGGCGCAGTGGCTCACGCCTGTAATCCCAGCACTTTGGGAGGCCAAGGCAGGCGGATCACCTGAGGTCAGGAGTTCAAGACCAGCCCCGCCAACATGGTGAAACTGCGTCTCTACTAAAAAAAACCACAAAAATTAGCCGGATGTGGTGGTGGGCGCCTGTAATCCCAGCTACTAGGGAGGCTGAGGCAGGAGAATCGCTTGAATCTGGGAGGCGGAGTCTACAGTCATACGAGATCGCACCACTCCACTCCAACCTGGGCGACAGAGGGAGACTCTGTCTCAAAAAAATAAATAAATAAAAAGAAACTTGCACCTTGGCATCCCCCTAGGCCCTGTCCCATCTCATCAGGACCAAATGTGGGTGATGGCTGTGCCTTTTACCATCCAGAGGGTAAGGGCAGGAAAGGAGTGTGACCTGGAGGCCACTGGAGACCATGGAGGCGATCAGGAGTTGCAGGGGTGACAGGAAATTGAGTTACAAAAGTGATGGAACAGACAAGATGACAACTGGGGACCCTGGGGAAAATACAAGGGGTACAATGTGGTCTAATTTGGCAATAGGATGCCACAGGCTGATTGATTAAAATAGGTAACGGGATATGCCAGAGTGATGAAGAAACAGGCAAGCTGGGTGCATACCAGAGTTATCATGGAAGTAACTGGCAAAAATAGGAACAAGGAACAGGAAACACTTTGAGCACTCATTGAATGTCAGGTCCTTTCCACATATTACCCATATATTTCCATAGATTAATCTTTACAACCCTGTCAGGCACTATTCTCTCTCCTTTTTTCAGAAAAGGAAACTGAGGCACACAGGGCAAAATAGAGATGAATAATCTGCTCAGGTCACAGCTGGTAGAGGTGGCATCAGGGCTTTATTTTAGAGACTGTTTTTTTGTTGACCTTTTGTTTTAGTTTTTGTTGTTGTTGGTGGTGGTGTTTTGTTTTGTTTTTAGAGACAGGCCTCACTGTCACCCAAGCTGGAGTGCAGTGGTACGATCTCGGCTCACTGCAATCTCCACCTCCTGGCTCAAGCAATCCTCCCACCTCCACCTCCTGAGTAGCTGGGACTACAGGTGCACACTACCACACTTGGCTAATTTTAAAATTTTTAGTAGAGACGAGGTCTTGCTATGTTGCCCAGGCTGGCCTCAAACTCCTGCTCTCAAACAATCCTCCTGCCTTGGCCTCCCAAAATGCTGGGATTACAGGTGTGAGCCACAGTGCCTAGCCGAGAGACCTTGTTCTTAATTACTGCATACCATCCACTTTTGGTGAACAAAGTGGCCTCCAAAGTGATTGTGGCTTAATAGTCTATCATTTGAGTGGGGAACAAATCGAGACATGGAAGGGGCTATTGAAGAATTCCCTTCCACATCTCCTCATTGCTTCATTCTTCCTCTTCCTCTGCTCACTAGTGTCCCTTTTGTCCTATGTGTTAAGATTAAGATTTAAGATTTACTAATTTCGGCCGGGCATGGTGGCTCACGCCTGTAATCCCAGCACTTTGGGAGGCTGAGGTGGATGGATCACCTGACAGGAGTTTGAGACCAGCCTGGCCAACATGGTGAAACCCTGTCTCTACTAAAATACAAAAATTAGCTGGGTGTAGTGGCAGGCACCTGTAATCCCAGCTACTCGGGAGGCTGAGGCACAAGGCTGAGGCACGAGAATTGCTTGAACTCAGGAAGACACAAGCCAGGGGCCAGAAGCCTCCACCTGCCCCATATCATTGAGCCAAAGAAGGGAAGTGGGGTCTGAGGGAGGAAGCCAGGTCTCCCTCTCTGTGGCTCTGCCCCATCATCTGGCATTGGTGTCCTTAACTTGGAGTCAGTGGACTTGGATGGGAAAAGAATATTACTTTCACTAATCTCTAGCTGAAATTTAACATTTCCTCCAATTATGACAATAGCAACAAACCAGTCATTTTAGCCATAACTATGGCTTTGTCACCAGTAGAAATCACATATATTTTTATATCATATTACAATATTGCAGATCTTTTGAAATACCATTTATGCTCATCACTGCATCAAAGTTATGTGAGGTATCAACCTACCACTAGATCTTATTTAAAGCATTAATAAAGAAGCACATATATTACTATATCACATCGGTTTTATATGTGTATTACAACATAATTGGTTTCCTTTGCAATCCTATATATTTTATTTTATGCATTTTAAAATATTATTCTGAGATGAGACCACATACTTTACCGTATTGCCAAAGGAGAACATGGCACAAAAAGGTTCAGAACTCTTGCATCTAGCCCCTGACCCAAACTCCCCGGCATCCATTCCTCAAAACTCCCTGTGCCCTTTACTGTCTTTTCCTGCTCCCTTATTTTGCTGGGTTAGTCTGAGTCCTTAAAGAAGAAGCTGCCAAGGCAGAATGCAAGGATTTGACTAGGGGAGATGCCTGTGAGAGAGGAAGGGAGCCTGGAGCTAGGAGAGCTGTGAAGGAGAGAGGGAAGGAATAAAGGTTGAGAGGAGCATCCTAAAACACCAGTCAAAGGAAAGTTCAGCAAAGCCATTGGGAAATCTTGATCCAAAGTCAGCTGTCAAAGGAGTCCCCTATCTCCCAGGAATGGGTCTGCCTTAGATCTCTGCTGAGCTCTGTCACTGGCTGGGAGCAGCCCAGTGGGAAGCTGGCCTTAGATTTCAGAGAGAAGCAGCTGGGGCCATTGGTTAATTTCACTCCTCACAGTGTAAGATCTGTGAGGAGCATTCTCACTGCCACCACAGTTGCCCATCTGAAAAAAAGGACATGGTGCAGGGGTCCTGTCCAGGGTGGTAGGTGAGCATGGTAGTTATAGATATAGACTTGGAGGGTTGGCTATTTTCTAGCTGCAGAGTCTTGAGCAAGTTATTTAATGCTCCCTGTCTCCTTATATGTAAAATAGAGGTGATAAAATTTCCTATTTGTAGGGATATTTGTGAGGATTAAAGTTTGCAAAGCAATGTTTACATAGATCCTGGAGCACGGTCAGCTCTCAATAATTGGTAGCCCTTATTATGGCTATTGCAATTATTATTTTATTACTATAATTCTCTTTCTCAAAGGGAAGGCCGGGAAAGTGGGGCTCCAGTAGGTTGAAGATGACAGTCCCTCCCCTAGCTGAGGCAGCTGGAAGAGGTGGGAACCACTTCCTCCCACTCCCCTCTTCTTCCCCTGAGGCAGGGGTCTTCCCCTAGCTACTGACAGTTCCTGTGTCTGCTGACTCACAGCCAACTTCCTCTCATACAAACAGGAAAACACAGCCGGCCAGCGCCCCCGCCACCCCCAACACATACACACACACACACACACACACACACACACACACACACACACACACACACACAAACACCCCCCCCCCACACCCAAACACTGGTCCTGCTCAGAGAGGGAAGTGCCTCCGCCCCTGGGAGACAGGCTCCAGGACCGGGGTTCCGGCAAGATTAGCGAAGGAGAGAAGGGCCATTCCTCTTCAGGCCTCCCCGGCATCCCCCCTGAAATTTTAGGGTGGGAGTTGGGGAGAAGGGGCGGCTTCTCCCATGAATGAAACAGCTGCTTGCTTGGTCACTGAGCTTGCAGGGCGTCCGCCTGTCCCAAAAAGGCAGCCCCAAACCTTGGTTTGGAAGTAGGGATGTGCCTTGCGGACCTTCATCCCTCGAAGGAACCTAGGCCGGGCCCTTGGGGATGGAAGTGGGGAGAAACAGACGGGTACCCCTCTGCTGGGCCTCTGCGCTTGTTGCCCAGGCCAAGTCTCAATTCTGGATGTCCAGCTTCCGTCCCCACACTAAACTGGTTGCCAGGGTCCAGCCACCCTTCCGGGCGTGGGAGAGGTGCCCTGGGGGATTAGGGCTCGACCTTTCCTCCTCCCTTTTGGCAGGACTGGAGGGCATGGGAGCAGCGGAGAGGATGCAAAGCCGTCCCTGGCACTCTCCCTTTCTCAGTTTCTACCTCCGTCCCAGTCTCCGTCCCGGTCTCTGCCTCTTTGTCCCTCTCCCTGAGGTTGTCTTCGTCCCAACGTGTTCTGGTCCTTTCTCGGCCTGCGAGAGGGCAGACTGGGGGCAGACTCGGAGATAAGCGCGGCGGTTGGGCAAGAAGCCCAAACCCTTTGGAGGCCTGCGCTTGCACAAGGAGTGGCCGGGGCCCCGCGGAGGGAACCGGCCGGGCGGGGCGGGGCTGGGCCCGTCGAGGGAGGGCAGAGGGGAGGCGGGGCCGGCGCGGCGGGACCCAGAACCTCGGACGAGCGGCGGGCACCCGCGAGCGGACGGCGGCCGCGTAGTGAGGTGAGGACCCCCGCGCCCCCCGGGTCCCTGCTTCCCAGACTCCTCCCCATCACCTTCTCGAGGGCCTTCGTGGGCTCCCAGGCCCCCTCGGCGCCGGCGGCCCTCCCCATCCCTGCCACGACCCGCCCCTCCCTCCTGCTGCCCGGCCTCTGCCCCATCCCTCCTCGCCCCCTCCCTCGTCGCAGCCTGCGCTGCCCGCCACTGCCCGCCCCGCCCCCGCCACTCCTGTCCCGCGAGCACCTCAGCTCCCAGCCCCGTGCTGTCGAGCCCGGCCTGAGTCACCGGGAAACCGGGCCCTGAGTCAGGGCCCGAGGCTCAGCACGCGGGCCCTGGCTTGGGAATGAGGCCCAGCTGGAGAGAGGCAGAGGGAGGCCAGCAGTGATGCTGGGACGGAGAGGGCGTCCTGGTCACCGACAGAGCACAAGAGTAACAGGGAGAGAGCCTAGGCCGAGGCGGAAGACAGAAACCCAGGCTCAGAGGCAGACAGAGACACAGATACAACTCAAGATCTGGTTAGAATTGTAGACTGAGTCAAGGACAAGCTTAATAACAGAGAGCAAAACAGGGTGGGACAAGGAGAGGGACAAAGAAGAATTGAGAGGTTGAGATGGAATGGGGCAGGGACAGTGACAAGGCAGAGATAAAACTCAGGGGCCACAGAATTAGAGACAGGTCTATGAAATAGACCAGGGTCAGGGTCGGGGTCAGGCTGGTGGAAGGGGGACAGAGCACAGAGACCTGAGCCCAAGGGAATGAGCAGGGAAAAGGCAAGCTCAGAAAAGGAAGGCTTGGAGAAAGCAGAGGTGGGGGGATGGCATTTCACACTGCCAAATCGCTACAGGGCATGTGCACACACAGGTGAACAGCATGTGAACATGCTGCCGGTGGGCAGAGAGTCCAGAAGCCTCTGGAGTACCCCTGACCAGAGGTCAGGCCTCATCTCTCTGGCATCCCCATCCTTATTCTTCAATTAGCCTCCACCCAGGGCCGGGACCCCACACATTAGGACTGGTTAGGGCTCTCCCGGCAGCCTGACCAAAGCAGGCAGGATGTGGAGGCGGCCAGGGCTGGAGGGACAGGAAGGAAGTCTGAGCAGAGACAATAGGTGGAAGGGGAGGAGGGACTGGGAACAACCAGGATTAGGACGGCAGGCCTGCATACATCGGCTCTGGAAACAAGAGGGAGGGGGCGTCTGCACCTCCTTCCTCCTATCTAGGCTGCCCCTCTCCCTACCTTACTCCAGAGCTGATTGGCCACATCATTGGCCCCTCCTCTGCATCTCCCTATCCCACTCTGACCCACAGCATTCTAGCATCTTGTCCCATGCTTACTCAGTTGGATGTGCAGTCAGGCAGGAGCAGAGCTTTGACCCAGACCCAGGGTGGGCAGGAACTGAGGGGCCAACTCTAGCACTGACTTACTGTGAACCTGGGGCAAGCCCCTTCCCCTCTCTGGGCCTCAGTTTCCTTAACTTCAAATGAAGTCCCTTCCCTAAGTAGAGAGCCATTGCTGTTGTTCTGGGATGGCTCTGCTTCCAGATCGCAGGCCTTTCAGCATCTTTCTTTGGAGGAAGATTGGAGGCTGGTGCTCACTGTCCAGGCCTCAGACTCTGGGGCAGAGAGGGGGATTCTCAGCCTGAGCCCTCCCTTCACCCTGCCCCTCCCCCCAGCAATGGCCTGAGCCCCCATGGCTGCCCCTCAGGACCTGGACATCGCTGTGTGGCTGGCCACGGTGCACCTGGAGCAGTATGCAGACACGTTCCGACGGCATGGCCTGGCTACAGCAGGTGCAGCCCGGGGCCTGGGCCACGAGGAGTTGAAGCAGTTGGGCATCAGCGCCACAGGGCACCGGAAACGCATTCTACGCCTGCTACAGACAGGCACCGAAGAGGGCTCCCTGGATCCCAAATCAGATAGTGCCATGGAACCATCCCCCAGCCCAGCCCCGCAAGCCCAGCCCCCTAAGCCCGTGCCGAAGCCCAGGACCGTGTTTGGTGGACTCAGTGGCCCTGCCACCACTCAGAGACCTGGGCTGAGCCCAGCCCTCGGGGGACCAGGAGTGTCCAGGAGCCCAGAGCCCAGCCCAAGGCCTCCTCCTCTCCCCACTTCCTCCTCTGAGCAGTCTTCAGCCCTAAATACTGTGGAGATGATGCCTAATTCCATCTACTTCGGCCTGGACTCAAGAGGCAGGGCACAGGCAGCTCAGGACAAGTGAGTGGAGTTGGCTCCCTAGGGACTGATGCTGGGAGGAGTGGGGAGGAGAGCATGAGGGGGACGGAGGCGGGGAGCAGGGCATGAAGGCTTGTTCTTCCTCCTCTCTCCTTAAGTAACCAATAGACCTTTCCCTTCAGGGCCCCAGACAGCTCCCAAATCTCTGCCCCCACCCCTGCCCTCAGGCCCACAACAGGCACAGGTAACTGGGTTATCACGGGTTGGGGGAGAGGGATAGTGCCGGCAGGACCTCATACACTCCCAGCGATCTCCTCTTCCTTGTGCGTTCCCCTCTCCTCCTGCCAGTGCACATCATGGATCCTGGTTGCCTGTACTATGGTGTCCAACCTGTGGGGACTCCAGGAGCCCCCGACAGAAGAGAGAGCAGAGGTGTTTGTCAGGGCAGGGCTGAACACAGGTGAGTACTAAATAGGGAAGTGGTGGGAGGGAGGAGCAGGTGAGTCGGTGGCGGCCATGTATCCAGTTATTCAACAAATGTGCATTGAGTATTCACCAGCCAGGCACTCAAGATACAGGATGAGTATCACAGACCTAGTGCCACCCTCAGGCAGCTTGTGACTCAGTGGGACAGACAGGGAATAAAACAAGTAGACAAACCAATGGTCATATAATGGAAAATTGGGAGAAGTGCTTTTCTTTCTTTCTTTCTTTTTGAGACGGAGTCTTGCCTTGTTGCCCAGATTGGAGTGCAGTGGCACAATCTCGGCTCACTGCAACCTCCCCCTCCTGGGTTCAAGCGATTCTCCTGTCTCAGGCTCCCGAGTAGCTGGGATTACAGGTGCGTGCCACCATGCCCGGCTAATTTTTATATTTTTAGTAGAGATGGGGTTTCGCCATGTTGGCCAGGCTGGTCTCGAACTCCTGACCTCAGGTGATCCTACCTCCTTGGCCTCCCAAAGTGCTGGGATTACAGGCATGAGCCACTGTGCCCAACCAGGAGAAGTGCTTTTCATTTTTTCATTCAACAAATATTTATTGAGCAACTATCATGCACCGGATGTAGATGCTTGGGATAGATCAGCGTACACAGAAATCCCTGCCCTTGTGGGGAGATAGTCTATTAACAATAAACATAATACATTAAATACTATAGAACGTTAAAAGGTATTAAGTGCCATGGAAAAAATAGAGCAGAGTAAGAGGGCTGGGGGGTTGGCCGGGCATGGTGGCTCACACCTGTAATCCCAGCACTTTGGGAGGCTGAGGCAGACGGATCACCTGAGGTCAGGAGTTTGAGACCAGCCTGGCCAACAGGATGAAACTCCGTCTCTACTAAAAATACAAAAATTAGCCAGGTGCGGTGGTGGACGCCTATAATCCCAGCTAGTTAGGAGGCTGAGGAAGGAGAATTGCTTGAACCGGAGAGGTGGAGGTAGCAGTGACTAAGAAAAAAAAAAAGAGGGCTTGGGGGCAAAATGGGTGGACTGCAATTTTTCATTTACAGTTAGCGGAGCGTTAAGAAGATGACATTTGATCAAAAACTTGAAGGAGGTGAAGGAGTTAGCCATGAAGATAACTGGGGAAGAGTGCCCCGGTAGGGCAAGTGATTGGAACAGAGGCCTCAAGGCGGGTGTGTGCCCAAAGGGATCCAGGAGCAGTGAGGAGGCCAGGCCATCTTGGCTGGGGCAGGTGAGCCACGGTGGGAGGAATGGCAGGAGATGAAGTCAGAGAGGTAAAAGAGGCCAGATAAGGGTCAGGCACAGTGGCTCATGCCTGTAATCCCAGCACTTTGGGAGGCCAAGGTTGGCGGACCACCTGAGTTCAGGAGTTTGAGAGCAGCCTAGTCAACATGGTGAAACCTCGTGTCTACTAAAAATACAAAAAAAATATAGCCGGGCGTGGTGGTGGGCGCCTGTAGTCCCAGCTACTCAGGAGGCTGAGGCAGAGAATGGCGTGAACCCGGGAGGCGGAGCTTGCAGTGAGCAAAGGTTGTGCCGCTGCACTCCAGCCTGGGCAACAAAGCAGGACTCCGTCTCAAAAAAAAAAAAAAATAGCTGGGGGTGGTGGCGCACACCTGTAGTCCCAGCTACTAGGGAGGCTGAGGCAGGAGAATCACTTGAACCCGGGAGGCGGAGGTTGCAGCAAGTCAAGATCATGCCACTGCCCTCCATCCTGGACAACCGAGTGAGACCCTGTCTCAAAACAAAAACAAAAACAAAAAAAACAAAAACAAAAAACAAAACAAAACCAAAAAAACAAAAACAAGGGGCCAGATAAGGGACTTTGGCTTTTACTCTAAGTGAAATGGGAAGCCATTGAGGGGTTTTGACTTTATAAAGGGATCCCCCTGGTTGCTATGTTGGGAGTGGTCTGTAGGGGGCCAAAGGAGAAGCAGAGAGACCAGTGGGGAGGTTTTTGTAGTAATGTAGGTGAGAGACCTCAGAGTGTAGTGATAGTAGTGGAGATGATGAGAAGTGGCTTTATTTTGAAGGCAAACTGTCAGATTAACTTGGGATGTGAGAAAAAAAGAGCAGTCAAGAATGACTTTGAGGGCTTCCATCTGAGCTGGTGCTGACCAGTATGGTAGCCATTAGCCACATGTGACTACTGGGCCTATGAAATGCGGCTAGTATCCTTTGAGATGCACAATAAATGTAAAACACCTGCTAGATTTCAAAGACTTAATATGAGAAAAAGCAATACTGGATGAATATAACAAATATAAACATAAATTATCTTATGTTTATATTTTTATGTTGATTACAGAATTTTTATGTAGTAAAAAATAGTAATTTTTATGTTGATTACATACTAAAATGTTAATGTTTAGGATATATTGGGTTAAATAAAATATATTATTAAAATTAATTTCACCTGTTTCTTTTAATTTTTTTAAACGTGGCTACTGAAAAGTTTAAAATTACATACTTGGTTCGCATTAACTTCTGCTGGATAGCACTGTCCTGAGCACCTGAAAGTTCCTGGAGCCGCCACGGTCTGAGATGGGGAAGACTGTGTTCAGGCAGCTGGGAGGAGAGGGTAGATTAGGAGTGCAGTTCTGGATGTGTTGAATTTGAGGTGTAAGTTATGCCTCCAAGAAGAGGTGAAAATAGACCACTGGGTAGACGAGCTTAGAGTCTAGAGAGAGGTCGGAGCTGGAGACCTAAACTTGAGAGTTGTCAGCACTTAGATGGGTGCATAGAGCTGTGAGTGAGTGCAGATAGAGAAGAGGACCAAGATCAAAGCCCTTGTGCACTCCCATATCTAGAGGTTTGGGAGAAGCGGAAGAATCTGCAAAACGGACAGAAGAGAAATAGCAAAGTAGAAGGCCAGGAGAATGTGATGTCATAGGAGCAAAGTGAGGAAAATGTAGAAGAAGAAGGGAGAGGCCAGCTGTGTCCTACGCTGCTGAGGGGTCTGCTGCTGAGTATGATAGGACTTAGAATTCACCCTTGGAATTGGAGGTCACTGGGGATCTTGACAAGTACAGTCTCAGAGTGATGGGGTGAAAGCTCGATGAGAGTGGGTTTTAAGGGAGAATAGAAAAGTACAGACAGTGTCTTTTGAGGAATTTTTCTGCAAAGAAGAGCAGAGAGTTGGAACTATTGTTGCTAGAGGAAGCTGAGTCAAGAAAAGAGTTTTTTTGTTGTTTTTGAGACGGAGTCTTGCTCTGTCACCCAAGCTGGAGTGCAGTGGTGTGATCTCGGCTCATTGCAACCTCTGCCTCCTGGGTTCAAGTGATTCTCCTGCCTCAGCCTCCCAAGTAGCTGGGACCACAGGTGCGCTTCACCACACCCAGCTAATTTTTGTACTTTTAGTAGAGACGGGGTTTCACCATGTTGGCCAGGATGGTCTCGACCTCTTGACCTCGTGATCCGCCTGCCAAAGTGCTGGGATTACAGGCGTGAGCCACCGTACCTGTCCAACAAGAGTTTTTTATTGGATGCAATGTTATATAGGTTTGTAGGTGAATAGGAATGATCTGGTAGGGAGGGACAGTTATGTAGGGGAGAGGAGAGTGAGGGATGTCTAAGTGATTGTGTAGGTGAGAGGAATAGGATTAAGGGCACAGAGGAGGGTCTGGCTTTAGACACGAGTGTTTATTATAGTCACAGGAGGAAGGCAGAATATGTGCGTGAAATTGGGTAAACATGGCACTGGGAGTCTGTGGGGGTTCTTATCTGATTACTTCAATTTCTCAGTGAAGTAGGAAACAGAGGCTGCAGTAGCAGTTTTCAACATTAGCTGTATCATAGGCTGGGGAAATTTTTTTTTTTTTGTGACAGAGTCTCGCTCTGTTGCCCAGGCTGGAGTACAGTGGCTCGATCTCTGCTCACTGCAACCTCCGCCTCCCAGGTTCAAGCAATTATCTTGCCTCAGCCTCCCGAGTAGCTGGAATTACAGGCGCCCGCCAGCACACCTGGCTAATTTTTTTTTGTATTTTTAGTAGAGACGGGGTTTCACCATATTGCCCAGGCTGGTCTTGAACTCCTGACCTTGTGATCTGCCTGACTCGGCCTCCCAAAGTGCTGGGATTACAGGTATAAGCCACCACGCCCAGCCTTTTTTATTTTTTATTTTATTTTTTTTAGGCTGGGGAATTTTTAAAACTATGAGTGCCTGGGCCCTCTCCCAGAGATTCACATTTAAGTGTCTGGTGTGGAGCCCATGTACTGATATTTTTTAATGTTTCCCAAGTGATTTTGTGCTGTTGAGGTTGAGAACCCCTGGAAAGTGACAGAGAATAATAGAGGAATCTACTCAGGTTAGTTAAGGGAGGCCTCTCTGAGAAGATGACATAAGCAAAGACCTGAAGGATGAGAAAAAGCAGCCCAGGGAAGCATGGAAGGCGGCAAGTTCTAGGTAGAGGGAAGAGCGTGTGCAAAGGCTCTGAAACATGGAGGAGAATGTGGCTATAAGCAAGGGCCAGGGCAACACAGGATGCAGTCAGGGGAGTGGCCTACGGGCCTCACTGTACAAGTTCTTGCAGCCCATTGGAATTTGGGTTTAACCTAAGTGCGAATGGGACGTTATTGAAGGGCTTCCTGCAAGGGAGTAAAATGGTCTCATCTGCATTTGTAAAAGAACACTTTGGTGCCTGTGGGAGAATAAGTGTGGGAGGGAGGGCAAGAATGAAAGCAGATGGCCAGTTAGGGAATTTGCATCACCCTGGTGAGAGTTGATGGGAACTTGGTCCTTGGTCCAGGGAGAGGTCAAGAACGTTTTGGACAAAGAGTCAAGACATATTGATTAGCCATGGGCAACCATGACAGGGAGCCATCTACACAGCCCTTCCCCGTCTTTTCCATCCAAGTCATACTAACGGCAAAGAAGATGGACTGAAATTTTCCCAATAAAAATTCCAAGTATGCTCAGGAAAGCAGCCCCATGCCAATCTTAAGGGTTCTGAACCTCCCTATTCCCCTGTTTGAAAAGCAGATCCAGGCTGAGCACAGTGGCTCACACCTGTAACCCCAGCAATTCGGGAGGCCGAGGTGGGAGGATCACTTGAACCCAGGAGTTTGAGACCAGCCTGGGCAACATAGCGAGACCTCATCTCTACTAAAAATAAAATAAAAAATTAGCCAGGTGTGGTGGCCAGCACATGCCTGTAGTCCCAGCTACTCAGGGTGGGAGGATCCCTTGAGCCCAGAAGTTTGAGACTGCAGTGAGCCATGATTGCACCACTGCACTCAGCCTGGGCAGCAGAGAGAGAGAGAGAGACCCTGTCTCAAAAGAGGCTGGGCGTGATGGCTCACGCCTGTAATCCCAACACTTTGGGAGGCCAAGGCGGGTGGATCACCTGAGGTCAGGAGTTCGAGACCAGCCTGACCAACATGGAGAAACCCCGTCTCTACTAAAAATACAAAATTAGCCAGGCGTGGTAGCGTATTCTTGTAATCCCAGCTACTCAGGAGGCTGAGGCAGGAGAATCGCTTGAACCCGAGAGGTGGAGGTTGTGGTGAGCCGAGATTGCGCTATTGCACTCCAGCCTGGGCAACAAGAGCGAAGCTCCATCTCAAAAAAAAAAAAAAAAAAAAAGAAGAAAAGAAAAGAAAAAGAAAAGAAAATCAGATCCAGTACCTGCCAGGCATTCTATTCTTAGGTGATGTGAGTAGGATGGAGAAAGTACAAAGAGGGTGTCCGGGGTACTTGTCTAATGTGTGTCCCTCCCTGTCTTGGCCCCCACAAGGCTCAGCAGACAGGATCTGGAGGCACGGGAGGATGCTGGCTATGCCAGCCTTGAGCTACCTGGAGACTCCACCCTCTTATCGCCCACCCTGGAAACAGAGGAGACCAGTGATGACCTCATTTCACCCTATGCCAGCTTCTCCTTCACGGCAGACCGCCTCACGCCCCTGCTCAGTGGCTGGCTAGACAAGCTCTCCCCTCAGGGGTGGGTGCTGGGAGGGGAAGGGAGGGAGAAAAGAGAGGCTGGGAGGTGGTTGCGCGGGAAAGTGCCCCCAGACCCTATGATCCCCCTAACCCCATGCAACCTCAAACACTGATCTTGGCTCCTTCCTTCCTCAGAAACTATGTCTTCCAGAGACGCTTTGTGCAGTTCAATGGGAGGAGTCTGATGTACTTTGGCAGTGACAAGGTGGGGGGCTGGGAGATGTGACGATATGGAGATGAGGGAGAGGGAGGGCTGAGAGGGGCTCAGAATTGGAAGGAGGGAAGTCCATTGTGTGTGTGGGCGGGGCAGTGACTGCATGACTGATGTCAGCATTTAAAGTAGCTGGCTTAGCAGCTGTACCCACTGCTTGTGGATTTAATGCCAATCTTATAAAATCTGGGGCAGGACCCAGGGGCTGGCACACATGGCTCAGTTCCTGTCCTCATGGGTCATTGAGCTCTCTCTCTCCAGGACCCCTTCCCTAAGGGTGTGATACCTTTGACTGCCATTGAGATGACCCGCAGCAGCAAGGACAACAAGTTCCAGGTCATCACCGGCCAGAGGGTGTTCGTGTTCCGCACAGAGAGCGAGGGTGAGGGCCACAGCCCCCTGAGTCAGGGCAGGAGGGAGGGAGGCTGTGTGAGCAACAGCCACTGACCTGCTTCTCCATCCCCACCAGCTCAGCGGGACATGTGGTGCTCCACGCTGCAGTCCTGTCTGAAGGAGCAGCGCCTCCTGGGCCACCCCCGGCCCCCCCAACCACCCCGACCCCTCCGCACGGGCATGCTGGAGCTGCGTGGACACAAGGCCAAGGTGTTTGCTGCCTTGAGCCCTGGAGAGCTGGCACTGTACAAGAGTGAGCAGGTGAGGAGAGCCGGGCCAGGGCTGAGGGGCCTGAACTAGTCCCTTCTGGCACCTCATGATGCCCACCCCCTGACCCCACCAGGCCTTCTCTCTGGGCATCGGGATCTGCTTCATCGAACTGCAGGGCTGCAGCGTCCGGGAGACCAAGAGTCGAAGCTTTGACCTGCTCACACCCCATCGCTGCTTCAGGTGGGGCCTGGGCCAGTGGGAGGCAAGGCTGGGGGACTTTTGCGGGAGGCACAAGGGTGCAGAGGACTAGAGGCCTCTTTAGTAGGACGTCAGAGGGTATGCACAGATGGTAGTCCAGTGAGCTAGGTCAAGATGTCAGAAGGGTCTGGGCTGCCCCAGGTGTGGCCTGTGGTGGCTCCTGCAGGAAGAGCCAGGGGGATGGGACATGGCAGGTAGGTCCATGCCCATGGACTGGCTGTCCACCCCTCAGCTTCACAGCCGAGTCTGGGGGTGCTCGGCAGAGCTGGGCGGCCGCTCTGCAGGAAGCAGTAACCGAGACCCTGTCTGACTACGAGGTGGCTGAGAAGATCTGGTCTAATCGGGCCAACCGGCAGTGTGCGGACTGTGGGTCCTCCCGCCCAGATTGGGCTGCTGTCAATTTGGGGGTGGTCATCTGCAAGCAGTGTGCAGGTGAGGAATGGCCTCAAGCCCATGTGGGGAACAGGAGGGCTGGGACTAGAGGGCTCAGGGTACCCGTGCCACATGCCCCTCACACCCTCACACACCCTCACACACCCTCACACCCTCACAGGTCAGCACCGGGCCCTGGGTTCTGGGATCTCCAAGGTGCAGAGCCTGAAGCTGGACACGAGTGTCTGGAGTAATGAGATAGTACAGGTGAGCGGGCGAAGAGGGAGAAGGTGGGAGGCGTAGAAGGGAGCGTCCAGAAGCAGGCCTTGGGCCAGCCTGGGGACAGGAATGGAACATCTGAGGACTCTTGAGTTCCTGTCACCTGCCTTTGTCCCTTGTCATCCCACAGTTATTCATTGTCCTGGGAAATGATCGTGCCAACCGCTTCTGGGCAGGGACCCTACCCCCAGGTGAGGGACTACATCCAGATGCGACCCCTGGCCCCCGGGGAGAGTTCATCTCCCGAAAGTACCGTCTGGGTCTCTTCCGGAAGCCCCACCCTCAGTACCCAGATCATAGCCAGCTTCTCCAGGTAGGAGGGACAGAGCAGGGGTGATCTGGGGTGGGGGGGTCAGGAAACACTCTCTGGAGTTGGAATGCCTAGACTTGGGTGGTGGGGACTGTTTTTAGTGATGATACGACTGTCCCCAGTGCTCTCAGTTTGGGATTTGGGGCTGACAGAGGCCCTTCCCTCCCTGCAGGCACTGTGTGCAGCTGTGGCAAGACCCAACCTGCTGAAGAACATGACCCAGCTCCTCTGTGTTGAGGCCTTTGAAGGCGAGGAGCCCTGGTTCCCCCCAGCCCCTGATGGCAGCTGCCCTGGCCTCTTGCCCTCAGGTCATTCCCCCAAGTGCCTCCTCTCTCCCCTACAGGAATTCTCAGACCCAACCTATGATTCAGTTCTTCCAAGGGGCCCCAATTAGCTGATCACAATGGCCCAGCCTGGGCAGTTTCCCAAACCCTCAGATCCTCCAGGGCCTATCTCCTGATGTCATGTGATAGCTGATGACGGTCATGGCTGGGGAGGGTCTGGGTGTTCCAGGTGCTAGTGCTGGTCCACCCCTGACAGGGCCGACCCATAGGTCAGGACTAGTCTCCCTGGAGACAGTGTGATCTCTCAAAGAAGTGATCAGCTTAGTGACACTCATCTCCATTGGTCAGGCCAGGGGGCTGAGACCCTTACAGGATGGTACATGCCCTGAGGTGCTCACCCAGAGCTAAGAGCCTGGTTGGCTGGCTGGTAGGGAGAGGCAGTGGGCAGGGGCTGGGCCAGAGGCCTCCCTGTCTCATTACCCCCTGCCTCTCTCTTCTGCAATCTGGGTAGTGAGGGATCCAGCTCCATTGGGCTCTACTTGGCTGTGCTGGCAGTGGAGTCAGGTCCCACTGTCTTTCTCCATTTCATCCCTTCCCCAGAGGGGGTCAGGTTATCCCGTTGCACTTGGTTGACCTGACTACTTCCCCTTCCCCTTGCAGACCCCTCCCCTGGTGTGTACAATGAGGTGGTGGTGCGTGCTACTTACAGCGGCTTCCTGTACTGCAGTCCCGTCAGCAACAAAGCTGGACCCTCACCCCCTCGCAGGGGCCGGGATGGTGAGGGGGAGCCAAGGGATGGGAGGATACAGGGACAGAAAGTGGATGGGTGTGAGGGTACTGCAGAGGGACAAAGAGGAGAGGGCTGGGATGGGAAAGTGGGGCCATGCCTGGGAATGGGCTGGGGTCCTGGGGGTGAGAGAGGGACCATGCCAAGTGGCAGCATTGGGTGATAGTTAAGAGCATCTGTTCTGAAGTCAGACTGTCTGGGTCAAATCCCAGCTCTGCTACTTCCTACCTATGTGTCTTGGGCAAGCTACTGAAACTGAGCCTCAGTTTCCCCATCTGCAAAACAGGACTGAGTATAACACCTCATAGGGTTATTGTGAAGATTACATGGGATCATATATGGGCAAAGGGCTTGGCACAGAATAAATATCTGGTAAACTGGAACTATGACAGTGGGGGCAGAGGTCTGCTGCTCCCTGACTATCTCCCTCTGCCTTAGCTCCCCCGCGCCTTTGGTGTGTGCTGGGAGCAGCTCTGGAAATGTTTGCATCGGAAAACAGCCCTGAACCCCTCAGCCTCATACAGCCCCAGGATATTGTATGTCTGGGTGTGAGCCCCCCACCCACTGACCCAGGTGACAGGTAATAGCCCTTCTGTGACCACTGAGCTTCCCCCTTTTCTCTTCCCAACCTCCAGCCTGACAGCCCTCTCATTGGTCCCATCCTCCTCCCTGACCTCATCTTCTCTCCAGGTTCCCCTTTTCCTTTGAGCTCATCCTCGCTGGGGGGAGGATCCAGCATTTTGGCACAGATGGAGCTGACAGTCTGGAGGCCTGGACTAGTGCTGTGGGCAAGGTGAGACAGGAGAGCGCCCTCTGCAGCATCTCATGCTTTCCTTGTCCCCACGTGCTCCCATCTTCTCCTCTCTTATTCCTACAGCCACTTCTTCCACTAACAGCTAAGGGTGACTGAGCACATATTCTGTGCCAGGCCCTGTGTTAAGCACTGCCCACTCGATATCTCATTTAATTTTCACAACCACTCTCTGAGGTGAGGTTTTAAGTATAAGGAAACTAAGTTTTAGAGTTTACGAATTCACTTGGTCAAGGTCACAGAGCTAGGAGGCAGCAGAGCACAGGACTAAAATTCAGGCCTCTGTCTGCAAAGCTCACGGCCCAAACCTCACTGTGCCAATGCCTCCTCCCACGAAGAAGCTGGCTCTGATTCCCACTACCCACCCTCTGCTCCAGTTTTCCAGCAGGCCCGGAGGCAAAGCTACCTTCATATTTCCCAGCTTCTCCATTCTTAGATAAGCCAGTATCTCTCTCCTGTATGCCATTCCCAAAACTGAAAATTCAGGCCCTGGAGTCAGACATCCTGGGATTTGAGTCACAACTCTCAGCCTTGTGAGCTTTTCCACATCTGTAGGGTGGGCGTAAAAGACTCACCCCCTAGGGTTGAGGATTAAATGACATGTGAGGCCCACACACAGCAAGCCCTCAGTATGTGGGCGTTGAAATAATAATGATGGTAGTGATGATGACGATGATGACGACAGTCTCTCCCATCCTAAGACAGCTTTTCCCTAAGATCTGTTCCATCTTCAACTTTTCACCCTGGTGCCTTCCTTTCCCTCCTGACAATGCGTCAGAAAGTCGTGTGCAGCCTGCAGTTCCCCTTTGACCCCTTGCAGCTACCCTCCTCTGCCCATGCCCTCCTGAACTGCTACCTGGCAGGTCACCAGTGCCTTCCCATTTCCAAAGGCCAAGGCTGCCTCCCAGCCTCACCAGGTCATCTCTGCAGCATCCGGCACTCCTGTATGGGAAATGCTCCACTGCTCTGGCTTTTGACCCCCTTCTCCCAGGTCTCCTACAACTCCTCACACTAACACATTGTCTCCATATCTTTTCAGGGCTCTGTCGTGGCCCTCCCAACCAGGTTTAAGTCTCCTCTCATTATTATCTACACTTTCCAAAAAGCTATCCCATCCTTTAAGGCAGTGCTACCCGGAGGGTGCTGTGAAGACTGTCACACCATACTAGCCCCTGGACTATGTGTTATGGTCCATGACAGGATAAGCACAGAACTTGAGAGTAAGCATTTAGAATATTTTATAGCAATTTGACATAGTAATTTTATGTGTTGAATCTAATTATAAAAAAAGGGCTTGGGCCAGGGGTGGTGGCTCACACTTGCAATTCCCAGCACTTAGGGAGGCTGAGGCGGGAGGATTGCTTGAGCCCAGGAGTTTGAGAGCAACCTGGGACCCTGTCTCTACAAAAAATAAGAATTAGCCAGGCATGATGGTGCTCACCTATAGTCCCAGCTACTGGGGAGGCTGAGGTGGAAGGATTGCTTGAGCCTCGGAGGTTTGAGCCTACAGTGAGCTGTGATCATGCCACTGCACTCCAGCCTAAGTGAGGCCCTGTCTCAAAAAAAAAAGCGGGTCGGGTTGTATTCTTCATTTTTTCATCCAGATTTTCTAGCAACTCATTTTTATTATTATTATTATTTTCTTTTTGAGATGGAGTTTCGCTCTTGTCTCCCAGGCTACAGTGCGGTGAAGAGATCTTGGCTCACTGCAACCTCCGCTTCTTGGGTTCAAGCGATTCTCTTGCCTCAGCCTCCTGAGTAGCTGGGACTACAGGCGCACATGACCTCGCCCGGCTAATTTTTGTATTTTTGGTAGAGATGGGGTTTCACCATGTTGGCCAGGCTGGTCTCGAACTCCTGACCTCAGGTGATCTGCCTGCCTCGGCCTCCCAAAGTGCTGGGATTACAGGCTTGAGCCACCGCACCTGGCCACTTATATTATTTTTAATGAAAATACAGTACTGGCCGGGCGTGGTGGCTCATGCCTCTAATCCCAACACTTTGGGAGGCCGAGGCAGGTGGATCACCTGAGGTCAGGAGTTTGAGACCAGCCATGCAACATGGTGAAACCCCGTCTCTACTAAAAATACAAAAAATTAGCCAGACATTAGCGCCTATAGTCCCAGCTACTCGGGAGGCTGAGGCAGGAGAATCTCTTGAACCCGGGAGGCAGAGGTTGCAGTGAGCCGAGATCATGCCACTGTACTCCACCCTGGGAGAGAAGAGCAAAACTCCATTTCAAAAAAAAAAAAAAAGAAAGAAAGTACACTATTGGTTAGTGACAGCTTGGGACTTTAAGAAGGAAAAAGGAAAAAACCCTGGTCCTTTACTGCAATTTACTGCAGGTAGTTTGAGAAGCACTGCTTTGCAGTCAACCTCAAACATCCTTTCCTCTATGAAGCTTCTCCCCAGCCCCCTAGGGTGGTGGGATTTCCCAGGGCATCATGAGTCTTCAGGTGTAGCATTTTTGGCTATAAAGAATGAGTATGCCTTTTTGGCTGGGCGCAGTGGCTCATGTCTGTAATTCCAGGACTTTGGGAGGCCAAGGTGGGAGTTCGAGACCAGCCTGGGCAACATGGCAAAACCCTATCTCTACAAAAAAAGTAAAAAAAAATTAGCCAGGTGTGATGGCATGCTCCTGTAGTCCCAGCTACTCAGGAGGCTGAGGTGGGAAGATCACCTGAGCTGGGGGAGGTCGAGGCTGCAGTGAGCCATGATCACGGCACTGCACAAGAATGAGTATTCTTTCTTATACCCACACCTCAATTAAGGGCATGAGGCTGCCACACAGGGGTCTTCTTTATGTTGGGGAGAGCAAACTGAATTGAATTGAATTGAATTTCTTTCCTGTCTTTCTCCAACCATCTCATGTCTCCTCCTTGGCTGTCTCCTCTGCTCTCTCGCATCCCTTTTCATTCCTGCTTTTCTTCTGCTTTCTCTTCATGTTTTTCTCTGCTTTTCGCTACCCCGGTCACTCTCATTTCTCTCCCCTATTCCTTGTCTCTTCCCCCATCCCCCTTTCTCCTGTCCTCCCCCTGCCTCTACAGTGGTTCTCCCCGCTGAGCTGCCACCAGCTGCTGGGCCCCGGGCTGCTGCGGCTGGGCCGCCTATGGCTGCGGTCCCCCTCCCATACAGCCCCGGCCCCTGGTCTCTGGCTGTCAGGGTTTGGCCTCCTTCGTGGTGACCACCTCTTCCTGTGCTCAGCGCCGGGCCCAGGCCCCCCAGCCCCTGAGGACATGGTGCATCTGCGGCGGCTACAGGAGATCAGTAAGCGGGGAGGTTTGGGGGGACAGGGATGAAGGGTGGCCATGCGGGTGCATGGAAGCAGACCTTTATTATTTGGGGGTTCTTATGGGAAACAGCAGAACATGGTGGCTTCAGGTACAAGCTCTGAAGGGAAACTGCCCAGCTTTAGACCCCACCTTCATCACTTCCTAGCTGTATATCCCTGGACAAGTTATTTAACCTCTCTGTGCCTTAGTTTCCTCATCTTTAAAATGGGCACAATAATAACACCTTCCTCAGAGGGTTGTAGTGAGGTTCAAATAGGGTAATGCATCTAAAACATGTATCGCAGAGCCTGACAAGCATTTTTTAAGTGCTCAATAAATGTTGTTATTATTATTATTATTATTATTTTTTTTTTTTTTTGGAGACAGAGTCACGCTCTGTCCCCCAGGCTGGAGTGCAAGGGCATGATCTCAACTCCTCAACTCACTGCAACCTCCGCCTCCCAGGTTCAAGCAATTCTCCTGCCTCAGCCTCCCAAGTAGCTGGGATTACAGGTGTCCGCCACCACGCCCAGCTAATTTTTGTATTTTTAGTAGAGAAGGGGTTTCACCATGTTGGCCAGGCTGGTCTTGAACTCCTGACCTCAGGTGATCCACCCACCTTGGCCTCCCACAGTGCTGGGATTACAGGAGTGAGCCACTGCGCCCGGTCTATAAATATTATTATTATTTGGAATCACTTGCTGGTTGGGTCCTGGGAGAGGGGACTGGGTGCCCTCACTGCTTTCCTTTCTCCTAAAAGAGGAACAATGTAAGATAATATTTTAGGACTTTGGAAACAAGAGACCTGGGTTTGTGCTCAGCCTTGCCATTTTATAGCAAGTAATCTGGGGCAAGTTACTTAAACTTTCTGAGATTAATGTGTCACCTATAAAATGGGAATAATAGTACATAACTCATAGGATTCAACTGAACGTTTTTTGTAATGCTCCTAGCCTGGCATCTATGCACGTTAAGCATTTAATAAATAATAGTCTCTATAATGAAGACGATAATCATGAAAATGTCCACTGATTCTCCTCCCAGGTGTGGTTTCTGCAGCTGACACCCCAGATAAGAAAGAGCATTTGGTCCTGGTGGAGACAGGAAGGTAAATTGCCCCTGCCCTTGACCTGGGGCTCCCCTTCCTGGAGCAGAGCCCATACTCTGCAACCTGGCCTGCTGGGCCATTGCCCACTTCCTCAAAGTTTCTTCCCTTGCTCCAGGATGATTTGGGTTGGGTGTTGCTGCCCTCTGCTGGTGGCTCTGGGAAGTCTGGTCCCCATGCATCTGGGCCTGTCGGAGCTGGCTCTGATTCAGGCCTCTGGGGTCTCAGGACCCTGTATCTGCAAGGAGAGGGCCGGCTGGACTTCACGGCATGGAACGCAGCCATTGGGGGCGCGGCTGGTGGGGGCGGCACAGGGCTGCAGGAGCAGCAGATGAGCCGGGGTGACATCCCCATCATCGTGGATGCCTGCATCAGTTTTGTTACCCAGCATGGTGAGTAGGCACTGGCTGGTACTGAGCCAATGGGGGTGGGGGGTGGGGGTGATGAGGGGGTGGAGAACGTGAGCACAGCCAGGGTGGAACGTGAGCACAGCCTGGAAGAGCTTTGCCTCCAGAAACTGCAGCTGGACCCCAGCTGGTCATTTGACTCTTGGCAGGCTGCTTTGCTTTTCTGAACCTCAGTTCCATCATCTGTAAAATGGGGCCAACGGTCCTCATTTTCCAGGATAATTGTGACAGTGAGACAATGCCTGTCAAGCCTTGAGCGCAGGGCCTGGCATGTAGTAAGTGTTCAGAAGTTTCGTCAGAGTGTGGAGTAGGGGAGGAGCACTGAAAATGTGACTGAGGACACAGAGCCATGGCAAACAGCGAGCAGCTGCGAGGTGAGAGCTGAGCTGTGCAGCACATTCCCAGAAGTTTTAAGCAGAATTATTCTGTGTGGGAGGTTTTCTGGGCTTAAATGGTCAGCTGTGCAAGTGGCCCCCATAATTCTTTGTGAGTTTTTTTGGTTGTTGTTGTTTGCTTTTTTTTTGAGATGGAGTCTTGCTCTGTTGCCCAAGCTGGAGTGCAGTGGCATGATCTCAGCTCACTGCAACCTCCGCTTCTCGGGTTCAAGCAATTCTCCTGCCTCAGCCTCCCAAGTAGCTGGGATTGCAGGCGTGCCCCACCACACCTGGATAATTTTTATATTTTTAGTACAGGTGAGTTTTACCATGTTGGCCAGGCTGGTCTCAAATTCCTGACCTCAGGTGATCCACCCACCTTGGCCTCCCAAAGTGCTGGGATTACAGGTGTGAGCCACCACACCTGGCCCTTTGTAAGTTTTTTATCCTAAATAAGGACCGAAAAGAATCTATTTCTCCTGTGAACCCTCTTTAGAAGGCTGGACTCTTAAGAAGGAAAATTCACAGAAAACTAAGGTGGGCAGATCCCTAGATCATTTATAATACCTAATACAATGCAAGTGCTGTGGAAATAGTTGTTATGCTGTATTGTTTTTATTTGTATTTTGTTGTTGTTATATTGTTATCTTGGGGTTTTTTTCCAAATATTTTTGATGTCGGTTGAATCTGCAGTTGTGGAGCCCATGGATACAGAGGGCTGACTGTAAGGAAAAAAACAGCGCCTCCACAAACATACACATAATTGTTACTAGTCATGGGACATGGAAAGTCAGTGGCTAATAACATTTTCCATGCCTTGGCAGTGGCCTTGTTCAGTGACCTCCCCCACTCGCTACATCCTTATCCTCTTCTCAGCCTCTCTCGTGTTCGAAGGAGGAAATAAGTCAGAGGCCCAGTGAGAAAGCCCTGAAGAAAGAATATGGGGCCGGGCGTGGTGGTTCAAGTGTGTAATCCCAGCACTTTGGGAAGCCGAGGCAGGTGGATCACCTGAGGTCAGGAGTTCAAGACCAGCCTGGCCAACATGGTGAAACCCTGTTTCTATTAAAATACAAAAATTAGCCAGCCATGGTGGCGGGTGCCTGTAATCCCAGCTACCCAGGAGGCTGAGGCAGGAGAATTGCTGTGAGGTGAGGTTGCAGTGAGCTGAGATGGCACCACTTCACTCCACCCCGGGTGAAAGAGCAAAACTCTGTCTCAATTAAAAAGAAAGAATCTGGGTGTTCATCCCCTCCCCTCCAAGGTTCCTGCACCACCATTGTTTAGTCAGCATACATTGGTTGAGCTGCTACCGTGTGTCAGACACTGGGGATATGGCAGTAAGCAGGGTGGGTCCTAGGAGGGTCCTAGGAAGCTTATTTATTACCCATCTCTTAGGTAATAAATAAGAAAACAAATATAGTCTGTTCTTGTTATTTGTGGTAGTTATGCTCTAAGTCACTGCAAACATTTAATTAGTGAATACTGGATCACTGCCCCAGAGGAAATACAGGGTTAGCTTCCTGCTAGCCTCTGGTTACAATAACATTTTAGTCAAGTGATCAATATGTATCCTTGTTTTGTGTGTTTTTCTGTGTAAAGAGACCTTATTTTATATATATTGTTTGATTTGTTAACACTGAACTCAAGGCCAACAGCACTGTAACTCAAGCTAATCTAACACATGTATTTTCTCTGTAAGGCATGTCACAGCTTTCTCACACGTAGAAACACTAGACAGCATTTCAGCACTATACTTGGGCCATTTTAAACAGTGAAGTCACCAACAAAAAGCACAAAAATATGGCTGTAAATATACCATTAAAAGGATACACTTGTTTAGAGTAAGAACATGCACATTGGGGAGGGGACTTAAATTTTTCTTCACTCTGTTCATAAATGATGATGAAAATGCCAAAAGTATTGATTTTGGGGTTACAAATAACTTTTAGCAAGTAGGAGAATGTGCAGATATGGAATCCACAGATAATAAGGGTGGACTATAAAGTGATTTCAGAGAGTGCTATTTAAAAATAAAAGTGGTGAGGAGATACAGTGTGATGGGGGTTGTACTTGTGACAGTGAGGTCAGGGAAGGACTTTCTGAGGATGAGGACTCCAGCAGAGACCTGAGAATCAAGAACATGGAGGCATAGATCTCCTCCTCTCTGAATCCCATGCCCCCATCAGCCACATACCACATAGGGAGGCCACAGATGGGCCGTGGTGGGTGGTGGTAGCCTTTGCACCATGGTGAGCAGAGACGGCTGGCTCTCCTCAGGGCTCCGGCTGGAAGGTGTATACCGGAAAGGGGGCGCTCGTGCCCGCAGCCTGAGACTCCTGGCTGAGTTCCGTCGGGATGCCCGGTCGGTGAAGCTCCGACCAGGGGAGCACTTTGTGGAGGATGTCACTGACACACTCAAACGCTTCTTTCGTGAGCTCGATGACCCTGTGACCTCTGCACGGTTGCTGCCTCGCTGGAGGGAGGCTGCTGGTATTCCTAAGATCCCTGAGAGCCAAGGCCCAACCAGGATCTCTGCCTTCCCCCACCAGAATCCATGGTTTGGCAGCCCTCCGCCCCATCACTTCCCACCCTGGGGGATCATCCAGAGACTTGGCTCAGGGGGAGGTGGGAAGGGGGCAGAGACACATCCATCCTGCATTTGTGCCTAAAAATCCCTCCCTCTGTACCAGCTGCCACTCTTTCTTCCCGGGTCCTCCCCAACCCTCCTCCATTCCATCCCCAGAGCTGCCCCAGAAGAATCAGCGCCTGGAGAAATATAAAGATGTGATTGGCTGCCTGCCGCGGGTCAACCGCCGCACACTGGCCACCCTCATTGGGCATCTCTATCGGTCAGTATGGCTAGACCCTCTGCAGAACCCTTCCTCACTTCAATCTGACCCTGCACTTTCATTCATTTATTCATTCATTCATTCATTTGTTCATTCCACAAACAGTTGTTAAGTGAAGGTATCATAGCACTAAGGTTCAGAGAATGGATTTGAGGGATCAGGCAGACCTAGGCTTTAATCTGGTGCCGTCATTCTAGCTGTGTGACTTTGGGTAAGTTACTTGTTCTCTCTGGGCCTCAATTTCTTCATTTCTAAAAGGAAGTAATGGATGATGTAATGAATCATATCCACCTCATAGTTTATGAGAGAGTTAAATGAAGGCTGGGCGCGTGGTGTCTCACACCTGTAATCCCAACACTTTGGGAAGCAAGGTGGGCGGGTCATCTAAGGCCAGGAGTTTGAGACTAGCCTGGCCAACATGGTGAAACCCAGCCTCTACTAAAAATACAAAAATTAGCCTGGCATGGTGGTACATACCAGTAATCTCAGCTACTCAGGAGGCTGAGGCACGAGAATCGCTTGAGCACAGGAGGTGGAGGTTGCAGTGAGCCAAGATTGTACCACTTCACTCCAGCCTGGGTGACAGAGGGAGATCTTGTCTCAAAAAAAAAAAAAAGAAAAAAGAAAAAAGGAAAAAAAAAGAACAAAAAGAGTTAAAATTCATAAAATTCTTAACTATAGTACATGCCAGTACATCCGGCATGTCATAAGCCTTCAGAAATGGTTAGCAATCAATATTATTTTGTTTTATTATGCGATGTCAGGGAAAGGGTTAGATATAAGAAACACAAAAATGAATAAGATGCACATCTACCTTTACCAATCTGTTAGGGAGACAGGCCTTTGAGCAATTCTGGGGAGAAGCCATTTCTGTATTGCACTGATTATACTATATTACAGGGGCCAGGTATGGTGGCTCACACCTGTAATCCCAACATGTTGGGAGGCCAAGGCAGGAGGATCATTTGAGCCCAGGAGTTGGAGACCAGCCTGGGTAACATAGTGAGACATCCCATCTCTATAAAAGATAAAAATAAATAAATAATAAAAATATACTATATTATAGGGATTGGTCAACTACAGGCCCATGGGCCAAATCCAGCTTGTTGCCTATGTTTGTAAATAAAGTTTTGTACATAAAGTGTAAAGCCACACCCATTCATGTATATATTTTCTTTTTTTTTTTTTTTGAGACGGAGTCTTGCTCTGTGGCCCAGGCGGGAGTGCAGTGGCGCAATCTCGGCTCACTGCAAGCTCCGCCTCCAGGGTTCACGCCATTCTCCTGCCTCAGCCTCCCGAGTAGCTGGGACTACAGGCACCCACCATCACGCCCGGCTAATTTTTTTTGTATTTTTAGTAGAGACGGGGTTTCACCGTGTTAGCCAGGATGGTCTCGATCTCCTGACCTCGTGATCCGCCTGCCTCGGCCTCCCAAAGTGCTGGGATTACAAGCGTGAGCCACCGCGCCCGGCCCATGTATATATTTTCTATAGCTCCTTTCATGATGCAGCAACAGAGCTGAGAGTTAGAACAGAGACTGTCTGTCCTGCAAGCCTAAAATGTCTACTATCTGTCCCTTTACATAAAAAGTTTGCTGATTCTTGCCTTATCTGTCTCCCCTAGACTGGGAGCTCCTTGAGGCCAATATTATCTTACTGCTGTATTCCAAGCACTTAGCCCAGGCATACAATAGGGACTCAATAAGTGTTTGCTGAATGAGTGGCTACACTGATGAAGACCGTGGCACCCCTCTGCAGGGTGCAGAAATGTGCGGCTCTAAACCAGATGTGCACGCGGAACTTGGCTCTGCTGTTTGCACCCAGCGTGTTCCAGACGGATGGGCGAGGGGAGCACGAGGTGCGAGTGCTGCAAGAGCTCATTGATGGCTACATCTCTGTCTTTGATGTAAGGCTTTCCTGACCCCTAACCCACAACCCCTTTCCCCTACCCTTGCAGGACCCAGAGACTCTGGATCCTGATCACCCCAACAAGCCCCCAGCCCAGGCCTCTGGTGGCCAGCTATACCAGGAACTACCTCCCAGAGCCCTGGCCCTTCTTCTCCCACAACTTCACTTCCAACATCCTCACCCCCTTGGTTCTTAGCTCTTCTGGCCTCCAGCCCTCTTAAACAGGTCCTCCTTGGCCTTGAGATCTTCCCGGCAGATCCTCTTCCAGCACCCCAACACTCTCTTTTGGCTCTTTCACAGATCGATTCTGACCAGGTAGCTCAGATTGACTTGGAGGTCAGTCTTATCACCACCTGGAAGGACGTGCAGGTAACTCGTCCTGACCTTAGTCTCCTGAATGGGGCAGGAGGAGACATCAGGACAGGAAGCTGACTTTCTGCCCAGTTGAGGAAGTTTCCAGCCTGTCCTTCTGGACACTAGCACTCAGCTCTTTGGGAGACAGGGGGAACCCAATGAGAGAAGTGCTTTGGGGAGTGGGGTTTGGTTAGGGTTTGCTCCATTTGTTCCACCATGAGGATTCTTCCTGGTGATAATCTTGGCACTGGATAGTTGGTTTTGGTTTTCTGTGGGAACATCAAGTGAGACCATACTACTAAGTGTAAGAGATCCAAGGACGAGTTAGTAAAGTCAGACAAAGCAGTGAGAATAATAATAATAAATATAATAGCAAACATAGCTGAGGACTTACTATATTCCAAGCATCTCTAATCTCATGTTAGTATGATACAACTCCATGAAGTAGGTAATCTCATTTTTTTCAAATAAACGGGTTCAGCGGGTCATTTATTCAAGGTCACCCTGTAGCGAGTGGCAGAGAGACCAGGCAGTCTGACTCCACATCTGTCCTCCCAACCACTATGATGCCTTGGGAAGTACATGTGCAGCCTAAAGATGCAGTTCTGCCACTCCCAGAGGTCTCCCTTTTAAGAGCCTGAGTGACATTGGGGTTGGGAGGAGACCTTTGTTGGAAGAGTCACTTATGAGGCAACACGAGGAACCCTCTGACTTTGATGTCTTTTGCACCCTTTTTTTGCCCTTCTGACTTTTTTACCCCTCCCCTCAGCTGTCTCAGGCTGGAGACCTCATCATGGAAGTTTATATAGAGCAGCAGCTCCCAGACAACTGTGTCACCCTGAAGGTTGGTCCTGAGGGGACTGGAGGGGAAATAAGAGGATAGTGAGGTTCCAGGGGCAATAGCCTGACCAGCATGAATTCTCTGCTCTTGCCCTGACCCCAGGTGTCCCCAACCCTGACTGCTGAGGAGCTGACTAACCAGGTACTGGAGATGCGGGGGACAGCAGCTGGGATGGACTTGTGGGTGACTTTTGAGATTCGCGAGCATGGGGAGCTGGGTGAGTATGACCACGCCTGTGTGTTCATGCATGTGTATATGCGTGTGTGTGGTTGTGTGGTCAAGGTCATCAGTGACTTCATGTTACCAAATATGAATGGTAACTCATGGATGACTCATCCACTCATCCATGCGAGGGGACATTCAACACAGTTGACTCACTCCCTCTTTCTCAGTATTCTTCCATCTTGGCCTTAGTGACCCCCACAAGCTCGTAGTTTACCTTCTACCTTAAAGGGAGCTTCTCTTCCTCTTTTGCCCAGACTCCAAATGTTGGAGAGACCCACGGCTCAATCCTAGGCCCTTTTCTCTCATCTATCTACATTTCTCCTTGGATGAATTAACCCATTCTCATGGTTTTAAATGCCATTAATAACCTGACACCCAAATTTGTATATCTGGCCCACATCTCTCCTCTCAGCTCCAGACTCACATATCCAAATGCCTACTCAACACCTCCACTTCTGACAAGCAACTCAAATGTAAAACATCTAAGACCAATTTAGATGATGTCTAGTCCCCTTTCCTCAAAAAAAAAGCCTAGGCCATTCTCCAATTTTTCCCAACTCAGTAAATGGTACCACAATTCACCCAGTGATTAAGGCCAGAAACCTGGGAGTCCTCTGGGACTCCTCCCTTTGTGTCATCTTCATACACAACTCACCAACTAGTCTTGTCGATTCCATTAGAATCAATCACTTCTCTCCATCTCCACTGCTACCACCATCCTAGTTGAAGTCATCATTATGTTTTTGTCTGTCAACAGTAACCACTAAAATGTGTGGCCCCAGAAAGGGGATAGCTGGACAATGTTCCATGCTTGCCTCCCTACAATCCATTTTCCATGCAGCAGCCAAGTGAATATTTCAAGCATAAATCAGCTCATATCCTTCCTATGGTTAAAACCCTTCAGTGGCTTCCCATTGAACTTAAAGTATCATTCCAGTCCCTTACCATGGCCCACATGGCCTTGAATGTCTGACCCCTGCGTCCTCCATGCCTCATCTCACATCACCTGTTCTCGTATCTATCCTCTTTGCTGTAGCTACATTGGCTGTTTAGTTCCCCAAATACATCTTTCCTGATTGCCAGCCTTTGTTCTTGCATTTTGTCATGCTTGAAATCTTCTACCACCCAATCTTAGCATGGCTTGCTCTTCCTAATCCTTCAGATCTCTGAGTCTCATCTTCAAGTGCCACTTTTGAAAGGTCTTGCCTGACTACCCTATCTCAGTTGCTGTCCTGTTGCTTGCTCAGTTTATTGTTTCTTGCAAAGCAATTATTTGTCTGCAATTATTTTTTTGTCTGTACCCTCACTAGACTGTGTGCTTTGTGAAGGGAGGCCATGTGTATCATGCTCACCACCGTATCCCAGGGCCAGCACAGTTCCTGGCATAGAGACAGTGAAAAATAAATGTCTGTGGTTGGATAGTTGAATGGATGAATGAATGACTGGTGAGAGCTGGGGGCTTAGTATGGATATTCTGATTGATATATAAACCCTCACCTTTCCCCTTAAGAGCGGCCACTGCATCCCAAGGAAAAGGTCTTAGAGCAGGCTTTACAATGGTGCCAGCTCCCAGAGCCCTGCTCAGCTTCCCTGCTCTTGAAAAAAGTCCCCCTGGCCCAAGCTGGCTGCCTCTTCACAGGTGAGCCTCCTTCCTCTGCCCAGCATCCCCCAGGTCTCTCCCCTAGCATCCTCCACCCAGGATTGCCCATCTATGCCCAGGTATCCGACGTGAGAGCCCACGGGTGGGGCTGTTGCGGTGTCGTGAGGAGCCACCTCGCTTGCTGGGAAGCCGCTTCCAGGAGAGGTTCTTTCTGCTGCGTGGCCGCTGCCTGCTGCTGCTCAAGGAGAAGAAAGTGAGGCCCTGGGGCCAGAGGTGTGGGATGCTGGGTGGCCATGGAGAGGAGCCATGACTGCACCCACCCTCTGACTCCACAGCCCATACTCTCATCAATCTCATTGCTTCCCTGCCCCCGACTTCTGTGACCCTGTGACCACAGACCCCATTGCTTCCATGACGTCTTGACCTCATTAACCATGATCTCTCATCTCTCCATCTCGCTGACTCTGTTTCTGTTCTCAGAGCTCTAAACCAGAACGGGAGTGGCCTTTGGAAGGTGCCAAGGTCTACCTGGGAATCCGCAAGAAGTTAAAGCCCCCAACACCGTGAGTTTTCTTCCCCAGCCCGCACTTCCAGGGCCTTCCTGCCTTCACCCCCCTGCCCTTTCTGACTGCCCCATCACTGTTCTTTGTCTCCCAGGTGGGGCTTCACATTGATACTAGAGAAGATGCACCTGTGAGTACCTCCTGCCCTGGCTTCTCCTCTGGCCCACCTCTGCACCCTGTCTTTTCTCTTCCCTCTTTGTATGCTCCATTCCTATAGCTGTGACCCTCTCTCTCCCTCTGATTCCATTCTGATCACCCCAGCTACTTGTCCTGCACTGACGAGGATGAAATGTGGGATTGGACCACCAGCATCCTTAAAGCCCAGGTGAGGGGAAAGAAAAGGCTGAGGGCTGGGTCTGTGGTCCCCCTGGGGCCCAGCTGTCCTCCTCAGTGCCTTTCATGCCCACTGATGCCAACCCCTCACGCTCCCACCAGCACGATGACCAGCAGCCAGTGGTCTTACGACGCCATTCCTCCTCTGACCTTGCCCGTCAGAAGTTTGGCACTATGCCTTTGCTGCCTATCCGTGGGGATGACAGTGGAGCCACCCTCCTCTCTGCCAATCAGACCCTGGTAAGGCACCCCACCCTGCCCCAACCCGATTCCTGTCGTGTAGCCCTTGTCACATTGCAGTAGGCAGTGGTGTGCCTGCTAGCCTGGTGCCACCCTATGCTCACTGTCCCCCTCCCTTCTGCCTTCTTCACCCCCATTCCCCACCCCTGTCTCCTGTTGCTAGTCCTCACTGTGTCTTTATGTCTTTCCTTCCCCTTGTCCCCACCCCACCTGTGTCCAGCGGCGACTACACAACCGGAGGACCCTGTCCATGTTCTTTGTGAGTATTGTGCCTGCTCCAGCGGTGTGCCTGTCAACCCTGTATTCCTCTGTGCTGCCTGAGCCCCGGGTGTGCTGTTTTCCTCATGTAGGCCATCAGGGGGTGTGTGTGTGTGTGTGTGTGTGTGTGTGTGTGTAGGCCATCAGGGTGTGTGTGTGTGTGTGTGTGTGTGTGTGTGTAGGCCATCAGGGTGTGTGTGTGTGTGAGAGAGAGAGAGGGAGAGCGAGGAAAAGGGAGAGGGAGAGGGACAGGACAGAGAGAGAGAGGAGGCCAGAAAGAATGAGGAAAATGAGGGATGTAAGATGCAGTAATAAAAGGAGAAAGGTCGGGCACAGTGGCTCATGCCTGTAATCCCAGCACTTTGGGAGGCTGAGGTGGGTGGATCCCCTGAGGTCAGGAGTTCAAGACCAGTCTAATCGACATGGTGAAATCCCGTCTCTACTAAAAATACAAAATTAGCTAGGTGTGGTGGTGCATGCCTGTGATCCCAGCTACTTGGGAGGCTGAGGCAGGAGAATCACTTGAACCTGGGAGGCGGAGGTTGCAGTGAGCCAAGATCGCACCACTGCACTCCAGCCTAGGCAACAAGAGTAAAACTCTGTCTCAAAAAAAAAAAAAAAGGAAAAAGTTGTCACAGAATCTGTGAAATAGAAGGAAAGTGATGAAGTGAATGCATTTTGGAGTTAGACAGACCTGGGTTCAAACCCCAGCTCTACCATTCACTCATTATGTGATGCTGGGCAACTTACTTAACCCCTTTGCATTCAGTTGACTCAGTGTAACCCACTGCACAGGGTTGTTCCAGAATCATACATGCCAAGTATTTTACAGCATCTGGCCCAGAGGAAGAGCTCAGTAAATGTTAGTGATTCATAATCTGGTAACTTTAACTATGTGCCCACTCCTGCCATTCCATTCCCATCCAGCCAATGAAGTCATCCCAGGGGTCTGTGGAGGAGCAAGAGGAGCTGGAGGAGCCTGTGTACGAGGAGCCAGTGTATGAGGAAGTAGGGGCCTTCCCTGAGTTGATCCAGGACACTTCTACCTCCTTCTCCACCACACGGGAGTGGACAGTGAAGCCAGAGAACCCCCTCACCAGCCAGAAGTCATTGGATCAACCCTTTCTCTCCAAGTCAAGCACCCTTGGCCAGGAGGAGAGGCCACCTGAGCCCCCTCCAGGCCCCCCTTCAAAGAGCAGTCCCCAGGCACGGGGGTCCCTAGAGGAACAGCTGCTCCAGGAGCTCAGCAGCCTCATCCTGAGGAAAGGAGAGACCACTGCAGGCCTGGGAAGTCCTTCCCAGCCATCCAGCCCCCAATCCCCCAGCCCCACTGGCCTTCCAACACAGACACCTGGCTTCCCCACCCAACCCCCATGCACTTCCAGTCCACCCTCCAGCCAGCCCCTCACATGACCCTAGGACCAGCAGTCTGAGAGGGTAGGTACCAGAAGACCCAGAAACTCTTATCGTGGCACTGTTGCAGCTTCCTCTGCCCTGGCTGGAAAGACTCCAGAATCCAGTGTGGTGCTGTGGAAGGAGCACTGGACTAAAGGCTTCAGTGGCTGCGTGTCCCAGGACAGGTCATGGCCCCTCTCTGGGCCCAGCCCATTTATCTATACCATGAGGTAACTGAAGTAAGGAGAGCAGTGAATGTCAAACTGTGTTTCTTAGAGCCATAAGCCCCACATATTATCCCTGAACAAGGGCAGCTCCTGCTTTATATATTTGATACGTAGGGGTTCCATGAGAGATTTTGGGTTTTAAAGGAATGGTTTTACTGCATTAAAGAAAAAAAATGCTTTGGAAACCAGAGGCCTGGGTGATGTTAAAGTCTATCCTGTCCCACTTCCTACATTCTGGGACTACCGTGAAGCCTGGAGTAGGGAGAGCGAGTTTGGGAGCTGGGACTCGGGGAGTCAAAAATAGATGAGTAATTGTCAATAAACCTGGGAACCAAAAGACTACCATTCTCATTCATTCATTCAACAAATATGTATTGTGCACCTAATTGGTGCCAGGTCTGGGGATATAGCATGAACAAAACAAACAGGGCCCCTGCTCTTATGAATCCTCCGTTGTGGAGGGGAACAGAAAATAGCAAATAAACACATAAACCAGTACTTGAACAAGTGAGTTTAGTGCTGTGAAGAAACTGAACCAAAGTGATGAGCTTGAAGAGTGATTGTGGAGGCCAGGCGCAGTGGCTCACACCTGTAATCCCAGCACTTTGGGAGGCTGAGGGGGATGGATTACCTGAGGTCAGGAGTTTGAGACCATCCTGGCAAAGATGGTGAAACCCTGTCTCTACTAAAAATACAAAATTAGCTGGTTGTGGTGGCACGTGCTTGTAATCCCAGCTACTCGGGAGGCTGAAGCAGAAGAATCACTTGAACCTGGTAGGTGGAGGTTGCAGTGAGCCGAGATTGCACCATTGCACTCCAGCCTGGCAACAGAGCAAGACTCCATCTCAAAAAAAAAAGAGTGATTGTGGAGATGGTCTTTGGATGGGTGGATGGGGAAGGCATCTGTGAAGAGTTGCAAAGTAAGGGAAAGAAGCTGTTGGAGGCGACAGATGGAACGCTGGAAGGAGGAGATTCTGGAGAAAGAAAGCAGGCATGAAGAACTCTGCATTGGAAGGGACTTGGTCTACTGAGGGAACAGCAAAGAGGCTGGAGCACAGTGAGCAGACAGTGGGAGGAGAGTACAGGCTGAAGTAAGAAAGACCAGCAGGGTCTTCCATGCGTAGCCTTGAAGGCCATGGATTCTATTTGGATTTTATTCTGAAGCAAGTGCATTTTAAGCAAGTAAATTATGAGATCTTATTTCCCTTTAAAAAAGAAAAAAAAGGTTGATCACTCTGAGTGCTGTGTGAACAGTGGGTTGGGGTGAGGGCAGTGTGGAAGCAAGGAGATCAGATATTAGACCAGAAGTCTAATAATGGGGGCTTGGACTAGGATGGTGGTCTTGGAAATTGAGGGAAGTGGATCAAGAGGTTTTTGTTTGTTTATTGTTGTTTGAAATAGAACCTGTAGGACTTACTGATGGATAGAATGTAGGGGTAGGAGAAGGCACATTGACTCTGGGTTTCTGACTTAACTGACTGGAGGAAATGCGGTGCCATTTAAAACGTTACGGGGGGAGGATCAGGTTGAAGGAGGTTTAAAAGCTTTAAAAGTTGAGGTTCCTATTAGATATACTAGCAGAGGTGTCAGTGGGGAGTTGGAATGTGAATCTGGAGTTTTGAGACATGTCAGGGGTACTGGGACAGGTGCCTGAGCCAAAGAAGCTTAGGTGAGGAGGATGAGGAATTGGGGAGAGGCTCCTCAGGAAGCAGTGCTAGGGCTGGAAGATCCTAAAGGTGGCAGGGGCTTCCTGCGCATCTCCCAGCTCTCGCCGACTCACTGGTATCGTTTAGTTTTCAGTGGGGCCAAGTCTTTTTCCCTTTGGGCCTGGTTCCTTCCTGGATCCAGGCATCTTTCTCACCCCGCTCACGCTGGCTTTTCCAGTTAAGCGGGAATTAGGAAAAGGTCTGGGACCAGCCCTCTCTTCGTCAGATGCATCTTTGCTCAGGTGCCCAGTGACTCAGTTTCCCTGGTCACACACTGAATTCCTCTCCATTCCTCATCATTAGCTCGGGGACTGGGGATCTACATATGCAAATGAATAATTATCAATAATTACAGGCTGAATCAGTGGTTACACTACAAATAGAACTTAGGCGTCTTGACTCAGATGCCTGGGGTTCTTCCCACCGCCCAGCGGACGCTGCGTCCGCCCCGCCCGCCCCGCCACCCGGACCCTGCCGGCGTATTCGCAGCAGTAACAGGTTTAGTTTCTCGGTGGCCCCCTCTCGCTTCCGCGCCCTGCGACGTCGCCGGACAAGTCGTGGGCGGGCAGAGGGCGGGGCCTGACCTGGCCTGGGGCGGGGCTCCATAGTGGGCGGGGCTTCCTCCAGTTCCGGAGTCCAGTGGCTGACCGCCTTGCTGGAGCGGAGATGCAGCCGCCGCCCCGAAAAGTGAGCTTGGCCCTGAATGGGGACTCCTGGCGGGCTGGGGGAACGGAGGGAGCTAAGGGGGCATCCGACTTGTGGTAGGAGACGGGAAGTCGGAAGGGGTCAGACCCCAAACCAGAAGTAACAGAGGAAAGAGCTCAGCACCCCCCCGGCCCCGCCCCCTCACCGCTCCCTGCGCGGAGTGTTTTTTAGGTCCTTGCGCTGGGGTCTTCATCCTCTCTTTGCCCCCACAGGTGAAGCCGGCCCAGGAGGTGAAGCTTCGCTTCCTGGAACAGCTGAGCATCCTTCAGACCTGGCAGCAGAGGGAGGCGGATCTGCTGGAGGACATCAGGTAGCTCCCCCAACCCCCTTCATTTACACTCACCTTCGTCGTTGTGCGCCACTTCTCCCCAATATACATGTGCTGGGGTGGAGGAACAGGGGCCAAGAGCTCCCCAGCCGACCCATCCACAGCCCTCACCCTAGGCCTGGCCTCTCCAGATACTGGATAGGAATGCTCCCCCACCTAACCCCTCCCAACCCCCTCCCACCCACATAAACACACAGGAACCCTCCCTCAAAGCCCTTGACTCCACACCACTGCCCCCAACCCCACAATCAACCTTAGGGCAGAATCCCTCTCCCTCTTCCAGACCTGTTGGAAGGCTGGCAGACATCGTACCCAGGCCCCCATCAGTCTTCACCTCTAAGCCTACAGATGAACCTCTGGGGTGGGGAGGATCCTGCTGGGGCCCGGGGCAGTAAGGTGAGGGTTTCCTGTGTTGCAGCTGCCCGAGGTGATCTCAAGGACTCCCATCAGTCCCATTCCCTCTGGGTGTAGTTACACTCTAGGAACCTGGCTCCCCCCAACCGCTCCCTCCTGCCCAGAGTAGAGGACTGAGGATGGGAGAACAGGACCAAACATAACCTTATCCCCCACCTCACCCCCGACCTGCAATCTCCGCAGATCCTACAGCAAGCAGAGGGCAGCCATTGAACGGGAGTATGGGCAGGTATGGGACTTTTCTCTGGACCTTACCTCTTGTTCCAGCCTCTCTTATATCACCAGTAATGTCTGTCCATACCTATCCCTATTGTGGTCAAGAGCAGATGCCTAGAGTCAAGCAGACTGGTGTCAGATCCCTGCTGTGTAATTATAGCCATGTGACCTTGGACAAGTTACTTAACCTTTCTTGACCTCAGTTTCTTTCTCTGTGAAATGGGAATAATAATAATACCTTACCTTCATGTAGGGTTGTTGTAAGGATTAAACAAATTAATGACTATAAGGCATTTAGCAAAGCAAGTGGCACATAATGTACCCAAAGAATGGTATGATTATACTCTGATGTCATATTCTGCCAGTTGGGGTGGGTCTTTGAAAGGGAACTTGGTTCTGTGATGGCTTTTTCACCAGGCACTCCAGAAACTGGCTGGCCCATTCCTGAAGAGGGAAGGGCACCGGAGCGGTGAGATGGACAGCAGGTGGGCCCTATGGAGGGGGAGGGCCACAGAGGCCAAAAAGTGATGGGGAGCTCAGCCCCAGGAACCTGTGGGGATGAAGGCCTAGCAAGTGGGGAAGGCACGTGAGCTGTAGGTAGAGCTGACACAGCAGCAGCAGAGGAGCTGACCCAGCAAGGACACTGTGGGTGGGGTGGAGGGCAGGAGTGAGGCTTGTGGCTGAGCTAATGGGCTGATCGATTGATGGGCTCCCAGACAAGGGAGGATGGGAAAGCACTCTGTCTCCCATGGTGTTGGTCAGGGGGCAGGGGGTGGGGGTGGTCTCATGAAGCTGTGGAGTGCTCTCCTCCTCAACACAGACCTTCTCTGGGGAGGGGCAGGACAGTGTTCGGTGCCTGGCGCTGCCTGCTGGATGCCACCGTGGCTGGGGGCCAAACCCGACTCCAGGCGTCTGACCGATACCGTGACCTAGCAGGGGGTACAGGGCGGAGCGCCAAGGAGCAGGTGCTTAGGAAGGTATGGCTCAGAGGTTGGGGTGAAGGAAGAGCTGGCTTGGGACCAAAGGTGGTCTAGGTAAGGACTTTGTGTATGCATCCCAATAGGGAACAGAGAACCTCCAGAGGGCGCAGGCTGAGGTGCTGCAGTCTGTCCGGGAGCTGAGCCGAAGTCGGAAGCTGTATGGGCAGCGGGAACGTGTGTGGGCCTTGGCACAGGAGAAGGCGGCTGATGTCCAGGCCAGGTGGGGTCATGGAGAGTGAGGAAGCCCAAGGTTGGGGAACAGGGAGGTGGGGCTGTCTAGGGGTGGAGCCAAGTCACCAAAGCTGGGCCTGACTCTGATCTCATATTCTCCCACTTGGGGTGGGCCTGACTCCTTTCTCTCATCTGCACAGGCTAAACCGAAGTGACCATGGGATCTTCCACTCTCGGACCAGTCTCCAGAAACTGAGCACCAAGGTTCGAGGGATGAGGGCATGAGTGGGGGCAGGGAAGAGGGAGGCAGAGTAGTCTAGTGGTTTGGAACATAGGTGCATATGTATGAAAGACTGGGTTGAATCCAGGCTCTCCTACTTCCTGGGTGGGTAACCTTGGTTAATTTACTTGATCTCTGTGAGCCTTATTTTCTTCTATAAAATGGAGAGAATACCCTTCTTTTTCAGTCCTTTAATATGCATTTATTGAGGATCTGTATATAATAGGCACTGTTCTAGACATTATGGATACAGTGGAGAACACTACCAATGGAGTTCCTGCCCTCACAGTCTGGTTAAGAGAGACAGACAGCAAATAAATACTTAGATTAAGATGAAAATAAAACAAGGTACTATGATAAAGAATAACAAGGGGGTAGAATTTAGAGGGAGGCCTCTCTGAATAGGTGGCCTAACTGTCAAGAAGGAGCTGGCCTTGCAAAGATCTAGGGGAAGAACATTGCAGAGAGAAGAAATGGTGAGTGCAAAGGGTCTGAGGTGGGAATAACTTTGTAGGCTCGAGGAACTGAGAGAGGGCCAGTATGGCTGGAGTACTGTGAGCAAGGGAACAAGCGCTTGAAAAGAGGTCAGAGAGATTGCGGGGGCCAGCTCATATTGAACGTGGTGGACCATGGTAAGGAACAGTGGATTTTATTTTAAATGCGTGCAGAAGGCACTAGAAGATTTTGAGCAGGAGTTGTGTGTATGCAACATTTTTAGTGTAGTGCCAGGCACATAGTAAGCACTCAATAATGTGAGAATCCATTCTGGATCTGGCTTCTCAATTGGTCTTGGAAGGACTCTGGGGGTCTAGGGCTTCCTATTGACATCAGTTTACCCTCCTAGCTGTCCGCCCAGTCAGCCCAGTACTCCCAGCAGCTGCAAGCAGCCCGCAATGAGTACCTGCTTAACTTGGTGGCTACCAATGCCCACCTCGACCATTACTACCAGGAGGAACTGCCAGCTCTGCTCAAGGCCAGTTTTAACCCAGACACCCCTATCCCTCAGCAGGGAGGGAAAGGAGGACCTCCCCCTGCTTCTTGATCCCCATGACAGTGGGTGGTGCAGGGGATCTTGTCTGTTTAGAGTGAGTAGATGATACATACATGCACTCTGGTTCTGCTCCTAGCTGGCTGCATGGCATTGTACAGTACACTTAAACTCTTCCGAACCCCAGATTCCTCATCAGGGATAACCCTTTCTCTGCCTATCTTATAGCACTAGTGGGGCTCAAAGGAGAGAATGGATGTGAACGTGTTTTAAACTTCTAAGTGCTCTGCACACGAGGGCCTTTCTCATGAAGAATGTCTTCTTCTCTCCTTCCTATACCTCATGCCCATCACCTGTCAAATCTGGAACGAGCCTATTTTACAGTAGAGGTCTGGGGGAAGGGTGGTGTCAGTATCTTGGGGTTCTCTCTAGGCCCTGGTCAGTGAGCTGTCAGAGCACTTGAGGGACCCCCTGACCTCCCTGAGCCACACTGAGCTGGAAGCCGCAGAGGTCATCCTGGAGCATGCCCACCGCGGGGAGCAGACAACCTCCCAGGTGAGGGCTGTGGCCTCTAAGAGCTTCCCCGGGGATCCTTTTTACCCTTCCCTCCCAATGCAGCCCTCTTTGCTTCACACATTGTCCTTTTTCTTCCAAGAAGTGCTAGGGACAGGGTTGGAGAGTGAGTCAGTGAATGAGTGACTTTGACTTTTCCCAACCCCTAGGTAAGCTGGGAGCAAGACCTGAAGCTGTTTCTTCAGGAGCCTGGTGTATTTTCCCCCACCCCACCTCAGCAGTTTCAGCCAGCAGGGACTGATCAGGTGAGATCTTCCTGCTTGTTGGAACCAGGCCACATATAAAGGCGATTATGATTTAGGCCTCCTCCATTATCTTTGTTTTGTGTTAACTTAGTGAGTGTACACCGTGGAGAGGGGGTTTCAGAACTCCAGCTCACCTCCCTCCCAACAGGACACACACAAAAAAACACACCTCAGTCCACCTTTCAGTCACTTGACTGCGCCATCCTTTTCATTCTACCTCTGTCCCTTGACCTGGATCCCATTTCTGAAGCTCTGTATCTCTGTGTCCACATTACCTGTGTCCATGACTGTAGGCATGTGCCCCTTTCTCTTTGTCCTTGTCCTTGGAGGTCAAGATAGAGTGGAAAAAGGAGGGAACTGGAGAGAAGGAGCAGCCTCAGGTCCTCCTCACAGCACCCCCTGACCCATTCAGGTGTGTGTCCTGGAGTGGGGAGCAGAAGGCGTGGCTGGCAAGAGTGGCCTGGAGAAAGAGGTTCAGCGCTTGACCAGCCGAGCTGCCCGTGACTACAAGATCCAGAACCATGGGCATCGGGTGAGGTGGGGGGGCACAGGTGTCATGTGCACCTTCTTGTCTCAGCAAGAAGAGCTGAGAGAGGGGATCTTGGAGCCATTGAGGGTGTCATGGAGCTACAGAGGGGAGGGAAAGGTATTTTAAGGTAACAGTGTGGCACAATAGTTAAGAGCACAGTTTTTGGAGCTAGACCGACATAGGTTCAAATTCTCTTCTGTTGCTTCCTAGTTCTGTAGCCCCAGGTAAGGGAGTGACTTAACCTCTCTGGACTTCAATTTCCTCATCACTAAAGTAGGGCCAATAATAGCACCCACCTCATAGGGAAGATTAAATGACATAATGTATGTGATGCAACTAGCAAAGTACCAGTCCCATAGTAAGTCATGCCCCACAGTATTTCCACCCACCCCTGTTCTCTGCCTTCCCAACCAGGTACTGCAACGACTGGAGCAGAGGCGGCAGCAGGCTTCAGAGCGGGAGGCTCCAAGCATAGAACAGAGGTTACAGGAAGTGCGAGAGAGCATCCGCCGGGCACAGGTGAGGCACACCCCTGAGGTTAGAGATCCCACCTTCTCAGGCAAGCCCCACTCCCTCTACTCCTCTTTCTGATGGTGGGAGGAAGGAAGGGAGAAGCAGAGAGTAAACACTGCCGTCAGCCAGGTTCCACTAACTTACTTCCTCCCCATGGCAGGTGAGCCAGGTGAAGGGGGCTGCCCGGCTGGCCCTGCTGCAGGGGGCTGGCTTAGATGTGGAGCGCTGGCTGAAGCCAGCCATGACCCAGGCCCAGGATGAGGTGGAGCAGGAGCGGCGGCTCAGTGAGGCTCGGCTGTCCCAGAGGGACCTCTCTCCAACCGTGAGCTCCTCCCCCAACACTACCCATCCTTACTTAGAAGGGAAAAACTCCAGTGGAAGGCAAACCCTATAAAACTGGAATCACAGTTGTGCCTAACTCAAAGGGTTATTACGAGGCTTAAGTGAAATCATCATATATCATTCTTTGCATAATTTCTGGCATAGAGTCCTCAGTACATTTTTATTATGAGCATAATAGAATGATTAAGAAGTAGGGTTCTGGGGCAGTCTGTAAGGGCTTTGAGTACCAGCCACTCCACTTATGAGCTGTGCAATCTCGAAAAGTGACTTAACCTTTCTGAACCCCAGTTTCCTTGTAAATAAAGTGAGGTTAATAGTTGTGCAAAACTATTAACACTGGGTCATTATGAAGATTAAATGAGACAATATACACAAGATACTTTGCATTGTACCTGGCACATAGTATGCACTCAATTACTGTAACTCTATTACTGTTAGTATTATCCTGCTCTGTGGTGACTGTGGTTGTGTACATGGTGAGTGGATGGGTGCACCTGCCTTGGAGGATCCATGGTGTCCTTTAGAGGAAAGATGGAAGAGTGGGAGATAGAACCAGTGCTTGAGAGTGGGCCCCATATGAGGTCTGTTCTTTGCCCCTCTAGGCTGAGGATGCTGAGCTTTCTGACTTTGAGGAATGTGAGGAGACGGGAGAGCTCTTTGAGGAGCCTGCCCCCCAAGCCCTGGCCACGAGGGCCCTCCCCTGCCCTGCACACGTGGTATTTCGCTATCAGGTATGAATGGGGGTGGGGACCTCTGATGGGCAAGGGTGGGGGACAGCCAAGTCCTGAATCCTTCGTGTGTGGCCCAGGCAGGGCGTGAGGATGAGCTGACAATCACGGAGGGTGAGTGGCTGGAGGTCATAGAGGAGGGAGATGCTGACGAATGGGTCAAGGTGGGTATGGGACCCCGGGCTCTGACCTTGGGTTGGGGGCAGTAGGAGGGACTTCTCTGTGGCCTCCATAGACCCTTCTAGGCAAAGCTAGAAGCCTGAGTAGAAGAGAGCCAGGGTCATGGACTGCTGAGGTAAGTCTAATATCTGTTCACATTGCTGGGTGAGCAGGCTCGGAACCAGCACGGCGAGGTAGGCTTTGTCCCTGAGCGATATCTCAACTTCCCGGACCTCTCCCTCCCAGAGAGCAGCCAAGACAGTGACAATCCCTGCGGGGCAGAGCCCACAGGTAAGAAAGGGAAATTTTGGGTTAGAGGACCCTGGGTATGGAGAAAAATTGTTAGGGGTTGTAGCCCTGGGGTGTCATGGTCCTGGGGCACTGCTACCCACCTCCCTCTCACCGTCTCTCCTGGGCCTCTGTAGCATTCCTGGCACAGGCCCTGTACAGCTACACCGGACAGAGTGCAGAGGAGCTGAGCTTCCCTGAGGGGGCACTCATCCGTCTGCTGCCCCGGGCCCAAGATGGAGTAGATGACGGCTTCTGGAGGGGAGAATTTGGGGGCCGTGTTGGGGTCTTCCCCTCCCTGCTGGTGGAAGAGCTGCTTGGCCCCCCAGGGCCACCTGAACTCTCTGACCCTGAACAGGTGAGGCTTACCTTCTCCCTGAACTCCCCAGGCACCTCTGGGTTGACCCTCCCACCCCAATAAAGCCTCATATTCATCTTAATGCCTCCTCTGCTCCCCAGTTTTACCTCCTACAGTGGCCTGGGCCTCCCATCTCCTATGGGGGGGCAGGGAAAAGGGAAACCAAGGCAGCCTTCATAGGAGTTTGGGGGGTCCTACTTTAGTGCTGGATAGATCTGAGTTCAAATTTCTATTGTATGACTTGGGCAATGATTTAACCTCTCTGAGCTTGTTTCTTCACATGTAAAATGGGGATAATACCTACTTTAGCAGGCTCACTGTCATAATTAGAGATAATCGAGGTAAAGCCTTCTTCTTTTTTTTTTTTTTGAGACAGAGTTTCGCTCTTGTTGCCCAGGCTGGAGTGCAATGGTGCGATCTCAGCTCACCGCAACCTCTGCCTCCCGGGTTCAAACGATTCTCCTGTATCAGCCCCTCGAGTAGCTGGGATTACAGGCACGTGCTGCCACGCCCGGCTAATTTTCTATTTTTAGTAGATACAGGGTTTCTCCATTTGGTCAGGCTGGTCTCAAACTCCTGACCTCAGGTGATCCACCTGCCTTGGCCTCCCAATGTGCTGGGATTATAGGCATGAGCCACTGCGCCCCGCCGAGGCAAAGCCTTTAGTGCAGTGGAATGCAGAAGGTGTTTCAATATAAGATATCTGTTGTTATAATGTATATACATACAGCAGAAAGAGAATAGGAGTGGGCATCAGGAGAACTGGGTTCTAGCCAGCACTCTGCCAATAACTGGCTTCGTGATTTTGGACAGCTGGCTTAACCTGGGTCTCACTTCTAACATAGGAGTCATATTATTAAAAATGCCTACCTCATGGGGTAGTGGTGAGGATTGAATGAATTGGTACACGTGAAGTGCTAGCAGAACACTTGAGACATAGTAAACATAAGCGTTCAATACATATTGGCTGTTGAAATATTTGTCAGCTACACCCCCCCACCGAATGCAAGCATTTGGCCACTTCCTGTATTGAGAAGTGATGAGGAAGGAACTGGAGATGGGATGAGAGGAAAAGCTGGTAAAACCTCCCCACATGCCAGGAATAACTCTGTGCCCACCCCACCTCCAGATGCTGCCGTCCCCTTCTCCTCCCAGCTTCTCCCCACCTGCACCTACCTCTGTGTTGGATGGGCCCCCTGCACCTGTCCTGCCTGGGGGTGAGTGGAAGGAACTGGGAGCCTTGGGAGGCTAACAGACAGGAAGAAGGAGGAAGCTTGGACTCCCAGGTCACGCTCTGGTCCTCTCCGTGCCTTCAGGCATCTTGCTTGGTGGAGAGCACTTGCCTGGGCTCTGGAGCCAGGCTGACTGGTTCAGGTCCCGCTCTGTCATCTCCAAGTGTGTGGTGGGATTCTGAACCTGTCTTGGCCTCAGTTTATGTTCTTTATGAGGTAAGGAAAAGGTACTAGCTTATTGAATTCTTATGAGAGTTAAAAAAGATGCCTGTGGACTACACAGCATTGTGCCTGGCACACAGTAAGTATGCAGTCACTGTTATTATTTTAAAAATTAGCTAACTTCTCTCACGGTGTCCTCCCAATATGCACCTTTTGCTCCTAGTGTCCAGATACCTAGCTTTGTATCATTATTTTTTCTGATGCCCACTTTTTTTCTTTTTTAAATGTCTATAGCAGTTTTATTTTATTATTTATTTTAGATTCAGGAGGTACATGTGCTTGTTTGTCATATGGATATATTGCATACTGGTGGAGATTGGGCTTCTAGTGTACCTGTAACTCAAATAGTGAACATTGTACCTGATAGGTAATTTTTCAACCCTCGCCCCTGCCTCTACTCCTACCTTTGCCCCCTTTGGAGTCCTGGGAGTCTGTTATTTCCATCTCTATGTCCATGTGTACCCGTTGTTTAGCTCCCACTTATAAGTGAGAACATGCAATATTTGGTTTTCTGTTTCTGAGTTAGTTCACTTAGGATAATGGCATCCAACTCCATTCATGTTGCTGCAGAGGACATGATTTCATTCTTTTTTATGGCTGTGGAATGCCTGCCTTTTCTAAAACTTTCTGGTACTTCCACCTTGTCCACAAGGAGTCTCCCTCCCTGGAGTTACCACCATCTCCACCACCCCAAGTTCACTTTGCATGACTTAGCACTTAGTCATTTATTGTGTTTGTTGAGGTTTCATTATTGGTTTCTTGACAGCCATTGGGGGTGGGAGCACTATGCATCCTATCTCCCTTAGTTTTGTACCTTGAGCAGAGCTGATTATACAGCAGTTGCCCAATAAATGTTGAGGACAGTGGATAGAGTGATGGATTTTATGGTCTAGGATGGTGACCATTAATTTAACAAATATTTATAGAATGCCACTGTCCTAAGTGCTGGAGATACAGCATTGAACAAAACAAAGTCTGAAGACTGACTTGTGGTTCTTATTTCCAGACAAAGCCCTGGACTTCCCTGGGTTCCTGGACATGATGGCACCTCGACTCAGGCCGGTAAGGGCCCTTGCCTTGGAGGAGATTGTATGTAGAGGGGTTATTCCAACCAGTCCTGTTTTGTCTGCAGGGCTGAGGGAATAGACAGGGATACCCTTAAGGGAGAACTCTGGAGCACTAACTGTGTGTTCCCTACAGATGCGTCCACCACCTCCCCCGCCGGCTAAAGCCCCGGATCCTGGCCACCCAGATCCCCTCACCTGAAGGCCAGGGAAGCCTTGACCCCCAGTGATGCTGCTGTCCCTATCTTCAAGCTGTCAGACCACACCATCAATGATCCAGAGCAACACAGCCAAAAGCTGGAATCGCCCTTATTTCCACCCTCACCTCCAAGGGTGGAAACTTGCCCCTTCCCATTTCTAGAGCTGGAACCCACTCCTTTTTTTCCCATTGTTCTATCATCTCTAGGACCGGAACTACCTTCTCTTCTGTCATGACCCTATCTAGGGTGGTGAAATGCCTGAAATCTCTGGGGCTGGAAACCATCCATCAAGGTCTCTAGTAGTTCTGGCCCACCTCTTTCCCCACCCTGGCTCCATGACCCACCCCACTCTGGATGCCAGGGTCACTGGGGTTGGGCTGGGGAGAGGAACAGGCCTTGGGAATCAGGAGCTGGAGCCAGGATGCGAAGCAGCTGTAATGGTCTGAGCGGATTTATTGACAATGAATAAAGGGCACGAAGGCCAGGCCAGGGCCTGGGCCTCTTGTGCTAAGAGGGCAGGGGGCCTACGGTGCTATTGCTTTAGGGGCCCACCACGGGCAGGGGCCTGCTCCCAGCTGCCACGCTCTATCATATGGAGCGAGGTGTTGGGGAAGGCGGGGCAGGCAGCCTGTTGCAGGCAGGGGAAGGAGAAGAGACTGAGGGGCTGTGACCTCTCCTGAGGCCCCCAGCCTGAGACTGTGCAACTCCAGGTGGAAGTAGAGCTGGTCCCTCAGCTGGGGGGCAGTGCTGTCCAGTGGAGGGGAGGGCTTTCACGCCCACCCACCCCCTGGCCCTGCCAGCTGGTAGTCCATCAGCACAATGAAGGAGACTTGGAGAAGAGGAAGAATAACACTGTTGCTTCCTGTTCAAGCTGTGTCCAGCTTTTCCCCTGGGGCTCCAGGACCTTCCCTACCTCCACCACCAAACCAAGGGATTTATAGCAAAGGCTAAGCCTGCAGTTTACTCGGGGGGTTCAGGGAGCCGAAAGGCTTAAATAGTTTAAGTAGGTGATGGGAAGATGAGATTACCTCATTTAGGGCTCAGGCAGACTCACCTCACATACTCCCTGCTCCCTGTGGTAGAGACACCTGAGAGAAAGGGGAGGGGTCAACAATGAGAGACCAGGAGTAGGTCCTATCAGTGCCCCCCAGAGTAGAGAGCAATAAGAGCCCAGCCCAGTGCAGTCCCGGCTGTGTTTTCCTACCTGGTGATCAGAAGTGTCTGGTTTGCTTGGCTGCCCATTTGCCTCTTGAGTGGGCAGCCCTGGGCTTGGGCCCCTCCCTCCGGCCCTCAGTGTTGGCTCTGCAGAAGCTCTGGGGTTCCCTTCAAGTGCACGAGGGGTTAGGCTGCTGTCCCTGAGTCCTCCATTCTGTACTGGGGGGCTGGCTAGGACCTGGGGCTGTGGCCTCTCAGGGGGCAGCCTCTCCATGGCAGGCATCCCTGCCTTGGGCTGCCCTCCCCCAGACCCCTGACCACCCCCTGGGTCCTGTCCCCCACCAGAGCCCCAGCTCCTGTCTGTGGGGGAGCCATCACGGTGTTCGTGCAGTCCATAGCGCTTCTCAATGTGTGTCACCCGGAACCTGGGAGGGGAGGGAACACTGGGGTTTAGGACCACAACTCAGAGGCTGCTTGGCCCTCCCCTCTGACCAGGGACATCCTGAGTTTGGTGGCTACTTCCCTCTGGCCTAAGGTAGGGGAGGCCTTCTCAGATTGTGGGGCACATTGTGTAGCCTGACTTCTGCCGGAGCTCCCAGTCCAGGAGGAAAGAGCCAAGGCCCACTTTTGGGATCAGGTGCCTGATCACTGGGCCCCCTACCTCAGCCCCCCTTTCCCTGGAGCACCTGCCCCACCTGCCCACAGAGAACACAGTGGTCTCCCCTGTCCGGGGGCGGCTTTTTCCTTCCTTGGAGCGTCCCTGACGGACAAGTGGAGGCCTCTTGCTGCGGCTGCAATGGAGGCAAGGGGCTGCAGAGCCCAGGTGCACTGTGTGATGATGGGAGGGGGCTCCGTCCTGCAGGCTGGAGGTGGCATCCACACTGGACAGCAGGGAGGAGGGGAGTGAGGGTAACATTTCCATTTCCCTTCATGTTTTGTTTCTTACGTTCTTTCAGCATGCTCCTTAAAACCCCAGAAGCCCCAATTTCCCCAAGCCCCATTTTTTCTTGTCTTTATCTAATAAACTCAATATTAAGATGTTAGTGACCATATGTTCTTCCTCCCAGGGCTGTTTGCTAAAAAGAACACTGCTTAACCCAAAGGAGTGGCACTAGAGGTGAATGTTAGGCTTGATGATATCTAGATGAGAGAGATGGTTTGAAGGAATCGCGATTTCTACAAAACAACTTTCTTCCTATAAGTTAGCCAGCTTTGCCCTTCCCCCAACCCCATACATGCAAGGAGGCTGGGAGAGGATTGTGCTGGAGGAGAGGATACTCTCCAAGGCAAGCTAAGTCATGCTGGCCCTTGTTTCCAGCTCACCTGGACAGCTGCACTGTCCCTTCTCCTTCACTGTCCCCCAGCATCTCCTTCAAGGCCTCAGCATTGGCTGAGGGAAGAAGGAAAAGAGGGAGTCAGTGGAGGTGGAGGTCAGGGCAAGAGAAGGTTGGAGAAGAGGGAGCAAGGGGCTATGCTAGACCCACCTTCATTCTGGATGATGCAGCGAACAATCCTCTCTACTGTGTCCTCATTCATGTCATCGTCCTCAGCTGAAGGATGAAAGAGATTGGCAAGGAAGCAGGAATGAGTCAGCTTTGGGGGAATATTACCTGGTGGCTCCCATCATTTATTGCTTAGGACATACCCTTTTACCTACTTGCTATCATGCTGGACCTCAGCATTTCAGGGACCAGAAAAGATGGGGACACCAATGCAAGCCCAAGACTACCATCCAGAGGACCGTTCCTGCCCATGCTGCTTTCTCTAGTTTTGCTTTCAGAGTGGTGTCACCCCACTTGCTAACTCAAGAGTGCATCACTAGGCTTCCTGAGCAGGTTTGATCAGGATTTGGCCTGGGTCTGTTGGTCAGGGAGGCAGAGGTGTGGGGAGAAGGGTGAAAGGTGACTGAGCCAGGGTTCCAGGCTCCTCACTCACGGGGCTGAAGCTGGGCATCGTCAGGCTCAGAGCCCCTCGACGTGCGGCAGCGGTAGCCCTTCTTCTTGAGCACGTGGCAGATCATGAAGCCTACCAGGCCCATGAGGAAGAAGACCAGCACAAGCAGGAAGAGCATATATAGCCCATGTTGGGGCGGTTCCAGGTCAGGCTGTGGTTCCGACATGAGGCCCTGGGGGGCGAGCGCGGGCCAGGGCGCCTCCTGGGTTTAGGGGGCTGCAGCTGGGAATGGGGGAGGGGTAGGAATGCCGTCCTCAGGATCTGAAACAAGCACGTCTAAGACGTCCGGCTGAGGTCCGGCCCCACCCCCTACCCAACCAGGGAGCTGTCCGGGCCAGGAGTGCTGTTTCGCCTTTCGGCAAGAGGTCAGCGGCAACGCAAGCTCTCTACCACGACCCTGGTCCCGCTTCCCCGACGCCCCGAGCGTTCCCCTTTCCAGCTTGTTCGCGCTTCTGTCCCTCCCAAGGACACTGCAGCACGAGATGGGACGGCATTCTTAGGCGGCGGGAGCAGAAATCCTGCCTGAGTCAGCGCCCGCACCTCCTCCACGCCGGCCTGAGCCAGGCCTCTGCAGCCCCTTCCTCTCAGTACTCCCGCACCCCTCTCCCTTTTTGGTTTCTCCCACCCTGACCACCTGGCCGACCCGGTACCGGTGATTTGGTTCTGGTTCCGGCTTCTGCTGGGGTTCCGGCTCCAGGGGCGTCCTAGTGCGGCTCAGGGCCCCCGACGCCCTTCCGGCGCTCATCCCTTGATTCCTCCCCTCCCCCTTCGCCGCCTCACCGGCCCCGGGCTGTGGCTGCGGATACCCGCGCCGTGGCAGGCGGGGGGAGGGAAGAACAGAGAAGGATGCGGGCTGGCTGAGAGCGGTGGCAGGCTCCGGGCAACTCCGGCCCTGGGTCAGGGAGATCGCCTCCGCAGCCGCCCTGGCTTCCCAAATGCCTTCACCCGTCGCGGGCCCAGGACCAGGGGGCGGAGCGCAGGTGTGCGGGGCGGAGAGCGTGAGCTCTGCGCGCGCGTGACTGCGCCGGGCCCCCCCGGGGCAATGTGCGGCGCCGAGTCTGGGTCCGGGTAGGGGACAGGCGGTCCGGCGTGGGTGTTGTCCACTGGTCTATCCGGTACGCCTGGCGCAGCTCCTGCCCTCAGATGCCCCGACCGAGCGGAGAGTCAGGAATCTTCTCCGAGGGCTGGGGGAAGCCGGCTTTCCGCACCTTTGAGGGACGGAGTGGCGGGATCTTCGGAGCTTCCTAGAGAAGTGACCACGGCCTGCGCCCGGTTTGGGGCAAGCGGCTGGATGGGATGGCTCGGCTTCCCGAGGATCTGACCCCCGGCCGGAGACAAATGGCCCTCGCATCCTAGGAGCTATGCTGCCAGTTCCCTGCCCAACCCGGGACGCTCAAAGCCCCAGATACCGGGAGAGCTGAGCCGGGCGAGGGGCGGAGCTCCCCTGGGGGCGTGGCCTGGGTGTGGATGGAGGCGGGGCCGCAACGCCCAGTTCCGCAGAGGCCGGCTACGTGCTTGCGCAGCACGCACGGCCGGGGAGGGGCTGGCGGCGGCCGCGGGCGGCGGGCGGCGGAGGTGCGGGGCCTGCTCCCGCCGGCACCATGGCCAAGACCGTGGCCTATTTCTACGACCCCGACGTGGGCAACTTCCACTACGGTGAGGAAACAGGGATATGCATGAGGGGTTGGGACACGGAGGTTTTGAGGCGGGGTTGCAACTCCAGGGGTGAGAGCTGACGAACTCTCTTCTCCCCACCCCCAGGAGCTGGACACCCTATGAAGCCCCATCGCCTGGCATTGACCCATAGCCTGGTCCTGCATTACGGTCTCTATAAGAAGATGATCGTGAGTTCCGCCGCCTCGGCCGGGGGTTGGGGGGTGGGGCGAGCTGTGGCCGTAGGGATAGGTGGGCTGGACTGAGTGCATGAAGTGCGACCCGCCCCTAGAGTATCGGGGAGCTGGATAGAAGTCACCAGGAGTACCTTGAAAGTGCAGGGTGTTGGGGGTGGCGTCCTCTGCTTAATGGAAAGTACTTTCTCACCTCAGGTCGGCCACCCTCTGACTGTAGGCACACTAGCCCTTGGCCTAGGGTTAGCGTGATGTGGGGCTGGTTTGAAGACAGAAGGTGTGTTCCTCCTCTGCATTTTAGAGTGTGGATAGGGCCTTGGCCTCAGGAATTAGGGTTAGGGGAGCGGATATCACTGTATCAGGGTGTGAGGTTTACCCTCAGTTCCCACTCCTCTTTTACCACCTTTCTTTACCTCCAAGGAGCTAGGGCTCCAGGGTGGAACGATGCTGCCGTCTTTGTAAATGTGTATGTGCGTGTGGAACAGAGGCGATATTTTAGATATTCCTTTTTCAGCCTGGAATACCTCTACATGGTTCTGCTTAATCGCTATCCAGTTTTTCATCTACCAGACATACACATGCTGTCTTCCCAGCTTGGAATTTATGGCTGTGATATGGGATAGTAACAGTTAAGCCACGCCAGGCGTGGTGGCCCATGCCTGTAATCCCAGCACTTTGGGAGGTTGAAATGGGGGGGATCGCTTGAGGCCAGGAGTTGGAGACCAGCTTGGGCCACAGTGGGACCCACATCTACAAAAAATAAAAATAAAAAAAGTAGCCATGTGCGGTGGGTGTGCCTGTAGTCCCAACTACTTGGGAGGCCGAGGCGAGAGGATGGCTTGGGCCCAGGAGTTTAAAGTTACAGTGATCTATGATCAGCAGCCTGAGTTGACAGGGAGGACCTTGTCTCAAAAGAAAAAATAAGACAAAACAGCTAAACCCAGGCTTTATGTGTTGCTAGGGAAACTAGTGAACAATATGAATGAATGTTCATTGCTTGTGCCAAGGCACAGACAAATGGACTGGTCATAGAAAAGACTGAGGTGATGTTAGTGCAGGAATCTATATCCCTTGAGATTGTTTGCCTGTATGTACCTGTGTGCATTTTCTGGGAGAAGAAAAGCTCTTTCTTGTGCAGTTTTCAAAGAGGTGTGACACATCCCCCTGACCTTCCAAAGATAATAAATCTTTGATTTTAATTAGAAAGTTGACATATATCCCATATATTTGACTCCAGAAAGAAGAATCCAGAGGAAAGAGGACAGAATCAGAGCTTGGGGGAGGAGATGAGCATGGAGAGAACTGGGAATAGGAGATTCCAAGGAACAGGGCAGGTGGATCAGGGCTCAAAGTTGAGAAGGTACGATAGGCTGAGCTGGAGGTGGAAAGGAAAAGAAGTGGTCTTCAGGGGGCTCATTTGTAATAACTTACCTGGTTAATCGGAGTCTCTCTACTGACTTAAGGATTGTGGGATGAGGGGAATGCTATGTTTGGCTTCATATAGTCTCCAGGACTGGGTTCAGTATGGGTGGTCTGAGCCTGTGGAGTGGGGCTGACCCTGCCTGGGTTCATCTTGTGTCTCCATCCCGAGGTCTTCAAGCCATACCAGGCCTCCCAACATGACATGTGCCGCTTCCACTCCGAGGACTACATTGACTTCCTGCAGAGAGTCAGCCCCACCAATATGCAAGGCTTCACCAAGAGTCTTAATGCCTTCAACGTAGGCGATGACTGGTGAGGGAGGACTGGGAGTTTTGATGTCTAACAGTTTAATGCCAAGCCCTTCAGTGAGGTCTTTTGGCAGCAGTGGGAAGATCTCAAGGGGGGCCTACTTGTCAATGCATCATAATTCATTTTATTTGTTTATTCAATAAATATTTATTGGTCACTTGTTCTAGGCAGGCCCTGTGCTAAGTGCTGGGAATGCAGTGATGAACAAAAACAAAATTTTAATATCGTATTTTTGCTAAGTCTTATAAAGAGGAGGTGTATGACAGATTATGAGAGTGTATACGTGGAGGATTGTTTAGCTTGGTGGAGTGGCTGGTCGGTGGGGCCTTCCTAGAGGAAGTAAAGATTGAGCTGAGATCTGAAAAAAGAGTAGAAGTAATCAGATGAAAGATGGTTGGAGGGTGAGGGGAGAAGTATAGCAGGCAGTAGGGACAAGTGCTAAGGGTCTGTGGTAGGACTGAGTATGACTCATTTGAGGAACAGAAAAAAGGCCAAGTGCAGAGTATGAAGAGGAGGTGAACTGAATTGAGGCTAAAGAAATAGGACCTTTTAAAAGCAAACAGCTCTATTATGAATTGGGGTTTTTACCCGTAGAGTAGAGGGAAGCTATCAAAGTGTTTTAAAAAGCAAGGGATCTTAAGAGGGCTATGGGCAGTTAAAAAAACAAAAAAAACAACGAAGGAGTGGTTTGATATCATTAGGTTTACATTGAGCTTGTATCATCCATAGAAGAGTCAGGGTTAGACCCTCTGGGGAAGAGAGTGGACAACAAAGATAAGCCACACTCTACTCTATATCCATGAAAAAATAGTAACCATCACAGCTACCAGTTGCTCAATTCTACTTACTTTTGTTTTTAAACTTTTTATTAGGGAAAATTTCAAAAATTTCTGAAAGTGAAGTAGTGCAGTGACCTCCCATACGTCCATCACCTAGCTTCAACGCTTATGAGCAAATGGCCACTCTTTTTTTTTTTTTTTTTTTTTTTGAGACAGAGTCTCACTCTGTAGCCCAGGCTGGAGTGCAGTGGTGCAGTCTTGGCTCACTGCAACCTCTGCCTCCTGGGTTCAAGCGATTCTCATGCCTCAGACTCCCGAGTAGCTGGGATTACAGGCGCCTGCCACCATGCCTGGCTAATTTTTGTATGTTTAGTAGAGATGGGGTTTCACTATGTTGGTCAGGCTGGTTTTGAACTCCTGACCTCAGGTGATCCACCAGCCTCAGCCTCCAAAAGTGCTGGGATTACAGACGTGAGCCATCGCACCCAGCTGAGCAAGTGGCCACTCTTACTTCATCTATACTCCCTCATGTTAGATTGTTTTAAAGCAGATCCTAGATGTTATATCCTTTTATCCATAAATATTTTATTATGTATCTCTAAATGATACTCTTTTAAAAAAACATAGTATCATTATCAAACCTAAAAAGTTAACAGTGATTCCTTAATGTCATCAAATATGGGATCAATATTCAAATTTCTGCAGTTGTCTCATAATTATTTTGTAGCTAATTTAAATCCAGATCTAAACAAGGTCTATACAGTGCATTTGGTTGATATGTCTCTTAAGACTTTTAATTTGTAGCTTTTCTGTCACCCCCTTGAATTTATTTCTTGAAGAAACCAGGTTGTTGATCCTGTAGAATTTCTTATGATAGCTACCATTTACTGAGTGCTTACTCTGCTAGGTATTATGCCAAGGGTTGCTGGTAAATCCACTTAATTCTCATACCAATCCTTAGATGTATTATAATAGACCTTTTTCTGATGTTATATATAAGTAAATTGAGGTTTGGGAATATCTAGGTAACTTAGCCGTAGTCACATAACTGGTCATTGGAGGGGGCATGATCCAGATCCCGGGTTTTTAAACCACTAATCTGTTTTCCTGAAAGATCTTAATGACAGAAGCAGCCAGGGCTGTAGGATAGAGGCCAACTCATTAGGCTGGCATTGGCACCTTTCCAACTTTATCCCTACACCTCAGCTGCACAGGATGCCTTCCTGGAATGCCCTTAGTTCTCTATTCAACCTCTTCAAGGCCTTCTCAGCCTTCACACCATCTCCATGAAACCTTTCTTGACCACACCAGCCCATAGAGCTCTGTCTTGCACACACTGCACTGCTCATTTGGTGTTCAGTCACATGCTGTTTGGGGAGGTTTCTTGTTTTTTTGTTAGTATTCCTGCTGTTATTTCTGAGCTCACTTTCTAGCTCTGTGAATACAGGGTCAGCCCTTACGCCACACTGGGGTCCCGTAGATGCTCTTTGTGCGATTAGGGAATGCTAATTAGAATACTATCTCTGGGCTATTTATGCTGCATCAGTCTTCCTGTCAAACAAGTTACAGTTGTGCTTATCTGTATTTCCGATGAGAATCAGGAATTTTTCTTCTGTTTAATGAATTTCTGATTGGTTTCAAAGTATTCTAACATAAGTAGCCAAATTGTACTATAGGCCTTTAAATGAAAAAAATAAAAAAGTAGTCCCAAGCCGGGCGCAGTGGCTCACGCCTGTAATCCCAGCACTTTCGGAGGCCGAGGCGGGTGGACCACCTAAGGTCAGGAGTTCAAGACCAGCCTGGCCAACATGGTGAAACCCCATCTCTACTAAAAATACAAAAATTAGTCATGTGTGGTGGCACGTGCCTGTAGTCCCAGCTACTCCAGGAGGCTGAGGCAGGAGAATTGCTTGAACCCGGGAGTTGGAGGTTGCAGTGACCTGAGATTGCACCACTGCACTCCAGCCTGGGCAACAGAGTGAGACTCTGTCTTAAAAAAAAAAAAAAAAAAAAATTCCAGACCTCTCCTTTTCACCCATAAATCCCTCTGCCCAGTGACAGCCACTTTCAGCTCCTTTCCCCTATGTCTTCTGGTATTTACCTTTGGATTTCTAAATAATAATATTAATTGACTGTTATTACTAATCTGTAATCCTTAGGTAATACCTGTTATATACTAGGTACTGTTCTAAGTGCTTTACAGCCATTAGCTTATTTAATCTCAACAACCCCTATGAAGCAGGGTCTATTATTGTTTCCTTTTACCGATGAGGACACTTAAGCACAGAAAGGTTAAACAGTTTGTACAACCTCACTATCATTAGTAGGTGTTAAAGAACCTAGGTAGTCTAGCTCCAGAATCGGTGCTTGTAATCATACTCCCCTCCTGTATTGTCTCTCATTGCTATTTCTTCGTCTGTCAATTTTAGGCATTATCTGTTAAGCTTTTAGTATGGGATATGAGCATTTAGTCTTCTTACACCATCACATTGGCTTCCTTTCCCCTTTCAGCTTCATAGTAATTTAAAAATAAATCAGTATTCTGTGTTTACATTATTATAACTCTGAAAGATTCATTTACTATCAAGCCAAATAGTGTAGTGTGATTTAATCTATTTTCTTCTAAAGCTTTTTGTTTTTCCTGGAGCTGACAATTGCATTATTTTTTCATTTGCTTAGTTTTCTGGTATTAATCACTAATTCTTTCCAAGCCTTTTGAGAAACTATAAAACCCTACAATTCTTGCTTGAACCCGGGAGGCGGAGGCTGCAGTGAGCCGAGATCGCACCATTGCACCCCAGCCTGGGCGACAGAGCAAGACCCCATCTCAAAAAACAAACAAACAAAAAACCCCTACAGTTCTGTTTTTCACATGGTCAAATGTATCAGCTGCACTATTTTTTTTTTTTGAGACCTAAAACTAGGGATTGCCTAAGCCTTTCCTTTTTAAAAAGTCAGGTTTATATAGGTATAACTTGCATACAGTAAAATTAACCTTTTTTAGGTGTAAGAGTTCTGAGAGGTTTGATAGAATATATCAAGGTATAGGGCCAGCGCCGATGGCTCACACCTGTAGTCCCAACAATTTGGGAGGCCAAGGCGGGAGGATCACTTAGGCCCAGGAGTTTGAGACCAGCTTGGGCAACATAGTGAGACCCTGTCTCTACAAAAAAAAAAAAAAAAAAGGTATCAAGGTACAGGAAATTTCCACTACCCAACAAAGGTCACTCACCCTTTTGTAGTTAATAACTTCTCTGCAACCTAGATCCAGCCAACTACTGATAAGATGTCTGTCCTTGTATTTTACCTTTTCCAGAATGTTACATAAATGGAGTCATACAGTAAGTAGGCTTTTGTGTCTGGCTTCAAGCCTTTACTTTTTATAAAGAATAACAATGGTAATAATTATAGCTGACATTTATTAAAGGCTGAGCGGATACTGTATACTGTGCTACAGGCTTTTCGTGGGTTATCTCATCACTGTTTCACATATGTAGGTATACAGTTCTTTCTTTAAAATATGTGACTGAAAAATATTATTGAACATTATGCTAAAATTTGTTACACTGAGAAGACTAAGAAAAACAGAGCTCATGTTTTCTTTCAACTGATTTCCTTTTTACATTGTACTTGAGTACCTGGAAGCTGCTTGCTTCTTTCCGCAGCTAGGATACAAACTCCCTGACAGTTAAGTGCTTCTTTACTTCCCATCCAGTGCCTTGCACAGGGCTTGGTACATGGTTTGGTCCAAAATATTTGTTGAATAAATTTGCAGATAGCCCACGTGTGTAGGAGAGGGAGAGAAGGTTCTTGAAAAATGGAGATTGGAGGAATCTAGGATGGGGAGGGAGATATGGGAAGGGCCCAGACAGAGGCAGGAGGGTTCCAACTTGTTCCTCTTCCCTGCAGCCCAGTGTTTCCCGGGCTCTTTGAGTTCTGCTCGCGTTACACAGGCGCATCTCTGCAAGGAGCAACCCAGCTGAACAACAAGGTGACATAGTCCCGAGTCCTGTTCTTCCTTTCCTCTGGATCCCTGGACTCGGGATTTAACCCTGATCCTGGGCTCCCAGCTTGAGGGGTGGGCAGGAAGGACTGTGACTTAGGTGTTTGTCTTTCAGATCTGTGATATTGCCATTAACTGGGCTGGTGGTCTGCACCATGCCAAGAAGTTTGAGGTGAGTGAGGAGGTGATGGGAAAGACAGTGGCCATCCTAGGGTAGGTGTTTAGGATGATGGTGGGGGGCAGCTGGGAGGGGAATTGCTCTTCTCTTTATGAGACCACTGTCTTGCCATAGGCCTCTGGCTTCTGCTATGTCAACGACATTGTGATTGGCATCCTGGAGCTGCTCAAGTAAGTAGCCCAGGAGGAGATGGGGGCAGTTACGGGATTCTTGGCTGAGGAGGTCTCTCAGTCTCAACCCTGACCTTGACCTCCCTCCTCCCTGATTAGCTTCTCCCAAGTTCTTGATGCTTTATTCAGGCTGCCTCTTCCACTGCTGCAGATTCCCTACTGCCTGCTCACATTTCAGCCTTCTCTGCATATCCCTCTCCTGTCCCTGCCTCTAGCCTCTAGGCTGGAGCCCCCAGTTGCCTTTAGGGAACTGGTGACATTAAGTTTCAGGTGACCAGGGCAGAAGCAGACTCTTCACAATTCGAGACCCGGTGTTTGAGAGGAGTGGGTTGGGGGGTTCACTTCTAGCTCAGACCCTGGCTTTGGCTTCCCTCTAGGTACCACCCTCGGGTGCTCTACATTGACATTGACATCCACCATGGTGACGGGGTTCAAGAAGCTTTCTACCTCACTGACCGGGTCATGACGGTGTCCTTCCACAAATACGGAAATTACTTCTTCCCTGGCACAGGTATGGGAATAGGGATTACTTTCCCCTTTGCACCCTTCAGCTCTTTACTATGAGTGCCTCCTTCTCAGCCTTCTAGTCTCATCTCAGGTGTCCCCTCCTCAGAGAAGCCTTTCCTTACCACTCCAGTTATCATAATCACCTCCTTCCCCATTCCTCTGTTACATCAGCCTCATTGTTTCCCTCAGAACACTCACTGCTATTTGTGTTTATTGTGGTTTTTTGTTTTGTTTTGTTTACTGCCTCCCTCCTCCTCATGGCTATTCCCTAAGAATATAAGCGTGGTGGGATATCGTAAATTTCATTAGTTCCATTCGTTGCTGCATCCCTACTGCCTAGTACACAGTTGGCTCAGAGTGGATCCCCCAAAACTATTTGCCCAATGAATGCAAGCTGCAAGAGATTTAGTGGCTCTAGGGAGTTTATGGTGAAGCTACATAGATGGAATGAGAGGCTCCCAGAGTGCAGATTGGGGCTGAAACAGCTGGGTTGTGGGTGCTTCCCATGTGTGGCTACCACCACCCACTTCCCTACAGGTGACATGTATGAAGTCGGGGCAGAGAGTGGCCGCTACTACTGTCTGAACGTGCCCCTGCGGGATGGCATTGATGACCAGAGTAAGTACCGAAGTCTTCCCTCTGTTCCCTAGGCCCCTTCTTTTTCTCCTTGAAATAACCTCTTCTGCCTGGTATTGTCTGCTGTTGGGCCAGTTGTCCTTAAGGATGAATGGCCTTCAGAGGGACCATGAATCTCTGGAAATTGTATGCAACATATCATGTGTATGTGCATTTTTCTGGGAAAAGTCATTGGCTTTCATCAGTCACTCATAGCAGTCTGGGATCCCTTCCAGAAGTTTCAGACCAGTGATTTGATTCTTTTGGGTGGCCCCTTTCCTGGGCTACATGCTCGCTCAACCCCCTTTTTCCTTTTGTTCCCTGTCTCCCCATCCCCTTGGGGTGCCAGGTGCCCATCTTTGGCCCTCTCCCAGGTTACAAGCACCTTTTCCAGCCGGTTATCAACCAGGTAGTGGACTTCTACCAACCCACGTGCATTGTGCTCCAGGTAATACTGTCAGTTCCTCCTCAGGAGTGTTCTGCCTGGGCTTGGGGAAAGAGAGCAAGGGAAGAGGAGGTTCTTTAGGTTGGTGGTGGAAGGGGTATCTGTGATGTTCTGATCAGTTCTGATCACTGCACTTTCCTGGGGTTTTGCTTTTTGCAGTGTGGAGCTGACTCTCTGGGCTGTGATCGATTGGGCTGCTTTAACCTCAGCATCCGAGGGCATGGGTGAGACTTGCTCTCCTTCTTCTCCCCAAGGTTTTTAAGTGGCCTTGGACTTCAGTACGTGGGTGGGGGTAGTTGGGGAATGGGCCTCACCTCTTCTTGGAAATCAAAAATAGCTACAAATTGTACTTGAACTAGAAATGTCATCTTGAACAGGGTTCCCTAGATGGTCATTCATTCACGATATATTTTTATTAAGCACCTGTTATGTTCCAGGCATCATACCACATCATGGGGATGGAATAAGGAGTCTCCCATGGAGTTTACAGTTTAGGAAACAGACAAAAAATAAATAATCAAATGAAATAAATAGATTCTTATAAATTCTGTGAAAGAAAAAAAGAAAGCTGAGACACAGGATACAATGGGGGACCTACTTGAGATAGCATGGTTTCGGAAAGTTTTTCTGAGGAAGTAAAATTTGAGTTGAGACCTGGAGACTAAGAAGGAGTGAGTCATAAGAGGAGCAGAGAGAAGCCTGACCCAAGCATGGACAAAGGCCCACAAAAGGCTCTGAGGGCTGGGCCCAGTGGCACACACCTATAATCCCAACACTTCCAGAGGCCAAGGTGGGAGAATCGCCTGAGGCTAGGAGTTTGAGGCCAGCCTGGGCAACATAGTGAGAGCCATCTCTACAGAAAATAAAAAACAAAATCAGCTGGGCATGATGGTGCATGCCTATAGTCCTAGCTACTCAGGAAGCTGAGGCAGGAGGATCACTTGAGCCTAGGAGTTTGAGGTTACAGTGAACTATGATTGTGCCACTGGACTTCAGTCTGTTGAGGTGAGGTCCGAGAAGCTGGCCATGGTGAGATTGTGCAGAGCCTTTAAACCCTGGTAAGGAGTTTGAATTATATTCCAAAGATGATGGGAAACCATTGAAGGATTTTAAGCAGGAAAGTGACATGATCCAATTTGTGTTTGAAAGTGACAATTCTGACTGCTGAATAGAGAAAGGTTTGGGTAGGGGGGATGGAGATGGAAGTAGAAAGACCAGTTAGGAAGCCATGGTGTTGGTTAGGTGCCCAGACTAAGGTGGAGGGGGTGGCAATGGAGAGAAGTAGATGATCTGAGAGGTGTGTGTGTGTGTGTGTGTATATATATATATATACACACACACACACACATATATATGTTTTTTTTTTTCTTTTTTGAGATGGAGTCTTGCTCTGTCACCCAGGCTGGAGTGCAGTGGCACGATCTTGGCTCAGTGCAAGCTCTGCCTCCTGGGTTCAAGCATTTCTCCTGCCTCAGCCTCCTGAGTAGCTGGGACTACTACAAAGGCGTGAGCACCGCGCCGGGCGTGAGTTATATTTTCAAGGCTAGAATTGACAGAACTTGGGTTGATGAGAATAGTTGATTAGCAGGCAGGGTGCCAGGGAGGGTGTTGAGCAGAACAGAGGGGGGACTGTGCTTTATTTTAAAATTTTTATTGAGACACAGCATATAAAGTATACCCAAATCTTAAGGGTATAACATAATGAATTTCACTATCAAGATAAAGATTTAGAACATTTATAGTTTTCTTGTGCTCCTTTCAGGCAATACCTAAAGGTATTTACCTTGTCTTTTGATAACCTCCTCCACATCTTCCTCTGGTTCCTTTTAACAGGGAATGCGTTGAATATGTCAAGAGCTTCAATATCCCTCTACTCGTGCTGGGTGGTGGTGGTTATACTGTCCGAAATGTTGCCCGCTGCTGGTGAGCACTCTCCTGATTTCCTCCCCTGTTGTCCAGTGTGAGCTAGGGTGTCCCTCAGATATGGCCACATGGGTCCTTCAGCCCACTTGGTCAGCCTGCTCCCCTCTGCTGGTTGGTTTCAGGACATATGAGACATCGCTGCTGGTAGAAGAGGCCATTAGTGAGGAGCTTCCCTATAGTGGTAAGGACCACCCCACAACACCCCCATAACAGGAAGGCCATTCTCACCAGATTCCAGAATGACCTGGTTTGAAGGCACATGGGAAATTTTACACTCTCAGAGCTCTGCAGACTAAACCCCTGGGCTCAGAGCAGGGAAGAGATTGGGCAGCTATTATGTAGGTGCTCTGGATGGGAAGGAAAAAGATTGGGAAGTCTTGTTAGCTGCCTTTCTCAGTCTGAGCCATACTTTCTCCTCTCCTCCCCAAGAATACTTCGAGTACTTTGCCCCAGACTTCACACTTCATCCAGATGTCAGCACCCGCATCGAGAATCAGAACTCACGCCAGGTCAGCAGCTCAGAAAAGCTGAGCACAAACTTCTCCTGAAAGGTGGAGCCCAGGAGAGGTCAAAGATGTGGGAAGTAGGAAAAACCAAAGAGAAGGAAGTTCTAAGCCATCACAGTCACTGTTATTGACTAGGAGGCAGTCCAGTTTAAAGTAGAGGCAGTTGGGGTTGGTGGGGAGGGAGAGCTATCAGTTGGGGGACCTGAACTAGAGGTACCACTGAGATGAAAACCAGTATGGTAGGGGTAAAAGGCAGCTAGGAGATTCCATGTCCTGGGAATCTCTGGAAACTGCTCACTCTGTATTCCTCATTTCCAACCAGTATCTGGACCAGATCCGCCAGACAATCTTTGAAAACCTGAAGATGCTGAACCATGCACCTAGTGTCCAGATTCATGACGTGCCTGCAGACCTCCTGACCTATGACAGGACTGATGAGGCTGATGCAGAGGAGAGGGGTCCTGAGGAGAACTATAGCAGGTCTGGGAGCAGGGACTTCAGCCTACTTTCAATAGGCTTGCTGGGGAGGTTTAAAAGGGAAAAAGTAAATGGGAAGGTATTAGTTTAATTGCCTCTGGCTTACCTCCTTTAGTCTGCTACAATTTCCTCACTCTTTTCTTTGTTATTTTTAATGACAAAAGTAACACGTATTTATTGCAAAATTTTAAAACAGCACCAAAATATGGTGTTGGCGTTCACACAATCCCAGACCTATTCCACAGGAGTAACCACTGTTAATAGTTTTTATTGTTTTGGATAGACCTTTTTCTATAGATTGCAAATATACTATTCTGTATGTACATATAAACAAACACATATACACTCATTTACAGTTTGTGTGGTTTTTGGTTTTTCGTAAATACAAATAGGGTCATTCTACGTATGCTGCTTTACATCATATAGCTGTTTTCAGCTAGCTAATATAGATCTGCTTCAGTATTTTATCAGCTGTATAATAATTTACTATGTGGATAGATTATTTTCCATTTTTTTGGTATTACAATAATAATGTGGCAATGAACCCCCTTACATTATACATCTTTGCATTCTTGTTTGAGTGGGTTAGATAGTAGAATGGTTGCTGCTAGGTCAAAGGCTGTGTGCATTAATTTTTTTTTTTTTTTTTTTTTTGAGACAGGGTCTCATTCTGTCACCCAGGCTGGAGTACAGTGGCATGATTATAGCTCACTGCAATCTTGAACTCCTGGGTTCAAGCGATCCTCCTGCCTCAGCCCCTCGAGTAGCTGGAATCATAGGTGTGCACCACGACACCTGGCTAATTTTTTTTTTTTTTTTTTTTTTTTTTTTTTTTTTTGGTAGAGACGGAGTCTTGCCTTGTTGCCCAGGCTGGTCTCAAACTCCTGGGCTCAAATGTCCTCCTGCCCCAGCCTTCCAAAGTGCTGGGATTATAGGCGTGAGCCACTGAGCCTGGCCTAAAATTTTTTATATTTGCTGCCAAATTGCCGTCCAGAAAGTCTGTAGCACCCTATAGTCTTGCCAGCATTTTTCTCAGTCTTTCCAGGTCTTGAGCTGGACAGGTCACTGCCTGCGTAATACTCTCTAAGGCTCTTTGATTTCTTTGCTCTGTTAATTTTTTCGGGTGGGATAATTGCATTGTGGTTATGTTTTTTTTTTTTTTTTAAAAGTCTTTATCTTTCTGAGATACATACAAAATATTTGTAGATGGAATGAATTAGGGGGGAAAAAGGATAGGATGGAATTTTTTTTTAATCCCAAAACTTTGCTGAAAAATGAAAGGGAAAGACAACAGAACCAAGAAGTGCAGAAACAGATGCACTTAATGGGGAACAGATTTCCTTACATGACTGAGGGATAACCACAGCTGGACACTTGTGGGACACGCTGTCTTGCTCCCACGCAGGGTTAGAGGTTTGAGCCGGCTCTGCTGCAGAGCCTGATGGGCTTCTCAGCCCCTTCTAGAATCTGCTTCTGTCTTAGAATTCAGGCCTCCGAATCTCTCCTCTGGACCTGGGCTTTACTGCTCTGACTCTTGGGGATCTCTGCAACTCTCTTCCTCCAAGGATATCCCCCGATCCCTTCTGAGTGAGGAAGTGTCTGAACATCTGGAAGTGTCTGGCTTCAGGGCTTCCAGGACTATTGGAAATTGCTTTTCATTGTCTGGTTTGGTTTGGTAAAACCTGTTTTTAAGTTCTTCCTTTTGGGTTTTTTATCAATAGCTCCAGGCTGGCATCTGGACCTAGTCTCTGCATTATAATAATACCAAGCCCTGTCACAGCCAGCAGAAGCCTCAGGCCTCTTCCTGTTCCTAAGCCCTACCTCTCTGTCAGGCCACCCACTGAGTTTCTGTTCTTCTTTGATGCCTATAGCTCCAGCTTGCATATGACTTGCAGAGTAGAAATAGGAAGAGTTACCACTTTTTGTAGGTTTGCCAAGCACCAGACACTACTAAGTGCTATCTATTACAACATATATATGATCATTCTGTTGCCATCAGACAACTCTGATGGCTCTTATTTTCAGATTAACACGGGAGGAATCTAAGGCTCAGAGAGTCTAAGTAACTTTCTTTCTTTCTTTTTTTTGAGACGGAGTTTCGCTCTTTTTGCCCAGGCTGGAGTGCAATGGCATGATCTCAGCTCACCACAACCTCTGCCTCCCGGGTTCAAGCGATTCTCCTGCCTTAGCCTCCCAAGTAGCTGGATTACAGGCATGAGCCTCCACGCCTGGCTAATTTTTTTTGTATTTTTAGAAGAGATGGGGTTTCTCCATGTTAGTCAGGCTGGTCTCGAACTCCTGACCTCAGGTGATCTGCCTGCCTCGGCCTCCCAAAGTGCTAGGATTACAGGCTACAGGTGTGAGCCACCGCCCCCGGCGAGACTTAAGTAACTTTCTGAAGGTCACATGGCTAGTTAAAGATCAGGGCTGAGATTCAACCTGATTCTCTGACTCCACACCTTTAACCCTGTGCACTTAGAAGTAACTGAGACATTGCTCACCATGCAGATAAGGCCTTTCCTGGCTTAGTGCCTCAGCTTCTCTTTGATGACTTTCTCAATTCTCTGTGTCCCAGAGAATACTTTTTCTTTTCTTTCTTTTTTTTTTTTGAGATGGAGTCTCACTCTGTTGCCAGGCTGGAGTGCAGTGGCTAATCCCGGCTCACTGCAACCTCCGCCTCCCAGGTTCAAGCGATTCTCCTGCCTCAGCCTCCTCAGTAGCTGAGATTACAGGCATGTGCCACCACACCCGGCTAACTTTAGTATTTTTAGTAGAGACGGGGTTTCACCATGTTGGCCAGGATGGTCTTGATCTCTTGACCTTGTGATCCACCTGCCTTGGCCTCCCAAAGTGCTGGGATTACAGGTGTGAGCTACCACGCCCGGCTTTTGAGAATACTTTTTCAAAAAGAAAGAAACCAATATTGAGTACCTGTTGGGCCCTGTTTTGCTTTCACATCCATTCTTTCACTATGGGTTTATAATACCACGTCACTCTTCTTAAAATTAAAACTCTCCTTTACCTTGCACTTAGAAGAAAATCCAAAATTTTGACTGTGGCTTAAAAAGGTCCTGCATGCTAGCCCTTACCTACATCCAGGATCTCATCTCTAACTACTCTCCTCCATGCACAGTGCTCCCGGCTGTCCTGGCCTCCTTGTTCTTACTGGAATACATCAGTCTCTTTCCATTTCATGACCTCTGTAGTTGGTTTTCTTGCAGCTTGGAATGGCCTTCCTGAAGTCTTTGCCTGCTTAGCTCCTCCTCAGACTTTAGGTCTTATGTCCCAATAGTCCTGTCTGAAATTTCACCCTTTTCCTCTCATCACCTTCAGTCCTATCACTTCATTTTATTAATTGTACTCTCCATCATCTGAAATTATTATATTTATTTACTTTGTTAGTTACTAGTCTCATTTATTAGGTAAGCTTTTTGAGGATAGACAACCTTGTCCAGCTTGTTACTCTACTGTATTGCTAAGGTTTATGACAGTGTCTGTATAGAGTAGTTCCTTAATGTTTATTTGATACGTGAATGGGTGAATGAATAGCAGTCTCTACCAACAAGAGGAGGAGTGGTTCTCAACGGGGCCTGAGAAATGGCTTTGGAAAAGGGTGCTGGGAGAAGATTAGAACTTAGAGTGAGATCCTGACCTCTCTCCCCTTGCTTTGCAGGCCAGAGGCACCCAATGAGTTCTATGATGGAGACCATGACAATGACAAGGAAAGCGATGTGGAGATTTAAGAGTGGCTTGGGATGCTGTGTCCCAAGGAATTTCTTTTCACCTCTTGGTTGGGCTGGAGGGAAAAGGAGTGGCTCCTAGAGTCCTGGGGGTCACCCCAGGGCTTTTGCTGACTCTGGGAAAGAGTCTGGAGACCACATTTGGTTCTCGAACCATCTACCTGCTTTTCCTCTCTCTCCCAAGGCCTGACAATGGTACCTATTAGGGATGAGATACAGACAAGGATAGCTATCTGGGACATTATTGGCAGTGGGCCCTGGAGGCCAGTCCCTAGCCCCCCTTGCCCCTTATTTCTTCCCTGCTTCCCTCGAACCCAGAGATTTTTGAGGGATGAACGGGTAGACAAGGACTGAGATTGCCTCTGACTTCCTCCTCCCCTGGGTTCTGACTTCTTCCTCCCCTTGCTTCCAGGGAAGATGAAGAGAGAGAGATTTGGAAGGGGCTCTGGCTCCCTAACACCTGAATCCCAGATGATGGGAAGTATGTTTTCAAGTGTGGGGAGGATATGAAAATGTTCTGTTCTCACTTTTGGCTTTATGTCCATTTTACCACTGTTTTTATCCAATAAACTAAGTCGGTATTTTTTGTACCTTTCGCCTTTCTAGGAATGTTAATTCTTGCTAGTTTCCTATTTATGAAAGGAGAGGGAAATGGGCATGATGATGCATGTAATAAAAGCATAGTTAACATTCATTCAGCACTTATCCTACGTTAGGCCCTGTGTATGTATTCTACATTTATTATTGTAAATATAAGAAGTTAATAGAGGATTTTGGTTAAGAGTTAGACAAACCTGGGCAGATTTGAGAGGAGTAGAAGATGACTTCAGGTTTTTGAATCTGGGTGTTTAGAGTAGTGATGCTAGTTGGTGAAGATACACTGAGATAAAACATGTTAAGTGCTTAGCACAGTGCCTGACAGAAGAAGTTGCCCATTATCTGTCTATGTGAAGAACAATGCTAAATACTGTAGTAGCCACAAACATGAACCTTTCTCTAGAAGAGTTTACATTCCAGTCAGTAGTATGATAAATATTGTAGCAGATACAGACTGATACAAGAAAGAGGACTGATAGATGGGTCACTTCCTCCCCTCCATTCTCTGATTCTGTCTGTTCTCAACACTAGCTTAGAAAGTAGCTTTTGGACTTTTTAGACAAAATGTCTGGAAAGCTCAGCACTAAGTCAAGTTTGAAGTATGGGATGGACAGCTCTATGTAACATTCTATCCGATCACCATCAGAAGGTCTGGACCACAAGAGAGATGAATGCCAAATTTAGGAGCCAGCCAGCTTGGCAGAGTCCCTGGTATATCTCAGGCCCTTGACTAGGTACTGGGGCTCTAGAGTAAGTAAGTCACTGACTCTGCCCTTCAGGAACTTATGCTTGAAATCTTGCTAGCTGTGGTCAAGAATATTCAGTCCATATTGTGAAGGCCGACTGGTAGCCACGTAACTGTCACACAAGGGACAGATGTAGCTGGGAGAATGGATGAAATTGCTTAGGGAGAAAGTCATGCTAGAAGAGCAAAGAATATACTCTTGGAGAATACTCATTCTTTTCACTCATGTTTGGTTTATGTCAGTGGGGAATCCTGGTTAAACATAGGGTTTGGCAGCAAATCAGACTAAGCTGGGTTTAAATTTTATATCAATTATGCGTTCTTGGGCAAGTCACTTCAACTCTCAAAAGTCCAAATTTACTATTTATAAAATGGTGAGGCTAGCAGAATCTATCACATGGGACTGTGGGGACTTAGAAAAATACATGTAGAGTGTTTGCCTAGTGCCTAGCAGAGAGCAAAGGGCATGGTTAAGTGGTAACTGTTATTGCTGTTTAGGCACATGTTGGCAATAATTAGTTTGTCCTGATTAGAAACAATTAGATGGTACCTAACCTGGAATTCGAACTAGGAAATTAAACTCCAGAGCGAGTCTGGTTTAGTCTAGTGCTTGCCCTGGACCGAGCTCTGTTCTTGCTACCTTGCTTTCAAAACATGGTGGCTATCACTATAATTTTTTTCATGTGTTCCATGGGTATTGCACACATTGAAAACTGCATTCTCTTGGAAAACCTGTCACTAATTTTCTGCCAGGATAATGGTCTCACGCGATTTTTGGTCTGGGATGTGAGAGGGTCCAGGCTGTCAGGCTGTACAGCCACGTGGGCGCTGCGTGGGAGCCAGAGGCCTGCGCTGCTCCAACCGCCAGGGGGCGGTGCTCTCCGCCGCGGCCGCGGAGAGCTGCACCGCCCACTCACCACCCCCCCCCACGTGGGTCCGAATGGTTAGGTCCGCTGGGCAGGTAGCGCGCTTCCGCGGCTTCCCTCCGCCCCTCTCCCTTCCCCCATTGGTAGGGGCTGCGGGTCCGGGCGGAAGTGGGGCAGGCGGGCGGGAGCGAGGCGTCGTCGTTGTATATTCATGAGGCGCGCGCAGCCCGGCATGCTAATGAGGCGGGGCGCGGCGGCTGGCTAAAGAGCGACTGGGCGGCGGCGGGCGCGGAGCTGCCAGGCGGGAGCGGCGTAGGCGCGGGGTCGCCGGCCAGCGTGAACCGGGACATGGAGCCGCCCGGCGGGAGCCTGGGGCCCGGCCGCGGGACCCGGGACAAGAAGAAGGGCCGGAGCCCAGATGAGCTGCCCTCGGCGGGCGGCGACGGCGGCAAATCTAAGAAATTTGTGAGTGTCCCTCCCATCCCGCTCCTGCCTGGCCCCGTAACCGCCCTCTGGACCCCTGCAGCCGGCCCCTGGGGCGCCTGCCCGGCTTTGGGGAGCCGCCCCCGCGCCTTCCTTCCTCGTTTCGCTCGGTCCGCAGCTCTGCAGCCCGACATCCTCTCCCTTCGGGACCTCGGGAAGCCCCGGAATCCCACCCGGCTCTTGCCCCGGCCACCTCGGGGCTTCCCTCGTTCCCCAGCCCTTACATTCTGCCCTCCCGCCCGCATATCCCCGGCCGGCTCTCAGCCCCGTCTCTCCCCTCTCAGCCTCACTTCCTTTCTTCTTCCTCCAGTACCCGAACACGCCTCCTCTTTTTTGGTCCCCTCTTCTGGGTCCATTTTCTCTTCTTAACCTTACACCTTTTTTGGTATTCTCGTATTTCCTTCTCCTAAAGGTCACTTCCTTCTCCATGATTCATCCTTTTTACCTGCTAACTTTCCTCCCGCCCAGTCCCCCGTGGGCCCTCCGCCCGGTGTCACTTGATAATCCTTCCCCTGAGGAATGTTACCTGACTTGAGCCCTACCCCCAACTCCTTCTTTGGACGTTTGTCCTTGCGATTACAGGAATGGGCTCCTGCCCAGGTCCTATGGTCACTGGGGCATGACGTTTATTTGTTTACCAGTATTCCTCTCTCCAGAGAACCTCTCTCTTTGCCCTGTTGCTTATCACTTTTCAGAGGATTAGAACTCTCATGATTGTGCCCTTCTTGACCTAGGATGGTGATAAACCTCTCCTGTGGGAAGAAAGTTGGACTGCGAGTTCAAGAAGTTTGTAATTGAATTGTTTTTTATACATTTCCCATGATAACCGTCTCCTCTACTCCTTTTCTACTGCCTCTTGTGCCCCAAGGCGACTATCGGCTTCCCTTTGCGTGCCTGTAGAAGAGTAAGCTTTCCTCAAGTGCCAGTTACTTTCAATCCGAGTGAAGGAATAGTGATATACATGTAACCCTATCATATTTCATTACCTTTTGCCCACACCAACGCCTCTCTCCAGGGAGCCGTTTGGTTGCTTTTTTGCTATAAAAGCTTTGTAAGATACGGGGCACTGTCCAGGAGAGGAAAAGTCTTGGATATTGATGATCATTATAATAGCTAGTTATAACTGTAGCTCTTTTGTCTTCTCTTCCAGGTATTTATGCCCTTACACTAGTGTATCTTTCTACTAAACAAATGGCTTGTAACTCTTAGTCCCACCTCCCAACATTTTGACCCAGCTCCACAAATTTGGGAAGAAAACTGATAAAGCGATGGAAACAGGAAGAAAATGTTGTTTTATGACCTAGAGGGTTGAGATGTTAACCCTGGAGGGTTAGATGTTTAATTCTAAATAGAATTAAAATAGTGACTCATCTCTTCCTATTTCTAGCAAGACCAAGTGCTCCTGGACTGCCCTTTCCAGTGATATCTGAGATGTCAGTAACCATCTGTTTTTATCTGGTGAACATCTTTTTTTCCCCCCCTAGAAATATAAGGTTAAGGGTATTGACACCCCCTCCTTCTTTGGTGACTAAAGCAGCATTTTTGTATGTTTCTTTAGGATAAGAATTGACCCCTCCCCCCCGTTAGCTTTCCTTCCAAAACTTAAGTTCTAGGGCTCATATTCCTTCTATTTCTGTATCTTTTTGTTTTGATTTTATTTCCATGAGTACTGTTTGACCTTCCTCACCCAAATTCCAGCTATTGCTGCTGACTTGTGGTGACCTCAGTGACTTGTTTTCATGTCTTGAGTAGAATTTTATATGTACTCTATTTTATCTAACAATTATTTCACGAACTTGTGAAGTCTACTATGTGTGTGGTACTGTAAGGTGAGAAACCTGAGGAAGCTCAACCCCTTTTCACCTGTCTTTTGGAATGTCCATGAAGTCTTCTATATGTTTAATGGATTTGGCTCAGGGTTGTAGGTATTTGCTTTAGAGAGGATGGAGCTGAACCAAGTTCTCTTTTCTTTCTGCGGTGTTAGTCTTAACCCTTAATCTGCTGAATTTTTAAAACTAAATAGCTCAGGTAATGAGGAAAATTGCATTAGTAGCTACGGAATTGGAAGGTTTCTAGGAAAGTAGTGCTGCTTAACCCTTTTATTGCCAAATGTAACCTATCTCAAGGCATCAGAATATTCTTTCTTCCTCTTGCTCCTTTTATGAGAACTCTGTGGAAATGAGAGATGAGGAGGAGCATTGCAATCCACTTCTCTTTGTGTCTGTGTATGTATACGTGGGTGGGTGGAGTGGGCGAGATTGCTGGTGTGCTTTTGATACCCGTGGCTTAGTTTTCTTGAACTATAGGCTAAAACTGAACTCAAAGGTCTTTCGCCGCCTCCACCTTTTCTAGAGTATGTGTCCTCTGGAACTCCATTAAGAATGTACTGTATAAAACTGCACTGGTTTGGACTAAGTGTGCCCGAAGGTTGTTTGCATTTGAGGGTTTATAATTCCTTTAGCTGCTACATACCTTTCCTGGCTTATGCAGGTTCTAAATACGGATTAACTGGTGAGAACACAGAGCTCACAAATTGTCTGAGATCTGCTCTTACCCTCTGAGGCATCTTGTGTGGAAAGGAGATGGACCCTCAGTTTAAAAGTGGTTGGGCATCATCTTTTAAAAACACATGATTGTTAGACGTGCTGACAGTGAGTGGCTGAAGCCAGGCTGCCTGGTATTACCCCTTGGTTCTTCATGAGTCTGTCTTCTCCTGGGCCATGAGCATACCCCTTCTCCGGCATTATTCCATTTCCTTTCACAAGTCCTTAAGATGAAGGAAAATAAAAATTTTAGGTGAACAGAGGGTTTTCTGACTTTTCAGCAGTGATCAATGTGGGTGTCAAATAGACTGATTTCCAAAATATACGTAAGGGGAATAAGTAGAACCGGGATGTTAGGAGGCTGCAGAGTATTCTTACATTTAATAGACTTTGTATGCACTCTCATATAATCGAGAAAGTGATGCATTGTAAGAGAGAATATTGCTTCCTGATTTAACTAGGAGCATTAGCGAGAATTTTTTTTTTCTTTTTTTGAGATGGAGTCTCGCTCTGTTGCCCAGGCTGGAGTGCAGTGGTGCAATCTCAGCTCACTGCAAGCTCCGCCTCCCGGGTTCATGCCATTCTTCTGCCTCAGCCTCCCCAGTAGCTGGGACTACAGGCACCTGCCACCACGCCTGGCTAATTTTTTTTGTATTTTTAGTAGAGACGGGGTTTCACCGTGTTAGCCAGGATGTTGTCGATCTCCTGACCTCGTGATCTGCCCACCTCGGCCTCCCAAAGTGCTGGGATTACAGGCGTGAGCCACCGCGTGCGGCCCTTTTTTTTTTTTTTTTTTTTTCTTTTTCTGAGACGAGTCTTGCTGTGTCCAAGGCTGCAGTGCAGTGGCGCGATCTCGGCTCACTGCAACCTCCACCTCCCGGGTTCAAGCGATTCTCCTGCCTCAGCCTTCCAAGCAGCTGGGATTACAGGTGTACGCCGCCACACCCAGCTAATTTTTGTATTTTTAGTAGAGACTGGTTTCACCATGTTGGCCAGGCTGGTCTTAAATTCCTGACCTCGTGATCCGCCAGCCTCAGCCTCCCGAAGTGCTGGGATTACAGGCGTGAGCCACCTCGTCCGGCCAAGAGAATGATTTTTACTATTATTAAAATTATTAAAATTAGTTTAATTTTGGATTCCTATATTGAGTTATGATCATGTTGCAGTTACACGGTCTTCTAAATGCAAAGTAATAGAGTATAAATGTTTAGTAGTAGACTCCTGTCCAAAAGGAGACAAATTAAAGGATGCCAGGCAGAAAGAAGTGGAGTTGTTCGTGCAGATTTCTGCTTATATCCTCTTAAAACATTAACTTTAATCCAAAAGTTTGCAGAAAACTGAAAAATATACAGAGAGCTTTGCAAAAGTTTGCAGAAAACTGAAAAATATACAGAGCGCTTTGTACACCTTTTTTTTTTTTTAACAGATGATGAACGCAAGGATTATATAGTTTGGAAAGAGGGAGGGGAGCCTACAGGAACGTTAGTGAGATGTTTGAGATGACAGAATGGTAGCTTAAAGATTTCCGCCATTCTTCCTGCCTTGTCTTAAGGACAGATCATGAGTCTACTTGGTATGGTTACCTGTACTTTTTCAAAGAAAATTCTCCCTCACAGGAGGTGAAAGTGAGGGAATGCCTTAGAATTAAAATCTCTGCCTTGGGAGAGTTGGTAAATTTTTTTAAAAAGCTGAAAATTTTATGACCCGTAAATTATGTTTATTATGAAAGCTAAGAAAATAGTGAGACATGATTTAATTTTGTTGATGGGTGCACGGGTCAGAATAATTTTATTTCCTGTGTCTTAGAATCACCTTTTGTTATTCCCCAAGGCCCTTGGTATTTTATAAATGTATTGCCAGGCTATTCTCAGGGAGTGTTATATATCTTCCATGAAATGTAATAGAGATTTAAAAGATAAGTTGTATGTCACATATGATTTAGAAGAACAGGTTAAAATAATTTTTATTGATAAATACTAGATGTTATAGAGAAGCAAAGAGTTTGTATATGCAGGTTTATATATCCCTTTTTATGTCCCAGTAGCTGAAATTATTTATGGCTACAAAAATCATCCCCATTTTGAAACAAACTTTGTATTACTTAAGTGGTTTTCTTTTTTCATTGAGCCTCCTTTTCTCAATTACCTTTGTTTGAAAGCAGTAGGCAAAAAATTCATTTTATGCTACCAGCAAAGCATTGGATGTTTGCCCCTCCTTGGGGTTAGGTGAGACAAAGCCACACTCTCCCCTTGCCTGGCTGCCTGTCACCTCCTCCCTGTGTTTTTATTCCTTTCCTACTTACGTGGGGGCTGATTTGAGCGCTATGAATAGCCAGGCCTTTGGGGAATTAGGGGCAGTCAGAAGCTGTTGATAATAAAATTTCTTAAAACTTTTAAGCTAAAATTGAAAAGTAAAGAATAATTACTATGAACATATTTTACTGTATTTCTCCTTTTTTTTAACACGTTTCTTAGGATCAAGAAACCCTTTTTAAGGAAGTAAAAGAATTACTGAAGGAAAAGAGAAATAGACTAATATTTTAATGAATTTTACCACTGATTACAAGATAACTCTCATTGTTCTTTCAACTTTGAAATTCTTACTTCCATCCATTATTAAATCTTACTGTGAATGGTACCCTTAAAACTTCAGAGTTGGAAGGGACTTTAAATGTCATCAAGTCCAAACACCCACTCAGTGCAACAGTCACTTCTGCAGTTGTAGGTTGGAAACATCAGGGGGCTAAGAGGTGGAAATTGGATGAACAAGTGGAGGAAGAGGAGCAGAAATTTTGGATTCTACATTTTCTTTACTAAATTTTAGGATCTTGGGAATGGCTGGAGTAGTAGAAAGAGATTATATAAAAGGAACAGATATACTAGAAGCTGTGAGATTGAAAGGAAAAAGATTGAAGAAATTGGCTCTCTATTGCTTGGCTCTGTAACAGTTAGGGAGAGTCAGTTTGCCCTTTAAATATTTGTTTAAATTTCTTTCCTCCAAGGCGGGGGATAGAACAGATAAGGGGATGCAAATGAGAGTTAGCATAATGGAATTGAATTAAAGGAAACATTCTCTTATGGAGGATGGGAAAATTCCATCCTTGGTGGTGGATATGACTGGTCCTTAGTAGCTATCTGGGAATTTTGTTAGGGTGGCAAATATAGGTAGAATTTATGGTGTCCTGTATAATTTTCTGGATTTCTGATTTTGTGACTTATTTCCTGTCTTGTGAGTAGTGTCATCTGAAGGCTTTGGATTTGTAATTTCTTTTAAGATTTAAAATACTGTAAGGACCCAAGACAGGATGATTTATAAACCATTTTTGATACTGAAGGTCACAGAAAACCAAAGAGCATACGTTGGTAGTTGGCCTTACATCTCAGATCTGTCTGTGTTTTATTTTCAGTGTCAGAACTTTAAGATCAAGTAGAAAAGATACCCTTCATCTCTATTTTTACAGCATTATTGATATATAATTAAAATACAATAAACTGCATATTTATTCATGAAACCATTTCTATAGTCAAGATAATGAATATAGCAGTCACCTTCAAGTTTCCTCCTTCTCTCTTTGTTATCCCTCCCTCTCACCCATCCTCGTCCTCCCATCTCCAGATTACCACTAATTTTCTTTCTGTAACTATAGATTAGTTTGTGTTTTCTAGAATTTTATATAAATGGAATCATACAGTATGAACCCTTTTGCTGGGGCTTCTTTTATTGTGATGTGTGGTCTTTCATATATCAATAGCTTAATCCTTTATATTGCTGAGTACTATTACATTGTATGGATTTACACAATTTGTTTATTCATTTACCCTATTGATGGACATTTGGGGTGTTCCCAGTTTTGGGAGTGCAGTTTTTGTCTGTGAACATTCTCATACAACTTTTTGGGCTGGACATATGTCTTCATTTCTCTTGGGTAAGTACCCATGAGTGGAATGACTGGGTCATTTGGTAGATCTATGCTTAATTGAGAAATTGCCAAACTGTTTTCAAACTGTTTTCCAAACTGTTTTCATTTTACATTCTTACCAGCAATGTGTAAAAGTTCCAATTTCCTGTCAACTGTTAGTATGATCAGTCTTAAATTTTAGCCATTCTAGTGGGTATGTGATGATATCTCAGTATGCTTTATTTATTTATTTATTTATTTATTATTTTTTGAGACAGAGTTTCACTCTCGTCGCTCAGGCTGGAGTACAGTGGCATAATCTCGGCTTACCGGAGCCTCTGCCTCCCAGGTTCAAGGGATTCTCCTGCCTCAGCCACCTGAGTAGCTGGGATTACAGGAGGCTGCCACCACACCCAGCTAATTTTTGTATTTTTAGTAGAGATGGGGTTTCATCATGTTGGCCAAGCTGGTCTTGAACTCCTAACTTCAGGTGATCCACCTGCCTGGGCCTCCCAAAGTGCTGGGATTACAGGCGTGAGCCACTGTGCCCAGCTGCAGTATGCTTTAATTTGTCATTCCCTAATGATGTTGAACATCTTTTCTTGTCCTTACTTGCTGTTTATATATCTTTCTTAAGAATCTGTTCAAGATTTTGCCCATTTGCTATCTATGTATCGTCCGTGAAGAATCTGCTCATGATTTTTCCTTCCTTCCTTCCTTTCTGTCTTTTGTCTTTCTTTTGTCTGTCTGACTTTCTTTTGTCTGTCTTTCATTCTGTCTTTGAAATGGTAGTCTCACTCTGTTGCCTAAGTTGGAATGCAGTAGTGCAGTCATGGCTCACTGCAGCCTTAATCTCCTGGGCTTCAGGAATCCTGCCTCAGCCTCACAAGTAGCTGGGACTACAGGCGTGTGTCACCACTTCTGGCTGTCTTTTCATTTTCCTAACAGTGTATTTTGAAGAACCAAAAAACTTAATTTTGATGGAGTCCAATTTTTTTTCATTTTTGTTTTGTGTGTTACATTTCAAAAATCTTTGCTAAAATTATGGTCGCTAAGGTTTTCTCCTCTGTTTTGTTTTTTGTTGTTGTTAAAAGAGAATGGATCTCACTTTGTTGCCTGGTCTGGAGTGCAGTGGCACAATCATAGGTCACTGCAGCCTTGAAACTCCTGGGCTCAGCCTCCCCAGTACCTGGGACCACCATGCCTGGCTAATTTTTCTTTTCTTTTCTTTTCTTTTTTTCTTTTTTTGAGGCAGAGTCTCACTCTGTCACCCAATCTGGAGTGCAGTGGTGCAATGACAACTCAGTTGCAGCATCGACCTCCTGGGCTCAAGCAATCCAGCTGCCTCGGTCTCCTGGAGTATCTGGGACTACCGGCATGCACCACAATGCCTGGCTGATTTTTTTCTTTTTCTTTTTTTTTTTTTTATAGTGGTGGGGTTTCACTATGTTGCCCAGGCTGGTCTTGAACTCTTGGGCTCAAGTGATCCTCCTACCTTGGCTTCCCAAAGTGCTGGCATTAAGGCATGAGTCACTGCACCTGGCCTAATTTTTTTTATGTTTTATTTTTGTAGAAATGACGTCTCGCTAGGCGGGGTACGGTGGCTCATGTCTGTAATCCCAGCACTCTCGGAGGCTGAGGTGGGCAGATCACGAGGTCAGGAGTTTGAGACCAGCCTGGCCAAGAGACCAGCCTGTCCAATGTGGTGAAACCCCATTTCTACTAAAAATACAAAAATTGGGCTGGGCACAGTGGCTCACACCTGTAATCCCAGCACTTTGGGAGGTCAGGGTGGGCGGATCACGAGATGAAGAGATCGAGACCATCCTGGCCAACATGGTGAAACCCCGTCTCTACTAAAAATACAAAACTTAGCTGGGCGTGGTGGTGCGTGCCTGTAATCCCAGCTACTCGGGAGGCTGAGGCAGGAGAATTGCTTGAACCTGGGAGGTGGAGGTTGCAGTGAGCCGAGGTTGTGCCACTGCACTCCAGCCTGGCGACAGAGTGAGACTGTCTCAAAAACAAAACAAAACAAAAAAATTAGCCGGGTGTGGTGGTGGGTGCCTGTAATCCTAGCTACTTGGGAGGCTGAGGCAGGAGAATTGCTTGAACCCAGGAGACGGAGGTTGCAGTGAGCCATACATCATGTCACCCTTGGGCGACAGAGCGAGACTCCAACTCAGAAAAAAAAGAAAGAAAGAAAGAAAGAAATGGGGTCTCACTATGTTGCCCAGGCTGGTCTCGAACTCCTAGCGTCAAGTGATCCTCCTGCCTTGGCCTCCCAAAGCCCTGTGATTACAAGTGTGAGCCACTGTGCTCGGCTTCTCTCTTTTCTTCTAGAACTTGTATAGATTTAGCTTTTAAATTTCCCTCTTTTCTATCATGCATATGTGAGTTCCACATGTTCACTTTGGGATATAAATTGTCACCTGTGGTCAACAGAGAACATTTCTGATACTCTGAGGATTTCGGGACTTTCATTCCATTTATCGTGGAAGCATTTTTTTCTTGTTAGGTGGTGGTGTTAGCAACCTTTTGTTTTCCTGTATTCAGTATACTACAGATTGTGTAATGCCAGTCTTCCTGTTTCTAAATATTAATGAATGTTTAGCATCTTTATAGATAAGGAAAATTAATTCATTCCAGACTAGGATAGGGAATAACAACAGTAGCAGTAATAAAAGCAGTTGTTTGTTGCATACTTAACTGTATCCCTAGTGCAGTGCTAAAGAGCCTTAGATTTATTATCTCATTAATCTCTACATTGACCTTATAAAATAGGTACTGTTATTATTCCCATTTTATAGGTAATGAAACTGGAACTCAGATCAAGCAGCCTGCTTGAAGACATAGAACTAGTTAGTGACAGAGCTAGGATTCAAACCTAGGCCTAGCTGATTCAAAACTCATGGACTTACTCACTACATTGTACTGACAGTTTATGTGTGTCCAGTTTTTGTGCCTGCAGTGTAAAACTGGACTGCAGTGTAACTATTCACTGCTAGGAATTTCTTAGAAAATTTTGGTGGTATTCCCTTAGAGTTCTTTGGTCATCTACAGTCTATTAAAATGAACTGGATTCTCCTAGAGTTCAGTTGGCAGGAAAAAAGTACTAGGCTTAGATGTAAAAAGCGTAGTGGCTAAATGCCTGTTTTTTTTTTTTTTTTTTTGCATTTAGTAATTTAGACTTTGAAGCCATTGGAAGAATCTTAATTAAACCTTTTTTAGGCATGAAAAAATAGCTATTACAGTGCTTGCAAAACCTATCTTTCGCTTGGCTCATGCGTTATTAGGATGATGCTTAAATTATTATTTTTTAATGTAACTGTGTCTCCTTTGTAAGTAGAACAGCTCTAACATCATCACCTGTCAGGAGTTTTAGTTGTTTAAATTGCTGAGAGCCACAAGTAGTGGTAACAATGTTACAGGAAGGGGGAAGCTGTTACTAGACTGTCTCTATAGTTATCCTTTTTATATTTTAAATTTGACGTTTGGTATTCTTAAAGACCTCTGTTTGTGCTCCTGAAATTTGACTGTTGTAATGATTGCAAATGGCTAATAACCAGGATCTCTTCTGAGTCTGGGAACTGCTGAAGTTTGTTCTTTAGACCTGGCAGTTATTTGCCAGTGGTTAATAATTAAGACATTGCCACAGAGGTCCAAGTACCTGGAACTGGGATTTGTTTCTGGTGACTAGTGGTGAGGAGTAGGGAAGAGTTTCTGTTGATTTCCTGAGTCTACATGTATCTACTCTAGATCCAAAGACTGACCAAGAAGTCATGAGACTGTCCTATCAGGTTCAGTTCTTGCTCTTTAAGAAATTGTAATTTCAACCACGTCTATAAAAGAGGGATAGAAAAAGCTCTAAGGCTGTGATCTTAGACTTTAAATGCTGTAGAAATTCATAGAAGTGAGGGAATTAAGTGGAAAGGCTATTGGACTGACAGAAGGCCTAAGTTTCAAAATCTTAGAATGCTGGAGTCAAAAGGATGCTAAGAATTATCTAATTCAACCCCTTTATTTTTTATTTTTTAAGAGTCAGAGTCTTACTCTGTTGCCCAGGCTGGAGCGCAGTGGTGCAGTCATGGCCCACTGCAGCCTGGAACTCCTGGGCTCAAGCAGTCCTCCCACCTCAGCCTCCAGAGTAGCTGGGATACAGGCACAGGCCACCGGGCCCAGCTATCAACCCCTTTACTTTATAGATTAAGAAATGTTGACTAGACAAGTGATCTGTCCAAATTTAAAACTAGAAATAGAACCTTTATCTCCCACCCTGTCTGAATTATTCTTTCCATATGTAGCTGCTTAGTTGTGTCTTTACCACTAATTAACCATGTGAACTCTAAGCAAGTTATTTTACTTTTCTTCATCTTTTTATCTTTTGTAAAATTAGGGGGTTATTATGAATCATTTCTAACATCTCTGCTAATGCCCCAGATACTGTAAATGACCCAGAATGTAATTGCGGGCAGTGTTAACTTAGCTTCCTAGAAGATGGGGGATATGACTGGGCCTTGAATAAAATCCAAGATTTGGCAGAGTAGAGAGGGAAAGAATTCATGAGATGGGGAGCAGTAGAACAAAGGCTTAGGTGTGAATATGTGGCTGTAGTAAAGAGAAATGGCCTGATTATAGCAATTATATGAGGTTTAGTAGAACCATTTAAGAAAGGTAAAGCCACTTCATAGAAATTATTTTATCCCTGGTAAGGGCTTTAAGGTTCCCTTTCTATAAAAACCTGCAGAAAGCAGGATTGAAATTTAACATTTTGTAACAGGTTGTAATACATGTTGATGTCCGTTTTTGGCCATGTGATAAGTGGTGGTGACAGTAAGTACATTGGAATATCCAAGAAGGAATAGTGTTAAGGTCAGTTTTCAGCAAGTTATTTCCGCTACGTAGATGGAGTTTAAAAAGTTAAGTTTATTTGATTTTCAGTCCTTACCAATTTTAATACATCGATCTTTTTAGACTTTCAGAAATTAGATTTTAAAAGGCGTGACTCTTCAGCTGGATCTCAAGGATGTATAAGAAAATTATGGGCTCAGATAGGTAATGCCATTGTTGAAACAATCTGAGTCTATCTTTGGGCCCTGTTGTTTCTTCTAAATGTTCTTTAATACAGTACGATTTAGCTTTTGATTGCATACTTATTTGAAGTATTCTTCTGTCTTTCTTGAATGCAAAAATATATGTTTATATCTTATTTTGGGGTCTTATCTCCCATCTAGATTGTAAGGTTTCTAAGAGTAGTGGTAGTATTTAGCTCATGTTAGTTAATATCCTTTATGTATTTTATATTTTAGTTTTAATGTTAACCTTGGGAATCTTTTTCTTTTTTCTCATCTTAAGGTTTGCTTCCTTTTTTTTTTTTTTTAATAGCCTTGGGAATCTTGATTATTTTCAAGGCTCTCTGTTTCTGTGATCTAATATAGGAGACTGACAGTTTTGAAAACATTAATTCTCTCTCACCAAAGTAACTATGGGGCAGAGAGAATCACTAATGTAACTATATGTGACCAGAAGAACTCTGTTGAGAAGAGATTATTATTCATCTCTGGAGAGATAGTTTTGACTTGTGTTTAATGAAAGAACATGTCTGTAGGATTAAAAAAAACTCTTATGTTATTTTACATAGTGTAAGGCTATCAACTTTTATTATTAAAAATGAAAGCAGGCACTTTGGGAGGCCGAGGTGGGCAGATCACCTGAGGCCAGGAGTTCAAGACCAGCCTGGCCAACATGGTGAAACCCCGTCTCTACTAAAAATACAAAAATTATCCAGGCGTGGTGGTGCCCAGTTGTAGTCCCAGCTACCCGGGAGGCCGAGGCAGGAGAATTGCTTGAACCCAGGAGGTGGAGGTTGCTGTGAGTCGAGATTGTGCCATTGCACTCCAGCCTGGGCGACAGAGCGAGACTCTGTCTCAAAATAAATAAATAAATAAAAATGAAAGCAGGATTTGACTCAGTGCCCTTAGGGATTGTTACATACATTTAAAGTGAATAATTGCTAAGTTCCCATATTATTTGAATCTATTAATATGATCTTTAATGGCTACAGAAAGGTTTACATTGAGTATTAAATGAAGAGAACAAGGAAGAGTTTTCAAGTCCTCAGGGTATGTCTGGATATCCACAAAAAGTACTAGTGGCAGTAGGAGTGCACCATTTTTTTCATAAGCACATATACTCCCACCCAGAGCTATAAGAATTCCTTCAGTTCCTTCATTTGGCAATAGAAGCAAAATAGTTTTGGACTATTCTAAAATTATTTCATTTTGCATGGGGCCTAGAGGGATATTTTTAGTTTTCTTAGTTTTTGTGAAAGATGTGTGTCAGGCTTAGAGGTCTCTAGTGATTTCTTTCTTGATTCTTGTATTTTTAAAAGATGGGAGTTGGTCTTAGTTGGCAGCTCTTTGCATCCGCCAGGGCTGTTCGTTACTTACTTCTAGGTCTGTGGGTGACGTCTGTTTCCTGTGATTGAAACCGCAAGAAGAAGTGGTGAGAAGCCACTGTAGGATATGTATTATCAGGCAAGCAGCAGGCATTGGGCTGCCCTCAAAAAGAGCAGTAGTACCTAAGTATAGTCTTTAAGGAGTCGGAAGAGACCCTAGAAATGATCTGACCCAGCCTCTTAAAATTAGGAGGACACTGAGGCCTAGTGGTATTAAGTTGCTCAAAGTCGTGTAATTAGATGACCTAGGTTTTAGACTCCACTAATATTCTTCTCAGTATTCTTTCTCACATTGCATTGTCATACCTAAACTTTGTAACTGTGCCTTGTCAGGAGTGTTTCCTTAAGCAAAATACCACTGGAGAAGAGTAAATACTGATAGGCATTTTGCCTATGGTAATTGGATGATGATGTTTTGCTTTTAGATGATGTGCTAATGATTTTTTGTGTGTGCTTTTTTTTTGAAAACACATATATATTTTTGAAACAATACGTAAGAACCCTAAATTTCTATTTTTCATTTTTATTTTACAGTCTTTGTATATTTTAGTCATTATCTCTATGCACAAATATTTTTACAACATTGCCTTTATAGTTTACAGATGTTTTTTGCTTTTAAAATAGTGTCATAAAAATTTTCCAGCTTTCTAATCTTTGAAAATTGCCACCTTAATTTGAAATGGAAATGTATGTGTATTCTAAAAGTGATAGTTTTTTTCTAAGAAAATACAAATGTATATAAAAAGAGTAAAACAGTCCCATACTTTGTTTTTCAGAAATTAATTTTTTTTAATGGTTAGAACCAAAGAGAACAGTACATGATATATGGAAGTTTCTTTAGATCCTAAGTACTTTGGCATGAAATTCTGTGTGTGTTTGTGTTAGAACATAGTTCAACACAAGTACAATTGCTAGAAGTATCAGAACAACCTTATTTTAACACTTATATTTCTGGTGGTAGAGAAATAATAAGATTTCATCTTCATGCTCATCTCCCCTCCTCCCTAAGATTTTTTCAAAATCTTATTCTGAATGTGTACCGGGCCAAAAAATATTTTCTGTGGTTTCGTAGGATCAAGTCTGGCTTATTGAGTAGTAGTATAATTTTTGGATTAGTTAAGCGGTTGTCAGTAGGGGTAGGATTATTTCTGGGTATTCAGGAGTGGTGTGAGGATACAAAAAAGAGATTATTTAGAAATGAAAGGACTTTAGGAATGGGATTTAAAACAAGGTGTCCTCATACTTGGTGCCTGTATGTAGAAGCGGTAGCAGTTGCAGAAACTTCCTGCTGTCTGCTAGGCTTTGGGTGTGTCACACACATGCCCACCCTTGAGGAAGAGTAGATGTCCTGCTACTCACATCATAACATGGGAGGAGAAGACAGTTGCTACGGCGATTGGGAAACAGCATTCCTGAGTCACTGACTATTTCTAAATGAATGGACAACACCCCTTTTTTTAAAGGAGTGATCATAGTCTTCTCTAAGCTTAGGCAGCAGAGGGAGAGGCCTAGTAAGAAAGGAAGAGCAAGTATCAATATTTGAAGCTTGAGAAATATGTTGAAATTTTGGAAAAATTGGTTAACATTATGTTTTGTTTCCTGTATATGTATTCAAAAGTTGTATTGGAACCTTAGAATGTTTGAAAGGAAGGAAGCTTTGCTTACTGTTCTGTCACCAAATGACAGACTATGCATGCTGGCTTTCACCTTCTGAACAGCAGAAGATACCGGTGTGCCTGCTACACCTTGTGATACTTGATAGGAAAGTAGGACTTCCAGACTCTGAGCACTTTCTCTGTTGGCAGCTTGTTTGCCCAAACCATGTGTGCTTTATAGTGCAAGGACTGGCAGTTTGTATGGATGGACTTGGAGGAATGCAGCATCCTCAGCCCGGTTTCTACCTGTTCTGCTGTGCTGGAATAGTGATACCAGCGTGGCCTTTCCTCCTTCCCTCTGGGCTATCAACTACCTAGGATGCCGGCTGCCAGTTGCAGGGCTTTAGGATGAGCTGAGCTGTAGGCAAAAAGTTACTTTTTCCCTTTCCCCAAGGTACTTGCCTTCTTGAACTATTAGAGAAGTGATACTTTGGACCTGTTAGAGGATCCAATTCTAATATTAAGATAGTTTTCCCCTCATTTTAATTATAATTGGGAAATAAGGTTTATTGGAAAGCAGACTCACCAACAGTTTTAGACAGTTGTGCAGGACATTAAGTTAGTTGCTTTACATTTATAAGTAAATTATTTCAAATTTATAAGCAAATTATTGAAATACAGAATGGACTACAGTTACTACTGTTCTTTATACGGCATTTCTAACTTGTGCTTGACACTGGCCACTGCCTAGAATCTTTCATTGTTCCCGGGTGGGGTTAGGAAAAAGATGCTGATTTTGGAAGGCAGGGGTAGATTGATAGAACTCTTTTAATTAGGAATAAAAGATATTGGACTGTCTTTTACTATGTTTCCTTTGTTGGCTGTTGTATGAATTCTAACAAGTTTATTATTTATTTATGTTTTCTCAGCTTTATTGAGGTATAATTGACATACAAATTGTTTATGGTATACAACATGATGTTTTGATATATGTATACATTGTGGAACTAATGAGTTTAACTCTCCAGTGCTTAGTTTAGCTGTGGGGCTGCTGAGGCACTCTGAACCAAATGGAGGAGCTGCTACAGTCTTACCTAATCCTTCAGCACTTTTTCCTCAGTGGTCATGGAGAACATGAGCCTATCATTTCCATTTCTGGGGACTGCTAGGTAATCTTCAGCCTTCTTTCCCTTAAACACATTTAGCTTTTCTAGGTTTATAGTTTATATTTTTAAATTCCTGGTCATTTTGTGCCCCTCTTCTAGACTTCCTTTCCTCTGAGGTACCCTTTTTCTTTCCTTTATTTTCTTTTTGAAGTGGGTACTCCAACTCTACACAACGCCTGTGTAGGCTGCAGGCACCAATAAGTGGTGATGTCAGAATCTAGTTTGTTTCTCTGTAAATGCTAGATGAAATGTTGATTCAATTGCTGTTGTCTTTGGGCCATTCCTTGAAAATGGAAGGGAAAGTTCTTCTGTGCATTTAAAGTTGTCCATTATTTCATTTTCTTTAGTTCTGACTGACTTCTGTTTAAGGAGTGGGAATTGAAGAAGGGAAACTAGCCAGTTTCAGTGGTTCCATCATATATTATTTAACTTTTACAAAGTACTTTGCAAAACAAAGTGCTTTATATCTGTTTTATTATTTATTCTTCATACTAGTCCTCTGAGACAACAGAACCCTAGAGATAGGAAGACTGAAACTGTGGTCGATTTTTAAAAGCTTACCCTGACTTTACATTCCTTTAGTGGAAATGTGATAAATTTTGTGGCAAAGGCCAGGCGTGGTGGCTCACGCTTGTAATCCCAGCACTTTGGGAGGCCAAGGCAGGTGGATCACGAGGTCAGGAGTTCAAGACCATCCTGGCTAATACGGTGAAACCCCGTCTCTACTAAATATACAAAAAATTAGCCGAGTGAGGTGATGGGCGCCTGTAGTTCCAGCTACTCGGGAGGCTGAGACAGGAGAATGGTCTGAACGCAGGGGCGTAGCTTGCAGTGAGCCAAGATTGCGCCACTGCACTCCAGCATAGGCAACAGAGTGAGACTTCGTCTCAAAAAAAAAAATTTTTTTTTGTGGCAAAGCTAGATCAGGCCTCAATGGTAACTGAATTCAAGATCCTATTATGACCCTCTGTTGCCTCAGTACCCTAAGGAACTGTGTCAATCCTGAATAAAGAAATTAATCAGAGCTGGACCCTTATCTCTCTGTTCTGCATGATTCTAAGTGACATATGCCTTACCTTACCTGTTCTTTCTGGGTAGGTAGATTAGGATATGAAAGGAAATTATTTTTGGCTGTAGTGATACTTATTTCCCATTTTACCCATAGGTAGACTTTGTCATTATTGAGGGCTTATTGTCCTGTGGGCTCCAGTCAAGGTTCCTTGGTCTCATTCATAAGGAAAGACATTACTCTTGAAGGTTTGATTTACTGAGCTATTCGTAACAATCATAGTGTACTGTCATATACCTTGAATTGAAACTTTTCCTTACTTTTCTCAATTTGAATAGAGTAATGAAAGAATAAATATACTGTTTCGGATGATGCTCCTAAACCTGTAGTGATGCTAATTTTAAAATTTATTTATTAAAATGTGGGCCACATCAGTTGAATAAGACATGATTTTGCCCTCATGCAATTTAGTCTGGTTCACAGAAAAAGTTACAACAAATGATCTGTTAAGAAGGTTCTAATATAGTCCCGGTGCGGTGGCTCACGCCTGTCATCCCAGCACTTTGGGAGGCTGAGGCAGATGGATCGCTTGAGGTCAGGAATTCAAAATCAGCCTGACCAATATGGCGAAACCCTTTCTCTACTAAAAAAATAGAAAAGTTAGCCAGATATAGTGGTGTGCAACTGTAATCCCAGCTACTCGGGAGGCTGAGGCAGGAGATCACTTGAACCTAGAAGGCGGAGGTTGCAGTGAGCCAAGATCACACCGCACGTTAGCCTGGGTGACAGAGTGATACTTCATCTCAAAAAAGAGGGAGTAGTTCTTTTTTTTTTTTTTCTGTGTCTAAGATTTTATTTTTATTTTATTTTTATTTTTTATTTTTATTTATTATACTTTAAGTTCTAGGGTGTATGTGTACAACGTGCAGGTTTGTTACATATGTATACATGTGCCATGTTGGTGTGCTGCACCCGTTAACTTGTAATTTACATTAGGTGTATCTCCTAATGCTATCCCTCCCCTCTCCCCCCATCCCACAACAGGCCCCGGTGTGTGATGTTGCCCACCTTGTGTCCAGGTGTTCTCATTGTTCAGTTCCCACCTATGAGTGAGAACATGCGGTGTTTGGTTTTCTGTCCTTGCAATAGTTTGCTCAGAATGATGGTTTCCAGCTTCATCCATGTTCCTACAAAGGACAAGAAAAAAAAGGCAGTTCTAGTATAAAATATTTAGAACCTGGCTTGAGTGAGTCCTTTAGTTATTTTTGTGTAAGAATTGTGGCTAAGTATATGATTTATAGACAAGGAATAGATTTTTTCCTTATGCCATACTGTTGGCATAAAGCATCCACTAGTCTATCTTCAGGTGTGTATTTTACAAGAAGTCTTGTAGCACATTTGCCTTTACAGAATGATCTCTCACCACTCCATTTTGTTTATGACCTCAGTGGTCGTAAGAGGTATATGTGGGGGGTTAATAAATGGGGGAACTGAAGCATGAAGAATTAAGCATGTTTGCTCAAAATCATACTTGTAGTTTTCTAGGAAGCCAGAAATAAAAATCAGGACTCATGAGCCTTTTCCTTTAGCGAAGTTCTAGATAAATTCCAGAGTTCAGCAGTTTGCTTAATGTATTGGTTTCCTATTGCTTATAACATCACCCCAAACTTACTAGCTTAAAACAAACACACTTATTAGCTCATAGTTCTGTTGGTCAGAAGTTTGGCATGGATTGTGTATCTGGGATCTCAGAATATCACAAGGCTGAAATCAAAATGTCAGGCTGGGCTAAGTTCTCACCTGGAGGCTCTGGGGGAAAATCTGCCTCCAGGTTCATTCAAATTGTTTGCCAAATTCAGTTCCTTGCAGTTATAGGGCTGAGGTTCCTATTTCTTTGCTGTCTGTCACCGGGGAACTGTTCTCAGTACCCAGAGGCTGCCTATAATCTGCCTTTTGGCCCCCTCCACCTTCATGCCAGAAATGGCATCCTGAATCCTTGTGTCTCTGACCTCTAGATTTAAAGGGTTCATGGGATTGGGTCAGGCCCACTTGGATGATTCCCCTTTCTTAAAAGTCAGTTGTGCCTGAGCCAGGCATGGTGCTATATGCCTGTAGGCCCCACTACTTGGGAGGCTGAGGCAGGAGGATTGCTGGAGCTCAGGAGTTCAAGGCCAGCCTGGCAACATAGTGAGACCTTGTCTCAAAAACAAACAAACAAACAAAAAAACATAGACCAAAAAAAAAGTCAATTTTGCCTAAAATGTAATCTAATCACAGGAATGATATCCTATCATATTCACAGTCCTGATGATTATACAGGGTGTGTACATCAGGCTAGCAATCTTGGGGGACATCTTAGACTTCCACCTATCACATTAAACATGTTCCTCACACTAAATTAGCCCATGAGCAAGGGTGGATGTCAGAAAAGAGAGAAGTAGGAGTGTATACCGAGGGAGTTAGTGAATTGTGTTGTGATTATACATATAAGAAAACCTGGCTGGGCATGATGGCAGGTGCCTTGTAATCCCAGCTACTCAGGAGGCTGAGGCAGGAGAATCACTTGAACCCAGGAGGTGGAGGTTGCAGTGAGCCAAGAACACAAAAACCTTTGTAGTTCCCAGGGATCCTGGGCCTCCTAGAATCGTCAGAGTGTAAGGACCAAGTGGCATTCAGCTGTGCTGTTCTGGTGGTAGTCCATTTAGCCAAGAACTCAAATATAATTGTAGTTGTCTATTACAACTTAGCCTTAACAAAATCTTTAGAAAGTAATGAAATACAGGCTTACAGTGTGGGTTTATATTTCCCGTGTGCTGGCCACATGGTTCTTGCAATTACCGTCCATGATTAACTGTCCATGTGAAGCACAGAAGTAGGAATTAGAAACACTTTTTGCTATGTAGAATGTACTCTGTGTTCAGAGTAATGTTTAGTCATACTCTCTTTTTAGATCCCTGCTAACCTCTCTGCTGCTAAGAACTACCCAATTACCTTTTGCTTGGCTACATGAGCATCCTGTGCCAAGAGACCATGCTTAGTTGTCTGAGTATTCTCTGGGCCCTTTTTCTGATTAAAGTGAAAAGTTAAAGATTCAGAGAATCAAGTAGAGGTGAATCAGTCTCTTGGATGAGTTTTCTTGTGTCCTGAATTTACAATAGATTGAATTCTGTTACTAAGCAAACAGAGGGAGCCTCTGTGCAGAAGACTGCCATTGGACCGTTTTTAAAAAGCTGAAGTATTAATACACACAACCACCACCACTGCAAGAACAAATCCAGATATGCAAAATAAGTTTTAAACTTCATTTATGTTTTCTGATAATAATTAATCAGGGTGTTTCAAACTCATTAAGTTATTAATTAGCTTGACCTTACAGGGAATAAATACCTTGGGGTCTTTTGACTTTTTTGTTGTTGTTGTTGTTATAAACTATAAAGTATCTAGGAAGTTTCTAATTTCCTGTAGATGGTAACCAAAAGATTTATCTTACCACATATTACATTAGGATGTGGTAACTGAATCAGAACTTGAATTACTCTCTGGAAGGGGAGTAAAGGGACAGCTTTTAATTTTTATGTTGATGGATGGTCTTAGTGCAGAGAAGAACCCAGCCAAATATATTTATATTTGATGCTGTTATTTTTGATGTACTGTACCTTTGAGCAATTTGTATTGATTTAAGTAAGATTTGATAGCACTGAGAATCTTTTGGAGAAGAGAAGCTCATTTTAATACATGCAATTCTATTAAATTATTTTCCTGTACCAGCTAATGACCTTTAGACATTTATCTAGTCATCTAATTCTATTGCATAAAAACTCCTATAGAATAAATGTTTTTCTGCCCCTTTAAAAATATTTTGTTTTCATTAATAATTATTTGCATATAAATGAAATAGATAAAACTTAAGAAACAAAAATCTAACATGTGTATAAAAGTTGGCATTGCCACTGTTAGATGGAGTCTTCCAGGCAGAGAAAAACTGAATACCATCTCAGAGTCATAGCCCAGCTTCAGATTCTGTGAGTGTTTACGAGTGCACCTAGATTTTAAGGACATCACTTGGCCAGGACATAAGTAAGGCCTGGGAAACAGGGTTCACCACAGTTGAGCATCTGGCAGGCCTGCAGTGAGGGCCAAGTACTAGACATTCAACAGGAATAAGGTTGAGGGAGTACACTGCTCTGTATTTTCTGCTTCTGAGCTTACCATATGCAACCTCTGGGTCTCCTGAATAAGTCAAAGCGGGAAAGTTCTGTGGTGTGGGAATGAGTATCCTTGACAGTCCAGGTAGTAGAGCAGAGAAGGAAAGAAAAAAACTGTTAACATATGGTCCAGACAGGCCAACCATCTGGGTCAGATTCACCCAGGTGTTGTGAATTTTAAAAGCCAGAACAAAAGCAGATGATGGTGATGACAGGCTTCAAGGGTCTGGCTCAAGTCTCATTGCTCCCTTTTAGCTGGTGGTTCTCTGTACCTGGCACATACAGTCATCCTGGAACCTTTATCCCCGGGATTTCCTTCAATTTCCTCATGTGTTAGGTTTCATTTCCTGTATTTCAAGTCTTGCACTTTTTTGGTTTGCATCCTCATTTTGGTGGAGCATGTCCTACAGTAGCTTCCTGCGGTATATGGGAACAGATTTTTTAAAGCTTAAATGTCTGAAAATGTCTATTCTAAGCTGACATTTGATTGATAGTTTTTGTTGGGTATAGATTTGTAGTTTGGAAATTATTTTTCTTCAGATTTTTAAAGGCCTTGTTCCATTGCCACCCAGCTGTTGATATTATTGTTAAGAAACCCAGAACTGCTCTGATTCCTTTGTATATGACCTGTTTTCATCCTTTCTGTGGAATTTTGTAGGATTTTCTTTGTATTCCGGTGTTTTGAAATTTCACCATTATATGCCTTTGAATAATCTATTTTTGTCCTTTGTGCTAGAGACTTATCCTTCAATACTGGGAAATTTTCTTTATTTCCTTGATAACTTGCTCTCTATTTTATGTTTTCTCCTATTATTTGGATATTGGTCCTCCCAAACTGGTCTTCTAATTTTCTTATCTTTTTGCTGTACTTTTTGGGGAATTTCCTTAATTCTTCCAGTCCTTTTATTGAGTTTTCATTTCTGTTCTTGTATTTTAAACTTCTAATGACCTCTTTTTCCTCTGAATGTTTGTTGTGGATATTAATGATTTTTAGAACATCTTTCTTCTTGTTGCATACTGTTTATTTGGCAAGTTGCTTCCCCCAGCCCCGCTTTCTCTCATGTTAGGATCTTTCCTCAGATGTCTGATAATCCTGGGTTGTCTACTCATGTTTAAGAATGAGGGATTACAAAGCAGATTGGAAACTCTAGGTGCGTGGGTAGGATTTGAAAGCTGGTTGCTTTGCTGTAGGACAGCACCATCCAATAGAAATCTAATGTGAATCACATTGTAAGTTTAGATTTTCTAGTTTTAGAAACGTGAAATTAATATATCTAAAATATTACTTCAATATGAATGAAATATAAAAATTATTAATGAAATATTTTACTTTTTTATATTGTTATGAATTGCAGTGTTTATTTTACATTTACAGACATCTCAACTGAGACGCTAAATTTTTATTTATTTATTTATTTATTTATTTTGAGATTGTCTTGCTCTGTTGTCAGCAATGTGATCTCAGCTTGCTGCAACCTCTGGGGGCTCAGCTGATCCTCCCACCTCAGCCTCCTGAGTAGGTGGGACTACAGGCAAGCGCTACAATGCCTGGCTAATTATTATTACTTTTTTTTTTTGAGACAGAGTCTTGCTCTGTCACCCAGGCTGGAGTGCAGTGGTGCGATCTCGGCTCACTGCAACCTCTGCCTCCCGGGTTCAAGTGATTCTCCTGCCTCAGCCTCCCGAGTAGCTGGCACTACAGACGCGTGCCACCACGCCCGGCTAATTTTTTGTATTTATTTTTTAGTAGAGACGAGTTTCACTGTGTTAGCCAGGATGGTCTCGATCTCCTGACCTCGCAATCCACCTGCCTCAGCCTCCCAAAGTGCTGGGATTACAGGCGTGAGCCACCGCGGCTGGCCCATGCCTGGCTGATTTTTAAATATTTTTGTAGAGGCAGGTTTTGCCATGTTGCCCAGGCTGGTCTCCAACTCCTGGGCCCAAGCCATCTACCTGCCTCAGCCTCCCAAAGTGCCGGGATTACAGATGTGAGCCACCACAGCCAGTCCCTAAAAATTTTTTTAAGCCTTTTTTTTGAAGAGCAGTTTTAGGGTCACAGCAAAATTGAGATGAAGGTATAGAGATTTCCAATATATCGCTGCCCACACACGTGCATGGTGTATCAATCCGTTCTCACACTGCTATGAAGAAATACCTGAGACTGGGTAATTTATAAAGGAAAGAGGTTTAATTGACTCACAGTTCTGCATTGCTGGGAAGGCCTCAGGAAACTTACAATCATGATGGAAGGCAAAGGAGAAGCAGGCACCTTCTGCTTTGCCTTCTAAGGGTGGCAGGACAGAGTGAGTGCAAGCGGGGGAAATGCCAGATGCTTACAAAACCATAAGATTTCATGAGACTCACTTGATATCATGAGAACAGCATAGGGGAGACTGTCCCCATGATCCTATTACCTCCACCTGGTCCCGCCCTTGACATATGGGGATTATGGGGATTACATTTCAAGGTGAGATTTGGGTGGGGACACAGAGCCAAACCATATCGCATGGCCTCCCCCATTGTCAACATCCCCCACTAGCGTGGTACATTTGTTGCAATTGGTGAGCCTGCATTAACACATCAGCATCACCCAGTCCATAGTTTACATTAGGGTTCACTCTTAGTGTTGTACAATCCATGAATGACATATATCCATCACTATAGTATCATACAGAGTATTTTTCACTGCCCTAAAAACCCTCTGTGCTCTATTTATTCATAACCTGCCTACCCTACCTGCCTCCCCCAACCCTTGGCAACCACAGTTCTCTTTACTTTTTCCATAGTTTTGCCTTTTCTAGAATGTCATATAGTTGGGTACATATAATATGTAGCCTTTTCCTTTTTTCTTTCTTTTTTTTTTTTTTTGAGATGGAGTTTCGCTCTTGTCGCCCAGGCTGGAGTGCAATGGCGTGATCTCGGCTCACAGCAACCTCTGCTTCCCGGTTTCAAGTGATTCTCCTGCCTCAGCCTCCCAAGTAGCTGGGATTACAGGCACCCGCCACCATGCCCAGCTAATTTTTGTATTGTTATTAGAGAAGAGATTTCACAACGTTGGCCAGGCTGGTCTCAAACTCCTGACCTCAGGGAATCCACCTGCCTCAGCCTCCCAAAGTGCTGGGATTACAGGCATGAGCCACCGCACCTGGCCGCCTTTTCCTTTTTTTGAGACTGGGTCTTGCTCCGTCACCCAGGCTGGAGTGCAGTGGCTCGATCTTGGCTCACTGCAACCTCTGCCTCCCAGGTTCAAGCGATTCTCATACCTCAGCCTCCCAAGTAGCTGGGATTACAGGCACCCACCACCATGCTGAGCTAATTTTTGTATTTTTAGTAGAGGCGGTGTTTTCACCATGTTGGCCAGTCTGGCCTCAACCTCCTGGTCTCAAGTAACCCACCCGTCTCAGCCTCCCAGAGTGCCATGTTTACAGGTGTGAGCTACCGCGCCCGGCCATATGTAGCCTTTTCAGTTCAGCTTCTTTCTTTTAGCAGTATGCCCTTAAGATTAGCACTAAGACAACAGATAATGTTCTGTTGTCTGAATGTGCCATGGTTTAGTTACCTGTTCACCTACTAAAGGATGTCTTTGTTGCTTTCAAGTTTTGGCAATTATGAATAAAGCTGCTGTAAACATTTCTCTGCAGGTTTTTGGTGTGGACATACGTTTTCACTTCCTTTGGATAAATAAATACCAAGGAGCATGATTGCTGGATCTTATGTTAGTGTATGTTTAGTTTTATAAGAAACTGTGAAACTCTTCGAAAGTGGTTGTACCATTTTACATTCCCACCAGCCATGAATTGAAAGTTCTTGCTCGGCTGGGTGCGGTGGCTCACGCCTATAAATCCCAGCACTTTGGGAGGCCGAGGTGGGCAGATCGCTTGAGGTCAGGAGTTCCAGACCAGCCTGGCCAACATGGTGAAACCCCATACTAAAAATACAAAAATTAGCCACGTGTGGTGGCATGCGCCTGTAATCCCAGCTACTCGGGAGGCTTGAACCTGGAAGAAGGTTGCAGTGAGCTGAGATCATGCCACTGCACTCCAGCCTTGGTGACAGAGCAAGACTCCATCTCAAAAAGAAAAAAAGAAAAGAAAGTTCTTGCTCCACATCTTTGCAAGCATTTGGCATCATCCGTGTTGTGGATTTTGGCTATTCTAGTAGGTATGTAGTGGTATCTTATTTTAATTTACACTTACCTGATGACATATGATGTTGAGCTTCTTTCGTAAGTTTATTTGCCATTTAAATTTTGTTAAATAAAATGTAATAAATTCCTCCTCACTTACACTAGCCACCTTAGTAGTGCTGTACAATTATATGTGCCTAGTGGTACATGTTGGACAATGGAGCTCTGAAGTGATCTACTTGGACTATGTCACAAGCTTTAAGTTGATTCCCCAGAGAAGACACTTCCAACCTTCTGTCTCAAGGGGAAAGGCCAGGCTGCTGGGGCTCTAAGAGACTAGAGGGGGAAAAGTGCTGAGTGTCTCAGTATATACTATGCCTAGGTTTACTTTTCTTTTTAGTATAGGGACCCTGGCATCCTCCAATCCAGAGACCCTCCGTTTTACCCTCTTCTGAGAACAAACTTCCAGACCTCTGCTGGAAGAAGGGAGGGTAGTTTCCCAATGGCATGGTTGAGGGGTGGGGTATGATCTAGGGATCTAACTGCTTCTTAAACAGCTTCCAACCAGTCTTATTTTTAGCCTCCCCCTCCTTTAACTCCCATTTCCATAGGTATCTGGTGCCAATTATTCCTAAGCCTTTTGAGGATCCTTAAAGTGTAATGGGTTGGTTATTGCTCTTTCCGGTTTAGGACTCAGCTTTCTGTAATGTGTTGGATTTAATACCTCTAGTTCTTCTAGTCCCAGTCTTCAAAATTTGCAGTTGCTCTTTTGTTCTTCCCAACCTTGTAGGCTCTTTCCTTGCATCACTTCTTACTTTCTAAAAAACACCTTTTCTGTAGGTTTAGTGAGGTTTCAAGAAGGAGAGAAATTAGATGTTTTGGTTCAGTCTGACATCTTTTACCTGAAAGTTCCTATTAATCTGGATTCCTAAGCCAGATTTGGATATTTTAAAAAAATTCATTCTGTATTTATGCTTCCTTCAGTATCTATATTTGTAGTTAAAGGTATAAGTGCTAATGTTTAGTGGAGGACTCAATAGAAGGGCCAGGAAGTGAGATATTTACCACAGCCAGCCTAGGACAGTAAGGGTTTGGTTTGGGACCAGAAGAGAATTGACAGCAAACAAGGAGAATGATGAAAGTGGATGCATTTAGATGTAGGTAGGATGATTAGAGACTTAATTTTAAGAATCTTGGATATCTGAGACCTAATACATAAATAAAGCTCCAGTAGCATTTATCTCCCTGGACTCCTGTGTTTTTGTTGTTGTTGTTGTTGTTGTTGTTGTTGTTGTTAACTTGTCATGATCTAGGAACTTATTCTATATTTCAGAGAATACACACAACTAATGATACAATTAAAAAATGACTACTGAACAAAGCTGTTTGCCAACATAGAATCTGTAAGAACACACATAGTATTAACTAAGTAAACAATACACTCTGAATATACTGTAGCAGCAGGTTTCTATTTTAATAATTGAGCTTGCTGTTTGAGTGTTGTATTGGATTCTAAAACCGTTTTGCTTGTACTGACTGGGCTGTGATTCACTTTGCTGGTTGTTGCTGCCCTCTGTTGGACTAGCTCAGGAAATGCAGCTTTTTTTCCCTCGTGGATCATGTTTGCTGTCCTTCCCCAAATTGAACACTAAAACATGGGTAATTTTTTTTAAATTTTCTTTCTTTCTTTTTTTTTTTTTTTGATACAGAGTCTCGCTCTGTCACCCAGACTGGAGTGCAGTGGTGCGATCTCGGCTCACTGCAACCTCCGCCTCCCGGGTTCAAGTGATTCTCCTGCCTCGGCCTCCTGAGTAGCTAGGATTACAGGCAGGCGCCACCACACCCGTCTAATTTTTGTATTTTTAGTAGTGATGGGGTTTCACCATGTTGGTCAGGCTGGTCTCAAACTCCTGATCTCGTGATCCACCCGACTCGGCCTCCCAAAGTGCTGGGATTACAGGCGTGAGGCACTGTGCCTGGCAGATAATTTTTTTTTAAGATAAAATCTGTTTCTGATGATGCCCTAGGAAAGCAAGGGAAACTGGCATCTTCCTTCATATATATATATATATATATATATATATATATCCCCATCTCCCTTCCTTCCTTTTCCATCTAAAGGCGAGAGTTAGTGGATATTGAATAGGAAAAAGGCACAAGAATTTGGGGAATGCAAAGATTTGGCAGCTTTGGAGTCTGGATGCCTGAGTTCTGTATCCAACTCATCCCCTAATCATATGACCTCAGTAATTTACTTCACCTGGCTGGGCTTCAGTCTCTTCATTGATATAATGAAGAGGTGTAATAGACTTGGAGAGTTTCTCCAGGGATTGATATTTTAGGGAAGCAAGCCTAGATTATAGTATTTGTTCATAGGAGATATAATGACTTAAGTTACAGGCTCTGCCATCAAGTAACTTAGTCTGGAAATGGGTAGAGGAAACAGACAATCAGAAGACAATTGTAATCCATTTTTAGTGCTGTGAGACAGGCAAGTGCCTTTTACTATGGAAACACAAGGAAAGGTACATATCCATTTAGAGGAGGGATCATTCTGTAGGGCCTGTTGGAGTTGTGAAAGCACAATCTAGGCTGAGGAGGCAGCAGCCTAGGGCAAGTCTGGGGCATTGAGGCAGCGTCATCTGTTTGGAGACGAAGATGGAGTCTGAGGTGGAGAGTTTGCTGAGAAGATGAGACTGGGGGGAAAAGCCAGGAGAGTCATATGCCATGCACAGGAATTTTGATTTTAACATAGGGCAGCGGAGAGTTATTGAAGGCTTTTCAATGGAGAAATAACATGGACAGCTTGGCATTTTAGAAAGATTTCCTCTTGGATATAGTATGGAGAATGGATGTGGTATGGGGCAGATGGGACTGAAGGCAGGGAGATCAGTTAGGAGGCTGTTGGAGTAAATCAAACAGGAGACAATAATGGTGTGAACTTAGGTAGTGCTAGTAGACATGGATGGAAGAGAGACGAATCAAGAGTCTGTAGGCAGAAAGAACAGGTTGCTGGTTACCCCCCACCCTTTTTTTTTTTTTAAACTTAAGCTTCAGCTGTGAACAATTCAGCTGCCATTAATTCTTTAGACGCAGGTTCTGTTATCTACATTACATCTATCTTAGAGTTGTTTGCTTGTTGCTTGGTTCTGAGGGAACTCTTTGAGTTTGGGGGACAAGATTTTGGAAGCAATGACTCTGGGAGCAAATAAGTTTAACCTTGGCTACGGTAACCCAAATTGTATGCACTCATCCCTTTTGTGCTTGTTTCACCTTCTATATGCCAAGGGACTTAGGGTGGTGACAAAAGGAACTATGTTGTTGGTTGTCTTGGGTGGTGCTTTCTGCTTCATCATCCTTCTGCTTTGCTTCTATTACATAATCAGAACACATGAAGTAACTAAATTCCGTGGACCCTTTCTCATGGCAAGATTCTCATGGTTTGGGTGAGTGATTAGCCCTCAGCCAGTGGACTCTTGACCTATTCTGGACAATGGAGGTCAAAGTTTGTTTGCTTGTTTGTTTTATTTTATTTCAAAAGCACCAGGTTGGTGAAAAATGGACAAAGTATACATTCACAGTTTACACTGGATTGAACTGAATTGTGTTATATGGGGAACGTGAACATAATAATGTAGATTTTTCTTGTCCATGAAAGAGGAAAAATAGCTTTGTGGCAGAAATGGAACCAGTTTTTCATTAGTTGGGGAAGGTTATTCAAGAAGCATTTACCAACTGGGTACGGTGGTATGCACCTGCAATCCCAGCTACTCAGGAGGCGGAGGCGGGCAGATCACTTGAGCCCAGGGGTTCGAGACCAGCCTGGGCAACACAGGGAGACCCCGTCTCTTTAAAAAAAAAAAAAGATTTACTATACTCGTCTAAGGACATTAATGAAAAAGAAATATTGTTTAAAATTAGGCAGGATGAAGAAAAATTCACACTTTCCCAGACTTGCTCATTCAGACTTTTTTGGGGGGGCAGGAGGGGTAAAGTATAACATGTATACAGAAGAGAATGTAAAACATACAGAATAATTATAAACTGGACAGTCATATGATCCATGTCAAGATACAGAATATCATAAACACCCCAGAAGCTGCTTTGTCCCCTTCCCCAATCACGACCCCACCCCACCCACCCCAAGTAACCACTGTTTTGACATTTATGGTGATTATTTCCTTTATATAATAATTTTACATACCAAATAATACAGTGTTACATGTTTTTGAACTGAATGTAAATGAAATAATAATTCAATATTATATTTATGAATAGCTGTAAGTTCATTCACTTTCTTTGTGAAATTGCTTTCCTTGTACCAATATACCAGTTTATTTGTCCACGCTACTCTTTTAGTTCACATCTTTCATTAACTCATACACAATTATTTGTCTTCTGGTTTGTTGAAGCAATAAATCAGACAACTTTTGTCACAATAATATCTGTCAGAGTGGCCAGCCGGCCATAAACACTGTAACACTACATCCATCTGAAGGGCACTCCCAACGAAGGTGGCTACTTTTGCCATTCTCATTGGCCTTATGGGATTTCAGGACAGCCAGCTTCACCTTCTTTCTCATGCTTATTCTTCTTGGGAGTAGTGTAAAACTTCTTTTTCTTAGCCCCACCACAAAGTCTCAAGATGAAGAGTGGACTCCTTTTGAATGCTGTAGTCAGACAAAGCACATCTACCTTCTAGTTGCTTGCCAGCAAAGATCAGTCTTTATTGGTCAGGAGGAATTCCTTTCTTATCCTGGATGTTGGCCTTTATATTTTCTGTTTTATCCAAGGATTCAACCTCAAGAGTGATGGCCTCCCCCATAAGGATTTTTATGAAAATTTGTGTTTTGGTGGTGGTTCCAATATATCCAGATGGCGGATCAGAAAACCCGTTCTACTCTTGATGGCCATTTGCATTGTTTTCTGTTTTACATGTCATAGTGTTACTATGAACACTCTTGGTATACACATTCCACTACGTATATGCAAAATTCAGCAGGGTAGATAACATAGAAATTGATGTGTTGCGTTGTAGTACATGTGCATATTTTAACTTTACTGGACAATGCCTTACTGTTTTCCAAAGTGGCTATAGCATTCTATAGTACCACCAAGAGTTCCTGTTGGTCTGTGACTAGACGGACATGAAAGTTTTTTCCAGTCTTGGGAGTGTGAATTGATATCTCACTGTGGTTTTAATTTGCATTGCCTCATTTACTATGAAGTTGAGCATATCTTATAAGTGTATCGGTCATCAGATTCGGATTCTGTTCAGTTCTGCATCATCTTCTTTTTTTTTTTTTTTTTCCTTTTTAAGAGTCATATGTTAGTGACCTTCAAACTCTTCCTGCCCCTTACTTGAGGGAATGTGCTAAGGAATACTTTGACAGAAATCATTAGCTTGCAGAAAGTAGCTTGGATCCTTTCAACTTCTCTCCCTCTTTTCCCCAACCCGTCTGGTGTTTGGGAGGTTTCCTTGTACTTCACTGATTTCTCTTCTTTCTTCTCCCTCCTTTTTCCTGTTTCCTAGACTCTGAAGCGGCTCATGGCAGATGAGGTAAGGACATTTTGTTTAGCATGTGCATGTTCTAGCTCATTGCCTACACTATCATATTTACCAGTTTTCATAACTTTGACTTTCTGTAACTTATAGTGGTGATATGGCTTCTACTCAGTATCTCAAGGCTTTTTTCCTAACTCTTTGCTGTGTTTGGCCCATTGCATGCATTTCCGTGGACCTTCATTATCTTCCGAAGTTAGGCATGCTCTTTAAACTCAAAGCTGACTTGCAGTCTGAATGCCACTCATATCACTTGAAGCCCTATAATACTTACAGATAATTACTGTTATTTTCAAACAAGGAGAGCTGATAAGCTGTTGCTTATTGGTGACTCTTGTTGATTTGAGCATCAGTATTTGAGATTTGAGGAATGGCTTGTTAGCATTTGTTTGGCAGAGAGATGGCATATATACCCCTGAGGTACATTGTATTCTTTGCTGACGAGATGTCATGCAAAGGGGATTTTGAAGAATATATATTGAACTTTTGCTGCCTACATTACACAAGTGCTTTGGAGTGTACAAATTAAAGAGAAAGGAATGAATCCTGACTTTAAGGACAAATTTATCCTATTTGGCTTGTATCTATTAAAATCTGTAGTAATACCTCTTGAAGGGAGACATCCTCTGGGGTCCTAGCAACATTTATTGTTGGGTAGCTAGAAGGAAACAAAGGGCATTTTATTGATAGAACTCTGTCATGAGAGGCTTTCAGTTCCGTACTACTACAAGGCTTAGAAATGGCAGGGGAGATCAAGAACAATGTTTCTTCTAGTTTAAAGAGGTTTGAAATCTTAATACTTTGGTCCTCTTATCTTTGAACATAGATGAGAGTACAGAGTCAGTATGGTAAGTTAGATAGGAGGAAGACTGATTTCTTCTTTTCATGTCAGAAGAGTCTTGAACTGCTTGTGAACCAGAGGAACCATGCCTGTGTAAGAGGTTAAAGGGGTAAAGAATTTGATGTGTGGCTTGTTATGTAAGTGAAAATGGATCACTGCTAATGCTTTTTTCTGTTTCTCAGCTGGAGAGATTTACCAGCATGAGAATTAAGAAGGAGAAGGAAAAGCCCAATTCTGCTCATAGAAATTCTTCTGCATCATATGGGGATGATCCCACAGCACAGTCATTGCAAGATGTTTCAGATGAACAAGTGCTGGTTCTCTTTGAACAGATGCTGGTAAGTTTCCCATTCCCAAAATGTTGCTTCTTCCTGTGCATTTATGGACATGGTGGGCTCTTTTTGGTGCATAATTCCCAACTAGCCCTTTATTACAAAGAATTCCAGGCTTAACATGGAACTTTTTAATATTAACCCTTTAATCCCATAATTAGGGACTAAATATACAAATACCAGTTCATAAAATTGGAATCTGTGCTTGGAAACATCCGATCACTGTCTTGTTCATGGTCTTCTGCCCAGCAACACTTTAGCCACAAAGACGTAGTGGACCATCTAACCCTGTGTACCAGAGTTGGTAATATGGAGACCACCTTTGGGTTAAGCCAGAGCAGATAAAGTGTGGAGGTATTCACAACAAACTCTGTATAAAGGAGAAACTGAGGATGGAATATCATTTGCTCAAGGTCCTGTATAGTGGTGAATCTGGAAAGAAAATACATAGAATTGCTAGAAGACCTTTAAAGATTGTGTCTGAAGTCAGCTAAGTAACAAAGTATATGTGCATGTGACTTACTTTGTTGTCCTCAGTGAGGAACACCGAATAAGGAGGATATTCAGTGAGTGTCCATTAGTGGTAAGTCTTGGAAAGTTTTGATGAGTACAAGATTTCCTAAGACCTGTATATTGCATAGATATGTGATCTCAGATTCAAATAGAGACTAGTGGCAGGCCTAGCTTAATTAAAAGCTTAGGTTTAAAATCCTTAGCACAGGGCCTGGTACATAGTAAGCACTCAACTGGTACTACTGTTGTTATTTTTCACTGAATCTTTCAGTTTGTCTCTTAATATTCCAAGTGCATTAAGAGTCTTAAGAGTATGGTCTGTCAAGATAATCTCTTGGCCTTGGATTGCAAGTTTAAATGTCTCTTGGGCCAGGCAGGTAGTATAAATAAGGTAAGCAGGCTAGATAGAAGATGGCAAAAGAAGTGGGGAATGTGGCAAATTGAAGAGAGGCTTTTGGCATTTTTGTTAGAAAAGCCAGCCACAACTCAGTTCTAGTAGGTGGTTGCATTCCAGTTGGGAATACTTGCCTAGTAGTGCCAGATATTTCTATTTTTCAAAAGAAGTCAGCAATCCGTAATTTTAAAAAAATAATAAATCTTGAATAACATAAAATATCCTAGTCACTATTTGAATTTCCCCAATTAGGTCATTTTTTTAAAAACCAGTTTGTTCAAATCACAATTCCAAATATAGTCCACTGTACTGGTATTCTCAATTTTCATTTAAACTATAGGTTTCCCTTCCTCTTTTTTTTGAGATGGAGTATTGCTCTGTCGCAAGCAGAGCAAGACTTGCAACCTCCGTCTTCTGGGTTCGAGCAGTTCTCCTGCCTCAGCCTCCTGAGTAGCTGGGATTACAGGTGGACACCACCATGCCCGGCTAATTTTTGTAGCTTGAGTAGAGATAGGGTTTCATCATGTTGGCCAGGCTAGTCTCGAACCCCTGACCTTGTGATCCACCCACCTCAGCCTCCCAAAGTGCTGGGATTACGGGCATGAGCCACTGCACCTCTTTTTCTTTTATCCTTACTATTGATACTAAAAAAAAATTGTTGAAAAAACCGTTTGTTTGACCTGTAGAGTTTCCCACAACATGAAATTCGATGGATGAATCCTTTGGTGCTGTTTTACTAGAGATCTGTATCTTTATGTAAGGTCCCCCAGATTTAAAATGTTGAGCTAGCCAAGTGAAACATTTTATCTTTGGGTTTGACTTAGCTTGAGGGCCACCATTTTGTAACTTCTGTGTTCAGTTTATCTGCAAGAGGAAAAATGCATCTGGCTGGCAGTGGTGGCTCACACCTGTAATCCCAGCACTTTGGGAGGCCGAGGTGGGTGGATCACGAGGTCAGCAGTTCAAGACCAGCCTGGCCAAGATGGTGAAACCCCGTCTCTACTAAAAATACAAAAATTAGCTGAGTGTGGTGGCGGGCGCCTGTAATCCCAGCTACTGCCAGGAGGCTGAGGCAGGAGAATCACTTGAATCTGGGAGGTGGAGGTTGCAGTGAGCCAAGATTGTGCCATTGCACTCCAGCCTGGGTGACAGAGTGAGACTCCGTCTCAAAAAAAAAAAACCCACCAGGAATTAAGTCACAGAAACTTCAGATTAATTTTGCTGCTTGCAGAAGAAACAGAATACATCCCCCCATCCATATTTTTCTCAATTCAAATAACATTCTGGAATTATTAGGGCTAAATTTGTGCACACCAAGGTACTAGGCTTGGACACATGGTTGTTATATATGTAGAAAGATCAAGCAGAGCCTTTCCCCAAACATACATCAGATTATGTCTGTCAGGGGGCCTCTGCTTTATCATAGAGTTTCCAGTTCTTTCTTCGTGGGAAAGGAGTTTGTACAGGGACTGAGTTAACCAGGGGTAATGGGTTTGTAGGCCCTAGAGTTGGTGCAGAGTTTGTTGCTGTTGATTTTGCTTGTGTTTAGATTATGCCATTCATCCAGTGCTTCAGTCTGAAGAGATTTTTAAGGTCCATCCTTGATGCAGAAAGCATTGTGTGTGGTTTTCTTTCAATAATACAAAATAAATCTTTCATTTATATTGAGTCCATTTTTCTTAGAGAAAAAAAGTGTGTATATGTCTATAGAGATTTATACTAAAATGTTAACTATACTTATCTTTGAGGAATTTTCATCAGCTGTAATAGCTTAAATTTCTAGGGATCAAAAAGATTTATTTACTTAAGCATTTTACATGCTCAACTCTTCACTAAGCATACTAATATTAAACACTAAAAATTTGTAAAGAATTTGAGGCAATTTTGTTTTTTCTCTTTTTTCTCCCTCTCCTAGCTGGATATGAACCTGAATGAGGAGAAACAGCAACCTTTGAGGGAGAAGGACATCATCATCAAGAGGGAGATGGTGTCCCAATACTTGTACACCTCCAAGGCTGTGAGTCCTGGGACAGGTACCCATGACATGGGAGACTGTGCCCTTGTCTTGGACCTGTTTTTTTTTTGCCAATTTTATGTAACATTTTATGTCTGCATCAATTCTGTTTCATTCCATTATATAAGCCTGTTCACTTTTTACTGTCTTATTTAGTTACCGTTCTTACATACATTTTGCCTGGTTAAATTTTCATGAAGTATGTAAATATAGGGAATGGGATAGGCAGTTCTAAGTCTCATTTATGTTGGTGGTATGTGAGATGGGTATCTGCCCTGATAAACGTGGCCTGACATGGTGGCTTACTCCTGTAATCTGAGCACTTTGGGAGGCTGAGGCAGAAGGATCACTTGAGCCCAGGAGTTTGAAATCAGCCTGGGCAACGTAGTAAGACCTTGTCTCTGCTAAAAATAAAAAATAAAAATAAAGTATAAACTCTATTGACTAATACTAGTCCTTAATTTATGACTGGGTCCACCATTACTAATCTCTGTCTATGCCTTCTGTCTAGGGCATGAGCCAGAAGGAGAGCTCTAAGTCTGCCATGATGTATATTCAGGAGTTGAGGTCAGGCTTGCGGGATATGCCTCTGCTCAGCTGCCTGGAGTCCCTTCGTGTGTCTCTCAACAACAACCCTGTCAGGTGAGGATTCTGAGGAGGTAACAGGAGTAGGAGCCAAATGTTGGACTTCACTGGTGGTGATTGAAGATCAAAGGAGCCAGGGAAGCATGAGAATAGTCTGAATTGGGAGTAGTAAGTTGTCAGGATAAACTTTGTTTGGCAAATAAGTATTTATTGGTTTGATATTGCATTGCCTCTCTCTGTTCCTTACAGTTGGGTGCAAACATTTGGTGCTGAAGGCTTGGCCTCCTTATTGGACATTCTTAAACGACTTCATGATGAGAAAGAAGAGACTGCTGGGTGAGGACTTCCAAGTCTTTGCAACTTCAAGTTGGAGAGTCACAGGGGACTTGGCTATTTGCTCTGAAGGAGAAAGTAGCAGTTAAATGTAAAGTTGTGGGCTAGGGGAATGTACTGTTAGCCAAGAAGGGGTTTATCATAGTGGTGGCTAGAGGATGAATGATGATTATAGATACAGGAAAGGGAGGAGGAACTTAAATTTCATGTTGGATAAGTTCAATACATACCACAGAATATTAGTCTCCCAGCACTGGTTCTTTTTCAATCTGGAAATAAAATCTGATTTAGTGCTGCTGTGTAATCTGGTCTGGGTAATATCCATTTGGAAGTCTTATAATATACTTGGGACTAGTATTGTGACAGTCTTCAAGGTTGGAATAATTTTAGGTATACCTTGGACTCTCTTAGGCTACCTTGAAGCCAACCTGAAGCAGAGTACTTCCTGGAATCTTTCTGAAACAAAATAATAACATGGCCAAGACCTACATATATCTTCTCAGACTTGAAACCTCTAGTAGCAAGGCAAGCAGCAATAGATGGGATGTTATCCTGATAGAATTTAGCATTTAGGAGCCTAGGGAGAGTTAAAAAGAAGATTTTAATATAATACTAAATTCTTGGATTACAAGAGGATCAGCCAGATTTGTTGATGGTGAAGATCCCTCTTCAGTTATCTATTTTCTTCAGTGGTTCTGGGCAAGGTGCTATTTCCTAAAATTTACTCATCTGCTAGATGGGGCTGTTGTTCCTAAGAACCTTGTTTGCAAGATTAAAAATGGGAAAGGGGTAGAGAATAAAGGGACCTCACTGATTATGTCTTCTATATACAGGAGTTACGATAGCCGGAACAAGCATGAGATCATTCGCTGCTTGAAAGCTTTTATGAACAACAAGGTGAGATTTTTCCCATTCTCATTCCAAACCCCATCTGGACGCCTGTTCTTTCTCTTCTATTGGCAAACCAAAAGAGGAACTAGGAATATGAGGTTCAGGACTTCTAGCTTTCTCTTTTAGTATCATAACTGTTTTTCATTGCCACATATACATGCTTCTGTGGATATTTTTTTCTCAGTTCTAACTTCTGTTTCAGAGGACAGGCTCAATTTTGTTTCTCTCTCTTTTTTTTTTTTTTTTTTTTTTTTTTTTGAGATGGAGTCTCGCTCTGTTGCCCAGGCTGGAGTGCTGTGGCTCGATCTCGGCTCACTGCAAGCTCCACATCCTGGATTCATGCCATTCTCCTGCCTCAGCCTCCCGAGTAGCTGGGACTACAGGCACCCGCCACCACGCCCGGGTATTTTTTTTAATTTTTATTTTTAGTAGAGACGGGGTTTTACCATGTTAGCCAGGACGGTCTCGATCTCCTGACCTTGTGATCCACCCGCCTTGGCCTCCCAAAGTGCTGGGATTACAGGCATGAGCCACAGCGCCCGGCCTGTTTCTTTACTTTCTTTTGCTAATTCTTGAATTTCCTGACCTGTAGTTATTGTCTCTGCAATATTTGCTTTATTTCCTGTTTCTTTTTTCTTCTAGACTGTTGCTCCATTTTTATCTTCTTTTTGTCTGTTTAGTAATTCAACCTAGTGAGCCCACAGTCCTGTGCCTCTGAGGACAAATCTCTCTTCCTCATTGTTTAATTTTGTTATAATTAACTTATTCCATTGGATTGCGGGGAGAGAATTAACAAGAAACATATAAATCAAAGACTTTTATTCTTGGAAGACATCTAATTCTGTTGTGCCTCCTAGAAAATTATTTTGGTATGTTCATCTCTAATTATATTGGGAAAAGTATTCTACCCCTGTATTAATTTGCTAGTGTACCACAAAATTAGATATCTTAACAGAAATTTATTATCTCACAATTCTAGAGGCTAGAATTTCAAAATCCAAGGTACCAGCACGGTTGGTTCTTTCTGAAGCTGTATATGGTAATATGTTCCATATCCCTCCTAGTTTCTGGTAGCTTGTTGGCAATCCTTGGCACTCCTTATCTTGTAGATGCATCATCCTGATCTCTGCCTATGTGATCACATGGTGTTCTCCCTCTGTATGTATCCATATCCAAATTTCCTCTTTTTATAAGGACACTGGTCATATTGGATTAAGGACCCTTTCTACCCCAGCAGGACTTCATTGTAGCTTGACTAATTATATTTGCAATGAGTATATTTCCAGATGAGGTTACATTTTGAGGTACTGGGGGTTGGGACTTCAACACTGGAATTTAAGAGGACACCATTCAACCCATAACAACCCGTAAACTTGTCCCCCAGTTAGATGCTTTCGTCTTTCAGCCTCCTTTCTTTGTTCTTGGTCCTACCAGTTTGGAATCAAGACCATGTTGGAGACAGAAGAAGGAATCCTACTGCTGGTCAGAGCCATGGATCCTGCTGTTCCCAACATGATGATTGATGCAGCTAAGCTGCTTTCTGCTCTTTGTATTCTACCGCAGCCAGAGGACATGTATGTGACTGGAATAATTTTTCTTCTCCATTTTCAATTTTATCATTTTCTCTTAGTTCAGAGGACAATTGAGTTGGTTGGGTGTCCTCTCGGTCATAAATACTAGGTAAGATTGTGTTTCTTCCCAGAAGTGAACACTAAGCATCTTAAAATTTAAGAACAATTCCTAAGTGATGGGTGCTATCCTGAATGTTCCACTGGTCATCAGAGGTATAGCAAAATGTCTCCTATATCTCCATTAATATCTGTATTGTCTAGGATGAGGGTTTCTTTTTACTATTCTTTTTTTTTTTAATTCAGAAGTGGCACAATGTTATTTTTAAAACTCAAACGATATAGAAGTATATAAAGTAAAATTTAACTGCCTCATCCCTTTGCCAAATCCTATTCTGCAAAGAGAATGACTGTTAATGGCATGGTATAGTCTCATAGAACGTTTCCTAAGCATAGACAAACATATTGCGTTCCCTTGATTCTAGACATCTGCCACCGCAAAAGATAGTATCTTAAGAGCTGAGGAATGACACTTATGCCTATAAAACTAACTGCATATATAGGATAGATTTTTATTATTGAAGAGGGATTTGGTTTAACCAAAGCTAAATCATTCTTTTCAACCTGTTTCTTTTTAATAGTAGATCTTGGACATTTCTTCTATGTCGGTACTTACAGATCTACCTTATTATCTTTAGTAGCTATTTAGTATTCCATATACATGTATGTATGGCCTATAATTTATTTAACAATTCCCCTGTTGCTGGACTTACAGATTTTTTTTTTTTCCTTTTTTTTTTTTGAGACGGAGGCTCGCTCTGTTCCCCAGGCTGGAGTGCAGTGGCGCGATCTCGGCCCACTGCAAACTCCTCCTCCCAGGTTCAAGCGATTCTCCTTCCTCAGCCTCCCGAGTAGCTGGGACTACAGGAGTCCGCCACCACGCCTGGCTAATTTTTGTATTTTTAGTAGAGATGGGGTTTCTCCCTATTGGCCAGGCTGGTCTCGAACTCCTGACCTTGTGATCCGCCCGCCTCGGCCTCCCAAAGTGCTAGGATTACAAGCGTGAGCCACTGCGCCCAGCCAACTTACAGATATTTTTTAAAGCAGATTTCACTATCTGTTCTAGGTGATCATTTTTACAAATGATACTGCAGTGAACATCCTTGTGCATATCTTCTTTCACATTTATGCCCATATGTTGGATACATTTCTAGAAGTAGACTATATGTTACATGCATGAGAAATTGATTAGTACTGTTAAATGCCCCTCCAAAAGTTGTATCAATTTATACTTCATTGAATAGGGGACTTGATTTGGTATTTATGGACAGGAGCCTAGGGATGGATTGTAGGGAATGCATTTCCCTGAAGAGATGGTCCTTAGCTTTCAGCAGTTTCTGGAAACTGAGTGGTGAGAATAATAATGTGAGAAATCCGGAACACTGATAATGTCCTGTTTCCTAATCGGTCTGTGCCCCTGTGTAATTTACTCATTATACGTGTCCGTGTCACAGTACCTGGAAAGTTCTCTCCGTTTCCTTTCTCTTGGGCAGGAATGAAAGGGTTTTGGAGGCAATGACAGAAAGAGCTGAGATGGATGAAGTGGAACGTTTCCAGCCGCTGCTGGATGGATTAAAAAGTGGAACCACTATTGCACTGAAGGCATGTATATCCCCTGAAACTGGGCCCAAGAATAGAATTCAAGATGGACAGACTTAAATTCATTTGACCTTTTAATAAAATACATGGAGTGCCTCCCAACTATATATTTTACATTTCAGAATCTGTTATGAAGGGAAAATGATTAACCTTCTTTCTAAGAAGGTAAAGAATGAACTGTTTTCCTCATTATGAGATGGAAAAAGGCATGATATCTATTTACAATCTAGGAAAACCAAGACCTACAATAACATATACTCTCAAATCCTTGAAACCATTTAGAGTTTAGGCTCTCCGGATCTGTACTCAAACCAGGTCTCATTGCTATAGTAGAAAAGTCATCTTTAGAGTTTTTGTATTGTATCTTTCAGGTTGTATTGGGGACCTAAGAATGCATGTAAAGAAAATGGATTCTTGATCTCCAGGAGTTAGCATTGACATAGCTGCTGAATTTTCTTATTTTAGGTTGGATGCCTACAGCTGATCAATGCTCTCATCACACCAGCGGAGGAACTTGACTTCCGAGTTCACATCAGAAGTGAACTGATGCGTTTGGGGCTACATCAGGTGTTGCAGGTAAGATATTACACTTCATTAGAAAGGCTAGACTGGTTCCTTCTTGCTCTACAGCCCCAATAATCCCGGGGATAATTCTGGTTTTCAATTAAAAACCAGGTTGAAAAGCTTAGGTTTCTAACCACAGAGGATACTTTTGGGTTCCCTGACTTCTACTTTTGTTGTTGACAGGACCTTCGAGAGATTGAAAATGAAGATATGAGAGTGCAACTAAATGTGTTTGATGAACAAGGGGAAGAGGATTCCTATGACCTGAAGGGACGGCTGGATGACATTCGCATGGAGATGGAATATCCTTTTGCTGACTAGGTTCAAGGCAGATGAGACATTCATTGTATTTAGTTCCCTGATCCCTGTGTGGAATGGTTTGGGAGATGATGACTCAGAACAGAGCATCAGGCTTATGTGTCTTCTCATTAAATAAGGCAGGTGTATTTTTATTGCGCTGGCTTTACTTAGCTTATCATAGATCAGGGAAGTCAGTAAAGGTGATCTGAGGGTTGTTGAGCATGGAAGCCATCAAAATCAGTGTAAACTTCCTAGAATGTGATAGCTTAGCTTACTAAGATGTAGAACTGGCTTTTAGAGATGTTTGGACTGACAGAGGGAGTAATTTAGTTACCTGTTAATATTTTCAGTAAGTGACTTTGAGGCAGTTACCTCTTATTTTCTGTCTACTGCCTGATCTTCAAGCCAAGTACTTACTAGGAATCCTCTGTGTGTATAGTACCACCCAATTCACTGGTCCCTTAAAGGACGTTTTAGAAAGCTTAAAGTTTCTGGTGATGTTTACAGGAAGAACAGCCAGTAGAATGGAAGTGGTGTCTTGCTACTTTTCCCTAGCTTTTTCAAGAGTTAAATAAGCCACCTGTCAAACATAATTTCTGCATATTTGCTTTCCTTAGCCTATTTCCCTTTTCCACTGACTTTAATGAAGTCTTTCAGATTCTCTTAAACACAGTGAAGGATTCAAAGGCAGAGCCACACTTCCTTTCCATCCTGCAGCACTTACTCTTGGTCCGAAATGACTATGAGGCCAGGTAAGATGCTGTGCTTATGAGAAGTTTTGAATTTGAGCCTAAGTGGAGAGAGTGAATTCCTTAAATTCAAAGATTGTTCTGTAAAAGGAAAATGTAAAGACAAAGACCCAAGATTAGGGTTCATTAGTCACCGATATAAAGGAAGTTGTCTTATTTCTTTAATCCAACTCAAAGGCATCCCTATGGCAGAGGTCAGAGTGTATAAGGTGAAATGCCGTTCTGTTTTTGGAGGGGAGTAGGTAAATAGGATGAAGATGTTAGCAAACAGAAGTGGCAATTTAAAATTCTTTCTAGTTTCCTGGAAGTATAGATTTAGCAATAGCACTATCCATCACAGGAAGGATCAAACGCAAATTTTTAGATGGGAAAGTATTGGCACTAGGAGCGGATGGCAAGAAGTTTTGATTATTTGAAGTAGATAGGGTAGGGTAGCTGATGTGGAAAAAGGAGTTTTCTTAGCATGGCAGCAATACTTGTGTTAACTTTACAAAAGTTTTTCCAGGTCTCTCAGTTGTCAGAGCAATTACGTTTTCTTGGTCCTGAATACTTCTGAAAATTATATTTTGATTTTCCTTTGATGACCCTGTTTTTATTCTCTTGTAGACCTCAGTACTATAAGTTGATTGAAGAATGTATTTCCCAGATAGTTCTGCACAAGAACGGGGCTGATCCTGACTTCAAGTGCCGGCACCTCCAGATTGAGATTGAGGGATTAATTGGTAAGCATACTCTTCTATCTGGCTCCTCCAAGTATTGCTTCTTCCTTTCATTTTGCATCTTGTTTCAGTGAAAATGTCAGAGAAGATACCTTTCCAGTCCCCAGATAGTTCTATTTTTGTCCTTTCTTAGGTCATAACCAGCATCTTTGCTAGGAATCTATAGGTCTTTAGTTTATTTTTAGATAAAACACACACCAGCACCTTTTGCAGGAACTCCTGGTGGTCTCAGAGAGTCAAAAATATCACTCATAGGCATTCTTCTTGCCACCCAGCATGGTGGCCTTACCGCACACTCAGATTACATGTTGAACTTAACTGAAAGTTCCATTTCTTTGTCTAGTGCAGAACATTAAGAAAGATAATAAAAATGATCAAAAAGACTGTTCTTTGGAAGGGTGTAGTGTGAAAGAAATAGAACAAGAGAATTAGGAGCTTTACTTACTGACTCTTCTTCTTTTCAGATCAAATGATTGATAAGACAAAGGTGGAGAAATCTGAAGCCAAAGCTGCAGAGCTGGAAAAGAAGGTGCATATGAGAGACCAAAGACATGTGTTTGAGTATATCTTTCTTTGAGAATTATTATTTTCCTGATCTATGAGACAGTTTTCCTCTGTGGTATTTTGGAAGCGTTTAGCACCCAATAGTGTAGTTCCCAGGGGAAACCTTTCCAGTATAGGGTAGTCATTGGAGAAAGTGATATGGATGTCTTCATAGGGAGCTCTAGTGGTGGACTTTCAGTTCTTGGGCTACTGGGCAGGAAAAGAAAGACAGATGATACTCATGTAATAGTAATGGCACTCTCAGGTTTGCTTGGCATTTTAGGCCTCTTACCCCTAGAACAATAGGAACTGGGGTCCTTAGAGCAATAGAACTAGAGGATGTCTGAGTTCTCTTTTTCTCTTCAGTTTTTAAGAACGTTTATTGTGGTTAATAGGTTTTTGATCCTAGAGAATATTGGGATTGTACTACCATGGTCGTCCTCGTTAAATACCTTTAAAATCTTATTTTTTTTAACTATAAAAATAGGGAATCTGTGGAAATGAACTGATTCCCCTCTCCTTTAACCTTGTTTTATTTTCATTTTTATTTTTATTTGTTTTTTTTTTGAGACGGAGTCTCACTCTGTCATCCAGGCTGGAGTGCAGTGGCGCGATCTCGGCTCACTGCAACCTCTGTCTCCTGGGTTCAAGCAGTTCTCCTGCCTCAGCCTCCCAAGTAGCTGGGATTACAGGTGCCCACCACCATGCCCGGCTAATTTTTGTATTTTTGGTAGAGGCTAGGGTTCACCATGTTGGACAGGTTGGTCTCGAACTTCTGACCTCAGGTGATCCACCTGCCTCGGCCTCCCGAAGTGCTGGGATTACAGGTGTGAGCCACTCCGCCCAGCCAAACCTTGATTTTAAGGTCAGAATCATGGTGCTTTTTTCCCCCGAGCATGGCCTGGATTTATGAGCTCTGTAAATCAAGTACTGGCCCAGAACAGGAGGCAGTGGGGGGATTCCAGCACCCCCAGGCAAAAGAGGAGGTAGGGAGAATTATGGGTAATAATACTTGTGCTTCTTACTGAGATGGAGAGCTTGCTGGGAGCCTGATTCGTTTTTTCTCTAGTTGGACTCAGAGTTAACAGCCCGACATGAGCTACAGGTGGAAATGAAAAAGATGGAAAGTGACTTTGAGCAGAAGCTTCAAGATCTTCAGGGAGAAAAAGATGCACTGCATTCTGAAAAGCAGCAAATTGCCACAGAGAAACAGGACCTGGAAGCAGAGGTGTCCCAGCTCACAGGAGAGGTAATGCCTGAGCAGGGAAGGCAGAATGACCTGTAACCTCAGGATGCACATGGCTTGGAACAGGAGTCAGTCATCTCGCTCCTAGGGAGGGTTCAGCTACTAATAGGTAATCTAGTTACATGGTGCATATTTTAAAAATAATATACTGGTTTTTGGTTTGTGTTGGGGGTAAGTAATACATAAGACAGAAAATCTGGAAAATACAGAAAAACATTAAGAATAAAGTAAGTTTCATTACCACCCAGAAATAAAAGTAATAAGTCTCCTAATAAATTAGGAATAAAAACTAAACTGTTAAAAATTGACTAATTTCCTGTTATTTTAGTCACCTCTGCACAGATTTATCCTTACACACTCTCTCTGCAGTAGTAAATACTTAAATGATCTTTGATGTCTGATAACTTGATTACTTATGTGGTTATATAATCATCTGTGTAGCACATATATTAGTTATATAACTAGAACATTTAATTTACTTGACCTTTACATTTTCTAATCAAGGGAGGGTTTAACATAAAGGTTGAAATTGTCTTCTTAATACAAAGCATGCTGAACTAAGAACATGAAAACCTGAATTCTAGTTTTGGCTCTGCTGCCAAGCCGTGTGACTTTAGGTGATCATGTCATCTCTCTGACTCCTCTCAGTTCCTCCATTTGTAACATGAGAAGTTTGGATTAAGTAGTTTATTAGGTTCCTTCCAGTCCCAGTAGTCCCTGAAGTGGGGTGAGAAGTACTCACATTGATGTTATTTCTGTAGGTTGCCAAGCTGACAAAGGAACTGGAAGATGCCAAGAAAGAAATGGCTTCCCTCTCTGCGGCAGCTATTACTGTACCTCCTTCTGTTCCTAGTCGTGCTCCTGTTCCCCCTGCCCCTCCTTTACCTGGTGACTCTGGCACTATTATTCCACCACCACCTGCTCCTGGGGATAGTACCACTCCTCCTCCTCCTCCTCCTCCTCCTCCTCCTCCACCTCCTTTGCCTGGGGGTGTTTGCATCTCCTCACCCCCTTCTTTACCTGGAGGTACTGCTATCTCTCCACCCCCTCCTTTGTCTGGGGATGCTACCATCCCTCCACCCCCTCCTTTGCCTGAGGGTGTTGGCATCCCTTCACCCTCTTCTTTGCCTGGAGGTACTGCCATCCCCCCACCTCCTCCTTTGCCTGGGAGTGCTAGAATCCCCCCACCACCACCTCCTTTGCCTGGGAGTGCTGGAATTCCCCCCCCACCTCCTCCCTTGCCTGGAGAAGCAGGAATGCCACCTCCTCCTCCCCCTCTTCCTGGTGGTCCTGGAATCCCTCCACCTCCTCCATTTCCCGGAGGCCCTGGCATTCCTCCACCTCCACCCGGAATGGGTATGCCTCCACCTCCCCCATTTGGATTTGGAGTTCCTGCAGCCCCAGTTCTGCCATTTGGATTAACCCCCAAAAAGCTTTATAAGCCAGAGGTGCAGCTCCGGAGGCCAAACTGGTCCAAGGTAAGAGTTTCTGTCTATTTCTTCACCAGTCAATCTTTTTTTTTTTTTTTTTTTTTTGAGACGGAGTTTCGCTCTGTCGCCCAGGCTGGAGTGCAGTGGTGCGATCTCGGCTCACTGCAAGCTCCGCCTCCCGGGTTCACGCCATTCTCCTGCCTCAGCCTCCCGTGTAGCTGGGACTATAGGCGCGCGCCACCACGCCCGGCTAATTTTTGTATTTTTAGTAGAGACGGGATTTCACCGTGTTAGCCAGGATGGTCTCGATCTCCTGACCTCGTGATCCGCCCGTCTCGGCCTCCCAAAGTGCTGGGATTACAGGCGTGAGCCACCGCGCCCGGCCCACCAGTCAATCTTAAGAAACAGTTTCAGTTTTCTACTTTGTATTTTGTGCATGGATGGGCTACGCCTTAAGGCTTTCATCTTTCTATCTTTAAGCTTCACTCATGCTTATGTTTATTCAGGAGATATTAGGCATCTTCTTTATTCCATACATCACCACGGAGAGTTCTGTGAACCCTGTATTCTGAATTTAATCTTAACTTAATGTTTTTTGCCTTTTCTCTGAGGCTGTGAATACCATGGTAACACACAGTTTGATAATAGTCATTCACCAGTCTGCAAACTACTGATAATTGTGCTGATCCCAAAGTCATGGATTTATGAATCCACTCTCCTATCCCAATTCCGCAGGATGTGAGTTACACAGGCCATTTTTTTTTTTTTTTTTGAGTTGGAGTCTTGCTCTGTTGCCCAGGCTGGAGTGCAGTGGCATAATCTCTGCTCACTGCAACCTCAGCCTCCTGAGTAGCTAGGATTACAGGCGTGTGCCACCATGCCTGGCTAATTTTTGTATTTTTAGTAGAGATGGGGTTTCACCATGTTGGTCTGGCTGCTCTCGAACTCCTGACCTTGTGATCCGCCCACCTTGGCCTCCCAGAGTGCTGGGATTACAGACGTGAGCCACCACACCTGGCCTACATAGGCCATATTTGCATGCACAGTATTGTTCCCATGATGTGTTTGAGATGCCTGTGATTCTGAGTGAGTTAGCCTTTTTCTTCTAGAAACCAAGTTAATATAAAGGACCTTAGGGATTTGCTCATAAAATGAGCAAATTTGGCACAGTTAGCCAAACTGGTGGGAGAAATTTAATGATGAGCAAGACTTCTCTGAAATAAAGCCTTAATGGTTATGAAGCTAGAGGATTTGGAGTTAGGAGGAGGATACGTAGTATATATATGAATCTAGTTCTTGAATAATCACCAATTAACAGATGAACTGGAAGTATTCTCTCCTAATCCCACTGCAGCTATTCTGTGCCTCAAGTTAGTCTTATTCTAGTAAGACATTGCTGATAATCAGCCAGCCACCTATTTTACAGCCTCATCCGTTTTCTAGGACGGAAAGTACAGGGCTCAGTTTACTAATTCTTAACACCCTGCCTTTATCCACAGCTTGTGGCTGAGGACCTCTCCCAGGACTGCTTCTGGACAAAGGTGAAGGAGGACCGCTTTGAGAACAATGAACTTTTCGCCAAACTTACCCTTACCTTCTCTGCCCAGACCAAGAGTGAGTACCTTCCTCTTTGATGCAAAGGTCCAGTGTAGGGCTTAGAATATTTTTTCATTAGGTTTCCTATTCCCTTCCCTTCCCTGGGTGAAGATAGAAAGGGTATGTTGGATGGAAGACTGATGGATTTTCCCATTCAAAAGAAAGAAAAGATGTTTTTGTATTAAATATTATGGAGTTACTTGGTTTGGGAAAGAGAACTGTTGTATGTAGGTATTTTGTATCAGTATAACTTGTTAGGGATATGAGATTAAAGTGACAGAGCTTGATTTGGGCCCATTTTGATACTTTTGAACAGATTCTGGCACTGCCTTAAGGTGCAGTTTCCAGTTCTAAGTACATAATTAATAAGGGTTGGAAAGAGTCTTTAACAGTTTGGGTGACTGAGTGACTGTCTACAGTAACAAGAACCATATGTGATTCCTTTTCTTCCTTCCATTTCTTTCCAATATTGGATGCCTTCTCCCTCCTGGCACTTTGCTCCTGAAGCTTCCAAAGGTAAGAATACAAAAGAGCCTTTTAGTTTGGTCTCTTGAATATTAGAGAAAAAGATGAAATAGATATAAAGGAATTTCTCATTAGAAAACTGAGACCAGAGATTGAGGGTTGACTTGTCTTTGCTAGGTGTTTTTTGTTTTTGTTTCCTCCCCTGGAGTTCAAAATGACCAATAGCTTTGGCATTAACTAATAGGGAGGAAAGTTTGCTTCCCGTTAAACTACCACATACTTAATCTCTTTAGAAGGTGAGGGACAACGTAAGCAATAATACTATTACCTTACATTTGTGCTGTTTTACAATTTTCATAGTGCCTTAACATATATGACCCTATTTGATATGCAGAGAAGCCTTATGAGACAGGCAGGATGTGTATCATCTCCATTCTGTAGCATATATAGACTCTGAACAGTTAGGTAGCTTTCCCAAGGTTATGTGATCAGAACCAGGAGTCTTGACTTCTGGTCCATTTTTTCTATATAAATTCTTGATTTTCTTTTTTAGCCTTCATATGGTTCCTTTTATTTTACAAGAGCTGATCTACTTTGCCCTCTTCTTTCTTGACTTCCTAATTCTTGTGGTTTTGTGCTACCTTGTGATAGGGTACTTATAGTTACTTCCCCTGAGATAGTATTTGAAAGATTGTGTCATGTATAATGACAATTATAGCCCAATAATTTCATATTTTTATCTTCTTCCAGCATTTTTGTTTGTTTAGAGGCTTACTATGACCCTAGTGATGAAAATTAAGTGCAACTTTGGAGCATTTATTTTCCCCACCTCCCCCTAGTCAATTAGTATTTTTAAAGGCAATTCCTTTTTTTTTCCTTAAGTGATCTGATGGAAACAGGCTGCACTTTGTTCTAATAAGGAGTCTAACAGATTGTGAGGTGCCTTGGTGGCCCCTAGTTACATATGTGTGTGTGTGTATCTAGGAGTATAAGACCATAATGCTCAGATCTGTCTTGTTGCCCTGTCATTCAGGTCAAAATGGCCTTTTCCTCTAAGAAAATTGTCACCTTCCATGCCAAAGTCCAGCCTAAGGGATTAATTCCACTCTCTTAATTAAAATACTGGGATGGTAACCACATATACTGTATTAGTCTATCAATAAAGACTAGTTGACAAAGTCAAAATTAAATGATTTTCTAATTTGTAAGTTCACAGAATCCCTATGTTGGCCTCTGGCATAAGTTTCTTTCTTGAGTCTGGGCTCTGCACTTTTAGTGCCATTGCAAATGAATACTGACTGGGCCCCTTTTCTCCCCCCACCCCCATCCCCATCTTTTTATTTGGTGCATTTGTATTCCTATTAATTCTAGTTGGGTTTTATACAGTTTAGTGGTCTTCCTTGGCATTATATTCTCATTATGAATTGGGATATGGTAGTATTTTTTAAAATACCAAAGTGGCCCCCTTAGTCACAAAAGGCCAATAAAAAGAAAACTTTAGTAAAAGATCTTTGTGCTTCTTATTTAGAGTTTAGGTTTTTGTCAGATAAGGAATTTCAAGCTCTCAAAAATTGCAAGCACTCAGAAGACCCAGATCTCCTCAGTATGACAGCAAGTATACTTTACTTCAGTGCTTTAAACATCTCTAGTATTTATATTTCAGAAAAAGATCTTCATCCTTAACTACTTTTATTTTTTTTATTTTTATTTTTATTTTTGAGACAGAGTGTTGCTCTGTCGCCCAGGCTGGAGTGCACTGGCGCGATCGTGCTCACTGCAGCCTTCGCCTCCCGGGTTCAAGGGATTCTCCTGCCTCAGCCTCCTGAGTAGCTGGGATTACAGGCACCCACCATCATGTCCAGCTAATTTTTGTATTTTTGTAGAGATGGAGTTTTACCATGTTGGGCAGGCTGGTCTTGAACTCCTGACCTCAGGTGATCTGCCCACCTTGGCCTCCCAAAGTGCTGGGATTACAGGCATGAGCCACTGTGCCCGGCCATCCTTACTACTTTTTAAAAGTAATTCTTGAATACTGAATTGAATATTGAACCAGTTCAGTTTGAATGCTGAAGCCAGTGTCAGTTACCAAGTCTCTCATTCATAGTCTTGATATTGATGATATAATTAAATGATAGATAACTACTCATTATCAACCTTGTAAATATTTCATCTTCCAGATGAAGTAGTGACATAGATTAGATAACTTTTTCCAAACTGTATAAAAAGTGTCAGAATTCAGACTCCAAACAGTGACTCCAAAGTCCTTGCTCTAGCCTTCTACTTCTTAGGAAGTGTGTATGTACTTGCCCTAAGAGCCTCTGAAAGCTTAGATCCAGACAAAAGCTGCAAGAAAGGGGATATGCCGCCTTCAGGAACCACTTCATTCATTCAGACGCAAATGTCCTTGAATTGGCAGTGACTGAGTAGAAAAAAGGGAACAATAATAGATTAAAAAAAGTAAGTGAGATACTAGATATTTAGGGTTATAAAAGAGAAGGCATATTCTGACTGTATTCAACTCTAGCAAAACTAATCCAGTTGAAGAAATAAGACATGTTTATCTAGTAGAAGCACTGCTTAGGTGATTTCAGTCCAGGTGGTTGCCAGTATTGATGAAGAAGTTATTTGGACACTGGGTTTTCATCATATTGCATTATTTCCTCTCTTGCTTGCTAAACACAACTCTGCTATTTGTTAAGCATGCCTGTATCCCCCTTATGTTTTATTGATACCTAAAACCTTCGGTATACCTACTGGCCCCTCCAAGAATGGGCATTGAAGAAAGCACCTGCCTCACTCTGCACATTTGCCTCCTGTAGTGAAAAGTCTCCTGTTACACATATTCTGAAGCAGAATATGTGTGCCTTTTTACAAGAGAAGAGCTGAGAGACAGGAACTGGTCCTAGAATATTATACTCCAGATTCTTTTACACATTATTTCTCTTTTAAGGATTAGTGTCTTGTTTCTGAAGGCTTTGTTTCCCATAAATGAGGTATTTACTTACTCAGTTAACTTATTCCCTGCCAGAGAATATTTTGAATTTACTTTTGATAGGCAGTGCCATAAAACTTCTGGTCCTTTTTCACATTCTCACTTTCCTTATAGTGATCAGCAAGGAGTCTTTGTTGACTCTTTTTGAATTTCTTGGAAATAGGTCCAATAGTTAAATTTCTTTTTTTTTTTTTTTGTTTCATTTTCTCCAAGGGAGCATTTTCATTGCTGTAGTAGCCTTAGGCAGCTCATTATTTGTATGTACAAGATAAACTAGTTTTTCATTTTCCATTTCTTCTCTTCGCTGTCTTTTGTTGATTATGTGATCATTACACTACCACCTCTTGAACCATAGCATGGTGAGTGATAACTCATGTCTTAAATAAATAGTACAGTGACTTTTATTTTTAGGTTTATTCCTTCCTTCCAGAAACAATATGGAACATTAGACTTGTTAAAGTAAGAGGTGTGTTATGTGAACTGTGAGCATCAGAACAGTTCTCCAAATATTTAATGGCAGTAATTTAGAAAAAACTCTGGCTAAAAAGACCTTCACTAAGAATTGAGAATTTTATTAAAAAATAACAGTATTCTAGTTAGCATTTGACTGTGTGGGTCCAGTACTGTTGTTCCAGAAGTCAGAACTGTTAGCCGTAACAGATAGGTTTACCTGTCTGCTGCCCTGACATAATTTTCTTGCTTCAGGCTTCAGCAGGAGCCCCTTTCCCAAAAAGAATCTGAGGGTCTTTTTCTTTTTCCCTGTGATATCTCTTCTGTCCACTAGGTGGCACTCACCCAGTTGCATCTTTATTAGTGAATTTTTGTAGCTTCTGCAGCTTTAACCTTTAGCAGCAAGGTTTTGTGAGAGCTCAGCCTGCTCTACCTTGTTCAGTGAGTCTCTTAGCAGAAAGATGTCTGTTCCATCAGTTTCTTATTCCACTCAAATCGGTAAGATTAGGACTAGAGGTACTAGTCAAGTGAACACTTGTTGGGAGTCTTACCTTTTAATTACTTAGCTTCTCTTGGGTTTTGAGTAGGGTCAGACTACTAGCACAAAGAAATTGGGAAGTTCTATAATATCAAGATAATAGTCCCTTGTGATTTAAAAATATAAATCTATCCCTATTATCTGGGGTTTCCAGAACTTCTTCACATGGAAAAAGTACCATACCTCCTCCAGGTTGTCATCTCACTGTCACTAGTGATATAAAAAAGGAACCTAAACTGCCCCCTCATATACCCCTCTACACCCCAACCTTTCCATCACCATTTTCTTTTAATCCACTGGATCTAATATTATGCCATTTATCTTGGTTTATGTCACTTACCACAGGCAGCCCCAGACTCCTGGGTCATCCTTCATCTCCCATAGTTTAATTGCGATAAGGTTCTGTGTGGTTCCTATTCTGTCTCCTCCCATCCCACCTAAGCTCCTGAAACTGGTCCACTGTACCCTCTGGAATTCATGGTCCATTACTGGCAAAACCTTTTTCACTTTGCTCTACTGGAAACCTGGTTTTCTCTCAATACCACTTTCCCTTTTGCTTGCTTATGTGGTTTTGTTTTGTTTTGTTTTGTTTTGTTTTGTTTTTGAGATGGAGTCTTGCTCTGTTGCCCAGACTGGAGTGCAGTGGCAAGCTCTCAGTTCACTGTAGCCTCTGCCTCCTGGTCACAAGCAATTCTCCTGCCTCAGCCTCCCGAGTAGCTGGGATTACAGGTGTGCACCACCACACCTGGCTAATTTTTGTATTTTTAGTAGAGACAGGGTTTCACCATGTTGGCCAGGCTGCTCTCGAACTCCTCACCTCAGGTGATCCACCCATCTTGGCCTCCCAAAGTGCTGGGATTACAGGCATGAGCCACTAGGCCCAGCCCATGTGATTGTTTTTCTTTGTTCTCATAGACCTCACCCCAGTGGGCTTGGAGATGGGGTAGATGTAATCTTTGTTATTCATTGCCACTCTCAGATCATTTTGCCTCTTTACTAAAAGGAAACAATTCCTAAAAACCAACAATTTCAAATCTTATGACATCGTTATGTCACCCATTTTCTCTTCATGTTGTCATCTACTGACACCCGTGTTACTCCTCATTTCTCAAACAATTTAGCTCTTGACTCATATCCACTCTTCTATACTCCAATACTACCTCTGACTTAATTCTTAGGAATTTTTATACGAAAAGGTCATGATCCTACCAATATTCTGGCCTTTCAGTTCCTTGAATTCTTCTACTGATTTTGTCCTCTATCCTACCTCAACCATTCCCCCGTTCTAGGATCTCATGTCATACCACCCAGGTTCTATCTTTTTACCTTACTCCCTTTGCTATCCTGACCCCAACAGGCCTCCAGCCCCGCTAATCCATTTGTCCTACCAGCATTTCACTGTCCTTCACTTTCTGATGACTTCACTCTTTCCCTGAGCTAAAATTTCTTGGTTAATCATTATAATCATTCGCTTGGGTTTTGTTCTTCCATTATCTCTCTCATTTCATACTCGATTGGCAAAACCACAATCCCGGTTAATTCCTTTTCTGTCTTTGTCCTGCTCCTGTAGCTGTGCAACTGAACATGGCTGGAGAATACCACAAAACTGGGCCCTCCTTTGACAGACTTTCTTCTCTTAGCTTTCAGGACAGGAAACACTTACTTTTCCTGCTAACTCACTGGCTGATCTTTCTCCCAACTCTCCTCTGCTTAATTTGTGAAGTTGCTTGGCCCTTGATACTGCCAGGCACTCATATTTGAAGCATTACAAATTCATTGAATTTCCTGCTCTCCTAAAGGTTATTTCACACCTTTTTTTCCTCCTCAACAGCCCAAACCTCCCTCATCCTCATTCTCAGTTGGGGATGTTTTCTTTCTACTTCACTGACAAAATTGAAGCAATCAGAAAAAGGAACTTCTAAAGACTTCCATCATTACTTTTACCTAGCAGAATTCTGTCTTCCTCTGTTACCATGGTCCTGTCTAAAGCCAGTTCCTGGACTAATTTGTTATCATCATTTTAACAAATATGTAGAATACACTGGAAATACAGGGTAAAAAGGTGTCCTCCCCCAGAGTGACTGTGGTTAAATCATACTTTTTATATACATATGTTATTCTAATAAAGGAATGGGAAAATCCTTTTCTTCTTTAGTTCAAGTGAGAAAGGTAAATTTTTGAATAAAACTTTACTGGAAAAGGGGCAAGGGAATTAAAAATAAAATTACAGAAACATGAAGGTATACACACTTCTTTTTTAATATAATTGGTGTGATCTTATACAGTATATACTGTTTTGTATTTTGCTTAACGTGTTTTAGCATCTCGATGTCCTTACATATAGATTTGTGTCATTATTTCTGATAGTTGTATTCTGTCATATAATACAAATAAGTTTTCCATTTTTTTATTACAAGCAATGCTGAAGGAAACATCCATTTTTAATTGTCTTTGCAAACTTGTATTTCTGCACAGTAAATTCTTAAAAATAAAATCTGTGGGCCCAAGTTGCTAGGTATAAGATTGTAGCAATTTATACTTCCACGAAAAATAAAAAAATATTTATGGTAATGTCTAGTAGGGGAAAAGTGATATGTTGTTTTAGTCTGACCACTAATAAGATTGCACCAGGGGTTATCTTTCTTACCTTGACTCTATCTGTAAAGTGAGATACATGAACCTAAAAGGTATCTTTCAGTTTTAAACTTCTGGTTCTGTTACTTTTTTTCCTTGCAATAAGCTGTCTTTGGTGTTATCTGTCATGTCAAACTCTTCTTTTGTTTCTGACAGCCTTCCAGGTCCTTTTGTTATTTTGTTTGTTTTGGTCTGAGTTTCATTCTCTTACTCTATGCACCAAAGGTCAGGCATCAGGAGCTGCTGCTTGCTTACAGCCAGTGTTTAGGAGTATAGAGCTAAACTGGGGCAAAACTTTAAAACTATTGCGCGAAGGCTGCTGATGTAGTTTCCACAGAAGACTTACTATTGGAGATTTAAGGGACTGCATCATCAGGTAAAGGAATTAAGTTTTAATTTTCTTCTCAACCGTGGGAATTTGATATTTTATTTCTAGCAGTGTGCTTTACTGCTTTCAGCCACCAGATGGCACATGGATCCCTTTTATTTTAGATGTGTCATTGTTGCGTTTGGTAGTGATGTCATCACGTTAGAGAGAGGCAACCTCTGTCCTTTCCAAATACAAGCTGATTAGTATACTGCCCTCTACCTGTCAGGAAATTTATTTGGAGGACTGATCAGCAGTTAAATTATGCAGAAAGCTACAGCTTGCCCTTTTACAAAAGGATCTTGTCCTGTTGCAGCTAGTATTTTCAATAGTAGCAATATTCGTGTTCTTTTTGGGGTCCAGAGGCTGGAAAGGTTTTTGTTCTTTAGTCTGATACCTTCATGAAAGCATAGCCTTCCTTTGAGAGGGCTCAAAGAGAGGTTTGTATTTTATCAGCTTGGTAGCTCATTGTAGCCTCATTATATACACACTCATAATCCCATCTCTGTCTCAGTTTCTGCTGAAAAACTACTTTAAGCGCATAATAGAACCTACCCACATTATATATGGATAACTAGCTTGAGATAACATACTGAATCCATTTCTTCAGGGAATTCCCCTGGTCTAACTTGGATAGAATATGCTGGTGCAGAAAGATTTTCACGGTCAAAGTCAACCCTTTGTGTCATATGTTAACTCCTAATTATCCCCAGCTAGTCTCATTTTTAGAGCCTCTTTCTAGCCATCCCAGCTTTAGTGTGTGCCTGTATTACTCTTTTCTAGAAACATATAGACTGAAATGGTATCTTTTAAGTCCAAGGTACCATCTGCCATTATCTGTGGATTCCAGATTTTATTTCTAACCAAATGTCCTTTTAAATGTCATTGTCTGAGACTTAGACCATCTAGTTGGGGGGTCAGTATTACTTAAACTTCTAACATCTTGGTACAGTCAGTTCCTAGCCTTAAATGTCTGTTGATACCAGTAAATCTCAAACTTTAGTATAAGGATTACATGAGGAGCATGTTTGTAACATGTAACATGTTTACATGTTAATGGTGTGAATTAAGCCACTCTTCACCTGTTCTCTTAATAATATTTTGGTATCTGTATCTGAATAGGTATTATATAAGTATTATCCCTGTTCTTATGGAGGTCATATGAGATTGATTAGGAAACAATTCAACATTTTCTGTTGACTTGGCAGTCAATTTTGGAGTCACTGTTTCAGAGGCACTTTTCTTGCCATCTTCCAAACTTCTCAGTAGCCATCTTAGAAGGACATTTTGAAGAAGTCCTCTGTGGTCAGTGAACTAGCTCGGAACCACTTAGAGATTGACTCTGCTGGAGAGGATGGATGGAGGGCAGAGTGATTAGGGCAGAGTATTGTGCTGGACTGGGGCTTGTACAACACGGAAGGAGTTGTGAGAAACTGGAGGAGATAGAAATCAAGATGAAGAATGTTACAGTTATACAGACATAACTTTTGTTCAAGCTTGGTTATTCTCTTGCTATGGAGACCTGGAGTTGGTAGACATCAGAGATGTGTTTAGGCAAAGAAATGGGATATCTAGCAAGTGTCAAAGCAGAACTAAGGATTGGGGTGAACAAAAGAGTGATCCAGTGCTCTCTTACTACATACTAGAACCCAAAACTGTTGCCTTAAGGAAAAGGCACTGTTTTGAGGATCCCTTGACCTTACACTATTTGGGAATTGTTGGACCTGAAATGACTTTGCTGCTGATGCTGAACAAGTCTCCCTCCAAACATAAGGTTGTAGACAGGCTAGTTTGCAAGGAGTGCTAAGGATGTCTCCACAGAATGTTTCCTCTGGGGCTTTTCTTTCAGCTTCTCTGTTATCTGTTTTTTTTTGTTTGTTTTTTTTTTTTTGCATAGGTAAGTGGTTCAGAAGTCAAAACAGTATAAAAAAGTCTCATTCCCACCCTAGTATTCATCCATGCCATCCTTCTCCCTCCCCTACCTTCTAGAGGTAACCATTTTTATTAGTTTGATTATCCTTTAGACTTTCTTAAAAAGTGCAGTTATAAACAAATACTGATACAGATTCTTGTCCTTCCTCTTACCAAAACAAGGAACATACTATCTGTACTGTTTCTATACCTTGCTTCTATATCCTGGAGAGTCTTCGTATCAGTATGCAGAGACTTTCCTCATTAAAAAAATTATAAGTTTTTAATAAGCAGGCATTACTTTTATAATGAACACAAGGATAAAACAAAAGTAGAGTAATGAAATAATTGTTCTTTTTTTTTTTTGAAACAGTAGCTACAGTAACCCATTTGATCTGACTGCATCTTAGCATGTATACATGTCCTTTTGATCTTCCTAAAAAAAACTCATACATAACAATGAATTGAAGAGTTAGTTACCCACATCAGCTCTGTAAATGTATGGCAACTTATGCTAGAGCTTACAGCCATTATGATATGGGGAAGAGAGACTTGCAAAGTTCAGCCAGGGGACCTTCCAGACTTCACTCGAGTGTGATACTTGAACAGGAGGAGATCTTTGTACTGCTAGCAAAGGGATGCTACTCTATAAAAGGTCTTTAAAGGAAAGGAGTGGCCTACCTTATTTTTTTCTTGCTTCCATTTCAGTTTTTGTTCTGGAGATGAATTGCTCTAGAACTTAGTGTCCTGTAACTGTTCCATGTATTAGAACTCTCGCCCATTGCCTTTGGAGCAGTGTGGAAGAATGCTTGTGATTCAGTGTTTGGTGGGAAAAGCAGGAAACAAATTATGTACACCTTATTACAATTGTTTCATATTAAAAACAAATGCATTAGTGAAAGATTAGAAGGGAATATACCAGACTACTGTAACAGAGATTTTGTTAGGGTACTACATACTTTCTCTTTTAATTTTTCTATAATGTGGTTATATTGTTTTTATAATGAAAAAGACACAGGGTTAAAAAGGAAATTTCAGTGTCTGACATGCTTGGAGAAGATTCTAGAGCACTTCTAGATTTCTAGAAGTACTTGGACCTGAGATTTCGTCTGCCAAGCCAAGTACTAGCATTCAGTTCTATAAAGCAAGTAACAGTATCCTTTACTTCACTCTTAACAGTTTCTTTTTGAAAAAACAGACTCCAATGTAAAAAAAAAAAAAACAAAACTCTTTTCACTTCTAAGTACCATTGGACAAGGGACCCCAGTGATATAACAGAAGGGCATTGGTAACCCCATTTCTGCAAGATGGGATGGAACCATTCTTTCCTCCTGATCCTACAATAACCCCAACTCTTCTTAGAGCCAGTGATTTCTTCTTTTAGATCTATTAGATGGGAAGATACGGCACTCTCCTGTGTGTGTGTTTGCATTTCTTTTAGCAAGAAAAACTGCAAAAATCCTTCCCAAGAATTTCCCGTTTTTCCTATTCTGCTTGCATTTTTCTTTTCGGCCACGGGGTGCGCGCAGTTGAGCTATTTTGGCTCAGGTTCCAGATTGTGAGGTCAGAGACTAGGGATTGGAGGAGAAGATCAGGTGACTTTCAGTAACAGAGATGGCGGTCCTCCCATCTCCACCCCTTCCCCCCCTCATCTTTCCCCACCCTTTCCTGGCTTCCACCTCAGGAACAAAGAAGGGAAAAAAACAGCAGTATGACGAAAACCAGCAGCTGTCTCTGCAGGCTCAGGCTGGGGGCTGGGAGTTTATTCCATCTGTTCTCTTTGTTCTGCTCTTACCCTGTTACTTCCCTTCCCAACCCTGAATAAAACAGAATATTTCTAGAATCCTTTGTTATGGAGAATGGTTTAGAATTCTGCAGTTTACTCAGTATTTATTTAGGTTAGCGTGGGTGAGATACAGCAGAGATTAAAACTGATCTGGAGCACCTAAAAAAAAGATGAAGGTACTTTGCCTTCTCATTCAGTCTTAAATTATGAATACCTATTTAATGTCAGATTTGTGACAGGGGATTATCAACTATTATTTCCAATTATCAAAACATTATTTCCATAATGCCTAATTGGTATTATCTTTGTTTTATAATTGAGAGATATAAAAGAGAATTAATATGTCCTTTGCTTGTTAAGATTTTATAGCAAGTAAACACCAAGCCAGAATTTGAGCCTAGATATATTGGGCTCAAATCCAGCACTTAGTGAAAGGGAGTGGCAAGAATGCAGGCATGTTGAGAGAAACCTCAGGTGCTTGCTTCCAGTGACTGACAGTGTAAAGTAACTGTGCTAGTGCTTCTTGATTTTTACCAGTGATTAGTGTCCTGATTTCTTCAACAAATAAATTTCAGGGGAAAAAATGAGATGGAGAGGAACATATAGATTAAGAGGGAATTTTAAATTTTATCAACCAGTACAGTATATGGAACTTATTTAGATCTTGATCCAAATGAACTATACAAAACACTTGACAGTTGAGACAGCTGGAAATTAGTGTGATAATGGTTTCATGGCATTTTTTAAAAAGTCATCATCTTTTAGAGATGTGTACAGAAATAATTGCGGATCATTATGGGATTTAGAAGTGGGGTGTAGATGAAACAGAATTGGTCACGAGTGGATAACTGTTGAAACTGAGTGATGTATGCATGGGGATTAATAATTGTGTTTTTGAATGTTTAATTTTTCCCATAATAAAACATTTTTTAATCCAGGAAAAGAGTTTTATTTCTAGTACCTTATTTTAATGCCTTTTCTTCTGCCCTCTAGCCTATTGTTTCCTTGCATAAACCTGTCCTCTTTGCTGACATACCTGAGTCCTTGTTTGGGATAGTGCCTGTCCTTCCAGTCCTTCCCCACCCACATCCTAGAAGCAGACCTCTTTTTAGCACTCCCTAATTGAGTCACCATCCTGGGTGTGCTGGGAAAGTATCTGTGGGAAACTCAATGACTATATTATCTGAAAGACCAAATGCTTGGTGAAGTGCCCAGATTTTTAATACTGCTTTTCTGCTACCCTTCCAGACTTATATCTGTCCCCTTCTTTATAACTCTCAGCATCTGGTTCTTCCTTTGGGATTCTGTGTGGCTTTGTTCTTGTCCTTTAGGTTTGTTCATTAATGCCAGTTTGCCCTGTCCCTCCTTACAGCTTGCACATCTGTAATGGTCTAGTTCTGTGGGATTTTGCAGATAGTTGTATATTTTGGCCAAGGTATCAGTGATACGGTTACCTTTGGGCAGGGATAACTGCTATTCGGTTGGCATGATATTTTTTCCTTCTATAATGTATACCTTAGTGATTGTTTTAAAGTGCTGAATTTATCCCTTATGTATATTACAACCATGAAGAATATAAATCAGAAGTCCTCCATTTGGGCAGCTTCTTATATTAACACTTATATTAACATTAAGACCCTCTTACTGTCTCCTCTTCCCAGAATTAGAGAGTTGATGTAGTGCTTAATAGACATGGCTTATTGTATGCTAGGTGAACTTGGCAATTCCATAGCTATGTTACCCTCACAGAAAGTTATTTCCTGGAGAGATTATTAAGTGTTCTGATCTTTCATATATGCCTGAGAGATCTAAGATTCTTCCACAAAGACCCTATTTCTTCAGAGAAAACTATAGTGATGCCAGAGTCTTTTTTTTTTTTTTTTTAACAACTTGTGATTTTTGTGCACCTGTGTTGTATGTGTTGCCATTATCTCACTTTAGGGACGTTGGATAAACTGGCGTATTTGTGCAGCCTCATTTAAGTAGTGGCAACCATTAATGACTTGTACCCACAAGTTTTTCCAGATAATTTCTGTTTTTTCCACCTTTCTTACATGTTCTTTTTTAGTCATAGGTACTTGGCTTACTCAAGGGAGGTGTAGCGTAAGATAAAGATAATGGAGGGTGTTCCCTGTAGAATAGGTACAAATGCTGCAGGCTTTATCTTGGGCAGAGCAAGTAGGGTTTTGGTCCTGAGTAAGTGAGTGAGGTTAGGTGGAGCTGCCTGTCTTCCAGCCGTGCGGATACAACTGACTCAGTCCGTGTTCTCAACAGTTTTTGAAAAGCCCATTTTTCTATCCCACTTACTCCCACCTGCAGTTCTTTAAGAACGTAGTTTCCAGGATGTCAGGCAACTCCCCACTCCTCCATTTCCTGTTTGTGGTCTTCATTGAGAGACGCCTTAAACAGGAATTCCTGGGGAAGTGCAGGCTATAGCGGTGGGATTCCGGGGGTCATTAGTCCATTATTGAAGCTGGGGAATCATGTACTATAAAAGGACCTCCCTTCCGTTCTGTTGTCTCCTAGAAACTATTACTGATCATAACCAAGCAGTAACTGCAACTCAGGGCTGTTGACTTGTGCCCTTTGTCTTTAGAGACTGAAAATTATTTTCCCTTCTTGTGCCTCAGTTTCTATTAGTTGAATTTTAGAGCTCAACATCAAGATTTGTGACAAAATTAACTTGGACTCTGTAGGACTGATTCGTTTGAAATGCAAAAGTAGTGAAGAACATAAAACAGACTCCCTATCTTGGCCGCCAGGGGGTGCCCTTTCCCTTCGCTTTACTGTCTGGCACTCCCCACCGCATTCAGCCATTTTAGACAGATTGTTTTTGCTCCCAGCTAACTCCATTTTGTATTTGTGACGCAGGAATAAAAAAAGGAGTTAGGCAAAGGAGGAGTCTGGTTTGCAGAGGGAGGGAGACTGGCTGAGGCGCAGCTACGTACTCTTTTACTCAGCAGTTGCTCATCAGGGACACACCTTGCTGCAGGCTGCCTGCATCCTGAGCAATCGATGCCGCAAGTCCTTGCCAGCGGAGCACAGAGCAAAATGGTTTGGCTGCCGGACACCTACTAACAGTGACAGAGTGCTAGCTTTTGAGGCAGCAGGCCAGGGCATCCCCTCTGCCTCATCTAGACTCTAATCCTGGGTTTAGGTGTTTTTGCTACAGAGATGTTTAGGGCAGTTTTCTTAATTATAGGATCAGATAAGAAAAGATACCCCCAAAAAAAGAAGAAAAAAAGGAACCCCTTTCACTTAGCTGTCTGGGAAGAATCAAATGCCCCAAGGACTCTAGGGAAATGGTCCTGAATTTTTTTAAAAAATGTTATTTTTGAAACCGTGAAAAAAATGCACGCACACATACACACATATATGTAAAGAGACTAGTATGAACACCCCTATGTCCATCACCCATTTAAAAAACTTAATCAACAGCTAGTCTTGTTTCATATACCTGTATCAACTTTGTCTTTGCCACCCATTATTTTTACATGTATCCTTGTTCATATTATTTAATCCTTAAGCAGTTCAGAATGTGTGTCAAAAAAATTAGGACTTTTAAAAGAAGATAATTACTACCATTATCACATTTAAAAAATTCTTTATCATCAGATAGCCAGTTAGTATTAAATTTCCCAAATTATCTTATGATAGTTGTTTTTTTTAATAGTTCATTTGAATCAGAGCCAAATAAAGTCTACACATTGCAGTTGGTTGATGTCTCTATAGGTTCTCTCTTATGCTCTTTTTTATTTTTTATTTTGCAATTTATTTATAGACTTAATTTCTTTTAAAAAGATCTCTGCCAGGCGCGGTGACTCACGCCTGTAATCCCAGCACTTTGGGAGGCCGAGGCGGGCGGATCACGTGAGGTTGGGAGTTTGAGACCAGCCTGGCCAATATGGCGAAACCTCGTCTCTACTAAAAATACAAAAATTAGCCGGGCCGCCTGGTGGCGCATGCCTGTAATTCCAGCTACTCGGGAGGCTGAGGCAGGAGAATTGCTTGAACCCGGGAGGCGGAGGTTGTGGTGAGCCAAGATTGCACCACTGCACTCAAGCCTGGGTGACAGAGTGAGACTCCATTTCAAAAAATAAATAAATAAATAAATAAAAAGAAGATCTCTCAGGTTGGGACTGAGAAGATACAAAGCCAGACTTCCCTTCTTGCCAGAGCAGAGCCTCTTCTTTAGGATTTCCCACAGAGGCTATTGGTGACCAAGTGAAGGAGCAATGCCCTGCCACCTTCAGAGGGAGAAAGGGCTGGACTCTTACTTTTCTCCTGACGTGATAATCTGTTACCCAAAGTCTTGAGAAAAGTTTGCACACTGCCGTCAACGGAGAACATGGTCATAGAAGTGGGCCTCACCCGTTCTAAGAATTAAAGGAGAGCTTTTAAGCTTTGGGACAACTGTGTTTGGCCACTGTGTAATAGCTGCATCCCTATGGTGATTCTAGAGTATCAGCTTTTTTTTTCCCGAATACTTTTTTTACTTAAGTAGCAGCTTTCTCCCTGGTAAGACTCAATGAATTAACAGCACTTCATGGACTTTTACAGAAAGAAAAAATATAATACTGTGTTGGGGCCGGGGGGGATGTGGTGAAAAGTCCTTTATGGCTTCAGGATTATAATATCGCTAGTCCTTCCCTTGACCTTTTTGGAGATACTCCCTGAGACTGACTTAGATGCAAATGATCAGATGAAAGTTCTTGCTTAATATTCTTCTCCCACTTCTGAAATGGGTCAGTGACTCTGACTTTCAGCAGCCACAGCAAGCAGTCTATTCCCTTGCCCAAGGGAAGGGCACAGGTGATAGAAGGGAATTAGCAGGGTCTGGCTTCTTGGCAAGGCTGGCAGGACACTCGTAGAGTCTGGTCTGTGGAGACTAGATTGGCCCCATGTCTAGTTTGGAAACTATAGTTCCCACTAGCAAAAGGTTTAGAATCTGCTGAATAGGTCAGGATTGCAGCAGCTAGAAATACGGATCCTGGCACGGCCACTTTTTAACCACATAGCTAGGTGTAAGGGTCTCTCTTTTCTACTATTGTTTGTTGAGAGTCACAGCCTTTGCAGAAAAAATTTTCCTCTTTTCCTTTGTGCTAAGGTGCTATCTATACCCACCTATTTTGGTCCCTTATTTCACACAATTCTGTAAACTGAAATTACTCAGCCCTTGATGTTGTTTTTAGGGTGAGGGACAGCATGAGGCCTTTGTTCTGGACTTCTCATCTTTGCTCTTATGAAAATGGGGGCTGGAACCCAAGCATTGATAAGGTTGTATATTAGGTGCTTTAGTATCTGGATGATTAATTAGTGCACCATTCCTGTAAGAAGGCTGGGAAGGCAGCAAATGGGAGCATTCTATGGGTTCTACATTTGACTGCCTGTCTTTACTGCTGGTTGTCAGTGGGAGTTCTTCCTAACCCACCGTCAAAGTTGAACCAGGCCTACCTGTCTAAGGATATGAAAATAAAATAGGTGGTGCCCAGAGCCATATCTGTCTTACCTTTCTCACAGTTTCCTGTTTGGTGACAGTTTTTAAAATTTACACATAGTTACATTATCACACTATGTTAACAAATCAAACTGTTTTAATTTGTTCATATTCACTTGTAGTCTTTGCCTGTGCTGTATATATAGCATTTACATGGTTGTAATCAGAGGGGGACGTGTGTGTGTATCTTAGTTCTTCTTTATTTCAGGTCGAAGTGTACAACTCATTATGCAGCATTAAATTTCAAAAAATTTAAAAGGAAATTTACATTCATGTAATCAGGGTCTGAGACCAAGATGCCCTTTGTTATGTACCCCCCTTCCAGTTACAACTGAACCTCCACCCCCAACTCAGAGTACCCACCATCCTGAAGGGTTTTGCCTGTAGCTTTTGGTATATATACACATTGTCAAAGAAGTTTCTTCGATTTCTAATATGCTAAGACTATTTATTCTGAATGGATATTAAATTTGGTCAGGTTTTTTTTTGTATTGTTGAGATGATCATATAATTTTCTACTTTAATCTGTAATTGTGGGAAGCATATTAACTGATTTCTGTTACACCGATTTTGCATTCCTAAAACAAATCTAACTTGAATGTGATCTGTTATTATTTTTATTTTATACCCCTTAATTCACTTTGCTATTAGGAATTTTGTGCCTGTGTTTATGAGTGAAAGTACCTATGATTTTTTTGATACTGTTCTTTCACATTTTGATAGTGAAGTTATGCTAGCCTCACAACATGAGTTGAGAAAATATACTTCTATTCTGTGGAAAAATTTTTTGCGTAAAATTGGTGGAATTATTTATTCCTTGAGTGTTTGAAATAATAGCTGGTAAAGTCATCTGGGTCTCTGAAGAAATTTTTGATCACCGATTTAGTTCTTTTATGGTTATAGGACTGGTTTTTTCTTATTGGATAAGTTTTGATGTGTTATGTTTTTCTAGAAATTTATCAATTTTATCTAAATTTGCAGACATATTTTGTATGATATTATTCCTTTTTTTGGGGGGAGCGGGTGGGGATGGAGTTTTGCTCTTGTTGCCCAGGCTGGAGTGCGGTGGCACAATCTCGGCTCACTGCAACCTCTGCCTCTCAGGTTCAAGCGATTCTCCTGCCTCAGCCTCCCGAGTAGCTGGGATTACAAGCATGCACTACCATGCCTGGCTAATTTTGTATTTTGGTAGAGATGGGGTTTCACCATGTTGGTGAGGCTGATCTCAAACTCTTGGCTTCAGGTGATCTGCCCGCCTCAGCCTCCCAAAGTACTGGGATTACAGGCATGAGCCACCGCGCCCTGCCTGATATTATTCCTCTTAATGCTTGAGCCTGAGCCATATTTAGTTCAGTCCTGTATTTTGTTCCTGATGTTAGTTACTTATGCCTGATTTCTCTGTTTTTCTTTCTTGTTTTAAAATACTGAATTTAACTGGTCTTAAAAAAAATGTTTTAAGCCAAAACTGTTGGCTTCGTGAATCCCCTCTGCTACAGATTTCACTAATTTCTGTTCTTGTCTCTATCTTTAAATTTTTCTTTTGGTTTATTTTATTATTCTTATTCTAATTTTTTTAAATAGGTACTTACCTCTTTAGTTTTTAGTCTTTTTTCCCTGTCATATATGCATTTGAGACGATGTTTTCTTGGGGGGTTTTTTTGAGATAGAGTTTTGCTCTTGTTGCCCAGGCTGGAGTGCAGTGGTGTGATCTTGGCTCACCGCAACCTCTGCCTCCTGGGTACAAGCGATTCTCCTGCCTCAGCCTCCTGAGTAGCTGGAATTACATAGGCGCCCACCACCACGCCTGGCTAATTTTTTGTATTTTTAGTAGAGTTGGGGTTTCGCCATGTTGGGCAGGCCGGTCTCGAACTCCTGACCTCAGGTGATCCACCTGCCTTGACCTCCCAAAGTGCTGGGATTACAGGCGTGAGCCACCATGCCCGGCCGAGACTGTTTTTGTTTAAATTATTGTTTGGGACACATCTCTTAAGTTGTTTTTTTGAGACAGGGTCAAAAAAAAAAGACAGCCTGTCACCCAGGCTGGAGTGCAGTGGTGCGATCTTGGCTCACTGCAACCTCCACCTCCTGGGTTCAAGCAATTCTTCTGCCTCAGCTTCCCAGGTAGCTGGGGTTACAGGCGTGTGCCATGACACCCAGCTAATTTTTGTATCTTTAGTAGAGACAGGGTTTTTTCACCGTGTTGGCTAGGCTGGTCTTGAACTCCTAACCTTAAGTGATAGGCCCGCGTCAGCCTCCCAAAGTGCTGGGATTACAGGTGTGAGCCACCATGCCTGGCTCACATCCCTTAAGTCTTGATAGGAAGTGTATTCGTTTGCTAGGGCTGCCGTAAGAGAGTGCCACAGACTGAGTAGCTTAAACAACAGAAATTTATTTCTCACAGTTCTGGAGGCTTGAAGTCCAAGATCAAGGTGTTAGCAAGTTTCATTTCTTCTGAGGCCTCTCGCCTTCTCTTGCAGATGGTTGCCTTCTTGCTGTGTCCTCGTGTGGTCTTTTCTTCTGTGTGCGCATTCCTTGTGTCTCTTTGTGTGTCCAGATTTCCTCTCCTTTATAAGGACACATCAGATTTGAAGTACTTAATTTCCATATATATTGAGTGTATTAGTTTCCTATTGTTCCTATAACAAATTACCACAAATTTAGTGACTTAAAACAATGCAAACGTATTATCTTACAGTTCTGGAGGCCAGAATTTCTAAAATCGAAATGTTGGCAGGGCTGTATTCCTTCTGGAGGCTCTAAAGAAGAATCTATTTCCTTTCCTTTTCCAATGTCTAATGCCTGCCCAGATTCCTTGGCTTATGGTCCCTTCCTCAATCTTTAAAGCCAGCAGCATAGCATCTTCAAATCTCTTTCTCTGACCTCTGCTTCTGTCATCACATGTCCTCTCTGACTCTGGTCCTCGTATCTCCTTCTTATAAGAATCCTTGTAGCTAAGTGTGGTGGCATGTGCCTGTAGTCCTGACAGCTCAGGAGGCTGAGGCGGGAGGATTGCTTGAGCCCAGGAATTTAAGGCTACAGTGAGCTCTGATTGCACCACTGTTCTCCAGCCTGGGTGACCGAGTAGGACTGCAACTCTAAAAAAAAAAAAACAACAAAAACAACTTGTGATTATACTGAGCCTACCCAGATAATCCAGATTAATCCTGTCATCTCAAGATCCTTAATTAAATCATGCCTGCAAAGTCTCTTCTGCTGCATAAGCTTGTTCAATATTCCCAGATTGTGGGAATTAGAATGTGGACATCTTTGGAGGACCATTATTCTGTCTACCACATGGAATTTTCAGGATTTTTTGTATTTCTTGTTAATTTCCGGCTAATTGCATTCTGGTAGGTGCTCTTGTGATTTCAGTCTTTAGAAATTTGTAGAGTTTTGCTTTAGGGCTCAGAATATTGCCAAATATTATAAATGTTCTGTGTGCACTGAAAGAACACGTATATGGTCTTCAGTTACGTGAAGTGTTCTGTATGTCTCCATTTGTTCTTGTCTGTTAATTGTGTTGTTTGAATTTTCTGTATTCTATTTGTTTTATCAATTACTGAGAAAAGTAGTCAAAATATCTCACTTTATGGAGTAGGCATTGTACTATTTGGTTTTATTTTATATTTTTTCTTTTGATTTTTTTATATTGACATAATTTTAGACATACAGAAAAGCTGCTAGAATAGTACAAAAAATTTCCTGCATTTGCTTGACCACATTCCAAATCAACTGTTAATATTTTACCTTTGTCTTACCCTTTTCTCTCTCTGTGTGTGTTATTTATGTATGTGTATGTGAGTATAGTATTTTTTATTGAACTATTTGAGGGTAAGTTAGACACGATGCCTTTTTTTTTAAGAGACAGGGTCTTGCTCTGTTGCCCAGGCTGGAGTGTGGTGACACTGTAACCTTGAACTCCCTGGCACAAGCAATCCTTTCACCTCAGCCTTCTGAGTAACTGGGACTACAGGCGTGTGCCACCGCACCTGGCTAATTTTTTGATTTGTATTTTTGGTAGAGATGTGGTCTCACTATGTTGCCCAGGCTCTTCTTGAACTCTTGGGCTCCAGTGATCCTTCCTCCTTGGCCTTCCAAAGTGCTGGGATTATAGGCATAAGCCACTGAGCCCGGCCCAGTGTGTTTTCTAATAACAGGTCCATAAATGCGGTACAGTTGTCAAAGTTAGAAAATTAACATAAGTGCAATACTGTTATTTAATCTACCGACTTTCTTCAGATTTTACCAATTGTCACAATAATGTCCTTTATAGAAAAAAGTCCTGGATCATGTACTGCATTCATTTGTCTTTTATCTTTAGTCTCATTTAATTGGGAACAGTTCCTGTTATGGTCACCTGCAAGGGCATTATAGACCCCCACTTAAAATTTGGTTTGGATGTTAAGACTATTCGTGTTACATGCATAACAAGAGGGTATGAAAAGGTTTATTAACATAATTGAGGTCCAGGAGAGCAGGGCAATCCTCTCAAGCAGGTTTGAAATGACTGTAGAGAACAAGGAAAGGATAGCTGGGCATGGTGGTGTGCACCTGTATTCCCAGCTACTCAGGAGGCTGAGGTGGAAGGATTGCTTGAGCCTGGGAGGTGGAGGTGAGCTGAGATTGTGCCACTGCACTCCAGCCTGGGCAATAGAGTGAGGCTCTGTCTTGAAAAAAAAAGAAAAGAAAGAACAGGGAAAGGAGATTCGTTTGGGCTTTTATTGTGGTTAGGGGCTTGGGCTGGGGTGAGAGTTCTTACACAAGAGCGGACTTTACCTAGTTTGGATTTCTTGCTGATTCCCAAGGAAGGAACATCTAGACTTTCATATCAGCTTGCCTGGATAAGGGACTTAGGAGAAAGAAAAAGAGGTAAGGTTTACATCTGGCTTATGTACAGATATAGGACATGAGAGAAAGAGGAAGAGGTGAGCTGTCAGCAGTTAAACATCAAAAAATGAAGTCAGACTCTTTGTTATAGTTCCTCAGTTTTTATTTTTTGTGACCTTAACGTGTCCATCAGTTTGGATTTGTCTCGTGTCCTCATTATTAGATTCAGGTTATACATTTTTGGTGCTTTATTTATCTTAAGATAATGTTATTAGGTACATACAAATTTAAAAATCCTGCATTTTCCTGATGAACTAAACTTTTTTTTTTAATCAGTATAGAAAGTCCCTCTTTATCTTTTATACTGCTTTTTGTTACCTTAAAGACTATTTTCGTCTGATGTGAATGCAACTTGGACAACTTTCTTCTAGTTAGAATTTGCCTGGTATAGCTGTACTTTTTCTTCCTTTCTGTATCCTTGCTCTAGATGTTTCTCATAAACAGCATATCCTTGGACTCTTGTTTTTTAATCCACTTGACACCATTGGTCTCAACCAATACAGAGTGTGTAGTCTGTTTACATTTAATGTAATTACTGAAATATTGAGGTTTAAATCTACCGTCTTATTTTGTGCTTTTTATGAGTTCCATTTGTTGCATGTGATGTGTTGATTTCATTCCATTCAAAATATTTTTTTCTATTTTGTGATTTCTTACCTGACTCCAGAGTTATTTATATATTTGCTTAATATCCAAATAATTGGGTATTTTTTGGTTATCTTTTTACTGATAGCTTAGTACTTTGAATTATTTCTATCCTTTGAAATTTGTTGAGGCTTGCTTTTACCCATATATGGTAAATTTTGGCAAATATGCTGTATACATATGAAAAAAGATATGTTAGTATTATTGGGTACATTGTTCTAACATGTCAGTTAACTTTGTTAGATATGGTCAGATTTTCTACGTCCTTTCCAAGTTTTTATCTGCTTGTTTTATTAGTATTGTGTGACGGGTGTTAATTCTTCCACTGTGGTTATGGATTTGTCTTTTTCAGCCTTTAGTTCACTCAATTTTTAACTTTATATATTTTAAAACTAAATTATTGGATATTTTTAGATTTAGAATTATTATATTTTCCTCAAGGATTGACCCTTTATTATGAAATGTATGTATCATGCCAGTTATTAGAGATGATATCTCTATCTGATACTAGTATAGCTACACCAGTTTTCTCTTGATTATTGTTCTTTTGATTAGTACATCTTCTTCCACTATTTTACTCTCAATATATCTGTGTCTTTATTTAAGGTGTGTCCCTTATAAGCAGCACATATTTAGTATGTTTTGTAACTCCAGTCTGACAGTTTTAGTCTTTTCATATATTTAATCCATTTGAGTTGATATATACCCTATTTCTATTTGTTTTCTGTTTGATTTTCATGATTTATGTTCTTTTTTCTGTTTTTGCCCTCTTACGGATTAATTTAGAACTGTATTATTTCACATTTCCCCTGTCGTTATATACCTTTTTACTATCCTCCTAGTGAGTATCTTAAAAATTACAATATACATACTTGACTTATGATAGTCTAATACAAATTATAATTTTACTACCCTCTAGATAATGCTAGAACTTTACAACATTTCTTTTTTTATTTTTCTTTTTTGAGGCAGGGTCTCACTTTGTCACCCAGGCTGGAGTACAGTGGCATGATTGTGGCTCACTGCAGCCTCAGCCTCCTCGGGCTTAGGTGATTCTCCCACCTGAGCCTCCCAAGTAACTGGGACTACAGGCACACATCACCATGCTTGCTAATTTTTGTACTTTTTGTAGAGACAGGGTCTCAACCTTATTGCCCTTATTGCCCAGGCTGGAACATTTTAGCTCTGTTATGTACCTTCCTTTTGAGTTACTGGTGTCATGCAGTTTGATTCTGTAGGTGCTTTAAACCCCACAAATATTTTTACTGTTACTTTGTAATACCAGTAGTCACTTAGAAACACCTTTCTAGTGTTTTTGCTTCCTGTCTACATTTTTGTATTTCCTTCGGATAATTTTTTCTTTCTTCTGCCTGAATAAATACTCCCTTTACTATATTAGTTCAGGTCTGCTGCTAATGAATTGTGTTTTTTTGTGGATATATCTTTATTTCATCCATATTTTGGAAGATGTTTTTTCTTTTTTTTTTTTTTAAAGAATTCCACTGTCAGTCTTATTGTTTTTCATTTGAAGATAATATGTTCCACCCCCTGCTATTTTGAGGTTTTTTTTTTTGAAACAAGATCTTGCTCTGTCGCCCAGGCTGGAGTGGAGTGGCGCAATCATAGCTCATGGTAGCCTTGAGCTCCCAGGCTTAAGTGAGCCTCCTACCTCAGCTTCCTGAGAAGCTAGGACTACAAGCGTGCACCACCGCATCCAGCTAATTTTTTAGTTGTTTTGTAAAGATGGAGTCTCACTGTGTTGCCTGGGTTGGTCTCAAACTCCTGGGCTCAAGGAATCCACGCACATTAGCCTCTCAAAGTGGATTACAGGTGTGAATCATCTGGATCACCACACCCAGCAAGGATTTTTTTTTTAACTCTGATTTTTAGCAGTTTTACTATGATGATATGCCACGGTGTGGTTTTCTTTGTATTTATACTTGAGTTTCTCTGAGCTGCTTGATTCTGTATGTTGAAGGCTTTCATCACTTCTGAAAAATACACAACTATTTTCTCTTCAAATCTTGCTCCTGTCCAATTTTTCTTCTCTTTCTGGGCCTCCAGTTATACATATGTTGGACCATTGGCCTTTTCAATGTGTCTCACTTGTCCATTACATTCTTTTTCATTCTTACCATTTTTAACCTCTGTGCTTTTAGTTTGGATCTTTGTTACTGTCTTCCAGTTCACCCATTTCTACTATGTCTACTGTTAAACCCATCTGTTGAGCTTTTAATTTCAATTATATTAATATTTTTTAGTTGTAGAATATTCATAGATTTTTATTTTTTATTTTTATTTATTTATTTTTGAGGCGGAGTCTCTGTCGCCCAGGCTGGAGTGCAGTGCCGCGATCTTGGCTCACTGCAAGCTCCGTCTCCTGGGTTCACACCATTCTCCTGCCTCAGCCTCCCGAGTAGCTGGGACTACAGGCACCTGCCACCGTGCCTGGCCAATTTTTTGTATTTTAAGTAGAGATGGGGTTTCACCGTGTTAACCAGGATGGTCTTGATCTCCTGACCTCATGATCCGCCCGCCTTGGCCTCCCAAAGTGCGGGATTACCGCGCCTGGCTGAATGTTCATAGATTTTTTAAAAGTAAATTCTACTTCTCTGATGAACTTCTCCGTCTTCATTTATTTTTATTTTTTCCTCTATATTCCAGAACATGTTAACCAGAGTGATTTTAAAGTCCTTTTTGGGAAACTGTAATGTCTGAGTTGTATGTGAATCTGTTCCTATTGGTTTGTTCCTTGAACTTTGGGCAAATGATCCTCCCTTTTGACATTACTAGTAATTTTGATTAAATGCCCAGGCATTGCATATAACAATGGTGGAAACTCCAGATGATGTTACTTTTCTCTGAAAAGAGAAGTCACACTTTCCTCTCTAGACAGATAATAGTAGAGGCTGATTGTGTTAATCCAGTCAGGAATTGAGCTGTGCCAAGACGTGGTTGTGGTTTTGGAAAAGCTTGATCTACCTCTTTCACCCTGTTCCTAGAGTGTAGTCTTTCTAAGGCTTTCAGCTGTGAGCCTGTTTTATTCAACTTTAAGGATATAGCCTTTTGTGCTCCCAGCTTAAGGAGGAGAGTCTCTTTTTTTTTTTTTCTTTTTTTTTTCAGAGTCTCATTCTGTCGCCCAGGCTGGAGTGCAGTGGCACGATCTCAGCTCACAGCAACTTCCACCTCTCGGGTTCAATCAATTCTCCTGCTTCAGCCTCTCAAGTAGCTGGGATTACAGGCACCTGCCATCATGCCCGACTCATTTTTGTATTTTTAGTAGAGACGGGGTTTCACCACGTTGGGCAGGCTGGTCTTGAACTCCTGACCTCGTGATCCACCTGCCTCGGCCTCCTAAAGTGCTGTGATTACAGGTGTGAGCCACCACGCCTGGCTGGTCTCATATTTTGTTTGTTTGTTTGTTTTTTGAGACGGAGTTTTGGCTCACTTCAGCCTCTGCCTCCTGAGTTCAAGCAGTTATCCTGCCTCAGCCTCCCGAGTAGCTGGGATTACAGGCATGCGCCACCATGCCTGGCTAATTTTTGTAGTTTTAGTAGAGACAGGGTTTCGCCATGTTGGCCAGGCTGCGCTCAAACTCCTGACCTCAGGTGATCTGCCCACCTCAGCCTCCCAAAGTGCTGGGATACAGGCATGAGCCACTGTGCCCGGCCCCAGAGTCTCATATGTTTTACTTTATACCATCTTGATTTTTTGTTATTCTTAGGGAAGTTTTCATTTATTCAAGATTATATTTCTGTTTTTTATAGTTAGATTTTTAATGTATCTAGAATTTAGTTTTGTGAATATCATAAAATTAGGATCTTACTATATTCCTTTAAAATGGAAAGCCAGTCGTCCCAACACTATTGGTTAGACCAGGAGTCAGCAAACTACGGCCAACATGTTTTGTTAATAAGGTTTTATTGGAACACAGCCATTCTATTGTCATTGTCAATGACTATTTTCATATTATGCCGGCAGAGTTGAGTAGTTGCAACAGAAACTATTAATATATGGTCCACAAAGCCTAAAATATATGTCTGTTTATGGAATTTCTTTTATTTCTTTATTTGCTTAATGTGTTCTTCTCTCATCATCTCACACTGTTTTTTGTTGTTGCTTTTTTTCTGAGACAGGGTCTCATTCTGTTGCCCAGGCTGAGTACAGTGGCATAATCACAGCTCACAGCAGCCTCAGCCTTCTGGGCTCAGGGGATCCTCCTACCTCAGCTTCCTAAGCAGCTGGGACTATAAGCATGTGCCACCATGCCTGACTAACTTTTTATTTCTTGTAGAGACAGACTGTGTCGCCTAGGCTGGTCTCGAGCTCCTGGACTCAAGCAGTCCTACCACTTGTCCTTCCAAAGTGCTGGGATTACAGGCATGAGCCACTGTGTCCAGCTGTTCTCACACTATTATAGTTATTTTAGCTTTATCCTACTGTATTGGCCTTGAAGATACAATTTGTTTAGTCAGGTTTGCTGAGATATAATTTATATATAGTAAAATTCACCCTTTTTATGTGTACAGTATTATATGGCTGACAAATGTATACGGCCATATAATCACAGTCACTCCAAAAAGTTCCTTCATGTTCATTTGTCAGTCCTCCTCCTTATTGCCAAACCCTGGCATACCACTGATCTATTTTCTGACAGTTGTGTCTTTTTCAGACTGTCATATAAGTAGAATCATACACTAAGTAGCCTTTTCAGTCTGGATTCTTTGATTTTAGCATAATGTCCATTATGTCCATTCACTGGCTGATGGACATCTGGGTTGTATCCAGTTTTTGGCAATTATGAATAAAGCTGATAGAAACGTTTGCATACAGGATTTTGTCTAGACAAATATATTTTCATTTTGGAGGGATAAACACCTAGGGATGAGATTGTTGGGTCATATGGTATGGTAAATGTATGTTTAACTGTATAAGAAACTGCCAAACTGTTTTCCAAAGTGGCTGTACCATTTTTCATTTCCACTAGCAATGTATGAGAGTTGCAAATGCTTTGCATCCTCACCAACACTTAAGTCTCATAAGTTTTGTTTGGTTTTGTTTTTAGTGATTTTAAAAGGTTAGACTTTGTAGTTTTAATTCCTAATGAGTTTAATTCCTAGTACATAGTTTTCATGACTTACTGATGATATTGAGCAGCTTTCTCTGTGCTTAATTTGCCATCTGTATATCTTCTTTGGTAAAGTGACTTTCCAAATCTGTCCATTTTTTAAAATTGGGTTGTTTTCTTATGATCTAGTCATAACTTTTTAATCTGTGTTGGGTATACTAGTTCTTTATCGGATAAGTGTTTTGCAGATATTTTCTCCCAATCTTGTCTTCTCATTTCTTAATAATGGCTTCAAAAGAACAGAAGTTTTTAATTTTGATGAAGTCTGCTTCATCAATTTTTCTTTTTATGTTTTGTATTCTTTTCTTTCTTTATTTTTATTTTTATTTTTTTGAGATGGAGTCTCACTCTTGTCGCCCAGGCTGGAGTGCAGTGGTGCCATCTCAGCTCACTGCAAGCTCCACTTCCCAGTTTCACACCATTCTCCTGCCTCAGCCTCCCGAGTAGCTGGGACTACAGGTGCCCGCCACCACGCCCGGCTAATTTTTTGTATTTTTACTAGAGACAGGGTTTCACCGTGTTAGCCAGGATGGTCTCGATCTCCTGACCTTGTGATCTGTCTGCCTCAGCCTCCCAAAGTGCTGGGATTACAGGCGTGAGCCACCGCGCCCGGCCGATTTATACTTTTTTTTGTGTCTTACCTGAGAAATTATTACCACCTCAAAGCTGTGAAGATTTTCCCCTGTTCTCTTCTAGATGTTTGGTAGTTTTAGGTTTTCCATTTAGTTCTATGGTCCGTTGTATAGATGCATGCTTGTCTATATGCATGTATACATTTATCTATTGATTGTATTGACATATAATTCACATATGATAAAATTCATCTTTAAAGTATACAATCCCATTTTTTGTGTGTGTACAGATGCTCCTTGACTTACAATAGAATTATGTCCTGAAAGCCATTGTGAGTCGAAAATATTGTTAAGTTGGAATGCATTTAATAACACCTAACTTACCAAACATCTTTCTTAGCCTAGCCTACCTTAAACATGCTCGGGACACTTATATTAGCTTACAATTGGACAAAATAATGTAACGCAAAGCCAGTTTTATAATGTTGATAATGAATTTTGAATCAAAATTTGAAGTACAATTTCTACTGAATGCATATGGCTTTTGCACCATCATAAGCTAAAAAAAATTGTTAGGTTGAATTATCTTAAGTCAGGGATAGTCTGTATTCAGAAAGTTGTCCAGCCATTACCACTATCTAATTCCACAGCATTCTTATCACGCTTACAAGAAACCCTGAATCCACTAGCAGCCACTTCCTACTTCCCATTCCACCCAACTTGGCATCTGCTAATTTACTTACTATCATATGGATTTGCCTGTCATGGACATGTTGTGTCAATATAATTAATAAAGTATGTGCCCTTTGTGTCTGGCTTCTTTCACTAATCATGATGCTTGCAAGGTTCGTGTTGCAGCATGTATTAGCACTTCATTCCTTTTTATGACACCACATTTTGTTTTTTCCATTCATCAGTTGATGGACATTAGGATTGTTTCCACTTTTTGGCTATTATAAATAATGCTACTATGAACATTTTCTTTTTTTTTTTTTGTAACTAAACTGAGATGAAGTACCAACAGCATGACCTTTTACCCTTAAATTCTTCAGCATGCATCTTCTAAATACAAGTTCTATAATCACAGTGTAATTATCACATTTAGAAAATTTATCATTGATAGGATACTGTTATCTAATATACAATCCATATTCAAGTTTCACCAATTGAATTAGTTTTTAAACATGTAAGACAATAAACAATTTTATTGAGATGAAATTCACACAACATAAAATTAACCATTTTAGAGCAAGCAATTTAGTGGCATTTGGTATACTCATAATGTACAACCATCATATCTATCCAGTTCCAAAACATTTTCATCACTCCCAAAAGAAATCCTTTACACTTTAAGCAGTTGCTCCTCATTCCTCCATCCCTTTAGCTCCTAACAATCACCAGTCTATGTGTGTCTCTATAGATTTACCTCTTCTGAATATTTCATATAAGTGAAATAATATATGTGACTTTTGTGTCTGGCTTCTTTCACTTTAGCATGATGTTTTTGAGAATTCTCCACATTGTATCATGTTATCAGTAGCTCATTACTTTTTATGGCAGAATAATATTCCATTGCATATGCCACAGTTTGTTTATGCATTAATTGACAGACAGACAATTTCTTTTTTTTTTTTTTCCCAAGACAGAGTCCCACTCTGTTGCCCAGTCCAGAGTGTAGTGGCACGATCTTGGCTCACTGCAACCTCTGCCTCCTGGGTTCAAGTGATTCTCTTGCCTCAGCCTCCCGAGTAGCTGGGATTACAGGCATGCGCCACCATGCCCAGCTAATTTTTTGTATTTTTAGTAGAAATGGCATTTCACCATGTTGGCCAGGCTGGTCTCGAACTCCTGATCTCATGATCCGCCTGCCAAGGCCTCCCAAACTGCTGGGATTACAGGCATGAGCCACTGCGCCTGGTGGACAGTTAGACTATTTCTACGTTTTGTCTATTTTGAATAGAGCTGCTATGAATGTGCATGTACTTGTATCCATTTGAGTAGCTGTTTTTGGTTTTGGGGGATATATGCCTTAGGAGTGGATTTGCTAGGTCACATGGTGATTCCGTTTAATAGGATGAAAGGATATGTTGAATCTGTAGATCGATTTGGGGAAAATATACATCTTTCAATGTTGAATTTTATGTTCTATGAACATCATGTATCTTTCCATTTATATAGGTCTTTGATTTCTCTCATCAGTGTTTTGTGGTTTTTAGCATACAGTTGGGTCACGTAACTTTTGTTCACATAACTGAAATGTAACTGAAGTGTTTCTTTCTCTTTTCTATTTATTTATTTGCTTTTGTCTTATGGTACTTTATTTCTCTTTCTAGTTGTTCATTTCTTTTTCTTTCTTTCTTCTTTTTCTTTCTTTTTTTTTTTTTTTTGAGACAGAATCTTGCTCTGTTGCCCAGGCTGGAGTGCAGTGGCACAATCTTGGCTCACTAGAACCTCCGCCTCCCGGGTTCAAGCGATTCTTATGCCTCAGCCTCCCGAGTACCTGGGATTACAGGCACACACCACCACCAGCTAATTTTTGTGTTTTTAGTAGAGACAGGCTTTCACCATGTTGGCCAGGCTGATCTCGAACTCCTGACTTCAAGTGATCAACCTGCCTTGGCCTCCCAAAGTGCTGGGATTACAGGCATGAGCCACTGTGCACAGCCCTTAAGTATATATAAAGAAATATAATTTAGAGAGTAGTGAGAGCAAACATCTTTACCTTGTTCCTGGTTTCTAGAGTCTCAGAATTCAATCTTTCACAATTAAGCATAAAGTTATTTGTAAATTTTTCGTAAATGTTCTTTATCAGGTTGAGGAAGTTGCCATTAATTCCAAGTTTACCTAGAGTTTTAAATCATGAATAGGATTTTAAATTTTGTCAAATGCTGATATGATTTTTTAAACATCTCTGAAATCATGATGTTTCTCACAGTGGATGTCATAGTTTCATTGGCAGGACTCTTTCATTTTTAATGGTGCATAAAATAGTGTGTATTTTATAATTGCTGCCATCATATATTTGATGAAATAGCCCAAGCTGGAGTGCAGTGGCATGATCTCAGCTCATTGCAACTTCCCCCTCCCGGGCTCAAGCGATTCTCATGCCTCAGCCTCCAGAGTAGCTGGGACCATAGGCGAGTGCCACCACACCAGGCTAATTTTTTGTATTTTAGTAGAGATGGGGTTTCACCTTGTTGCCCAGGGTGGTCTCGAACTCCTGAGCTCAGGTGATCTGCCCACCTCAGCCTCCCAAAGTGCTGGGATTATAGGCGTGAGCCACCACACAGGGCCTGAAATGGCGTCTTTTGATAGGTGATAGTGCTGGTGACATGTCTGTTTAAAAATTTTCCTGAGACCAGGTGCAGTGGCTCATGCCTGTAATCGCAGCACTTTGGGAGGCCAAGGTGAGTGGATCCCCTGAGGTCAGGAGTTCGAGACCAGCCTGGCCAACATGGCGAAACCCCATCACTACTAAAAATACAAAACTTAGGCTGGGTGTGGTGGCTCACGCCTGTAATCCCAGCACTTTGGGAGGCTGAGGCAGGTGGATCACGAGGTCAGGAGTTCGAGACCAGCCTGGCCAGTATGATGGAACCCCGTCTCTACTAAAACTATAAAAATTAGCTGGGCGTGTGGCAGGCGCCTGTAGTCCCAGCTACTTGGGAGGCTCAGACAGAAGAATCGCTTGAACCCGGGAGGCGTAGGTTGCAGTGAGCCGAGATTGTGCCACTTCATTCTAGCCTGGGCGATATAGCGAGACTCCGTCTAAAAAAAAAAAAAATTAGCCAGGCATGGTGTCATGTGCCTGTAATCCCAGCTACTCGAGAAGGAGGCTGAGACAGGAGGATTGCTTGAACCCAGGAGGCGGAGGTTGCAGTGGGCTGAGATCATGTCACTGCGCTCTAGCCTGGGTGACAGAGCAAGACTCCGTCTCAAAAAAAAGAAAAAAAACAACCTTATGCCTTATGAGATATACAGAAAGCACTGGTTAGAGGGTAATTTAGACCTGTAAATGCCCATAGTAAGGAAGAAGAATGATCTCAAATCAATAACCTAACCTTCAACCTTAAGACACTAGAAAGAGAAGAGCAAACTAAATCTAAAGCAAGCAGAAGGAAAGAAATAATAGAAATTAGGGAGGAAATTAACAAAATAGAGAATAGAAAAAAAAAATAGAGACAATCAGTGAAACCAAAAGCTTATTATTTAAAAAGATAACAAAATTCATAAAACTTTAGCCAGATTGACCAAGAAAAAGAGAGACTTGAATCAGAATGAAAGAGTAGACATTACTACCAAACTTCCAGAAATAAAATAAAGAGGATTACAAAGAATACCGTGAACAACTGTTCACCAACAAATTAGATAACCCAGATGAAATGGCAAGTTCCCAGAAATATACAAACTACCAAAACTGACGCAAGAAAAAATAAACAATCTGAATAGATCTGTAACATGTGAGGAGATTGAATCATTAGTCAAAAACTACCCAAAAAAGGCTGGGGGCACGGTGGCTCACGCCTGTAATCCCAGCACTTTGGGAGGCCGAGGTGGGCGGATCACAAGGTCAGGAGATCAAGACCATCCTGGCCAACATGGTGAAACCCTGTCTCTACTAAAAATACCAAAAAAAAAAAACAAAAAAAAAAACAAAACTACCCAAAAAGAAAAGGCCCAGATATCTTCACTGCTGAATTCCACCCAACATTTAATGAAGAATTAATACAATTAACACTAATTCTTTGCAAACTCTTCCAAGAAATAGAATATTTGACAACTCTTTTTTTTTTTTGACACATGGTCTTGCTCTGTTGCCCAGGCTGGAGTGCACTGGGGCAATCTCCACTCACTGCAACCTCCGCCTCCTGGGTTTAAGTGATTCTCATGCCTCAGCCTCCCAAATAGCTAGGATTACAGGTGTGCGCCACCATGCCTAGATAATTTTTTAATATTTTTAGTAGAGACAGGGTTTCACCATGTTGGTCAAGCTGGTCTCGAATTCCTGGCCTCAAGTGATCTGCCTGCCTCAGCCTCCTTAAGTGCTGGGATTACAGGCGTGAGCCACCACGCCTGGCTCACATCTCATTTTATGAGGCTAGTATTACCCTGATGGCAAAATCAGACAATGACATCATAAGAAAAAACTATAGAGCAATATTTTTTATGAATTTGGTAGCAAAAATCTTTAATGAAAAACTATTGACTGGGTGTGGTGGCTCATGTCTATAATCCCAGCACTTTGGGAAGCTGAGGTTGGTGGATTGCTTGAGCCCAGCCCAGCCTGGGCAAAGTGGCGAAACTGTGTCTCTACAAGAAATATAAATGTTAGCCAGGTGGGCTGGGCACGGTGGCTCACGCCTGTTATCCCAGCACTTTGGGAGGCTGAGGCAGGTGGATCACCTGAAGTCAGGAGTTCGAGACCAGCCTGGCCAACATGGTGAAACCCCGTCTCTACTAAAAATACAAAAATTAGCCAGGCATGGTGGTGGGTTCCCGTAATCCCAGTTACTCGGGACGCTGAGGCAGGAGAATCACCTGAACCCAGGAGGCGGAGGTTGCATGGTGGTGGGTACCTATAATCCCAGTTACTTGGGATGCTGAGGCAGGAGAATGGTGTGAACCTGGGAGGCGGAGTTTGCAGTGAGCCGAGATTGTGCCACTGCACTCCAGCCTGGGAGACAGAGCGAGACTCCGTCTCAAAAAACAAAAAGCCGAGCGAAGTGGCTCACGCCTGTAATCCCAGCTCTTTGGGAGGCCGAGGCGGGCAGATCACGAGGTCAGGAGATTGATACCATCCTGGCTAACACAGTGAAACCCTGTCTCTACTAAAAATACAAAAAATTAGCCAAGTGTGGTGGTGGGTGCCTGTAATCCCAGCTACTCAGGAGGCTGAGGCAGGAGAATGGCGTGAACCCAGGAGGCGGAGCTTGCAGTGAGCCAAGATTGCGCCACTGCACTCCAGCCTGGGTGACAGAGCGAGACTCTGTCTCAAAAAAAAAAAAACAAAAAAACAGCCAGGCATGGTGGCTCATGCCTGTAGTCTCAGCTACCTGGGAAGCTGAGATGGGAGAATTGCTTGAGCTCAGGAGGTTGAGGATGCAGTGAACCATGATTGAGCCACTGCACTCCAGCCTGGGTGACCAAATGAGACCCTGTCTCAAGAAAACCCCTCAAAAACAAAGATTCTATTTTGATTTATTTGCAGTGTTTGAGTGTATTGCTTTATATAGTTTTCTTAGATGTTGTTGTAGGTATTACAATATACGTATATAACCTATCCCAGTCTAATACATAACCTATCCCAGTGTTTTACCAGGTTGAGTGAAGTGTAGCAACTTTTTTTTCCATTTAAGTCTCTTTGCCCTCCTCACTTTTTAAATATAACTGTCTTAAGTATTTCCTCTACATGAAGCTACTCCATTTTGGTGGAACTGGAAGTGCATATGCTTGTCTTTTATCTGTCAACCTTACTGAATGATTAATTCTTGTAGTTCTTCCTTGGGTTGTCTTGAATTGCTATATATAGTCATATCTTCCACAAAAATGACATTTTCATCCCTTTTTTTTTTTTTTTTTTTTTTTTTTGAGACGGAGTTTTGCTCTTTTTGCCCAGGCTGCAGTGCAATGGCGCGATCTCAGCTCACCACAACCTCTGCCTCCCAGGTTCAAGCGATTTTCCTGCCTCAGCCTCCCTAGTAGCTGGGATTACAGGCATGTGCCACCACACCCGGCTAATTTTGTATTTTTAGTAGAGACAGGGTTTCTTCATGTTGGTCAGGCTGGTCTCGAACTCCCGACTTCAGGTGATCCGCCCGCCTCAGCCTCCCAAAGTGCTGGGATTACAAGCATGAGCCACCGCGTCTGGCCAATTTTCATTTTTTATATGATTTTCGTTTTTTGGAGACTAGGGACTCTCTCTGTCATCCAGGCTGGAGTGCAGTGGCACAGTCATGGCTCACTGCAGCCTCAACCTCCTGGGCTCCAGTGATCCTCCTACTTCAGCCTCCTAAGTAGCTGGGACTACAGGCATGTGCCACCATGCCCAGCTAAATTTTTTTTTAAATGGAGACAGGGTCTCACTATGTTGCCCAAGCTTGTCTCAAACACCTGGACTCAAGTGACCCTCCCACCTAGGCCTCCTAAAGTGCTTGGATTATAGGCATGAGCCACCATGCCAGGCCTATTTTTTTATGTGATCTGTCTTTACCTACTTCTCTCACTTCATCTCCTGCTCTTCCCTTCATTGCATCTACTTTTAGCCTTAGTGACGTTTTTGCTCCTCCTTCAACAACACATCCAACATGCTCTATCTCAGGCCTTTGCATTTGTTATTGCCTCTGCCTGGAATGCTTTTGCCCCTTTCCCCTGGATGTTTATGTGGCTTGCTCCCTCACTTTCTAAGAGGTCTTTACTCAGATGTCACTTACAGTGAGATCTTCCCTGACCATCCCTCTAAAATTGTAAACTGCCCCCGTCATCAAATCCCCCATCCTTTTCCCTGTTTTTCTTTTCACAGCAGCTATGATAATATAGTATACTATTTTATCTATTAAATGGTCTAGTTTATTTATTTTTGTTAGGACGTAAGTTCCATGAAGGCAAGAATCTTTCTCTATTTTGTTCACTTCTTTTATTTCCATTGCCCAGAATGGAGCCTGGCACATATAGGTACTCAATAAATATTTATTGAGATAATTAATCTTTGTGTATTTAGTATTTTTCTTCCTCAAACTGGGACTACTGAGCTCCAAAACAGTGAATTTTTTTGAGACAGGTTCTTACTGTGTCATCCAGGCTGGAGTGCAGTGGCACCATCACAGCTCACTGCAGCCTCAATCTCCTGGGCTCAGGTGATTTTCCCACGTCAACCTCCTGAGTAGCAGGGACTACAGGTGCGCGCCACCATGCCCGGCTAATTTTTGAACTTTTTTTATAGAGACAGGGTTTTGCCATGTTGGTCAGGTTGGTCTCAAACTCCTGAGCTCAAGTGATCTGCCCACCTCAGCCTTCCAAAGTGCTGGGATTACAGGTGTGAGCCACTGTGCCCAGCCAAGAGTGAATGTGTTTTATAGTTCTTTGTACCTTTTGTATGTAACTTTTTTGTTTTAATTCTTGTTTATTTGTACCAGGTAATACTTTTCATGTGGTTTAAAATTCAAATGGTATAAAAAGGTTGTGTTCAAAAGTATTCCTCCCACTGTCGTGTTCAAACACCCCATTCCTCTGCTCAGAGGCAGCTAGCTTTGTCAGCTTCTCGACTCTCCTTTCGGGGATATTCCCATATGACTTTCTGAAAATTTGATACCAAGTTACACTATAGTACAAAGTATTTTACAATTATATCTGTCCAGAATAGTTACTTGGTTTTTTCCTATGTATTGCTCAACCCTCCTTGGATAGCCAGCATCAACCATTTTTTAGAGAATGTTACTATCATGAGAGCCATTAAGGGAGTGATACAATGAAATACTGTTTTGCCCATGCCCTTGAAGTTCAAAATCTAGGTGGGATGAGAAATATCCACACTTATTAAATAACAGAGGCTTTAAAAAGATCAAGATAATACGTATGCAATGTCACAAAACATTGAATAATTAATTGTTGGATGAGATATAGATAACAAATACCATGAAAATAAGTTTATCAAAGCAGAGAGTGAGTATCATTTATCAGGGAACGTTTCATGAGAAGGGAAGAATATGATGGCTTTGGATAGTCTGAAAAGAATGCAGAAGGCAGAAGTATATTTTACCTCAATCATAGGCAGTTGAGAAAACAAAATTTTTTTAGAGAAAGTCATGTTCAAGATGGAGCTTAAGGTAGGGCAACAGTGGCTCATGCCTGTACTCCTAGCAGTTTGGGAGGCTGAGGCAGGCAGATTGCTTGATCCCAGGAGTTTGAGGCCAGCCTGGGCAATATGGTGAAACCTCATCTCCACAAAAAATAAAAAAATTAGCCGGGCGTGGTGGCCTGCACCTGTAGTCCCAGCTCCTTGGGACCCTGAAGTGGGAGAATTATCTGAGCCCAAGAGGTCAAGGCTGCAAGTGAGCCATGATTGCGCCACTGCAGTCCAACCTGGGTGACACAGTGAGATGCTGTCTCAAAAAACAAACAAAAAAGATGGAGCTTGAAAGATAAGTTGGATTTTTAAATAGGCACAAAAGGAAGGATAACATGGTGGAAGGGGACTGCTGAACTACTACTAACCAACTGTTCTTGTGAATCAAGTTTTAATGGAACACAACCATGCCCATTCATTTATGTATTGTCTGTGCCTGCTTTCATGCTACAGTGGCAGAGTTGAATAATTGAGACCATATGGCCTGCAAAGCCTAAAATAGTTACTATCTGGTCCTTTACAGGCAGCTTGCTGATCCCTGCAAGTAGATAGGATGTAGGTAGGAAAGCATTACTGATAAATATTGAAGAAATGAAAATGAGATATTTATTAGAGTTGGGGGAGGTTCAGTAATAAAAGGGTGGTTGGTTGAAGAGGAGGTTAGTTTTGAAGGAATACAATAGACCATTATAATAGAGAGGAAGTGAGGGGCCATTTCACGCTGGACAGTAGTTGCTTGGTAAAGCACAGAGGTGGCTTACTTTTAATCATGCTTTTCTAATCTTTTCCCTGCTAGCCAAGAAGGATCAAGAAGGTGGAGAAGAAAAGAAATCTGTGCAAAAGAAAAAAGTAAAAGAGTTAAAGGTGTTGGATTCAAAGACAGCCCAGAATCTCTGTGAGTATCTCTTGGTCCCAACTATTCAAAATGTGAAGGAATTCTTTTAAGAATTTTTAATTCTCTTGAATCTATGGTCCCTTGATATGGAACTTTAATTGTTCAATTCCTGCTATATACCAACCATTGCACAGTGAATTTTCAGTATCATGTTTAATTTCTTCAATAGCACTGCAAGATTTTTAAGTATCCAGTTTTATGTCAAGGAAACAAGCTAAGACTTTTAGGAATTTGCTTAGACATAAAGCTAGTAAGAAGGAGGTCTGGGATTTGAGCCTTTTTTTTTTTTTTTTTTTTTTTTGAGACACAGTCTCACCACTCTGTTGCCCATGCTGGGGTGTAATAATGCGATCACAGCTCACTGCCACCTCAGCTTCCTGGGCTCAGTTGATTCTTCCACCCCAGCCTCCCAAGTAGCTGAGACTACAGGTGTGCACCACCATGCTCAGCTAATTTTTTGTAGAGATGGGGTTTTGCCATGTTGCTCAGGCTGGTCTCAAACTCCTGGGCTCAGGTGATCTGCCCAGCTGTGTCTCTGACTTTCTTATTTAAAAGTTCTTACTATGTCCATTGCGTTCACAGAAAGTCTACCACAGATGGTCTAGCCACTGGACATTTCCTTGCTCCCACTTTTGCTTTTTTATTAAATAAATAGAGAAGGGGTCTCGCTATGTTGCCCAGGCTGGTCTTAAGCTCCTGGCCTCAAGTGATCTGCCCACCTCAGCCTCACAATATGTTGGGATTACAGATGTAAGCTACCATGCCCAGCTTTCACTTTCTGATAAGTAAAGGTACTAGCTTGGCTTCAATTAAATTTAAAATTACTTTGTGATTTAAAATAACTAAGGTAAATTTTGTACTTCTCAGAGTAGGATCAGTAACTCCAGAGAAGGGTTCTGTTCTGAAGTTTCCACGTATACTCGTAACTCTTTGGTAGCAAAATTTCAAATGAGAAATTCCTCTGCAAAGTTGATATAGGTAGTACTTATTTGATGATCAGGACAAATGTTAAATTTTTGTTCTTTTTAATTACTCATCTACCTACTTCATACCAAGAAATATAGACTTAAATATTTATTTGACAAATATTTCAGGGTCTGCTATGTTATAGGCTCTATTAGGCATGTGTTCCAGAGATGAAAGGGTATTTTCCGTAAAACCCACTCATAGTCTTGTGATGCAGTTATTGTCCCTGTTTATCCAAATGAGAAAACCAAAGTTTAAATGATGCGAAGTGCCCAGATCACACAGCCAATAAGTACACATACCCATAAGTAAAGTCAGTGATACAATGAGACCAGTAAACTGTCACATTATTCTTGATTATATAATCTTAAATTATTGTCAATAACTATTACTACATAGTGTCTGTGGTGAAGTCTTATGGAGATTAAAGTATTGTGAGTCAGTTCCTCTTCCCAAGAGTATCTCTAGGAACATAAGACATGAGTAATTGGTTTAAAAAATGATACAAGAAAGACAATGGTGTAGTACATTATGATTTCTAGTGTTATGATATTGATATGGAAAACAGAATTTAAGAAAAGAAAATTGAGAGTAGTATAGGATAGGATGGTCTGGAAGATGGAATTTAGTGATTAAATGTCTCTCATGTGCTAATGATACAAAGCTGAATAAGACAATAGTCCCTGTCTGCATGAGCCACGTATTTGGTAAAGACAGAAAGGCAGATGATAACAGTGCAGATTAATAAATGCTATGATGGAGGTATGCTAGAATGTTTATGAGAGTACTAGGAAGGGAGGGATCTAAATCAAGTGGGGGCAGTGTTGGAGGGGCAAATCCCAGAAGATATTCTAAAGGAGGTACTACTTAAACTGAGTTGAAAGACCAATTAAGGAATTAAGGAGGCTGGGCATGGTGGCACATTCCTGTAATCCCAGCAGGAAGCTGAGGTGGGAAGATTGCTTGAGACCAAGAGTTCAAGACCAGCCTGGGAAACAAAGCAAGACCCCTGTCTCTACAAAACATAAAATACTAGCTGAGCACAGTGGCGTGTGCCAGTAGTCAACTACTCAGGAGGCTAAGGCAGAAGGATCACTTGAGCCCAGGAATTTGAGGTTGCAGTGAGCTGTGATTGCACCACTGCACTGCAGCCTGGGCAACAGAGTAAGACCCGTCTCAAAAAAAAAAACCAAAAAATTAAGTGAAGGCGGGAAGGTTGGCTTGTTTCAGGAGAGGGATCAGCATGTATGAGAGCATGAGATAACATTGTGCAGTTCAGGAACTGCAAGTAGTTGAGTACAACTGAGTAAAGTTTAAATCAGGAAAATGAGTGAGATTATCCTGTGTAATTTTTAGGAAGGCTGCTTTGGCAGTGATTTTGAGGCTGGATTGCTTTTTATCCTGTGTAATTTTTAGGAAGGCTGCTTTGGCAGTGATTTTGAGGCTGGATTGCTAAGGTAAGGGGAGACTATAGGCAGAGATGAGTTATGTCATTGTTTTAAACTAGGTGAGATGTGATCAGGGCCTGAAACTAAGGTGATGAGAATAAGAGAGGGAGAGGATATTAAGATGGTAGAATTAGGCTAGGTGCAGTGGCTCATGGCTGTAATCCCAGCACTTTGGGAGGCTGAGGCAGGTGGATCACTGGAGGTCAGGAGTTCGAGACGAGCCTGGTCAACATGGCAAAATGCTGTCTCTACTAAAAATAGAAAAATTAGCTGGGCATGGTGGAGCACGCCTATAATCCCAGCTACTCATGGGGCTGAGGCAGGAGAATCGCTTGAACCCGGGAAGCGGAGGTTGCAGTGAGCCAACACCATGCCGTTGCACACCAGCCTGGGTGACAGAGTGAGACTCATCTCAAGCAATAAATAAATTAAAATAAAAAACTAGCCAGATGTGGTGCCGCATGCCTATAGTCCCAGCCACTTGGGAGACTGAGGTGGGTGGAGGATTGCTTGAGGCTGGGAGGTCCAGGCTGCCATGAGCTATGACTGCACTGCTGCACTCTAGCTTGGGCAACAGAGTGAGATGCTGTCTCAAAAAAAAAAAAGAGAGAGAGAGAGAGAAGGTAAAATTAATGGAATTTAGTGATTGACTTGGGATAAAGGAGAAGGTGCTTTGAGGTTTAGGTCACTCTGCGGAAAGTGGTACCATTTACTGAAATAGGAAAATTCAGCAGGAACAGATTGTCTTTTCGGGGAGGTGGATGTGAGAGGTAGCAGGTTGGTGTCTTACTTAAAGTATATTCTCTAAGTGGCTGCCATCTTTTCATTGGCTTTGTGGTTATGGAATAAATCAGAGTCGTGGAAGTGAGAGAGAATAGGCTAGTTTAGATTGCTATAAAGTGAAAGAAAGAGAAACTGGTAATTTAGAGAGGAACATTGAGTAAGATTTAAAAAACTTGATTATGTATATATGATGAAGGGAAAGGTCTGTGGGGCTGCCTCTTCTGTTGACACATGAGGAAAGGATGAGTACATGGGAGTATATATACTTAGACGTAAATATATGAACACATGCCTCCTATAAGCTTACGAAAATGTTGGTATAGTTTTCTTCTAGGCGATTCCAAAAGGCTTATCTGAGTCTTTTCTAGTCTGGCTCTAACCAAGAGCCCTAGTGCTTTATTTTTAAGTAGGATAAGAGAAAGCTGAGCAAGTAATTTGACCAGTGGCTTTGATTTTTCTCAGTGAAGAGGAGCAGGGTCTTCCTGGAACAAATGGGGAAGTGGTGGGGCAGTGGGGAAAGTGGGAATATGTTGGAGGACCTGCCAAGAAGGGTGGGAGAAAGTGGAATTGGGACACACAAAGAGAATTGCTAACAGCGCGGAGGCCCCAGTTATCATTGGTGCTACTGCAAATTCATAGACTCCAGTCCGCATCAGCCTAGGTGTCAGAGTAGAGAAATGAAATGGCTAGACTGACCAGGGACCCAGAAGGAGAAGGAAGCAAAAGAAAGGTAATAGTAGGAGTAATAATACTAATGGGAGTCATAGTAGAGAGCAAATGAACTGATGGTTTAGAGGCTCCTAATGAAATAGGAAAGGCAGAGTGGAACTGATATATCAGTGAAAACAGAATGGTCAGGAGACTGGAAAGAGAGGTCCTGATAAGGCTGAAGAGTCAAGTGAGAGATTAGAAAGGGAGAGTTGAAAAAACAGGATGTATTTGTTAGGGAATAGGATATGGTGGTTTAAGGTCAAGGCAGCTTTGAGGATCACGTCCTGAGAGTGGGGAACTAAAGTAGAGTGGGGTGAAAGTCTTTGACGTATATATACTTTTTTGAGACGGGTCTCGCTCTGTTGCTCAGGCTGGAGTGCAGTGGTGCGGTCACAGCTCACTGCAACCTTGACCTCCTGGGCTCAGGTGATCCTCCCACCTCAGCCTGCCGAGCAGCTGGGACTACAGGTGCACACCACCACGCCTGGCTAGTTTTTGTATTTTTTGTGGAGATGAGGTTTCCCCATGTTGCCTAGGCTGGTCTCAAACTCTGGGGCTCAAGCGATCCGCCCACCTTGGCCTCCCGAAGTGCTGGGATTACAGGCATGAGCCACTGTGCCTGGCCTAAAAGAGCCCTGTTAGGAAGATTATCCAGCATAGGTTTGCAGGATGGGTTGGAAGCGGGAACAGACCGAGAAGAACATGTCTTAATATCTCATTTTCTGGCAGCAATCTTTTTGGGTTCCTTCCGCATGCCCTATCAAGAGATTAAGAATGTCATCCTGGAGGTGAATGAGGCTGTTCTGACTGAGTCTATGATCCAGGTAAGGAGTAAGGTGGTTCTGCTGGAGCAGGCTCTTCTGTGTCGCTGGGCACTGGCCTCATCTCTGTGTAGATGAAGAGGATCCTCCTCCAGCATTGCTGACTTATGAATGCTGGCTTTGAGAAACTGCCTTTTCTCTGGTGGTCAGATTACTTCTGGTATATTTTGCAAAAGTACCCCCATCTCAGTAGCTGCCTCTCTTCTCCCACCATATGTTTCTTTCTGTATGGTCCTTGAGCAGAGTGTGGGACTGACAACAGAGTAAAAGTTGTTTAGGCTTGAGTTGTTAGCGAATTCCCCTCCAGCTGAGATGTCTCTTCTGTCTTTCAGAACCTCATTAAGCAAATGCCAGAGCCAGAGCAGTTAAAAATGCTTTCTGAACTGAAGGATGAATATGATGACCTGGCTGAGTCAGAGCAGTTTGGCGTGGTGGTGAGTGAGGCCTGTGGCAGTAAGCGGTTTTCCACCTCCTGTATTCCCCTCCCCTCTAGAGAGCAGCCTGGGCATATGCTCCTTGCCGCTTGTCTGTTTTTGAACCTGTCTTAATCTCTCTCTTCTCCCTGCTCTGGAGCTGTGATCCTCCCATAGGAGGCTCAAGCGTGTATCTTTTTCTGACTTCCCCCTCTTTTGACTGTAATGGAACTGCTTGTGTTCTTTACTAGATGGGCACTGTGCCCCGACTGCGGCCTCGCCTCAATGCCATTCTCTTCAAGCTACAATTCAGCGAGCAAGTGGAGAATATCAAGCCAGAGATTGTGTCTGTCACTGCTGCATGTGAGGAGTTACGTAAGAGTGAGAGCTTTTCCAATCTCCTAGAGATTACCTTGCTTGTTGGAAATTACATGAATGCTGGCTCCAGAAATGCTGGTGCTTTTGGCTTCAATATCAGCTTCCTCTGTAAGGTGAGCCAAAGAGGTAGGGCAGGACAACACAAGGAAGGCTGTAGCCTCTATGAGTTCAGTGTTGGCAGGAGGCCATCTTGGACATGTCAGGATTTAACAGTTTCTCCTCTTTCTCTAAGCTTCGAGACACCAAGTCCACAGATCAGAAGATGACGTTGTTACACTTCTTGGCTGAGTTGTGTGAGAATGACTATCCCGATGTCCTCAAGTTTCCAGACGAGCTTGCCCATGTGGAGAAAGCCAGCCGAGGTGGGGCAGTTTGGAATGAAGCTAGAGCCCAAAAGTCTCTGCATGGGGAGGGAAATAAGACACAGTCTAGATGTGAGAGCATTTTCAGTTCAGACTATTTCAAGTGGAAATGAGATAGGATTTAGGCATGGTGCCTAAGTCACAAGGGCAGAGCGTATGGCTGAGGAGAGATCTTTATGTGTAGAAATAGGAAGCACTCTTTCTCTTCCTAAGGAAACACCAAACACCAAAAAACAGCTAGAAAGGCAGGTGTTTTTAGTCTAGGTTAATAGTTCTTTTCATTAAGAAAACATAGACTACATTAACAAAAATTAGGCCTCACTGTCCTGGAACTAGACAAAGAAAAAGCAGCATTCACTGGAAATTGGAACAGATTTCTGCCCCCGCCTCTATATTTCTATGTATATCTCCTTCCTCCCAAACCCTGTTCTCTAAAATAAATGAGACCAAGATCTCAGGGGATTTCATAGATTCATGTTAAATTAAATGAAGTCTCTCTTCTGTTCCTAGTACTGCATACCTTGTGAAGGCTGGAGGTTCAATGATCAAATAATTTATAGTTTCACTGGAAAGATGAAAACTTAAGTATGTGACACAACTAAAGTACATAAGGAACTAAAATTATTAAGTACCAGAATGTGTGTATAGACTGAAGCTATGCTCTGAAAGGTGAAACTAAGGGGTGTTGAGGCTGGGATTATTAGTAAGCTCTTGCTGTCTGTTTTTATGGTTTTTTTTTTTTTTTTTTTTTTTAGTTTCTGCTGAAAACTTGCAAAAGAACCTAGATCAGATGAAGAAACAAATTTCTGATGTGGAACGTGATGTTCAGAATTTCCCAGCTGCCACAGATGAAAAAGACAAGTTTGTTGAAAAAATGACCATATCCTCTCTTGAAAGGAGGGAGTTGTTCCCTAGGAAGGGAAAGAAAACTTCCTGTAGTGGGGGAAAAACAGGATAGATAGGGCAGTATGCAATTTTTTTCTCTTAAAAAACTCTTTTTCTTTAAATACATAGTTTTTTGGGTTTGTTAGTATTTTGAGACAGGCTCTCTCTGTGTCACCCAGGCTGGAGTGCAGTGGTGCCATCACGCCTCACTGCAGCCTTGACCTCTTGGACTCAAACGATCCTTACCCCCTCAGCCTCCTTGGTAGCTGGGACTACAGGCATGTGCCACCAGGCCCTGCTAAACTTTTTGTAACCTTTTTTTCTTTAGAGATGGGGTCTCACTTTGTTGCCCAGGCTGCATAGTTCCTGAGAGCATTCCATTGTTGTGGAGTAGAAGCACACCATGCAGATCAACCATAAAAGTCCCACCAACTCCCCTGCCTGTACCCCGTCTCCACTACACACGCTCACACATGCTTCCCTCTCTTTCCCCTCCCCAGAGGTAACCACTGCCACTGGACTTTATTCTGATTTGCACCTCATACATTTATTTTAAACAAAAACTGCATTGTATTGTGTTTTGCACATATGTCTTGGCCATGTTTCCATAATAGTATTTATAGAAAACCTCCTTTTAGGTCAAGAGATGGAGACCATCCTGGTCAGCATGGTGAAACCCCATCTCTACTAAAAATACAAAAAAATCAGCTGGGCGTGATGGTGCGCGCCTGTAGTTCCAGCTACTTGGGAGGCTGAGGCAGGAGAATTGCTTGAACCCAGGAGGTGGAGGTTGCAATGAGCCAAGATCGCGCCACTGCACTCCTGCCCGGCGATAGAACAAAACCCTGTCTCAAACAAACAAACACAAACAAACAAACAAACAACAGTTTAAACTGCCACCTTCTTTTTTTATAGGTGTACCATAGTTCATGGTTTACTATTCCCCTATTTAGGGGTACCTACATGGCTTTGGTTTTTGCTGTTATAAACAGTGCTGTATTGAACATCCCTTTGCATGCCAGTACTCATCTTTGAGTAATTCCTTGGGCTAGAGAAGTGGGTCTGCTTCTTGGTCTTGGTCTTGGTCCTTTACTCCTTGGCTGCACAGCTTTGTGAAGGATGCACAGGAACAGTATAACAAGCTGCGGATGATGCATTCTAACATGGAGACCCTCTATAAGGAGCTGGGCGAGTACTTCCTCTTTGACCCCAAGAAGTTGTCTGTTGAAGAATTTTTCATGGATCTTCACAATTTTCGGAATATGTTTTTGGTGAGCAAGGGATACTTGCTGACTGAATCTTTTGTGGGCATTTCTCACTTTCCCCTGGGTTCCTGTTGGCTGGTAGTAGGTATACAATGCCCATGTGTTCCTTCCTCCTCTTCCCTGCCCCAGCAAGCAGTCAAGGAGAACCAGAAGCGGCGGGAGACAGAAGAAAAGATGAGGCGAGCAAAACTAGCCAAGGAGAAGGCAGAGAAGGAGCGGCTAGAGAAGCAGCAGAAGAGAGAGCAACTCATAGACATGAATGCAGGTGAGGAGTGAAGACGGGTTGATGGGCTGAGATAGGAATGTTGGGAAGACTTCTCTGCCTAGAGTCTAGAGGCAGAGTCTCATGTCTGAGCTCACCTCCTGGCAAATGATTTTTGGCAGTCTTCACTCCGAGATCCTGATGCCGGACTTTAACCCCAATTCTGATACATGCGCATTCCAACTTGCCCTGGTTAAACTATTACCTTTTCTCTCCTTTGCTCGCTCTTGCATTCTCTCTCATTCCCCTGTGATTGTGGTATTGCTGTGATATATACTGTTTTCCTTCTGTCCATCCAAAGGTTCCTCTGGCCTGTTCTCATTCCCTCCACTAAATCTTTCGGGTTTTTTTCTGTAAAATATTTTCCTGACGCTCCTCCCATCTTTTAATTGTGGCGTGTCTTCCCTTTCTGCTTATTTCACAAAGTACTATGTCCCTAGTACCTTAGCACAGTTGTATGCACAATTAGATTTTAAATGGATTGAACTTTTGGAGCGGGTGGGGAGCCGGTCACCCTCTTCTTTCTTCAGCAGAATCTCTGTTTCACTACCAGAAGCATGTCTTTGTTGAAACATATGGTTTCAATTACTGGCCCTCTGTTTCCTGTCTCTGCTTCTTTCTTGCTGCAGATTCCCTACCCCTTCGCCCCCACTGCTCTCTCTGTGGGCAGCGGAAATACAGCATACACTGCTCACACAGCACTGAGCCCATGCCACCCTCCTCTAAACCTGAGGGGCCACAAACCTTCTGCAAATGAAGAGGTGTTCACAGAGCTGCTGAGTTTGTTAGGAATCAGTATTTTACAGAGCACAGGCACAAGGGCTGCTCTGATACCTCTTGCTACCAGGGACTTTTTATACTTTTCTGTAAAGCAATTTCCTTGCCCTTAGTTGTAAGCCACAACTTCGTAATGCTATTAAAGCCCACACCAAGTATCCTTCACCTTCCCCTGGGACTCCAGGGTTTGTCCCCAGGTACTGGCTAGGATGCAGTGGGGGAAGGTGGAGTCCCGCTGACATGTGGGATGAGGGCTGCACACGGTCAACAGGTGGCGTAATGGACCTTGCCCAGTTTCCAGTACCCGGGTCAAGCAAATGAGGGTGGAATGTAGGTCAGCTGCACTGGTGATGCTCAGCCAGCAGGTGGCGCTGGGAGCAGTGAGCCCCAGCCTTGGATCTGGCAGCCTATGGACTTTTTGGGATTTCACAGTTTCAGATTTCACTATCCTAAGCTGTTGTCATGGAAACCGAGCCAGGCTAGAACAAGGATTCTACATTAACTCTTTGTATTCCAGCCAGGCTGCTCCTCTTAGATGCAGAGGACTTAGACATCAGGAAGACTTAGCCACTGGAGGCAGTACTTCAGGAAAGTGCACTCTTTGATCAGTGGTCTTTCCTCGGCCCTGCTCTGAAACCTAACCAGGCAAAACACTTTAGGATAAAAGGGAGTGATATAGTTGCTTAGTAATTTCACAATCGTAGTCTCTACTTATCCTGGTCTTGGAGTTGGGCAGTTGTATAATTTTGTTGCTAGTCCTGATTGGGGTGGGGAGGATGGCATTGCGGGAAAATATCCCAAGGTCTGCATTGGATAATAGGCAATGAGATCTTTTGTTTTAACCATTTTTTAGCAGATACAAGTAAACATGAGCGTGTGAGACTTAAGGCTGAGCTCTCTTTGCCTCTTCTTAGCTGCCAGCTGCTGTGGGAGAGGGGAAATCAAGCAATAGCCATTCATTTTGTGTGGGGCTTGATATTTGCCATGCTGCTCTGGCTGAAGAGTTCACATCTCCATCTTGTTCTTTATAACAGAGGGCGATGAGACAGGTGTGATGGACAGTCTTCTAGAAGCCCTGCAGTCAGGGGCAGCATTCCGACGGAAGAGAGGGCCCCGTCAAGGTAAGTAAGCACATGGAGCTCATCCTGGGTGTCGAAGGGGGTGAGGGCTCTCTACTCCTGCCAGTCTGCGGCTAAAGAGCAAATAATGATGCTCTAAGCATCTTTTTAGTCCCTGCATCCAGAACGGATTATCTAGTCCTCTTCTTCCCATGTTACAGAGTAGCGACTTAGAAAACTGGGGTTTAAGGGACTGGCAATAAATCAGTTACATTGGATTATGCCGCATTTCTCCCCACTCTTGAAGCAGATATTTGGAACAAAGGAACTGAGCTGCAGGACCCAGGGATTTGAGTTGGCATTTGTGTGTATGAACAAAAGTTGATCTAAATACAAAATGTATATTAGATATAGATTGAAATTCAAAGAAAAAATAAGTCAGAGTCCTTACTCTGGACTTCACAAGCAGAAGACATACGTAGAGAGAACTAATAATAGAAAGTATAAAATTTTGTAGACAGGTTTAGGCATCATTATTCCCAGATAGAAAAATATAGAGGAGCATCTCAGTTGAAGGATTATGCCGTGTCTGAAAACTACCTTTTCCTTGAGTGCAGTTAGCCTCTATTGCCCTTGCCTTCCCCATCACTGCCCTGCAATCTCCTTTCATGTCCTTTGGAAGATCTAAGTGGATTACATTGAGCTAGAGATTCTAAAAAGAATTATGGAGCTAGGACAAGTGATCCAGGCATTAGTATGGGAAAAGATTAATGAATAAGTTCCCTTTCAGGGAAGCTTACAGTGGCCAAGAGACTAATTCAAAGGAAGGTATAGGCAAGTCTGCCCCTCATGTGGAGTTGACCTGCACTATCGTGTCTAGTGAAGGTCTTTTGAGGCTAGGAGTGGTGGCTTCTTTACTAATTTGAAGAGTGGGAATTACAAAAAAAGGCATCATTAGAGGTTTCTACTTCAGAGGGACTTAAATCTATGTTCCCTGTTTCCTGGCTGTTGCATTGTGTAGGCCCATTTGATAGTTATACTTTGAGATTATTGTAAACAGAAGGAGTTAACACAGCTTGCTTTGGCCAGTGCTTAGCTATTAATACAGTGGTATCTGTAGGGCCTGTAGTACCTGCCACAGCCTGGAAAGGGGGACCTTAGAGCATGCTAGCCTATGTAAACTCAGTATTCTGGCCCAACAACAGCCATCACTGTGAGTTTCATCTGTAATGGCTGGCTGCCCATTTCTACCTATACTCTGAATAACCAGAGTGATACTCCCTTCTGAGGGTTCTCTTGTATGACTTCAGAATGTTCCCCAAACTGAAAGCTCCCGAGTCAAAGTTCTTACCCATTTTCTGGCATTCTCTGAGTACAGGCTTTCTAAAGCGTGGGGAGAAGTGGATATGAAGAGCTGAGTACTCTCTGGGCTCGAGCATTTAGTCTTATAGATAGGTGTTTGCAAGGAGAGTACAGCTAGAGGTACTATTACTCCTGTATTTTGTCTTTATAGGTTCTTACAACATTATTTCCTACTGACCACACAAGGTGATGTGGCCTTAACATTAAGCATTTCTAGCCTTACAAAAATACATTGCATCTTATTGTTTTTTTTTTTTTTTTTTTTGACCCCGTCGGCTAAGTGCCTGCATCAGAATTTTGGTGGGGAATTCCCTTTTAAGCCTCTTCCTGTGGAACTATACTAGAATCCCAGATGCTTCCTGTCCACAGGTAGCCAGACATCAGTGGCTTCCCTCTGCTGGGGAAGCCCCATTCTTCACTTCTTTCCAAGTAGAAAATCAGAACTCACAGGTGGAGGAAGGAGGAATTTTGTTGGAAACTAACCTTCCAGCAGAGGACCTGAATTAGTCAAAGTACTCTCTCCCATGCAAGAGGGAATAGGAGGAGACTTATACTAGGAGATACTAAATTGGAAAGTAGGTGAAATGACAATTACATATATTTTAAGTGGCTCTAGCCTATAAGCTTATCTTTCTAGGCTCTGGGTCCACTAAATACACTTGAATATATCTGGGAGAATCTCAAGGGAGACATTTGTAGTTATTCTGGTAACTCTTTAGACCCTGGTGCATTCACATCATGTAAAGTGATGTGATGCGGTCTCACATTAAACAGGAGGATAGCCATCAGAGTAGATTACAAAGAACACAGGGCTAGGTAGGGATCAAAAGACCTAAAGTCACATCTAGTTCTGATGCTGTCTGTGTTATCCTAAGCAAGTCACTTAATGTTTCTGGGACTCAGTTCCTCAGGTATAAAATGAGAGTTGGACTAGAATGAATGGTCTGCAGGGTCCCTTCCAGCTCTAATATTTTTTTTGTGCAGTGACAACAGGATTAAGAGGAGAGAGAGGCTGGACTTAGATGGCCCCATTCTCAAAATACAAAGGCTCCACTGGCTATAGGTTTCTCTATGCAGCTACTGAATTTGGCTGTTCCACCCCTTGCCTGGCTGTCTCTGACTATTCCTCTTGGCTGATTGCTTTGAGCTAAAAAAACAGAGGCACTGTGGAACATATCTGCCTCATAGCCCTCCTTTTTTCCAGAGAGGCAGCTGTCCCTATTCAAAGACACTAGCTTTTTCCCTAGAATTTAAAGGAATGTTAAATTCTTCCGGTCTCTGGAGACCTGGGGGAGTGACCAGTATACAAAGACTCATTGAGGAGTTGGAAGAGGAGAGTTACTATCAGGCTTGGTTCATTAAAAGCAACATGTAAACTCCTGTGATCCGCAGGGTGTGGGAGAACAATGGTTGGAGTGTCAAGGGGAAGAATCCATGTGATTGTATTACAGCTGCTATTTCAGGCCCATGATTGAGTCAGCTTGTGGTTTTAATGACTCAACTTTATCTCCATGTCTGAATTGTGGCCTCTTGTATACAAGTCATTTGCTCACTGGGATAAAAGCCAAGGGAAGAAAGAAATTCAACTCTTCCTTTCCTTCCCTCTACCATTTCCCAGCTTCCCTATAAGCTCCATCCATCTAACAGAACCATAGAGTTGGAAAGACTCTAAAGACTTCCAGTGATTAGTATCTAACCTTCTCATAGGGAAAGGGATTAAAACCAGATAAGGTGACTAACACGGTGAAACTCTGTCTCTACCAAAAATACAAAAAATTAGCCGGGCGTGGTGGCAGGCACCTGTAGTCCCAGCTACTCAGGAGGCTGAGGCAGGAGAATGGCATGAACCCAGGAGGCGGAGCTTGCAGTGAGCCGAGATTGCGCCACTGCACTTCAGCCTGGGTGACAGAATGAGACTCCATCTCAAAAAAATAAAAATAAAAAACAGATAAAGTCTTGCCCAGGTCTACATGGCTAATGACAGAGCACTGTAGCCCACTTTTGTGACTCCAAGTCCAGGCCTGTTTCCCCTCAGCCTGCGTGATTGAACAGGAGACAGCAGTGAACCCACAGTATGGGCCGGAAATATTCTTTCATACCTTCCAGCAAGGAGAGTCGGACATAATGACATTGCTTCAGGAAGGTGCTCTCATGACCACCTGTGTTAGTCTATTTTGTATTATTATAAAGAAATACTGGAGACTGGGTAATTTATAAAGAAAAGGGGTTTATTTGGCTGACAGTTCTGCAGACTGTAGAGAAAGCATGGCGCCAGCATCTGCTGTTGAGGCCTCAGGAAGCTTCCAATCAAGGGGGGAGAAGGTGTATCACAAGGCGGAAGTGGGAGCTAGAGAGATGCCAGGCTCTTTTAAACAACCAGTGCTTGTATGAGCTCATTACTGTGGGGAGGGCACCAAGCCACTCATAAGGGATCCACCCCATGACCCAAGTGCCTCCCACTAGGCCCCACCTCCAACATTGTAGTCCACATTTCAGCATGAGGTTTGGAGGGGTCATACATCCAAACCATATCACCTCCTATCTAGAGAAGGTTGCTAAGAATATTTCCTGTACCACTGCTTATTCTCCCCCCTACTTTTGTAAATAGGACAAGAAACATAATTAGCAGAGTTTGAGACAAGAATGAGTTATTTAGTGTGATGATGATTGCCCCATCTGTCCTAGTTTCCTCTTCCCTAAGGAAGCTTAATGTATTAACAAGAGCACTTCCTCTTTAGTAATAGTTCCTAGCCTACGTTTTATAAAGGTCTTTTTTCAAATCACTAACCTTTTTAAAACTTGCGTTATATGGTTGATTTTGCTGGTGTTTTTATCCTAGCCCACCCCTAACTTCTAGGAATCTGTCCTCAGAGAGCATTCACCAGTATCTCAACATTGTTCCCTTTTCCCACACAGCCTGTGGGACTGTTCTCTTGTAGTCAAAATATTTATCTGGTTCTATGGCTACTTTTCAATAGTCTAATAACAAGTGAGTAAGTTGGGGGAAGCATGGGGAGGTCAGTTTTTCTTGACTGTTCAACCTGCTGAGCATAATGGTGAGTGAGTGGAAAGCTGGGAGACCTGTTCCAACAAGAGCTTTCTCATCCCCTGACCTTAGGCCAAATCACACCCTCCCTGGTGTATAGGCTTTCAAGGCTTAAAAGGGAAATTTTGATCTTCTCCCTACCTACTCTCTGCTCCTGGTTCTTATGAAGTTTGTAATACATCAGAAGCTTCTTGAGTCCAGAAAAGTCTAGAAACACCACTTGGTTAGGTACAACTGGTATCTTCTTATTTTGGAGGAAGAAACCACAGAAAGCAGCAGCTAAAGACCTACCACATGGGACCTCTGCCTTCTCCTGTGTTGCCCAGGACAAGTGGCCCAGTGTTCTTTTCCCAAGGTCTGGAGTCAGATGTTATTTCAACATATATATACCACTAGAGTTACACACACACACACACATGCACAGAGTCGCAGTGTCTTCTCAACTGTTGGAGACTGAATTCAAAGAAATAATAAAATGATAGGAAACTACTACCCTTCTGGATATGAGAAATGGGGTCTAGAGAGGGAGTACTTCAGAAGAGAGTGGAAATGTAGGAGGCCTGAGGAAGATTTTGGTGGTAAGGACAGTATGAGAAATGCACACATGTAGACCATCATAGTCACACTCACGTAGGCTCCTTTTCCTCACTTGTCTCAGTCACGGGGCATTAGTTTATGTTCATAATCCAATAAATGGTTTTGTGAAAATCCCACAGTCTCGGGCACATACCTATGATCTGTAACTAGATAAGTCCTGTGGCTGTCAGTCAGGGTCTTCACTATTCTTTCTCCTCTTGGTAGACAACCTCTTGTGCCCCTGGGAAGTAGAGGAGGAGGAGGAGACCTTTAAATTGGTAACCTGTGTGCATGCTGCGTGTTCCCTGCTTGATCTATGGGCAGCCTCTCCTGGGATGAAAACAGTAGCTCTGGGTCATGGCTCTGCAGGGAGAGAAGACCTGGTTAAGACTTGGGCTTTGGCAGGCTGTGGTGACTCATGCTTGTAATCCCAGAACTTTAGGTTCCAAGGTGGGAGGATTGCTTGAGCCCAGGAGTTCAAGACCAGCCTAGACAACATGGAGAGACCCCATCTCTGCAAAAAAATACAAAAATAGCCAGATATGGTGGCACATGCTTATAGTCCCAGCTACTAGGGAGGCTGAGGTGGGTGGATCACTTGAGCCTGGGAGGTTGAGGCTACGGTGAGCTGTGATTGCGCTGCTGCACTCCAGCCTGGGCGACTGAGATTCCATCAAAAAAAAAAAAAAAAAGACGGGCTATCTGATCCTGTTTGGCTTCTGCCTACCTAAAGCTTTTTGCTGGTCCAAAAAGGCGCTTCATTCCAGTCATGCAGCTGCCCCAGTCTTGGTCTTTATTTAGGAGTGCTCGGCTCTTTCATCTGGTCCTGCTTCTAAAACATTCCGGTACTGCTTTCTCCACTCCAGCTTTCCCAGATCTCCAGGAAGTCTTTTTTTTTTTTTTTTTTTTCCAATTGAGCTATCATTTACATACCTAAAATTCACCTTTTAAAAATGTATAATTCAGGGGTTTTAGAATATCCACAAGATTGTATAACCATTACTATCTAATTCCAGGACGTTTCATCATCCCCAGAAGAAAAACTTCATAATCCCCATTAGCAGTCACTACTGATTCTCCCCTCCCCTTGCCTCTGGCAACCACCAGTCTATTTTCTATCTCTGGGTTTGCCTGTGCTGGACATTTCGCAGAAGCTGACCCATAACATATGGCCTTTCGTGTCAGGCTTCTTTCGTCCCAGACAGCTGTTTGTGTATACACAGTTGCTCTGTGCTGTTCTGGGGCATGGGAGGAGGAAACATCATGAGATGGGCATGGTCTCAAGGAGTGGCCTTCCTGCTGCAGATACTGGGGCCATAAGCCTAGATACCATAAATGAATATGAGAGTCTTGGGGATGAAACCCAGCAGTTAGAACAGAAACTCGTGGATTGATTTGGTTCTTCTTTTCTAATCTGGTATGACAGCCGGAACTTGACCATCTCTTAGCCACCTGGGCTGAGATTTCTTGGTAGGGGTCCTCTCCTGTCCATCTTTATCCCAGTTCTGCTTCCCTGGCATAGTTTTTATTACTACCTCCCCCCCGCCATGCCACCCCCACATACTCTACACACCTTGTAGGGCCCTTGGCATTTGTATTACGGCTGCTACCTTTGAAGGGGTGGGAAAGAGCTAAGGCATGTGGGCATCTGTTGTTGGAGGAACACGTGGGAGTGCGGTGTCAGTGCGTGGCTGCTGTTCCTCTTTGCGGGAGTCTCTCCAGCCACTTACGGAAGGTTGCCTTCTGCTAGGGACAACCCTCCCAGGGCTGACTGAGAAGTGTTTTGGCCTAGGAGTTTCCTGGGACCTGTCAAGAAAACAAAAATAATACTATGTACTAAACTTTAGTCTATTTAATTCCAACATCCCTATTACGAGAAAATAGACTTTGAATACTTCATCTCTCCTTAAGTCACATAGCTAACACTTCAGCCCAGTTCTGTCTGTCTGTGTTCAAACTTTTGTGCTGTTTTCACACAGGGAAGCAAGGGGGCAAGGCTTGCTTTCCTGTTGCACCACACTCTCTTACATTCTTTGCCACCCAACAATATATTCCACATGCTGGATCTCTGCCCCTTTCTTCAAAGTAAGGGCCTCTGTGAAGTGGCCAAGGTAGTCATGTCTGCATGGCTTACGCTGATTATCTGCTGTAGAGTTTGAAAGAAATTAGAAATGAGGCCTTCCATAGACAGAATCTCTCGTCTTCTCTTGCAGCCAACAGGAAGGCCGGGTGTGCAGTCACATCTCTGCTAGCTTCGGAGCTGACCAAGGATGATGCCATGGCTGCTGTTCCTGCCAAGGTGTCCAAGAACAGTGAGACATTCCCCACAATCCTTGAGGAAGCCAAGGAGTTGGTTGGCCGTGCAAGCTAATGTGGGTCCTGTGACCGCGGCAGCTCCTCAGCGGAGCCGCAGACTGTCCTGCCCTGCAGCATGTGCCTAAAGGCTCAAGGGGATATTCCTCTGGGGTGGCCACTCCCACCACCCTGACCCTGTCTTTCTCTCTGGCCTGCTGCTCTCTCAACATCACATACAGCTTCAGCTGCCTGGAGGCCAGAAGGAAAGGGCAGTGCAGGGGAGGCCTGAGCCCGACTTAGCCAGCCCTGGCTGTTGTATTACCAAAGCAGGGTCCATGTTTGCTGCCTTAACCCTGTCTCCTCTCTGTTACTCAGAGGGCCTCATCTCAGACAAGGCCCAGCCTGCTTTTTCTCAGCCCTGACTTTCTAATGGGCTTTCCCCCCTAGGTCAGTCTTGCTGGATTTGTGCTTTTCTTTTGTGGTTTCTCTGGCCCTGAGAATAGCATGGGGCTTGTAAACCTTTGGGCTAGATCCCTCCTTTCATTGCTGTTGTCTCTGCTCTTCCCTCTCCTGGCTGTGGTTATTTATTATTAGTGGTGTGGCACTGGGAGCTGCTCCTAAGGAAGCAGGGAGCAAATCCCACCTTTACCCCACCTTCCTGGGAAAGGCCTCCAAAGCAAAGGATCTGGACCAGTTTCCCTGCTGTGCTGTGGCCCAGGCCAGAGCCTGTGGGCAGGCAGGCAGGGCATAGCGACAGTGTGGGACCTGCCCCCAGCTTCTGCCACGCTTTATGCCCTTGCCTCTCTGGACGCTCTGCACCAACCCCAGGCTACTGAGCCACCTTCCCTCCTCATGCCTTCCCTGAGCTTTGGTGCATCTCATCTGGACTATGGGTTGTACTGTGACCATCCCAACACCTCACCCTCTGTCTACAAGGAAATGGGAGGTGGAGCCTCCTGGCTGAGAAATTGTTTTGCAAATGGATCTATTTTTGTATGAAAAAAAAAATTTTTTTAAAGAAAACTGTTCCTTCCCCCTTTCCCCTCCATAATGTAAGAAGCTTTGGTGGCAGGTTACAGAGTTCTGGGATTTCTTCTCACAGGCCCAATCCTGAATGTGCCCCTGGACCTTCTGGACCCTTGAGTCCAAGGCAGATCCTCTCTCCCAGGGAATCCGACACAGGAGGAACCCCTTCTCTGGTTGAGCTGGGCCAGGCCTAAGAGTAGCAGGAACTCTAAGACCACAGAGTTTTTTATAAATGTATAAATGTATCAAGCCAAATGTGCAGATGCTAACTGGACATTCTGGGGAACTGGGCACCAGGAGTGCCTTCATACACTGTACCCCAGCTCTCTTCTAAAAGAGAAGTGGGTGGGCACACTGAACTGTTTGGTGGCCCCAACCACAGGAAGCTGCAATTCTCTGGCTTAGGGTGATACTTTTGCCCTCCTTGTGCCCCTCTCAGCTTTCCATCCCCAGCTAGGAAGAAAGAATGGCACTCTTGGGCTTGGCCCAGAATTAGAGTTATTAGAGCAAGAGAGAGCTTAGGAAGCATGAGGGCAACTATAGTGAGGCCTTATTGCCAGGAGGGAGGGTTTTGGTTGCTGGCGCTTGTGTATAAAGGGGCAAGAGCAGCTCCTTTGGACTATTCCTGGGAGGACTCTGATGCAGGGCGTCTGTTGCTCCCCTGGGTCACCTCCTCCCTGCTCGCTGACATCTGGGGCTTTGACCCTTTCTTTTTTAATCTACTTTTGCTAAGATGCATTTAATAAAAAAAAAGAGAGAGAGAGAGAGGTGTGAGGGACAAAATGCAAACCTATTTCCCTTGCCTCATAGGCTTCTGGGATGTCATCACCTCCAGTTTGTTGGTTTTGTTTCCAACTGTTAATAAAGCATTGAAACAGTACTGCCTTACAGCTTCCTGTGTGAATTTCTGAGCTGTTTTCTTTTCACTCTAGTCCAGGCTCCTCTAGTCTTTCCTGCCTCAAATCCCTGGTTGACCTGACAAATCACTGTGAAAAAGCTAAAGGTGCCAGACACTTTACTTGGGCACAGGGCTAGAGATGATTAATACATGGTGGCTGCTGCCCCACCAGAGCTCACCTCAGGGCCGTTTGGCCACAGTAAAGGAGTGGGCGCCTGGTTCAGCTCCCTGACTCTTCCACATTGCTGCTACTTGGTTTGGAGCCCTTTTTTGGAACTCACTTGGAACCTTTCATGTTCCCAGATGTCACGCAAGGTTTCCTGGCAGTACCTGTGTCTCTTGCTGAGGGAAGCATCTGGCTCCCATTTTCTCATCCCCTCTGCTCTGTTGGTGGCCACAGACCACATTCCAGAGTAGAGGGGTTTACCCTGGGGTGGAAACCTGAGCCTGCCCAGCAGAGGTTGGGAGCCTGAGGTCATGCTCCAGATGACTTGCCACTTGGAGCCATACTTGTCTGAGCACGTTATGACCTGCACAAAAAAGCCAGACCAGCAATGAGCAGGCCCAGGATAGACAGGGAGAGGCCTGGAGAGGACCACAAACCCATTCGGGCGGGCTCTGGAACTGGAAATAAAAGCCTTTTAAATAGCCCTGGAGCCTGGGCAGCTGCCTCCTCAGTATGGCCTGAGGTGTGGGGATGGGTTGCCTGCCGCCTCCCTCCCGTCCCCCCGGAGGCCACGCCTTTCTGGTTCAGAGCTTTATAGGCACACATACCAATTAGGGGACAAACCACAGCTGCTCACGCGCTCTGCCAGTCTGCTGCTGTGCCTGGAATAGAACCCAGGCGCCCGGCACCCCGCCCCTCCGCAGCCTGGCTCTGAGTAACAAAACCCTGCTTCCATCTCAGCAACCGTGCACACCACCCTTCCTCCCACGCTAGAAAGTCGCCCCCAGATTCTTAAGTTGGAAGGTTTGGTTCCCATGACAACAGACTTGAGCTGGCAGAATGGGTGACCTGGCTCTGGGAGCCTCCGCAGCGCGGAGGAAGCCGCATACCCTTGCTGACCAGCCAGATAACCGCAGTGGCTCTGTCTTTGTGTTCTTGGGTCCTTCCGGGTAGTTCCCCTTTTAAGTCCCCCTTCACCCCCAGCTCCGTGTTTTTCTGCAGCTTCTCTGGCTGCAGCAACCTCGGAATCCCACAGTGCTTCGAGGAGGCAGGCGGAGGGGGCGGGGAGATGGGAGAGCAGGCGAGTGAGTGGAAAAGCACCGACAGGAAGGAGGGAGGGGAGCTGAGTCTGCGATGGATCTCATTTCCTGCACGTCCTTTCAGTCCCCTTGACCCCCGCAAGAAGAGGATGAGCCCTCCAATTTCTTAGGCTTCGCTACGGAGATGTCAGCGGGAAGGCGAATTCCAGATGGGGAAACTGAGGCTCGAGCTGCAGACTTGGCTTTGGAAGAATCACCTCCCGCATTCCCTCCCACTCCCGCGGCTTTCCCAAAACCCCTAGGCAGCGGGGGTGGGGGTGCGGGGGCAAAGGAGAGTCTACCCTCCTCCCGTGAAGCCCTCCGGGGCGCTTCGGGTAGGCAATTTTAGTCAGGAAGGGGCGGGAACTAACGAAACGTCCTCTCCCCTCTACCCAAGGCGTTTGCCCGGCGCCAACCCGCCCCCGCCCGCGCCGGGGTCTCCTCTTCTGCCTGGAGACAGCCGCAAGCTTAGACTGCACACTCCACTGCACACTGACACGCCGCACTCAGATCCCCACCCCCACAGCGGACCGATCACACAATGGCACACGGTACACAGATCCATAGGCACACAATCGCACACTGTCTCATAGGCACAACGGCATTGCAAGCATACACAACCATATTGCACAGTCACACACACACACGCAATTCGGAAACATCTAGACGCGCAATGACACAAAGTGGCCTCCCGATTCCGCCCTTCTTCCAGCACCCACCTCAGCTCATCACTTCATGCACACATGCCAGGAGCTTCCATCGCTTATACAGAAACGTTCAGCTTTTCAGAAGAAACGTTTTATTATTTTTTTGTCGAAGAAAAAAAGCCATATAAATATTAGAGTATAAAACTTGCGTGAGACACAGGAAGAGGGTGGGGTGGGAGCTACGTGACTATGCGAAGAGAAGCGCTTATAGGAGAAGTCAGTACGGGGGAGGGGGTCGCCTTAGCGCGTGGACACAGCACAAAACACAACACGGGCCGCCGCGGGCAGATCAAGGACAGACGGCTGCGCGGAGCCCGCCGCCCGCTGCCCACCCGCCATCACGTAAAAGCACACCGCACTACACTACTGGCTATTCTACACCAGCCGAAAGAGGGAGGGGGCGCTACACTACTGTAAGGGCAGGTCTGGGGTTCTCTGGCAGCCCCGCTGGATGGCCGGGGACCCAGGGGCAGAAGGGGGTGGGAGAAGAAGGTCTATGCACAAGGAGGCACTGGGGAACTTTAACCAGGCTATGGCCACTAGGGGGCGCACTGGGGACCTGGGCAGTGGCCTTCACGGAAGAGAAACGGCACCTGGCAAGGTGAAGGACTGAGGCTTCAGGAGGGCAGGGGCCCTGTTGAAGAAGCCCCATCCTGGGCTGAGACTTTCTGTTCATTTGGTCCCTGCCCTAGCTCCCTGCCTCCCCAACCCAGGGACTAAGAATGGCCTGGCTGGCCCACCCTTCCTGCTGGGGCTCCGCTGACCCTTCCACCAGTGGCACCTCTGGAGTACCCAGCACCCACAGAGGCCCCTCTGACCTCTCAAGGGGACCTGGTCCTAAACCTGCTTCGAGCTTCCTTGGACTGAAATGCCAGTTTAATCCATTGGTCCTGTTAGCTCAGCCCAAAGCTGGCTGCCTGGGCTGAGCCCTATTATGTAGTGGGAAGGGTCCAGCCTAGTTATTGGTTTATGGCTGGAATCTGGAGGATGTTGTCAGTCCCCTGAGGACATACAGAGCCTCCTCCAAGGCCTTGATAACTTGATGTGTCAAGCTTTGTCCATGCCCCCACCATCCACATCCACACACTTCCCTTCCTTATCTTACCACCCCATACTGTCTTGGAACATGCAGTGGAGTCTCTTGTTTGAGGAGGAGGTGGGGGAAGTCAAGGCATGCAGTGGAAACGTCAAACAATGAAAAACAAAACAGAAGACTGGTCCCCAGGGCGTTGGGAAGAGGCTTGGTAGCAAAATGCCCTCCCTAAATCCAGCAAGCATCAGTACCATGGGGATGGTGATCATGTCCTCCAAAACTTGAGCATTGATCTTGGGCTCTGGAAGGAGGTGAAGGGGCTGGCACCAAACCATGCTTTGGGGGAAGATTGAGAATCAAAGGAGAGGCCAAGAGGTCATGATGCCCTTCCAACTTTTCAGAACTAGGAGGCTTGTAGGTTACTTGGTACTTCAACACCCCAACCACCTTACTCGGGAAAGAGGAACTGTTGGAGTGGGGTGGGGAGGAGGGAGGCATGGGATGGATGGGCCTGATTGATTTGGAAGATGGAGGAGTTCAGCTGTAACTAAACGGGGTGTGGCAAATGGTTCTTGGTGTCTACAGTAACCCCACTACCCCCATGGGTACAGCAGTTGATTGGATGGGGGTTCCCAGCGGAACTGCTTTTGCATATTCAACCCCCTGGGGGGGAAGGGGTAGGTGCTGACTGGGCACTTGTTTCTGTTTCCCAAGGGGAGCATGGCCTTGGCCCCTACCAGTATTCTGGGGGTTAGCCCTGAAACTCTGAGGCCTGGGTGCAGGTAAGGAGAAGCTGGGCTGGTTGGGGAGAGGCCGCCCTGTGGCTCTTGGCCTGGCCTCCATGTTACTTCTTCTCCTTCTTGCCCGACTTCTTCTTGTTGCCATTGCCACCTGCTGGGGCCTTGCCATCCCGCTTGCCAGCTGCGTTGGTCAGTGTGGCATTGCTGCCTGGGATGTAGACATTCTGGCGGTAGTCGGGCACGTGCTGCAGGGTGAACTGGGGTCCGTAGCGGGCGCTCAATCCCATGGTGCCGGCACCCCCTCCCAGGGTGGAGCTCCCATCAGCAGCTTCTGCAGAGACAGAGGAAGATCAGGTGGGAGCTAAACTTAGGGTCCTCAACAGTCACTGTCTTATATCCCCAGCAGTTAATGAATGCCTATACAGCACCCTGGGCCTTGACCACGCTGAGCACTGGGAATATAGGGGTCACCAAGGTAGTCTCTCTTCACAAGAGTTGAGGGTAGAGGTTAAGAGGCTCTGGAGTGAGAAAGTCTAGGTTTGATTCCTAGCTCCTTTCCTTACTCACTGTGATCCTGGGCAAGTCTACCTAACCTCCTTATGCCACTTCAGTTTTCTCATCTGCAAAATGGGGATGATAATGGTAACCACCTCTTCTGGTTTTAGTGAATGCTAAATAAGAAAATGTATGTCAGGTACGTAAAATAGTGCCTGGTAGATGTAAGTGCTCAAAACACATTCGCTGGTATTTCTCTCAGGGCTGTGACACGGGCTCTCAGTTCCTTGCCCTGGCTTTCTCAAGGGAGCCTCTGACTCCCACACTAGACCATGGGCTCCTGGAGGGCAGCAGCCATGAAACCATGGCTTTACATGCCCCTAGCCTTTGCCAAGCAAGGCCTGGCACGAGTAGAGATTCGGTAGTTCCGTTAGTAAGTGTGTGGGGTGGGGGTGAAGAGTGCTCTTCCAAGCCTCCATTTCAAAACAGCATTTTTTTTTTTTTTTTTTTAAGATGGAGTCCTGCTCTGTCGCCCAGCCTGGAGTGCAGTGGCGCGATCCCGGCTCACTGCAACCTCTGCCTCCTGGGCTCAAGTGATTCTCCTGCCTCAACCTCCTGAGTAGCTGAGATTACAGGTGCACACCACTAGCCCAGCTAATTTTTGTATTTCAAAACAGCATTTGAGCACCTACTGTGTGCCAGGCACTCTGCTGGATGCTTCACATGCACAATCACTTTTAACCTCTACATAACAGCCCAGCCAGCTATGTGGTATGACCCTCATTTTACAGATGAGGGAACCAAGTGTTAGAAGGACCAAGGCCATACCCGGTAGCATTTGTTAGAGGGGCATTCAGGCCCAAGTGTACCTAAGCGCATGCTGGAAGGGACAGTCAGTCACCATCACCACCAGCAGCTTGGACCTTATCCCTGTTCTGAGTGAATGGGAGGTAGAGAGAAGATGGAGAAGAGCTCGGCTCTATGAAGCTGAGGAGATGATGATCTCGGGGACTAGACATCTCAGGGACACTTTAGGCACAGGCTCAGAGTGCCACAGCTAGGTGACATCAGACAGCACCTCCAGTCCAACGTCCCACTGTACAGAAGAAGAAACTGGGGCCCAGAGAAGTCCACACTCTGGCCCTGGCTCAGCATCACCCAGGAACTTGTTTAGAATGCAGCCTCTCGGAATTGCCAGCTGATTTGTACGCACTGTGAAGGCTGCTGTGAGGACTAAATGAGATGGTGCTTCATCCTGTGCAATACATCATCAACACCGTCACATCCAGCATGCCATCACCTCTACCCCTCACCTGCCCTGACTGGGTCGGGGGTGGGAGAGGAGGAAACAAGAGTTTGACTCATTGGGGCTCGCTGCTGGAGGCCCTGAGATCCTCTGTGGTTAGGAGACAGTTAAAACCTCAGGGATGCCCAGGCCAGCCCAGGCCCAGCTGGCAGTAGAGCTTCTCTCCCAGCCTCCCTCTGCCTCCACCCTGGACCCTGGGAGCGGGTAGCGAGAGTGACTAAAGCCGGAGAGGCTGAGTAATCCTGGGACATCAACCAGGGATTGAGAAATAGAGAGACAGGAAATATTTTCAAGCCGGCATAAGAGGAGGAGGGCACACGGGAGGGGAGAGCCGGGATGCGCCTCGGTTTTTCTCTTCACGCACCAGCGCTCAGGTTTCTACAGCCCCCATTTCATGTCGCAAATCCCCGGAGCTGAGAGCTTTCTGGGGGCGGGGGAGAGGGGTTGAGTGGGAGGGAGCAGCTGCCCACTTCCTCCTCTCCTACCCCAGCTGGCCCCCACCCCCAGCCCTTTCATTCCGCTGACATTTCTCTGTTTTCCCTAATTAACTCCAAAAGGAAGCCAGATCCGCCACCGCCCCGCCCCCTCCCCTCCAGCCGTCAGCCTCTTCAGCCTTTCCCAGCCTGGGAATGGAAGGGGTAGGGGAGGGGGGCCCAGATCTGGCTTCAAAGAGCCAGGATTCCAGAGTGATTTAGGGGCTAGAGGGGGGACCTCAGAGGCGCCAGAGAAAGAGCGGGGTGGGGGGTGTAGTCTCCCTGCACACAGAAAAGAATGAGGAGGAACACGGAGAAGCAGGGAGAAGGGAGGCAGAGACAGAATGACAGGAAGGGCCTGACGGAGTAGCTAGAAGCTCGGCCCACCCACGTCCTATGTGCACCCAAGATCTCTGAGTAGCACCCCGAGTGGGTGCAAGTGACAAAGCCATCCCCCGCCCACCTCGTGGGGGGTGCCCTGAGGTTGGGCTGGACCAGGAGGGAGAGAAGATATGGAAATCCAGAATGTAAAAGAAAGAGAATATTTGCTCTGCTCTGCCACTAAGGAACTGTGTGAGCTTGGTCAAGTCTCTGCGTGGCTCAAGCCTGTTTTCCCATCTATAAATCTGAGGGGAAGAAGTTGGATTGCCAGCTTTGACTTTCTGTAGAGTCAGTTCTCCAGTGCCCCTCCCTCTACACCCCACTCCCCCCAAGGCCCACCTTGGTCAAGGACCGGGATTTTCTCTTGGTCCCAGGAGAGGCAGACTTAGGAGAGCCTCAAGAAGCTGGACATCTTCTGGCCTGGACGAGGTGGGGGTGATGCCTTCTCTCCTGTGCCAGCCTCTACTCAGGGAAACTCAGCCCCCAGCTCCCTGACCTCCCTCTGTCCTCTTAACCTACCCCATCCCAGGGCCAAGGCAGCAACTCCAGAGTAGCCCAAGGAGGCTGATTAGCTGGAACACAGCTGGCTGAGCTGCAAACCGCAGCCTCCTTGAGAGCATCCCTCCCCGCAGATGTTTATTTTAAAAGCCTCCTCCCAAGTGTCGGTTTTTACTCTCCCTCTTACTTAACCCCTCTCAGCAGCCCCACAGGCCTGGCTGGGCTGGACTTCAGGAACCTCTCTGGTTTCAGGGCTAGGAAGCGGGTGTGAAAGTGAGAGCAGGGCCTGACCCACCACCTCCACCCCCAGGGTCCGTTCCCCAGGGCGCAGGCTTAGACGAGGGTCAGGCCCTGTGTGGGCCAAAGGTGGGAGGCCTTGACAGGGGAACGAGCTGCATGACTTGCTTGGAGGGTTTGGGGCCATAAATACTGATTTCATTTCTGTTTTTAACATCTGGATTTAGGCTAAAAAGCTGCTTCCTGGCCTCAGGGCGCAAGGCCACAACAGCTAAATATACCTGTTTATTTCCCTCAAGAGGCCAACTTGGCATCTCCTCAGACCCAGCCGCCTGCCACTTTCATACTCAGTCTCTGGCCTCTCTGGAATCATAGCCCCACCAGACCTGGGACAGCTCTGCCTCAGGAGGCCAGCAGTCCCTGCCACCTCTCTCTCTGTCCTTCCGTCAGCTGTAGGCCTGGCCCCACTTAACCTCACAGACATCTGGGGTAGAGTTGCCAGATTTAGTAAATAAAAGTACAGGGCTCCCAGTTAAATTTGAATTTCAGGTAAACAATGAGCATTTTTTTTTTTAGTACATTATGTCTCATGCAACATTTGAGACTGACTTATGCTGAAATAGTACTTGCTGTTTATCTGACATTCAACTGTAACTGGGCATCCTGTATTTTATCTGGCAACCCTGATCTGGAAGAATAAAGCAGAGCTCGAGGAAGAGGACAGCCTCTCATCCTGCTCAGGTAATAGAGAAGCCGAGGCTGGATCCAAAGGCAGCCATGGTCCCTATAGTAGAAAGAGCATAAACTTAGGAGTTGAGCCAGGTTAGAACCTCAGCTTGGCAGCTCAAAACTGAGGACCCTGGGGCAAGTGCCTTCTCGGTTCTCTCATCTGTCGAGTGTGAGAAATCAGACCTGCCTTGCAGAGCTATTGAGAGGATTCATTGACAGGAGGCCCCTAAAGTTTGTTTAGTATGTGCCCAGGTGTGATGACAGTGCTTCTTGTGATTTCACCTGGTTCTCTACCCACCAGTCCTCCAGACATGCTGGAGGGCAGGGCTATCAGTTCATGATATAGGGCAATGCCTTGATCCTCTGCCAGCCTCCTTATAAGCCCAGGATTTGCTGCTCCAGAAGCTAGTCTTTATTAATAGGCATTATTCTAATTCTGCTTTCTACCCAGTAAAAAACGGGTTTGGGTCAGCAAAGATAATAATATATTGTGCCCTTACTCTCTGCCAATCCTGTGCTGAGGGACTTGCATTTGGCCCTGGTAACACCACAATGAGATCCGTTAATACTGTGCCCATTAATAGTAAGTGAAACCGAGGGGGTTTAATAACTTACCTAAGGACTCATTGCTAAGTGGTGGTGCCAGGTGCCAGGATTTGAATCCAGATTGGCCTGCCTCTAAAGCCTGTGCTCTTTTTTTTTTTTTTTTTTTTTGAGACAGAGCGAGACTGTTGCCCAGGCTGGAGTGCAGTGGTGCGATTTTCTGCTCACCACAGCCACCTCCCAGGTTCAAGCGATTCTCCTGCCTCAGCCTCCCAAGTAGCTGGGACTACAGGCACGCACCACCATGCCCAGCTAATTTTTGTATTTTTAGTAGAGACAGGGTTTCACTATGTTGGCCAGGCCGGTTTCGAACTCCTGACCTCATGATCCTCCTGCCTCAGCTTCCCAAAGTGCTGGGATTACAGGCGTGAGCCACCACGCCCAGCTTAGGCTGTGCTCTTAAGGACAAATGATATTCTTCTTCTCCTGCTCTGGGCCCTAGTGACTCTTCAGGGACAACCACCACTAGCCGAATCTCTATTACAAAGGAAGCCCTTAGTCAACCTTATGGGAAAACCAGAATCCTACTCTGGAGTTAGGGGCAGCAAAAGAGGAGCCTCGCATAAAGAGGAGGTGTTCTCTCGGCTGGGGATTTCTACACCCACTTTCATTGCTTGAGGGCTTCCAAGCGCCAGGCCCAGAACTCTATGCTTTGTGGTATCATCTCATTTAATCTCTACAACAACCCTTTGGGGTCCCTGTCCCCACTTTCTAGGCTGAGGAAACTGAGGTTTAGAGAGATTGAGCAAGTCGATCCAAGTCCCAAGGATAGTAGCAGAGCTAGGACCTGAGCTACACTGTCCCATTCCAGAGCTAGACTTGTAACCACTATTCCCTCCATGAGTCTTTTCCTTGTTCGCTCTCCTCCAGGCATCCCAGGACCCCCAACCCCTCTGCTGTTCCTTAGCCACAATTCCAGGCTTTATGTTTGGAATTGTGGGTCCTTTCAGACCTGCCGAAAGATCTGGAGAAACTACACAGGTTTGACATCCAGTCCGTGGGCATGGTGGCTGTGAGATGCACCCCAGAACCCCAGGTCTCCCACTCTTCCATACACACACTGACACCACTTACCACTGGCGGACGCCAAGATCATGGCTTGCAGCATCTCTGTGTCAAACTGGTTGTTGGGCCAGGTGCCGGTGTCATCGCCATTTTGGGAGCTGGGGAGAGAGTAGGATGGTGAGCACAGACTCCCAGGCCGGCACAGCTCATGCCCCTCCTGTCCTCTCCCAGGGCTCCCAAACCTAGTACCCTAACCCTACCCCATGCCCAAGACCTGTTTCTCTCAGCAAGGTAGGAGGCACTTCTACAATCCTTCAGAAGCCAGAATCCCACAAGTCAGTCCCTCAAACCAGCTCTTTGCTGCCTCCGATGCTTTTTTCTTTTTGTTTTAGACAGGGTCTTACTCTGTCATCCAGGCTGGAGTGCAGTGGCGCGATCTTGGCTCATTGCAACATCCACCTCCTGGGTTCAAGCGATTCTCCTGCCTCAGTCTCCCAAGTAGCTGGGATGACAGGCACCTGCCACTGTGCCAGGCTAATTTTTGTATTTTTAGTACAGACGGGGTTTCACCATGTTGGCCAGGCTGGTCCAATGCATTGAACATAGTGCATTCCCCCACCCACCATGAGAGAGCCTGGCTTCCTGTCATAGTGAGGGAGATCAGACCTTCTCCAGAGGACTGTGAAGGTGGGAAATGGAAGAGAATGTTCCAGAGCTAGAGAAAAAGTGGGGACCTAGGAGGTACCTAGGGGGAGATGTAGGAGGCCCCAAGAGACCCTGGAGCAGGGAGAAGAAATTTCTAAAATTCAATGGCTTCCTAAGCCCTCAGAGTAAAATCCACGGCCATAGAAGAACCTGCCCCTCCTATTTTACAAGAACCCCCACCCCCCGCCCTCAAACACTCTATCATCAAACCTTTTCCAAGGTGCACTTTCCTATCCCTCAAGTTCCCTCTTGCTGTGAATCCTGGGCAGATGGTGTTCCCTAGAATGCCAGTCCCCCAACATTTGCCATGATGACACGAATAAAATATATCAGAGGAGATCCACTCAGACTGGGCAGGTGCCTCCACTGTACTCCCATCCCAGCGGCTGCCCCACATGGCACTAGTCACACTGCAGCTGTTGTAGTGCCTGTCTGTTCCTCCACCACACTGGCTTCTGTGAGGCAGCGACTCCACCTGCTTCCTACTGAAGCACCTAGCACAAAGCCTAGCACTTGGACCTAAGTGAGACTTTTAGAAACTCCGAGTGTTGAAAAAACATGAAATGATTCATAATTTAAAAAAATACTAAACCATAAGAAGAACTCTCTGCTTCTTAGAAGGTTCAGCTCTACTTGGAATTTTCCCACAGTGACAATTTTCATGATTTTTTTGAATTTCCAAGGATGAAATTATTTCAATTTGCAGGGGAGTGTTGGCGGGAAACAGCCCTGGCACACACACAGTCTGCCCTTTAGGTAACTGTTTGGCACCATCTGGCTCAGAGAAGTTTTTCAATAAATATTTGTTGCCTAAATGAGTGGGAAGAGACCAGCAGAGACAGTTAAGTGACTGTAAGGTAAGAAGAAGGGTTTGGCACCATGGGAAAGGCTGTAGGGTAGGCCTTGAAGGCATGAAAATGTCTGTGTGTGTGTTGCGTTGTGTGTGTGCATATTTTGTCATGGTGGGTGAGCACAACCAAGAACTGCTTTACAATTTTTCCAAGGTCTGTCCCTGCTTTTGGTTTTGCCCAATCTGGGATTCCCCGTCCCTAAGTAGATGAACTCAGCCTAAGAACAGACACAAGGCTGCCATGTGTGACCTCTATACCATCACAACAAACATAAAGCTAGGGTTGAAGGGGAAAGCAGGAATCTCAATTCTCCTTCCCAAAAGTGGGAAGAGTTGTAATTCTGTTTCCATTGATTCAATAATTATTTCTTTTCTTTTTTCTTTTTTTTTTTTTTTTGAGCTGGAGTCTCGCTCTGTCACCCAGGCTGGAGTACAGTGGCGCGATCTCGGCTCACTGCAACCTCTGCCTCCCAGGTTCAAGTGATTCTCCTGCCTCAGCCTCTTGAGCAGCTGGGACGACAAGTGCACACATGCCACCATGCCCAGCGAATTTTTGTATTTTTAGTAGAGATGGGGTTTCACCATATTGGCCAGGTTGGTTTCGAACTCCTGACCTCATGATCCACCTGCCTCCGCTTCCCAAAGTGCTGGAATTACAGGCGTGAGCCACCGCGCCCCTCCAACAATTCTTTCTTGAGCAATTTCTATGTACCAGACACAGAGCCAGGTGCTGGGGTTGTGGCTGTGAGTATGATAGAAACTGTCCATCTTTACGGTGCTCATGGTGGGCACTGAGAGGCTGATTTTAAATAATTACACAATAGAGTAATTGCAATTGTGATACTTGCCATGGGCTGTGTCAGGGGCTACCAGAGGGTATGAAGAGAGGCAGGGGCGGGCAGACCACGAGGTCAGGAGATCGAGACCATTCTGACCAACATGGTGAAACCCTGTCTCAACTAAAATAGATATTAAAAAAAAAAAATTAACCGGGCATGGTGGCACACGCCTGTAATCCCAGCTACTTGGGAGGCTGAGGCAGGAGAATCGCTTGAACCCAGGAGGTGAAGGTTGCCACTGCACTCCAGCCTGGCAACAGAGCTAGACTCCCTGTCAAAAAAAAAAAAAAGACAGAGAGTCAGGGTTAGGCAGCTCAGCCAGTCCAGGCTTCCCCAAGGAAAAGACAGTGAATTTAAATCTGAAGAAATCATCCAGGTAATTTTCAGAAGAATACCAGCAAATACATGTAGAAGGAATGACAGAACATCACCGCTTTGTAATCACTGATGTAAAAACAGATACAGGCAAGGATCATCAGGGAATACTAAAATTGCATGAAGGGTTGCTGCCTATCTCAAAGTATCATCCACAGATTACTTATATTTTCACAAATATTTTAAAATATCTTTATAAAAATATATTTTTATAATGGAGAGATCTGGGACACTGTTTTTACCACACGAACAAACTCGGCATCACTGATAGTGGGACAGGCCGACGTTAGATGAGTCCCAGTGTGATGCTGCGGGAAGTATTCCTACCAAGGTGTGTAATCTGAATCTAACCATCAGAGAATAGCCAGCAAATCCAGGTTCGGGGACATTTTAAAGTACAACTGGCCTGGACTCTTTAAAAATATCCATGTCATTAAAAAAATAAAAAGACTGGGAGCTGGCTCCAGATTAAAGGAGAGGAAAGACGTGACAACCAAATGCAATCTATGCTCCTTGATAAAATCCTGGATTAAAAAAAAGGATAAAAGAACACACAGAACATTTATGAAAATCTGCTGGTGGATTCTATATTATTGTATTAATGTTAAATTCCTCAACTGAATATCTGGGGTCCTTACTTCCGGCCCGACTGAGCTCTGTGGGCCTGGCTGAGGGTGCAGGGTCAAGGCCAGGTGTTCTCAGCCCCAGGTGAAGGGGGCTAATGGGAATAAAGTAGGGAGAGCAGGCAAGCGGCGGGGGTTGCAGGGAGGAGAGCATGCGGGTTGTCAGGGAGACAACGGGACCAGATGCCAGAGGTTAGGAGGATGACCTGTCACAGGGAGCAGTGGTGTTGAGGGAACAAAGCTGAGTGGAACAGTGGGGTTGGAACCATGATGATCAGGAGTGTAAGGAGGCGTCCTGGGAAATGGTTGAAGGTTGAGGGCCAAACAGGTGGGTGGGCTGCCAATTATGTGAAGCTGGGTAAGAGATGAGCAGAGGGAGAGAGACCTCTTTTTTAACCATTTACTGAGAGCTTCCTATTCTAAGCTGACTGGGTAATATATTTGTCTTTTTTATCCTCGGAATCACCCTGCAGATAAGTGTTGTGATTATCTATATTTTCCAACAGATGAAAACAGGGCTCAGAGAGGTTGAGAGACTATACCAGAGTCACACAGCTGGAACTGGTAGAGTTGCAACCTGAAAGCCAGCCTAATATGATTCCAGGGCCTATGATCTTATGCACAACAACGTACTGGGCTTCAGCTTGGAGGCCTTGGAGCCCCAGCAGCAGATATGAGGGACTCTTCCAGGATTTGGGGAATAGTGAAAAGTAAAAATGGAAGAAATGGACTACATTTAGTCAACTATTTTCCAAGCAGTGGCCTGTGACAGGACCTAGGATTTAAGAGATGATGAATATGGTTCTTGCCCTATTGAGTTTGGGGTGTGTGTGTGTGTGTGTGTGTGTGTGTGTGTGTGTGTGTGTGTATAAGGGAATATCCCATAGACTGGACTATAATAAAATACTCCCTACATCATGCTCAAAAAACTGAGAAATCTAGGAAGTCACCCTGACAACACCCTGAATTTAATTGTGTTAAAATGTAAATGAGGCTGGGGATGGTGGCTCCCACCTGTAATCCCAGCACTTAGGGAGGCTGAGGCAGGCGGATCACGAGGTCAAGAGATTGAGACCATCCTGGTCAACATGGTGAAACCCCGTCTCTACTAAAAATACAAAAATTAGCTGGGCGTGGTGGCGCGTGCCTGTAGTCCCAGCTACTCAGGAGGCTGAGGCAGGAGAATTGCTTGAACCCAGGAGGTGGAGCTTGCAGTGAGCCGAGATGGCGCCACTGCACCCCAGCCTGGAGACAGAGCGAGACTGTCTCAAAAAAAAAAAATTGTAAATGAATGTGTATGTTTTCTAATGTAGCAAAAGCCCATTAGCATTAGAAAAATAATATGTATATTCATATGAGGACTTATTCTGTAAAATAATATGTATATTCATAAGAGGAGTTACTCTGCAAATGACTTGGGAAGAATTTTGAAAGACATGGGGAAATTCTCATGATACACTGCAAAGAAGAAAAAAGCTATAATTCTGTTGGACAGTATGGCCTCAGTTGCTATTTTTAAAAAACTAGTAGGAAATGTACCGTATGACTGGGAATAACAGTTCTTAATATGTGAATAAAGTGTCACATGAAAGTGTGACAAGTTTGTGAACAACTTATTTAGGTGAATGAGATTTTTTTAAAATGAAGCTCGGCCAGGCGCGGTGGCTCACGCCTGTAATCCCAGCACTTTGGGAGGCCGAGGCGGGCGGATCACGAGGTCAGGAGATCGAGACCATCCTGGCTAACACGGTGAAACCCCGTCTCTACTAAAAATACAAAATAATTAGCCGGGCGTGGTAGTGGGCGCCTGTAGTCCCAGCTATTCTGGAGGCTGAGGCAGGAGCATGGCGTGAACCTGGGAGGCGGAGCTTGCAGTGAGCCGAGATTGCGCCACTGCAGTCCAGCCTGGGTGACAGAGCAAGGCTACGTATCAATAAATAAATAAATAAATAAATAAATAAATAAATAAATAAAAATAAAAATGAAGCTCATGCATGTTCTTTGATTACACAAAGAAAAGTTTAGAAAGATATATATGAAAAGGCAGGGATTCAACAAATAAATTGCAAAAATGGAAGATGGAGGGGAAGTCTTTTACATTAAAAGAGCATTAAGATACTTAAGAGACACTCACTCAAATATAAAATGTGGACCTTATGAAAGAATCATCTGGCCGGGCAAGGTGGCTCACACCTGTAATCCCAACATTTTGGGAGGCCGAGGAGGGTGGATCACTTGAGGCCAGGAGTTCAAGACCAGCCTGGCCAACATGGCGAAACCCTGTTTGTACTGAAAATACAAAATATTAGCTGTGTGTGGTGGTGCACACCTGTAATCCTAGCTACTTAGGAGGCTGAAGCATGAGAATTGCTTGAACCCGGGAGGCGAAGGCTGCAGTGAGCTGAGATTGTGCCACAGCCTGGGCAAGAGAGTGAGACTCTGTCTCCAAAAAAAAAAAAAAAAAAAAAAGTCATCTGTTAAAGATGGTGGAGACCAAGATGAAATTATATGATGTCTGAGATTTGCTTCAAAAGAATCCAAGGACAGGATAAGGGTAGGGATATAGGTGAAACAAGATAAGGCATTAGTTGAAGCTGGATAGTGGTATCATACAGGTTCATGACACCATTCTCTCTACTTTTGTACATATTTGAAATGTTTCATATTAAACTGTAGTTGGTGGTGGTTCTCCCTAGATTGTAAAATGATGGGTGGTTTTCCTTTTAATTTTTTTTCTATTTTTCATGTTTCTATAATGAGCATGTACTATTTTATAAGTGGAAAAAAATTAAGTTGCTATTTGTTTGTTGAATGACTGCCCAAACTGAGAGAGAGCAGGGATACTGTCTCTCAGAGGAGGGATGGTAGTGTGGAGCCATCAGAGAACAGTCTAGGGACCAAATGGAGACTCTTTGTGCAGAGGCTGGGGACAGCTGCAGGGCAGGGCCTGGGTTACAGCCTAAGAAGGGGGAAATGGTTTGCTGGGCTCAGAGCTTGAGACAACAGCTATTGGGATCAGACACCCAAAGGATGACCTGAGAAGGGATAGTGGTGGGGAGGAGAAGCATGTGCCAAGCAGGAACTTCAGAATGTAAGTCTTCTTCATTTTTTCTCCCTTTTTCTTTCTTTTCTTCCTTCCTTCCTTCCTTCCTTCCTTCCTTCCTTCCTTCCTTCCTTCCTTCCTTCCCTCCCTCCCTCCCTCTCTCTCTTTTTCTTTCTTTCTTTCCTGATGGAGTCTCGCTCTGTCACCCAGACTGGAGTGCAGTGGTGTGATCTCAGCTCACTGCAACCTCCGCCTCCTGGGTTCAAGCGATTCCCCTGCCTCAGCCTCCTGAGTAGCTGGGACTACAGGTGTGCACCACCACACCTGGCTAATATTTTGTATTTTTACTAGAGATGGGGTTTCATCATGTTGGCCAGGCTGGTCTCAAACTCCTGACCTCAGGTGATCCACCCACCTCAGCCTCCCAAAGTGCTGGGATTACAGGCGTGAGCCACCACACCTGGCCAGGTCTTCTTCCTTCTGTCTAGGCAGTGTGACCCAGTGCTGACTTGAACTTGAACCAAGTTTACTGAAGAACTCAATACTAGCCCTGCTTTGAAGCTGGTGTGTCTGACCAGACCAGGCTGGAGGGCAGTGGGCAAGATGGTGGGGAGGGAGTGAGGCAGGGCATCAACAGAAGGCTGGAACCAGGGTTAGACTGGATAAAAGGAACCTCTCCTCTTCATCCCCTCACTCCAGTGCCAGCAAAGAGAAAACTCCCTGCCATTCCCTTGATCCCAGGAGGCCTCACCACAAGGCTTTTGCATAGGCTTTTCCCATTTGGAATGCTCTTCCTTCTGTGTAGGCAGTGTGACCCAGAGCTGGCTTGATCTTGAACCAAGTTTACTGAAGAACTCAACACCAGCCCTGCTTTGAAGCTGGTATGCCTGACCATCTGGAATGCTCTTCCTTCTTTTCTTTAGCTGGTTAATTTGTATTTGTCTTTCAGATCTCAGCACAACTTCATTTCCAGGATGTCCTCCTGCTCCCTAAATCAAATCCCTATTATACGCCCACACCACCAGATACAATTCTACCTAGCACTTATGACAGTTTCAGTCTCACATTTATTTTTGTAATTATTTGGTCAATATTTGTCTCCTTCAGTGCACTGTAAACTCCTTGAGGGCAGGGGCCTCCCACATCGAGAACACTGCCTGGCCAACAGAAAGTGCTCACTGACCATTTGTTGAATGAATGAAGGAGAGAAGTTGAAGTTACTGGACTAGATCCTAACGCTTATTTCACTTTGGAGCCGCTGAATCAAAAATGTTTGTTGTGGCCGGGGGCGATCACACCTGTAATTCTAGCACTTTGGGAAGCTGAAGCAGGTGGATCAGTTGAGGTCGGGGAGTTTGAAACCAGCCTGGCCAACGTGGCGAAACCCATCTCTACTAAAAATACAAAAATGAGCTGGGTGTGGTGGTGCACACCTGCTGTCCCAGCTACTCGGGAGGCTGAGGCAGGAGAATCGCTTGAACCTGGCAGGCAGAGGTTGCAGTGAGCCAAGATCGCACCACTGCACTCCAGCTTGGGCAACAGAGCAAGACTCTGTCTAAAAAAAAAAAAAAAAAAGGTTTGTTGCATCCTCCACAAGTTAACTAAGGAAGCAGAGAGAGGAGAGAGAGAGAGGTTCCGCACCTTCTCCTCCATATCTCCAAGAGCTCCCACATGTATTCCAGGCCACTAAGCCTCTCATTTGATGGAATGGGAGTTGAGGCAGGGGTAAGGTGCTCACCCCAGAGGACACATGAGAGGCAGTTGGTGGGGCTTCCAGGTTCAATGGTGAATTCTGCTTCAAAGCCAGTGTATGGCCTGGGGTGGTGGTAGGTAGAGGGAACATAAATGGCCTAGAACTTCTCAATGTCACCTCCTCCTAGAAGCCTTCTCTGATCTTCCCCCCCCCATTACACTCACATTGTTCTCTGCCTCTCAGAACTTACTGTGATTTGTGGCTAGATTATTTTTTTTTCGTGATCTCAGCTCACTGCAACCTCTGCCTTCCGGGTTCAAGCAGTTCTGCCTCAGCCTCCTAAGTCGCTGGGATTACAGGTGCCTGCCACCACGCCTGGCTAATTTTTGTATTTTTAATCGAGATGGGGTTTCACCATGTTGGCTGCCAGGCTGGTCTCAAACCCCTGACCTCAAGTGATCTACCCACCTTGGCCTCCCAAAGTGCTGGGATTACAGGCGTGAACCACAGTGCCCAGCCTTTTTTTTTTTTTTTAAGTGTTACTTGTTGCAAATTTTCAGTCTCCTCTGCTGGTCTGGAAGCCTATGAGTTCTGGGATCACATCTACTTGTTCACTCCTATAGCCCAATGTTTAGCACAGGGCCCTGCTCATAGTAGATGCTCGATAAATATTTGTTGAATAAATGAACGAATGAATACATTAATGACTTAATGGATAACTTATGAGAAGGTTGGCAAGGCCAGCAGGGAGAAGGACAACAGCTGGGGTCAAAGGAAGGGCAAGGGCAGCCCAAGCCTTTTGATCTGCTGCTTTTTAGGGGCCTTCTAAGAAGCGCTTTGCGTTCCTAAAATGGGTGACAGGACTGTGCATGCCCAGAAGCTGGAATCTCTGCCATACACCAAGGGCTCCTGGGTCCTTGTGGCAACAAGGGTTTGGTTGGTTGCAGGATGGGGGAAAGATAACTCTTGGAAGCTCAGCATCTGTAGCAACTTGGCAAATGTGGACAGCAAGTACTCAACCATTGAGGAGGTAGGGTAAGGTGGCCCAAGCTCCTGCTTCTCTCCCTGGGCTCTGAGACTCCTCCAGGCTCCTGACTTCTAACTGGGAGGCCTGGCGCAGAGCCTATCCCACTCTGCTCAGACCAACTGAAGGTCTTTCTGCTGAAGTTTCCCTCCCCTTCAGCCCGCAGGGGGTTCCTGTCTCAGCAGGAATTCATACCAGATTGAAATGAGCAGCTGGGGCTGCTTGGATGGGAGGGTGTCTGGTGGAGAGCTGCGATCAAAGGCTCAGTGTGTGAGGGGCAGGGAAGGAAGAGAGCGGGGTGTTGGTGGGTGGTGGGTGGGGGGTTGTGTGTGCTGGCTTGCCCACAAGCACAAAAAAATGAGAGACAGAGACAGAGGCTCAGAGAAAAAAGACAAGATAAAAGAAAAAGAGAGATAAAGAAAGAGTAACAGAGAAAGAGGCAGAAAAAGACAACAGGCACAGAGACCAGAGACAGAGACAAAGAAAGATATACAGAGACAGAGACAAAGAGAGACAAAGAACAGAGAGGAAAGCAGAAATAGTGAGAGACAGAGAAACATAGAGGCTGGGGATAGAAGAACACAAGGCGCTAGGAAACGGTGAAAGGAGAAACAGAAAAGAGGTCCAGGACAAGGACAGGGAGGCAGAGATAGAGAAGGAGAAAGAGACTAAGGGTCCCGTGTAGTTACTCACTCCACATTTATTGAGCACTTATGCCATGGCAGGCACAGTGGGCGGCACAGATCAATGCAAGTAGACAAATGAAAGGGACTGAGGCTGAGGTGCAGCAATCAAGACGGAAGCTAAGACAGAGATGGAGAAGAGAGGGAGAGGCAGAGATTGCAAAGCGAGATAGAGACTGAGGGAAGGACTGAGAGGTAAGAGAAAGTGGCAAAGACGGAAACTCAAGAAAAAGGGGCAGAGACACGGAGACCCCACAGACAGAGAGCAGGACAAGTAGGGGCAGAGGACAGTGGGAGGAGGGGCCGGAGAAGGGGGCCTGCTCCATGCCCCGCCCAGTCCTTCCTCAGTTCCACCTCCAGCTGTGCTGCCTCCACTCTCCCCAGGCTGCAGTCAGCCTCGGCTCTGGAGGCTCTGGAGGAGGCGCTGAGTGCGGACCGCCTCCTCCGGTCAAATGCTTTTCTGCCTGAGCCCCAGGTCATAATGGAGCCCAGCTCAACTCAGGGGAGGGGGTTAGGCAGTACATGGGCATAGAAAGCCTCGCTTTCACCCAGAGACCAGCTTAAGACCATCCTTTGGTTCCACAGTGCCCTCAGGGGATAGGAAAAGGTGCCGGTCGTGGCGAGGAGGGAAGGGGCAAGCATGTGAATTGAGCTTCCTGAACAGTCAGGGCAGTCGCCTCTTCCTTCCGGGGTCTGTGTGCCAGCCCCCCGCACACCAAGACCTCCCTGGGATCTCAAACTGAGGGAGAAGCCATCTGTAGCAAATGCTGGGCCCTCCCCCATCTCCTCCCACGTCATCCCTGAGAAAATGCCGCAGAGAAGAGGGTGGGCTGGAGAATCAGTCACCTACCCGCTGGTGCCGGGTCTCTGGGCCTGAGAGAAACGCCAGTCCGTGTTGGGCGGGGCTTGCTGTGGAGAAAACAGAGGGAAAGGGGCTGAGTACCCGTGAGAAGTTAGAATGTCACCCGAGCCCCTAGGGATGGGCCGGGAGAGAAGGAGGGGAGTGGGCACAGAGAAGAAAACGGACTAAGAGGGGGCAGGGGTGGACTCATCTCCAAAGACAAAATACACCTCAGGTCTCAGAGGTCTGAGGTACCAGAAACCAAGAGATAAATCACATTTCATCTGACCACAGTGAGCAAGCTGAGACTCCTTTCCTAAAGAAATGGCCCCTTCCTCCCTGCCCCCAGAGTCAGAACTCCTGAGCCAAAATTCAAGGACTGAAGGCATCTTCTGTGGAACTGGGGGAAGAGGTGCAGACAAAGCCCCCTAAAGTGGCAAAGGAGGCTTTTCAATGAGAATTCTACCAGCCCTAGAATGAATTTATTCAACTCCTCAGCTGGGAACAAAGCATCCTCTGCAGCAAGATGGCTGCTGTTCTTGGTAACCCTTTTGGTGCCAGGTTGTGCAGTGACACATTCACAGGGACATCTTCTCTGGGCCCTTGGCTTGCAAGAATCTCTTCCCACAGCTAAATACATTATTAATTTAGGAGTCATGCCAGATTGGGCCTTTGCGGGGCATCCAAGTCCCGGGACACTTCTCACCCCTAGAACTCCGTGCCAGACAATGGTCTGTGACTAAGGAGAAGAGAACAAGGCTGCTCTGTCTGAGACGGAGAAAAATGGAAGGGATGCAGCGGGGAGGGATCCAGCTCCCACAGCCTCCAAGCAGGGCCAACTAAGTCTCCAGGGCTCCCAAGGGGCTGATGTGTAGCCATCTCCCACCTAGCTGAAGGTGTGGGGCTCTGGCCAGCCACTTCATTCCTGAGTCCCTTCTGGTCTTTCCAGGGGGTGTGTTATCCCATCACACACTCTCATGGAGCACTCCTAGAGCCACCTCCTCACTGGTTCTGGGGTGGGCTGGTAATTAATACTCATACTTGCTCCCAGAAGCAGAGAGTGTGAGTATCTCAGATTACTCCAGGGAGAAGGAAGCTCCGGAACTGCCAGTGGCTCACTCAAGGCTCACAGGTGGCAGTGATATGAGCAGAACCCAGAAACCTAGCATTCCAGGTGTATCGGGAGTCACCAGCACCATTCTGGGGCTGCCATGGAGAAGGGCACAGGGATGGCCAGCCCTCAGCCACTGTATTCTTAGACACAGCAGAATCTACATGGAAATGCAGTGATTGTGATAGGAGGAAACGGAGCTGGGGGAACTCAATCTCCAAAAGGATAACTGGCCAAGTTTGCGCTGCGGGGACTGCTCAGAAATGAGGAGCCACAGAAGACTTTCCCCACATGTAAGGTCCTAAAAGGGAAGGAACCCCACCCTTGCCCCATCCCAGCAGAAGCAAAATCCCAGCAGAGGCAACTCCCCTCTCCTGTCCTCAAGCTTTTAAAGTTCCAAGTGCCAAGAAATTAAAAGCACACATTCTGGAGTTAGACAGGGGTTAGAATCTCTCTTACTTGCTCTGTGAACTTGAGCAAGTCACTTGACCTCTGTGAAGCTGTTATAAGAGAGGCATGTTAGTACCTAGCCAACAGCAATGGTGGGAAGAGCAAATGAGATGAGGTTCTCAAAGGAGTTATATAGTAAGTTTCTCTCAATCAGCTATCAAAATCACCTGGGGGTGTTTCAAAATACAGTCCTAGGAGCAGAGTTAGGCATTGATATATTTTGAATAAAAGCTCCTGGAGTTGGAGAAACTTGTGTTTTTTACTATTGTAGTTTCCTCACACATAAGGGCACCCTGGCATCTGGCAGAGCCTATAGCTTTCCATCTGCCAGAGGAGACAGGACTTGTTAGAGTGTCAGATAGTTTGGTCACCTCCAAATCTCTGACCCTAGATCGCTGGGCACATTGTGATCACGACGGCGCCAAAAGCCTGTATCTCTGGGGGTTGAGAGCCAGGGCGCTCGAGGCTTTCACTTCCTGCGGGAGGAAGGGGCCGCTGGTGCCACTGGAGTCCCAGTCCTGCTGTCCTATAGAGGCTCACTCACTCGCCCAACGCGGAGCCCTGCCGCGCCTCGGCCACTGGGCAGCTCTGCCTGTCCGCCTGCTCGAGGCTTCTGGGTTGAGGGGTCGCCGACCCTTGAGACGGAGTCCCGGGACCATCCGGACCTCTGGCCCAAGGATCGTAGAGTCCTGCCCGCCCGGCACTTAGAGCGGCAGTCGCTCCAGCGCTCCTGGCCCCGCGCCTCGCTCAGGCCGCCCCCCAGGCGACCCGGCCCAGCCCGGGGCGCAGGTGGGAGAGGTGAGAGGAGGCTCCGGAGTCCTCGCCTGGTCCTGGGCGGCCGCGATCTGGGACCCTCAGGCGCGCACAATCAGCTACGAGTACTCCTGAGCCCGGCGGAGGGAGCGGCAGAGGGGAGCTGCGAGTGGACCGGAACAGGCCTGTGAATCTGGCCGCGAGCGAGTGGCAGTGAAAGCTGGTATTCGCGTAAGCCCACGTGCGAGGAGTGCGTGCGTGCGTCCGCGCACGTGTTGGCGGGGCGTGGCGAGCCCGTGCAACTTGTGTGGGCCGTGGGGGTGGCCAGCAGGGAGGACACGCATGAGCCCCGCGCGCACACCTAAGTCCCGCAGACAGGTGCGGTTGGGTGATGCGGGGATAGGGAGGGTAACAGTGAAGTCACAGATGCTGGGAGCTGGGGAGAAATCGAAGAGGAAATCTACAGACCGGCGAAGCGTGCCGGAGCCGGCGCCTAGGAGGCTGGCTGCAGGGGTGGATCTGTGACTGCCTCCTCCCGGGACCCCCGACACCCGCGGAAATCGCCCGAAATTCACCGGAAGCTCGAAGGAGGCCCCGGCCTTTTTTGAGTGTAGGGGTGGGGGTCGGTCCCACCTCCCCTCGCCCACAGTCGCCACCACCCCCGGTGCTCGGAGCCCCATCCCTTAATCGGCCACTCTGGTTTCGCGCAAACGGTCCAATGATCCCGAGAATCGGGTGGAGCGCAGCCAGCGACCAAGCCGGCCGGAGAGGAGTGGATGCAAGTTCAATCCCTTATGAGGACGGGCGGCTTCTCCAGTGCCGCCCCCAGGGGTCGCCCGGGGCGGCGCCGAGCCCCTCACCTGGCTCCGCTCCCGCAGCGTATTAGAGCGGGACCGGATGGCGTCAGGCTCCAGCGCCAGAGCTGTGGGCTGCTGAACGCTGAGGGGTCTTAGAAAAGTGAAGTCACTGCCGTCCGAGGCCGGTGAAAAGCACGTCCTGTAGCAGTGGCTCTGCGAGTCTGTGGGCCGCAGCGTCACCTCCATGTACTTGAGCGTGCCGTCCGAGCTCACCTGCAGGTTGGGGCTGGACTGCTTATAGAAGTCCGGGGAGGGTGAGTCCTGGCGCCTGCAGCACTGCCCTCCACCCCCGTCCCCGTCTGCGTTTCCCTGAAGGCACTTCGCTGACAGAAAGGTGAAGGTGACTAGGGATAAGAGACTGACGGTCGCTAGAGCCACAATGAGGTAAAGGGTAAGGTCTGAACGCTCAGGAGGGTGTATGAGGAAGTCACTGGATTTGGGCATTTCCTCAGGGTCCTCATCCTCCAGAACCAGCAGCACTGTGGCTGTGGAGGAGAGTGAAGGGTCACCATTGTCCCTCACCAGGACCACCACCTGCTGGGTGTCAGAGTCATCCTCCAGTAAGGCCCGGGCTGTGCGCACCTCACCAGTGTGTGTAGACACGAGGAACAGTCCTGGGGCTGTGGACTGTGGCAACAGTGAGTAGGAGAGCCACGCATTGTGGCCTGCATCAGCATCCACGGCTGTCACCTTGGTGACCAAGGAGCCAGGAGGAGCAGAGCGAGGGAGACGCTGGGGGGCTGAGTGTTCCCAGTCTGGCCGTGGGTGCAGCACAGCTGGGGCATTATCATTCTCGTCTAGGACAAACACATGCAGAGATGTGTTGGCATGCAATGGGGGAGAGCCGGAGTCTCGAACCCCCACCACAATCTGCAGCATCTGCAGCAATTCATAGTCAAAGGTACGCTGGGCAAAGATCCGTCCATCCTCTGGGTTGACATACACAAAGGAGGAGGCTGGGGCTCCCTGAACCTGATTTCCTACAATGGAGTAGGTGAGGCGGGCATTATCCCCAGTGTCTGGATCTGAGGCAGCCACAGTGCAAAGAAGGGAGCCCGGAGGCCGGTTTTCTAGGATGTAAGCAGTGTAAAGCTGCTGGTTGAAGCGGGGTGCATTGTCATTGACATCTGAAATGTTGAGCCTGATGGTGAGATGTTTGTGTAGGGAAGGTGAACCAGCATCGCTGGCCAGCAGCTCGATGATATAGTGGGATGTGGCCTCCCGGTCCAAAGGCTGGCTGGTTAGCAGCGAGTAGTGGTTCTCAGAAGGCTTAATCTGAAATGGCAGGTCCGGAGAGATATCAAGGCTCACTTCACCATTTCTACCTGAGTCCCGGTCTCGCACATTAAACAACCCCACTACTGTGCCCACTGGTGTGCTCTCTAGGACAGGGTTGGCCAAAGAGGCCAATAGCACCTCTGGGGCATTGTCATTGACATCCCCCACATCCACTTGAATCACACAGTGGCCCTCCATGGCAGGCTGTCCCTGGTCACGGGCTCTTGCATGAATTTCATAGAAACGTGACTCCTCAAAGTCTATGGGACCCAACACATGGATTGCCCCACTGCTAGGGTCTAGGCCAAAGAGGTTCCGCACTGCCTCAGATGTGTGGTCTCCAAAAGAATAGTCTAGTTGGCCGTTGGTGCCCTCGTCTGGATCAGTGGCATTGAGGCGGAGCAGCAGAGTACCAATGGGTGCATTCTCTGGGATTCCCACACGTAGAACTGAGGATTGGAAGGTTGGAGCATTATCATTGATGTCCAGCACGATGACAGAGATAAGGGTGGTCCCTGAGCGGGCTGGGGTCCCCCCATCCACAGCAGTAAGCACCAGCTGATGTCTTGCCTGGGCTTCACGATCCAGCTGCTGCTCTAGCACCAGCTCTGGGAATGGCTTCCCATCTTTTAGGGTCTTCACATTCAGAGAGAAGTGGCTGTTGGGGCTTAGAGTGTAAAAGCTCACAGTATTGGTGCCCACATCCGGATCCTGGGCACTGTCCAGTGGGAATCGTGCCCCAGATGCTGCTGATTCTGAGATGCGCATCTCTCGCTCAGGGGTGGCAAAGCTAGGAGAGTTGTCATTGAGATCCAGGATCTCTACCTCTACACGGATTAGCTCCAGGGGGTGTTCAGTCACCACCTGCACTGGCAGCAGGCAGCTGGTGCTGGCTCCACATAGGCTTTCTCGGTCAATCTTTTGATTCACTGCCAGGGCACCACTCATCAAGCTCAGGGAAAAATAGCGCCCATTCTCCTCAGAGCCCAATTGCAGCCGCCGGCTCAACAGATCTGTCATCTTTAAGCCCAGATCCTGAGCAACATTCCCCACCAGCGTCCCCGGCTCAGACTCCTCCACCACTGAGTAACGAAGCTGCCCAGACACCCAGCCCCAGCAGCACAAGGACAACATGCACAGCACTTGCCATTTCCCAGCGAGCTGTGGGAGTGTCTTGGGCCCCATGACCCAGAAGTCCCTTTGTGGAGAGTAAGTCTGTGCTGTCCTGTCTCCAAGGTAGACCCAGGGCTTGGAATGCAGCAGCTGAAGTCTCTTATGTCTCCTTCCAGCCTCTTAAAAACTGCTCGGAGGTTTGCCTGCTTGCAGCAGTTCTTAGTCACCGAGTGGCGGGGGTGGGCAGGGGGGAGGGGAGCTGAATTTGAGTGGAGCTGGGGAGCTGGAGGAGGAGAGGCGGGCTGGAAGAGCAGATCTCCCACCTCAGCTCTGAGTCTGATTGGCCAAAAAGTCTGTGTGCTCTCAACCAATTATGGAGTTTCCTCAATCCTGGAAACCTTGGGAACACAGGCTGCAAATCTGTGTCACAGAAGCTTCCTACCTCCCCACTCACTTCGTGCTGCAGGTTGATTCAGCCCCCTTGGCAGCAAAGTTTGACAGCTCAGATGGTACTCAACAGGGAAGACAAAGTGATACAAAACTCCTCAGCGTTCTGTCCCAGCAACTTCCTGCATGACTTCAGAAGCTTCCACCACTTTGCTTGAACCAGCAAAATCTTGTCCTTCTGGGAGAGGCAAAGCCCATGTATTCCCCCACCCTCCCCCATCCTGCTGAATGCTGCTAAGGTGAGAGAAAAGATTAGTAAGAACCTTGTAAAGTCTTGCCCTGACTCTCCAGCAATGCTTTGCGGAAATCTCAATGTCAGCTGACATGGGACTTAGCTTTTCTGACACCCCAGACCCCAAATGTGGAATGAGTGTTACAGTTTTTGGGTAGGGGAACATTTCTGGGGCTGAATCAGGTCACCCAGGAGGGTGGTCAGAGGCCAAGCATGGATGGCTTGGCTTCTAGGTTTCATGGTTTCACCAAATTCAGGAGAACTCAACTTAAAGATGCACAGGGTGGCTGTTTCTATGAATCAGCCAACTGTAAACCAGTTTTCTGACATAAGTGATTTCACTTACTGTTTTTTCCAAAGGTGATGACCAACCCGCCCCAACCTTCCAATTTACCGCATCTAGTTCAAATCCCCAGTAGGGACTTGATATGAGTCCTAAGACCCAGACCAAAAGATCTATGCCACCACTCTGATGCGTGCCTCTCTATTCCTTTAGTTCTCTCCTCTTTCTGCTGTCTCTATGTTTCAAATAGAGAGGTCCCTTCACAGTGTACTAGATACTGGGAGACAAAGATTTTATTTCCCCTCAATCCCTTGGGAAATGGTAACCTAGAGTTAAGGTACTTCAGAATCTGATCCCCTCTTTCAGGAAGAGTAGAGAAAACAGCCACCTTTGTCCAAGTGACTGCCTGGTGCACTGTACCCTGTGCACTGTAGCCTCCTGTGCTCCCACATTCCATCATCATGCTTCCACAACAGCCTGGCTCTTGATCACCAATTACTTTCATTTCTTACTCAGATATAGGCATGACCCGCCCCCAATGCTAAACTGTGACAACTCTGGTTAATTCACGAAACAGTTACAAAGCACAGCGTCTACCACATAGTTACCTCTTACAAAAATGGTGACATCACTATGGGCACTTACTGAGAGGCCAGTACTCTCTAGGACATGGCCTAGCCATATGCCTGGATCAGAATAACCCTCAAGCATTTGTTGAGCCTGCAAAGGTCTCACCTCTAGCCCATAGAGAAGATCAGAGGGTGGGCAGCTTGGGCGAACAGGCTCCCCTGCCATAGGTGCACTGGGTGACTTCACCATCATGAAGCTATCACTCCGAGTGGGTGCAGAAGCCAAGGGTGTACAGCCATGAGAGTGGCCTCCCACATCAACAAACTTGATAGGGTCATCTGACCCTAGCTGGATTCGGAGGATCCCATTGGAAGGGGGAAGCCCCTCCCTCCTTCGAGATCTGGTGAGACAGGCACAGGTGCCAGCAGGAAAGCATGTGACTCCACAGGCTGCCCCACGAAGACACTTAGAGAGTAGTGCCACGAATGAGCCAAAGGAGACAAAGCAAATTGCCACTAGGGACACAGCCAAGTAGAGGGTTAGACGAGATTCTCCTTCCCTTGGAGCTGAAGATTCTCGAAGATCTGGGACAACTGGATGAGTGTCTTCCTCTAAGGACACTAAGAGAGTAACAGAGGTAGAGAGTGGTGGACTACCACTATCCTTTACCACAATGACCAGCTTCTGTGGTGGGAGGTCAGCTGGGATAGGAACAGCCGTCCGCACCTCCCCAGCATATCGAGAGACTGCAAACAGGCTGGGATCTGGGGCCTCCAGGAGCTGATAGGAAACCCAAGCATTGTAACCTGAATCCAAGTCCACAGCAGTCACCTTTGTGATTAGGTGGCCAGCACCAACTGATGGAGGCAGTGCTTGGGGACATAAGGAACCAGGCCGGGCCCGAGGACGGAGCACAGCTGGAGCATTGTCATTGAGGTCCAGCACAAATAGACGAACTGTTACAGTGCTGCTAAGGGGTGGGTTGCCCCGATCCCGGGCCTGCACCTCAAACTGCAGTGTCTGGGTTTGCTCATAGTCAAAGGATCGAGTAGCATGAACAGCTCCTGTCTGGGGGTTCAGAGAGATGAAAGAGGAAGCTGATACATCTCGATTCCTGGGCTCCAGGAGTGAGTAGGAGATAAGCGCATTCAAGCCAGAGTCTGGGTCAGAGGCTGCAAGGGAGCAAAGCAGGTCCCCTGGGCGATTGTTCTCAGGAACAAACACCTCATGTGACCTCTGAAAGAAAGAGGGTGGATTATCATTCACATCTGAAATATTGAGGAAAATAGTTCTGTGGGTACTGAGAGGAGGGTTCCCAGCATCAGAAGCAGTGACCATGATGTCATAGCTAGATTTGGCCTCTCGATCCAAGGGTCCAGCAGTCACCAGGGAGAACTGGTTCCTGAAGGCAGACTTGAGGGCAAATGGCAAGTGGTCAGGAATGCGGAGGCTCACATCTCCGTTTGACCCTGAGTCTGGATCCTGCACACTGATAAGTGCCACCACAGTGCCAGGTTCTGCACTCTCGGGGAGGGTTCCAAGCTCTGAGGTCACTGTGATGTAAGGGGCATTGTCATTTACGTCCAGCAGATCCACTCGAAGGCTGCAATGTTGCTCCATGGCTGGAGAACCCCCATCGCGAGCCCGCACATCAAATTCATAGTAATTCTCACTCTCAAAGTCTAGGGGCCCCAAAAGAGTAAGCTTTCCAGTAGTGGGGTGCAGGCTAAAGAGGTTTCTTACACGATCAGGGGTATGACCACTGAAATAAAAGGTGACGTTACCACTGGGACCCAGGTCCGGGTCTGAGGCATTGAGCTGGATGAGCACCATGCCCGCTGGTGCGCTCTCCAACACACTAATCCTGTAGCTGGATTGCTGGAAGGCTGGGGCGTTGTCGTTTACGTCCAGCACGGATACCCGGAGCTCTGCGGTGCCAGATCTCGGCGGGTTCCCTCCATCGACAGCAGTCAGCACCAGGCGGTAGTCCGATTGCTTCTCTCGATCCAAAGGCTTCTCCAGGAGCAGCTCTGGGACCAGGCTGCCGTCGCTGCGCTTCTTCACATCCAGTGCAAAGTGTTCATTGGAGCTCAGCCTATAGCTGCTAATCGAATTGCTCCCCACATCTGCATCCTGAGCCTTTTCCAACGGGAAACGCTGTCCTGGAGGAGCTGCCTCCCCAATTTCCAAGTCCAGCTGCTGCCGCGGAAAACGGGGGGCGTGATCATTCACATCTACGATCTCTACCTCTGCTCGGTACATTTCCAAAGGACCTTCGGTGACAAACTCCAGGGGCACGATGCAGCTGGCACTGAGCCCACACAGTGCCTCTCGGTCGATTGGGTTCTTGATGAGCAGGGCTCCGCTGTCCAAATCCACACGGAAGTGTCTTTGGTTCACCTCTCCAGCGACCTGCAGCCTGCGAGCTGACAGACTGTCCGTATCCAGCAGGAAATCTTGAGCGACATTCCCTACAAAAGTCCCTTCCTGTGACTCCTCTGGGACCGGGTAGCGGATCTGCCCACAAACGTAACCCAGGTGGTAAAAGAGGAACAAAAGGGTAGCCCACCGCCAGATTTCTGTCCAGCTTCTCACCTTGCGGAGCATTGCTGCCGCCCGCTAATTCTCTACTTGCTCCTGAGACGCGGATGAAGCCGACCCGCCCCAAACAGCCACAGCAGCTGGAGACACCTATCTCCCTTTCCCCGCGCCAGCTCTGGCGCGGTTCGGCCGGCGCCGCAAGGGTTACGCGCCGTTTTTGCTGGTGGCGGGGTAGATTTGTCTGCCTTTCACCACCCGATTGGCAGACAGCGGCTCCCGGGCTCAGCCAATAGGCTGAGCAGAGAACGTCCCAACAGCAGCAGGGTTAATGCGTCGCAGCATTGGAGGGGAAAAAGCCCACCCTATCCTCCACGCTCCCCCACCCCCCAAAAAACCCAGCCTATCTTTTCGCCTTCCTCCCGCTCAACGGCATGTTTTTCCACGGGTTGTTATCTCTGTGGGGAGGCAGACAACATATATATATATATACATTTTTTTTCCTAACACACCGACTGACCCCGCCCCTTTTCGGCGGGGAAAACAGCCACAGCCTGAGCCCTAGCAACCTGCGGCCCACTGAGAGGGAGAGTAGCCATTGGAGAGTGGTCACTTTGTTCAAGCCAGTGTTGTCATCAACCAGTATTCTAAATGAGTAGCTTCCGTCTCAGTCTGATTGTATTGGAGCAACTGCTAATTAGAACCACTGCCATATACTCAAAACTCTGCCCTTCTGCAGAATATTCAGAAACGGATCCATCTCTTTGCAGAAAAGGCTTACACATTAACGTAGCCAATTAAATTTATGCAGTACATGTTCTCATTGTAACAGGAGACACAGCGGAAACCAAACCTTTCTTATTCAGACATTTGCTAGTGATACACTAGATACACTAAATTACCATTCATTGATTTCAAGGACAGTATGGAAGCGGGGTGGAGGAAGCCAGGAGAGGGAGATGTTTCAAAACAGTAAAGAATCAGTGTGTCTGGGAGGTGCTAAGGACCAGATCTCTTTACCTGGCAGAATGCTAATGTTCATAGATTTAATAGCTTCCTTGAATGATTGAGATCAGCTACCAACAGCATTGTGCCTACAAATTCCCTTTATCTGACACCAAGGTATTCTTGATCTTTTGTTAATTACCAACGAAGACCATTTCAAAAGAGCAAGCTTTTCACTTAGCCCCAGGGGACCTCTTGGAGCTGGAGACTTGATCTCACCCCACCCCCACCCTCATCCAGACCTCCCAGCAACCTAGCTACTCCCTTGCACAAGCACAGAAACACAACACAATTCACACCGTAGGTACCTACGACCTGCAATCTGAGTGGGAAACACACCAGAGCTCAGAGAAATAGAAAAATCCATCCTGATCTGGACATGAAATTTCTTAATTCAACCAAGTCCTTACCTAGGTTACACTGGCTGCCAAAAAAAGCAGCAACAACTGGAGTTCTTATCCTTCCCCAATATTTTTCCAAGCCTCGATCCTCAGGAATATCCTTTTGACTATGGTGGGAACCAATATTCTGGTGTCAAAAAGAGGAATCTGGCTTTCTGTGTTCTTTTACACACACACACACACACACAAACACACACCCCTCTATACCTTCTCCCATGGGAATGATGGAGGTGTAAACCAGCCTGACCTATTAGGTGTTTATGCCAGAATTCACTGTCTCTGTGAATGGCACTGTCAACCACCCAGCTTCCTTAGTCAGGATCTAGGGGGATCAGCCTTGACTCATCCCTGTCCCTCACTTCCTATATCATGTCAATCAACAAGTCCTGATGATTTTATTGTAGTCAGCTCCCTCCATCTGTACTGCCACTGTGCTGGTTCAAGCATTTATCAATCTTCTCTTCAAATATTGCAATAGCTTTCAAACTATTGCAAAGAGATAAGATCTCTTTGCCTCCAGTCCCAATGTCCCCAGTCCCTTCACTTATGACTGACAGAATAATATTTCTAAAACAAAAAAACCTCATGATATATGCATATCAGTTCAAATTTCTGCAGTGACTGTCATCTATATGGAATAAAATAAAAACTCCTTGGCTTGGCCCAAAGGTAACTCAGGATCTAACTCCTGCCTACTTGCTTCACCTCATCTCCTACAAAGACTGTCTGTTTTACACGCACACTTTTTTTTTGAGATGGAGTCTCTCTCTGTTGCCCATGCTGGAGTGCAGTGGCCTGACACCAGCTCATTGCAACCTCTGCCTCCCGGGTTCAAGCAATTCTCCTGCCTCGACCTCTCAAGTAGCTGCTCAAGTAGCTGGAATTACAGGCACCCACAACCACACCTGGCTAATTTTTTGTATTTTTAATAGAGATGAGGTTTCACCATGTTGGCCAGGCTGGTTTCAAACTCCTGACCTCAAGTGATCTGCCCACCTTGGCCTCCCAAAGTGCTAGGATTACAGGCATGAGCCACCGTACCCGGCCACACACACAGTTTAAGGTTCAGTGATAATGAAATACCATAATCCCTCTGCATGGAATTTCTTGCAATGGCCCCTCCCTGCCCTGTCCTTTCCCCTTTACTGTCTGACAAGCTACTACTCAACCTTTAGATCATAGCTCAAGCATCACCACCTCTATCATTTCTTCCTTTCTCCAGGCTCATTTAGGTGTTTTTTCCCGTTTGGTCCCACTGCATCTTATGCTATGCAGATCTCCATTATCTTTTTTTTTTTTTTTTTTTGCATGTCTGTCTCATACTGTACTCTGGGTACCAGAATGATAACTTTTAATTGTTTACAGTGTCTGGCACATAGGGATGCTAATAAATGGTGAATATCAGTATTATCATTTTTAGTTCAACAAATAGTTATTGAGTACTTGCTCCATACAGGGACTTTATATGCATTACTTTTCACTCTCACAACAAGTTTGCAAAGTAGATATTCTCTTTATTTTATAGATGAGGAAACTGGAGTTTAAAGAGATTAAAAGACTTACCTAAGCTAAACAACTAATATGTACAGTACTATACTTATATTGGCAATTTCACACCAAAACAAGTACCTGGTCTGTTTTACTAGAACTGGAGCATCGTAAAGCCTTAATCTTACATATCTTTGACTTGACCTTTTTATGCCAGCCATATGATTCTCCCATCTCTAGATATTTTTTTTTTTTTTTTGAGATGGAGTGAGTTTTGTTCTTGTTGCCCAGGCTGGAATGCAACAGCATGATCTTGGCTCACTGCAACCTCTGCTTCCTGAGATAAAGCGATTCTCCTGCTTCAACCTCCCAAGTAGCTGTGACTACAGGCACCTGCCACCACATCTGGCTGATTTTTTTTTTTTTTTTTTTTTTGAGATGGAGTTTCGCTCTTTCACCCAGGCTGGAGTGCAGTGGCGCGATCTCGGCTCACTGCAACCTCCACCATCAAGCGATTCTCCTGCCTCAGCCACCACGCCTGGTGAATTTTTGTATTTTTAGTAGAGACGGGGTTTCACCATGTTGGCCAGGCTGGTCTTGGACTCCTGACCTCGTGATCCGCCCGCCTCCGCCTCCCAAAGTGCTGGGATTACAGGCGTGAGCCACCAGGCCCGGCCTGATTTTTGTATTATTAGTAGAGATGAAGTTTCACCATGTTGGCCAGGCCGGTCTTGAACTCCTGGCCTCAGGTGATCCGCTGGCCTCAGCCTCCCTAAGTACTGGGATTACAGGCGTGAGCCACTGAGCCCAGCCCCATCTCTAGATTTTTACTGAGACATAATTCACATACCATGCAAATCACATATTTAAAGTGTATAATCCAATGGTTTTCAGTGTATTTACATGTACTAAACTGATACAATCATCATCACAATCTAATTATACAAGAATTTTGTCACATCCCTCCAAAAAGAACCCAATATCTATTGAACAGCTGTAGATGTTTAAATAATAGTTGTCCAGGGGCTAGTGCTTTAGGAAGGTTTTTCCCTTAGATGACTGAAATACCATTTTATGTCTTCCTACAGTGATCTTTTAGAGCTATGCTATGTAATACTTTAAGGCTGGGAGACCTTACCATGTTTTTTAAAAAAATTGGGCCTGGCCCAATAAAGCTGGATTCTGGTTCTGCAAATACCAGAATAACACTTTACTTCACAAATATGCTAAATGATGGATTGGTAGGTTCCAGAGTACTGCTTTTCTTTTTTCTTTCTTTCTTTTTGTTTTTGAGGTGGAGTCTCGCTCTGTCGCCCAGGCTGGAGTGCAGTGGTGTGATCTGGGCTCACTGAAACTTCCACATCCTGGGTTCACTGATTCTCCCTCACTGATGCTTCCGCCTCAGCCTCTAGAGTAGCTGGGACTACAGGTATGCGCCACCATGCCCAGCTAATGTTTGCATTTTTAGTAGAGACGGGGTTTCACCATATTGGCCAGGCTGGTCTCAAACTCCTGATCTTATGATCCACCCACCTCAGCCTCCCAAAGCTGTGGTTTTCAAATTTGTCTGCACATTAGGATCAAGTGGGGACCTTCAAAAAATGATGCCTATGTCCCACCCCCAGAGACTGTGCTTTCATTTGTCGGGGTGTGGCCTGGGTTTCAGAATTTTTAAAAGGTCTCTAGGTGATTTTAATGTGCAACCAAGTTTGAAAACATTGTTCTAGGGAAAATGCCAGTTGCTTTCCAGGCTGACCAGAAGAGCGGCAGTTATTTCTTGCTGGCTTTCATGCTTTCTTAGCCTTTTCATATGTGCTTCTACTTTGTCATTTTTGGTTGTTCTCATATGTGTATTTCTAAGGTGTGTTTGAGATTTTAGGTGAGTGAGGAACTAATAAAAATAATTATAGTAATAGCTGATAATTTTTTTTTTTGAGACAGGGTCTCACTCTATTGCCATGGTTGAAGTGTAGTGGTGCAATCACAGCTGACTGTAGCTTCAACCTCCCAGGCTCAAGCAATTCTCCCACTTCAGCCTCCCAAGTAGCTGGTACCACAGGTGCATGCCAACACACCCAGCTAATGAAAACACATTTTTTTTTTTTTTTGTAGAGACAGGATCTCACTATGTCGCTCAGGCTGGTCTTGAACTGCTGGCCTCAAGCAATCCGCCTGCCTCAGCCTCCCAAAATGCTAGGAGCTGGCTAATAATTGTTTAACAGTTATGATATGCCAGGCACCATGCTAAACACTTTGCATACATTATATCATGCATGAATCTTATAAAACACTTATTATTCCCTTTTTGCATATGAGGAAGAGGCTTAGAAAGGAGATTGAGTAACTTGGCCACAGACTCCTAGTTGGTAAATGGTAGAACCTCATTTGACTAACTGCCAAATCCAAGAGTTGATAGCAATGATGCACTGAGTAACAAAATAACAGTGTTTCTCCTACAGTTGAGAGTATGTATAGGGTTCTCTCCAGGGCAAAGGCCTTGCAGTCACCTTGCATGGATACCATGCCTTGGATAGTATCCTTGCATACCACCCTGAATTAATGAATGCTTTACCTGTCTAAGGATATGAATTTATCTACCTTTCACATTGTGCATATACTTAAGAAAAATAAGGCTGGAAGGACAGGGACTAACACTGGAGGCACCAAAAAGACTCTCCTTTTGTAGTTTCTGGGATTGTTGTTGTTGTTGTTGTTATTGTTAAAGAGACATGGTTTCCCTATATTGCCTAGGCTGGAGTGCAGTGGCTATTCACAGATGTCATCCCACTACTGGATAGCACAGCAGTTTTGACCTTCTCCACTTCCAACCTGGGCCAGTTCACCCCTCTTTAGGCAACCTGATGGTCCTGCCCTCCCAAGAGGTCACTGTATTCATGCTGAACTTAGTGCAGACAGTGGATTGATCAATTGATCAGCATAGTGCACCACAGCCCAGAACTCCTGGGCTCAAGCAATCCTCCCACCTCAGGCACTGAGCAGCAAGAACTACAGGTGCACACCACTGAGTCTGGCTACTTTATGTTTTCTTGGGTTGCCTAGATTTATTTTTGAAATAAATTATTACTTTTATAATTAAAAATGGTTATCTTTGGGTTTGGAGATTATAGTTTTAATTTTTTAAATACTTTTCTGTATTTTCTGAATTTTCTAGCAAACATGCATTACTGTTATAAGGTAAAAATATTTTGTAAGCAGGGTGCACATCATTTCCAGTAGAATGCTTGAAATAAAATTTAAAGGATGCCTGGAATTTCATTTCATTCATAAAAAATTATCTGAGAATGAGGTACACGATCTGTATAAACAAAGGAAAATTATCAAAAAGCTATTAGTTTTAATACAAATGTCACAATCACTTGAAAGGTGGAGGAATGAGGTAGTTTTTGTATTCCTAGAAGCTGCCACTGGTTAGAGGTATCCAGCAGCTTATTCCTAATGTAAATGATACCAAGCTAAACTCTGATCGCTGAGATCTTGTGTTTTAGCTTAACCATCCCTTAGCAAGATTGGTTAGTTGTGATAGCAAAAGAGTGCTGAGGATGTGAATTAGGTCCACAGATGAGTCAAGTATCTTCCCCCTGAAATGGGACCACAAACCACACTCTGGCAGGCCACCATCTCACAAAGGCACTAACTTTGATCTAGGAAGGGCCAGTTGAAAGTGTGAATGCATCACCAGGAAAACATCTTCATCACTAAAAAAACAGCTCCATTCCTTCCTCAATATGATGTAGGAATAAAAAAGCACTAACAGGGTCAAGCATGACTTGCTAAACCTTACCTGTCCGGGAGGGGCGCTCTCTGCACCCAACACCTGCCTATAGAACACCGGATCACAGCTCCGCAGCGTGTTCTGGCGGCTGGCCAGTGGACTGGCTGCACCAGGTTTCTTCAGCAGCGGGTCGCTGCGGCGGGAGTCCGTGGTGAGATACACCTGATGGTAAAGGTGCGGCGACATCAGGCCTCCCCGCACGGCGTCCGCGTGCAAGGAGGGCCCTGGTGTTCGGTACAGTGAGCTCACCGGGGCTCGGTATAGGTCTCTAGACTGCTTCCACTTGTAAACTTTGAATATGATTACTCCGAACACTGTGACCACAAACCCCACAGAAACCAGGATTAGAGAAAGAAGTAGATAAAAGGTGAGATTTTTTTTCTGCTCCCGGGGGGCAGAGCCAGAGGGGAACTCGGCTCGGGCTTCAGGAGAGTCCTCGGTTACTGACACAGTGAGGGTAGCAGTGGTGGAGAGCGAAGGCTCCCCATTGTCTTTGATCAAGACCGTGAGAGTCTGCCTGGGTGAATCTGTGTCTTGGACTGGACGGGCAGTACTGATTTGACCAGTGTGCAGCCCTATGGCAAAAAGGCTCTGGTTAGGGGATCCCAAGAGACTGTAGGAGAGCCAGGCATTGTGCCCTGCATCCGCGTCCCAGCCTACCACCCGTGACACTAGGTGGCCAGCTGAGGTACCTCGAGGCAGCATCTCCACCGAGCTCCCACCTGGCCGAGGATATAGGACCTGGGGGGCATTGTCATTGCGATCAGTGACAAATATGTTCACGCTGATGTTGGTGGCTAGGACCGGGGTGCCCCCATCGCTGATATGAGCTGTTAATTCAAATTCCCGCCGATCCTCATAGTCTAGGGGCACTAAGGATGACACTATGCCATTGTCACGATTTATTGTGAAATAGCGACCCACTAGCCCGGTTTCAGCTCCTTGCTCCAAGAGAAAGAAAGAAAGCCGAGCATTCTGCGGGGCGTCGGGGTCCCAGACACTTAGGTTTAGTATTGGAGCCCCGGGGAGGTTGTTTTCTTCAATGTAAACGTCGTAGGAAGATTGAGAAGATTGTGGAGGGTTGTCATTGATGTCGGACACTTGAACACGCACTATTGTAAGGGCTGAGAGGGAAGGGGTTCCGGCGTCTCGGGCGGTGATGCTGAGGTTGTATTCTGGCACAGTCTCCCGATCCAGGTCTGCACTGGTTTTCAAAGTGAAGTAATTCTTGAGGGAAGAAGTAAGGCTGAAAGGGAGACCCGGTGGAACTTCGCAGGTCACCAGCCCGTTCTCGCCAGCATCCAGGTCAGTCACACTGAGCAAAGCGATGACAGTCCCCAGAGGGGCATCCTCGGGTACTGGGCTGTACACGGAGGTGACTGTGATCTCCGGGGCGTTGTCATTCACATCCACAACCTCCACCAACACTTTGCAATGTGCTCCTTCGGGATTGGCGCCCTTGTCTTTGGCCTGGATGTAAATCTCATGGAGTTTGGTGTCCTCGAAGTCCAGCCGACCCTTGATTGTCAGCATCCCGGTTACAAGGTCTAAGGCGAATAGTTGCCGCACGCCGGCGCGGTTGTGGCTGCCGAAGGAGTAAATAATTTCACCGTTGGGGCCTTCATCCAGATCCGTTGCAAGGACTTGTACCACGCGCGTGCCGGAGGGTGCATCCTCCAGGACGCGCGCCCGGTACAAGGACTGGTTGAAGACAGGCGCATTGTCATTCGCGTCCAGCACCTTGATGTGAATAGGCAGGCTGGCGGAGAGAGCTGGGGTCCCTCCGTCCAACGCCGTCAGCACTAACTGGAGACTAGGCTCCCGTTCTCGGTCCAGGGCGCGCTCCAACACCAGCTCCGCGTACTTGGTGCTGTCCTCCCGCGTCTGCACGCGAAGCGCAAAGTATTCATTTCGGCTCAGCTCATAGGTTTGTAAAGAGTTGCTTCCCACATCGGGATCGTGCGCGCTCTCGAGCGGAAAGCGCGTCCCCGGAGCCACGGCCTCGCTAATCTCCAATTTCATTTCCTGGGTAGGGAAAGCAGGATTGTTGTCGTTGATGTCCTGGATCACCACTTCCACGCTGAACAGCTCCAGCGGGTTCTCCACTACCAACTCCAGAGTTACAGTGCAAGAGGGCAGTGTCCCACACAGCTCCTCTCGATCCAGACGGTCGTTCACAAACATCTCTCCGGTCTCCCGGTTCACCTCAAAGAATCTTCGGCTAGCTCCAGACACCACCCGGAACCTGCGGGCTGAGAGGCTACCGAGATCCAAACCAAGGTTCGCGACCACGTTGCCCACAGCGAAACCCTTCTCTCTTTCCTCCGGGATCTCATAGTGAATGACCGTGGAAGCCTTGTTCAAGGCACCAAGCAGAAGCAAAACTCCCACTACCCTCCCGGTGCTTACCAGTCCGCTCCTCCAGGCCTCTGGGACCATCTCACTCAAAAGCAGTTCCTCTCAGCGGGGTCCAGATCGTCCCTGAGATTTCGCTGAGAAACTTTCAGCGGGTTAGCGCTTGGGCGCTGGGCGCCGAGTCCGACATGGCTTTCTGGATGCCGTTGATTTGCTCGCCGGCTGTTCAGTCTCTGCCTCATCCCGGGGCGCAGAAAGGGGACGGGCAGGGGCCCGATCTCCAGCGTCTTCATTGGCCGACAGCGGCACACAGAGTCCCAGCCAATAACTGCACGAAGAATGAGCTAGCGCCGGGCTCTCTGAGCAGGACACGCGCTAGCGCCAGGAACTTCACTTTCCTTTGGCTTCCTTCCAGAGTTTCCAGCCAAAGCGCCTTGCCAGTATCGGTGCATAGGAAACCTACCTTAGGGAAAGCCAGCCTTGGGGCTGTGAGGCTAGCCGTTCTGCAAGTCTCCAATCCAAATCAAGACTCATTAAACATTTGAATCACTTTCTTTGATCACAAGAAAGGGGATCGAACCAAACCGAAAACTACACAACATTGTCTGGAAAAACACCAACAAATCTGGCTTGTTGGAAGACAGACAATTAGCCGGACCCTACTTGTAAGGAGGCATTTAGCATTTCCGTGGAGACATTAATAATTTCAGTTTTATCTCTTACCAAATGAAATTAGCATTCCCTGTCACTTCCTCATTATCTGGAGCTACTATCAAATTAGCAGGAGTTACAATCTATTGGTTTAACTCTGGCTTATAAAATTTAAAAGTACAATTCAGATTTTATTTCTTTTAAAACTGGATGTCATTGTTAGCTCTCATTTCTTAAGAACCAGGGAGCAATAAGAAATTTCCCTACCCTGTCTTTCACAAGGAGCATGATCTCAGTTGTAGAGCACACTCTCTCTATCGTTTCCCTTTACTTGATCAATCCTTTTCCCAAGATCTTGGGTACCATATGCCACAAGAAGTTGCACTGCTAATGAAGAAGAAGACGGAGAAGATTTCAAAAAGAAAAAAAGCCAGGCCTATTTACCACCTAGGATCTTTATAAAATTATTGAAATAATGGCAGCAAAGCTCCACAAATCTTTAGAAAATACAAAGCCTTTAGTCACAGAATAAAGAGCCTTAACTTTTCTGCATTTAGAATTGTTGTCACCAAACAAAATTATAATGATTAGGATAGTGAATAAAAGAGTCCACTGTGATATAAGCCAGAGATGAGATGTATATCCTTGAACAAGAAATGAACCTCTAAGAGTTCCTGCTCCTATCCTATTAAATGAAGAAGGCAGGTAAAGTGCCTGGCACAGAGTAAGCCTCAATTAATGATGCAAACCACTCCATTAGATGTAAAGTGTTAGAGCCTCATACTATTTCTGTATATTTGTCTTGGACATCACTTTGATTGCATAGAGTCCTTTTGAAGTATAATAGAACCTTGAACATAAGTGAAGGGGTAGGCACATAGGTTAGGTAGGTAGAAAAGAAGTAAGGATATATAGGATATTTCCGGAAGAGATGAAAAGCCATATGTGACCTATATTTCCATGTCTTTAACACTTCAATTAATCTCTGAAAACCCCCAGTTTTAAATGCTCAAGTTTGATAATTAGCCAGACCAGCAAGAGGGCTGATAGGCATTAGAAGATAGAATACATTTAGAATTTAGAATAAAGAGTATAGCCCAATCACTTGCTACTCAAAGTGTGAGGACCAATGGTCTAGGCATCACCGGGGAGCTTGTTAGAAATGCAGAAATGCCCTCCTCTAGACCTACTGAGACATGACTTACATTTTAACAAAACATCAGGGTGATTTGAAAACACATTAAAGTTTGACAAGCACTGATCTAGTGGGTTATTCAGAGATACACTGGTTTATCAGTCTTTTTTTCCCCTATTCAGCATCACTTAATTCACAATCTGGTTTTTGAAAATCAGCTTTTAAAAATGTAAGTAGTTTTCTCAATAATAAGGCCTGTCATTTTCTTGATAATAAGGCCTGTAGTTTTCTGAGATTTTCGTTGTTGTTGTTTTTGTTGTTGTTTGTTTTTTGGTTTTTGTTTCTGAGGCAGGATCTCGCTCTGTCATCCAGGCTGGAGTACAGTGGAATAATCATAGCTCACTGTAACTTCCAGCTCCTTGGGCTCAAGGGATCCTCCCGCCTCAGACTTCTAAGTAGATGGGACTACAGGCCTGAGCTACTGCACCCAGCTCATAGTTTTCTTAAGACCTCTTCATGAACCAACAGAACCCTTGTGTATGCATTCTCCACAATAGCGAGGTTCATCTTCCTAAAATTTTAATTGGATCACACAATTGTCCAGCTGCTCCTCAGTAGCATCATACTGCTCTTGAATTAAAATACCAAATCCTTTGCATAGTATCCAAGTTCTCATGTCTTCTCCCTCTCTCACTATATTCCATTGCACCACTTGGAGGGTGGTCAGAACCCCAGCCCTTCCCTGTCTCAGGGCCTTCACACAAATTGTTCCTTTGCCAGGAAAGCTGCTTTTTCCTCCCTCCCTTTGCTTTGCTAATTTCTACAGGTCTGTCTGGTCTTAGTTTAAATGTTATTTCCTAATAGAGGTCTTCCATTAGGCCCCAGTTAAAACCAGGATCCTTTGTTATGCTCTCTCAGAACACCTTATATTTTTTCCATTGAACTTGGCACAACTTTAAATTTTATAATTATTTTTGCATAAGCAAAGTATCTGCTTCCCCCACTGAAGAAGAAAAAAAGAAGCTCCAGGAGGGCAGGGACCATGCTATTTTGGTGGCCACTTGCATCCTCACTGTCTAGCACAGCAGGCACTTAATGCTTATTAATATAGCAATCTTTATGCTACTGACATAGTAAAATAATCATAGCATACACTAAGGACTATATATGTATTCACTTGTGTGGATCCAATCTCCCTGGAAGTAAGCATTTTTTAGAAGATACATTTACTCCTTCAAGTTACCAGTGGGCCTTCCTAGCCCTAGTGATCTGAAGAGATAATATAGTTTGCCAAAGAGCCAAGTAAAGTGTGGTAATACAACTCACAGTGGATAATAAACAAAGATGCTGTAACTTGTTGTATCACTTCTTTCTTTCTTTCCTTCCTTCCTTCCTTCTTTCTTTTTCTTTTTCTTTCTTTTTTTTTTTTTTTTTGAGTTTCACTCTTGTTCCCCAGGCTGGAGTGCAATGGCATAATCTTGGCTCACCACAACCTCCTCCTCTTGGGTTCAAGCAATTCTCCTGCCTCAGCCTCCCGAGTAGCTGGGAATACAGGCATGTGCCACCATGCCCAGCTAATTTTCTATTTTTAGTAGAGACGGGGGTTTCTCCATGTTGGTCAGGCTGATCTTGAACTCCCAACCTCAGGTGATCTGCCAGCCTCCGCCTCCCAAAGTGCTGGGATTACAGGTGTGAGCCACAGCGCCTGGCCTGTATCACTTATTTCTAGGGGAAATGGAAGGACCAGTATACAGGATTTATATACTGATTCAACACAATTTCCCAGTCTTTATCTTTTTTCTTCTTTGTTTTATAATTTCAAGAGAGCTTCTGACCAATGAGATGCAGCATTTATAATATAATTTTTTTTTTCTTGAGATGGTGTCTCACTCTGTCACCCAGGCTGGAGTGCAGTGGCACGATCTCGTCTCACTGCAAGCTCTGCCTTCTGGGTTCAAGCGATTCTCCTGCCTCAGCCTCCCTAGTAGCTGGGATACAGGTGCGTGCCACCACGCCTGGCTAATTTTTTCTATTTTTAGTGGAGACGGGGTTTCACCGTGTTAGCCAGGATGGTCTCGATCTCCCAACCTCGTGATCTGCCTGCCTCGGCTTCCCAAAGTGCTGGGATTACAGGTGTGAGCCACTGTGCCCGGCTATAATATAACTTTAAAATAGAAAGTGAATGTATTATATGATCGAGAGTAAGGTCTTAGTGTCAAAAAGATTCAAATTCCAATACTGGATATTACACCTAGTAGCTATGTAACCATGAAACTTTTATTTTTAACTTCTCTTTTATTTTCTTTATGTATAAAATGGGAATAATAATAGTACTCATTGATATAACCACAGACATGTCAATCATTTTTAAAATCTTTTCACAGCTTTCTACATACAATATAGTGCCCCTATACGATGCAGGGATTTTTAATAAATTTATACAGTAATGCAACCAACCCCACAATCCAGTTTTAGAAAACTCTCATCACCCCCAAAATTTCCCTCATGCTTGTCTGTAGTCAATCTTCCTAGCTTCAGCCTCAGGCAACCACAGTTTTGCTTTTTCTGAATATTTTATTAAAAAGGAATTATAAAATAGGTAGTCTTTTATATGTCTTTTATATGACATAGCATAATGTCAAACTCATCTTTTGACCACACCCTCAAATATGTTATGTCTCCAACCTTCCTTACCTGGTAAGTGGCACTTCTATTCCAGCCAGAATTTCAGAAGTAATTTTTAATATTTTTTTCTGCATCCCCACATCCAGTATATTACTAATCCATACCAATGCTTACTACTCCCAAAATATATTTTGAAACTATCAATTACTTACCCTATCTACTGCTACCCCTGAGTCAAAGCAACCTTAAATGCTATCATAGCTTCCTCGCTGTTATTTTTACTCCCTCTCTTGCATTCCCTAAATTCCATTTCACATGCAGAGACCTGAGTAATCTTTCAAAAGGTACATGAGATTATACACTTTCCTTGCTAAAAACATAACTAAGCCTAGCTACGTAACTTGTAGGGTCAGTGCAAAATAAAAATAGGGGGCTTGGAGGCCGGGCGCAGTGGATCATACCTGTAATCCCAGCACTTTGGGAGGCCGAGTTGGGTGGATCACTTGAGGTCAGGAGTTTGAGACCAGCCTTGCCAACATGGTGAAACCCCATCTCTACTAAAAATACAAAAAAATTGCCAGGCATGGGGGTGGGTGCCTGTAATTCCAGCTACTAGGGAGGCTGAGCCAGGAGAATCACTTGAACCCAGGAGGCAGAGGTTGCAGTGAAGGTAAGATCGCACCACTGCACTCTAGCCTGGACAACAGAGGGAGACCCTGTCTCAAAAAAAAAAAAAAAAAAAAGAGGGCTTGGGCTTGTTAATAAAAATGATTGACCAGGCACAGTGGCTCATGCCTGTAGTCCCAGCACTTTGGGAGGCTGAGGTGGGAGGATCACTTGAGGCCAGGAATTTGAGACCAGCCTGAGCAACATAGGGACAGTCCCATCTCTACAAAAAACAAAAACAAAAACAAAAAAACAAACAAACAAAAAACTTATCTGAGCATGGTGGCGTGTGTTTGTCGTCCTAACTACTCAGAAGGCTGAAGTGGGAGGATTGCTTGAGCCCAGGAATTCAAGACTGTAGTGAGTCCACTGCACTCCAGCCAGGGCGACAGAGCAAGACCCTGACTCAAAAAAATAAAATAAAAATTATTAAGAATTTCAAGATGGTAACAGCAGAGCCCTAACCAAAGGGTAGGGGCCTTCAAAGCAAGGGGGCCTATCTAAGCATGAAGCCCTGTGTCCCCGCACAGGTCGCCTGCCTATGAAGTTGATCCTGCTTGGCACAGAGGAAACTCTCAATAAATATTACCTGATACATATTTTAATATTAGCTAACTGTCTAATTACCTAATATTATTCCCAGAGGGTTAGTAATATCAGAAAATCCTATTCAAGATGCTATTAAATTATTGCACACAAGGAAAAAATACATAAAATCCTCTTAAAATCCTAAATATCATCGAGTAGTCTTTCCATTCAACCTAATGTGTCTATTTGAACAGCTTCCTAAGGTCAAATTATGGGATCATTTGAGGAAAAATGGAATAAAAACAGTTAACCAATAAATCAAACAAACATGTATCTCCATTTAGACAGGTGGGACATTCAAGGGTTTGGTGAAGAAGCTGAATGGTTTAGCCTTCATATTTATCTGAAGTTTACTTGAATATTTTGCATACTTTGATTTGATAAGATGATCTATGATCTTTTTTTTTGAGACGAAGTCTTGCTCTGTTGCTCAGACTGGAATGTAGTGGCATGATCTCAGATCACTACAGTCTCTGCCTCCGGGGTTCAAACAGTTCTCGCGCCTCAGCATCCCGAGTAGCTGGGATTACAGGCGTGCCACGACGACCAGCTAATTTTTGTATTTTTGGTACAGATGGGGTTTCACCATGCTGGCCAGGCTGGTCTCAAACTCCTGACCTCGGGTGGTCTGCCTGCCTCGGCTTCCCAAAGTGCCGAGATTACAGGCGTGAGCCATTGCACCCGGTCTGAATCTTAAGAATAAGTTTTATGTGACCTCCATTCTATCTACAATGTTTTTGCAATTACAAATAACGCTGTAATAAATAAGCTGGTATATATGTATTTTTGTAATTTTTGAGGTGTGTATTTATGATAAATTCCTAATAGTGTGATTACTAGGTCATAGGACCAATGCATATGTAGTTTTATTAGAACAAGAAGAAATTATGTCATCAAAATATTTTGGAACTACAAACATTTATTTTATTTTACTTATTTTGTTTTATTTATTTATTTATTTAGAGACAGAGTCTCACTCTGTCGCCAGGCTGGAGTGCAGTGGCACAATCTTGGCTCACTGCAACCTCCACCTCCCGGGTTCAAGCGATTCTCCTGCCTCAGCCTCCCGAGTAGCTGAGACTACAGGTGTGCACCACCACGCCCAGCTAAGTTTTATATTTTTAGTAGAAACGGGGTTTCACCATGTTGGCCAGGATGGTCTCGATCTCTTTACCTCATGATCCATCCACCTCAGCCTCCCAAAGTGGTGGGATTACAGGCGTGAGCCATCGTGCCCAGTCTATTTTGTTTTATTTTTTGAGATGGGGTCTTGCTCTGTTGCCCAAGCTGGAGTGCAGTGGGGTGATCATGGCTCACTGAAGCCTCAACTTCAAAAGGCTCAAGCAATCCTCTTGCCTCAGCCTCCCAAGTAGCTGGGACTACAGACATGTGCCACCATTTCTGGCTAATTTTTAAATTTTTTTAGAGACAGGTTCTTGCTTTGTTGCCTAGAATGGTCTCAAACTCCTAGGCTCAAGCAATCCTCCCACCTTGGCCTCCCAAAGTGCTGGGATTACAGGAGTGACCCACCGCACCCAGCAAAAACAATAATTTTGGAAGTCAAAAGCCTAAGGTAAAAAAAACCACAGGTTTACCCCATCTCCCATTTTAGTGCTATTCTCTTCTAGTCTGGATCATATTAGTACCTTATTATTATTATTATTATTTTTGAGATGGAGTCTCGCTCTGTTGCCCAGGCTGGAGTGCAGTGGCTTGATCTTGGCTCACTGCAAGTTCCGCCTCCCGGGTTCACGCCATTCTCCTGCCTCAGCCTCCCGAGTAGCTGGGACTACAGGCACCCGCCACCACGCCCAGCTAACTTTTTATATTTTTAGTAGAGACGGGGTTTCACCGTGTTAGCCAGGATGGTCTTGATCTCCTGACCTTGTGATCCGCCCACCTCGGCCTCCCAAAGTGCTGGGATTACAGGCGTGAGCCACCGCGCCCAGCCTTTAGTACCTTCTTATTGTTTACTATATCACAAATGTTAAATATGTCAGGAAACTACCTGCAAAAAATTTACTAAATTTGTCCACATGAAAATCTTCCATGAGACCTACATTCTCCTCAGAAATAACTTGCTTTAATTTTGCACCCACATTTTGCTATTACCTTGCTATCTAACTTATTATTAGTTCTCACCAAATGGGTAGCCTTGTATGGCTGAGTTATTTCTTTTTTCTTTCTTTTTTTTTTTTTTTTTTTGAGATGGAGTTTACCGTTGCTCTTGTTGCCCAGGCTGGGGTGCAATGGCGTGGTCTCGGCTCACCACAACCTCTGCCTCCCAGGTTCAGGCAATTCTCCTACCTCATCCTCCCAAGTAGCTGGAATTACAGGCACCCGCCACCATGCCCAGCAAATTTTTCTATTTTTAGCAGAGACAGGGTTTCACCATGTTGGCCAGGCTGGTCTCAAACTCCTAACCTCAGGTGATCTGCCTGCCTCAACCTCCCAAAGTGCTGGGATTACAGGTGTGAGCCACTGTGCCCGGCTTAGTTTTCTAAATGAAGTATTTTACTTCAACATATAACAGAGGAAGAAAGAATTGTGGTTTTCTGATCATTAAAATTTTCTGGCAGCCGGGTGTGGTGGCTCATGCTTGTAATCCTAGCATTTTGGGAGGCTGAGGTGGGCGGATTTCTTGAGCTCAGGAGTTTGAGACCAGCCTGGGCAACATGGTGAAATCTCATTCTACAAAAAAATATAAAAATCAGCCTGGTGTGGTGGCATGTGCCTGTAGTCCCAGCTACTTGAGAGGCTGAGGTGCGGGCACTTGAGCATGTGAGGCGGAGGTTGCAGCGAGCTGGGATTGTGCCACTACACTCCAGCCTGGGCAACAGAGCCAGACCCTGTCTAAAAAAAATAAAAATCTTCTGGCACTATAGAAGTTTGGTACATGATAAAGATGCTATCTCAAATCACTGGGACAAAGATGAAGTGCTTAATAAATGGCATTGGGACAACTGGATAGCCATTTGGGAAAAAAGATATAATCAGATCCATATCTCAGCACACAAAAGAATAAACTCCAATTAGATCAGGGATCTAAATGTGGAAACCAAAAACCATGCAAGTACTAGCACTGGAAGAAAAAAGTAATGAATGTTTCTATAACCTAGGTGTGGGGAAAGGCTTTCTAACTATGACTTAAAACCTAAATGCAATATAAGAAAACGTTGATTTGGCCGGGGGCAGTGGCTTACGTCTCTAATCCCAGCACTGTGGGAGGCCGAGGTGAGTGGATCACTTGAGGTCAAGAGTTCGAGACCAGCCTGGCCAACATGGTGAAACCCCATCTCTACTAAAAATACAAAAATTAGCCAGGCATGGTGGCATGTGCCTGTAATCCCAGCTACTTGGGAGGCTGAGAGATGAGAATCACTTGAACCTGGGAGGCAGAGGTTGCAGTGAGCTGAGATTGCACCATTGTACTCCAGCCTGTGTGACAGAGTGAGACTTGGTCTAAAAAAAAAAAAAAAAGAAAACATTGATTCATTACACAAAAAACAAAAACAAAGGGAAAAAAATTGCATTGCAAAAAAATGCCAAAAGGTAAATGATGAGCTGTGAGAAAATATTTGCAGTCTGTTTACTGGACAAAGGACTAATATTCCTAATACAAGGAGTTTTCAAAAACTTCATGGAAAATGCATATTATGAAAAAAATGTGTGGATTTCAAAATATTTCTTGCACCAAAATAAACCCATACTAACTTGTTATACCATGTCTGAATAGGATCTAGTTTGAGGCACTAAGAAGAATAAGATAACAGTTTGAAAAGAGCCCCTATCAGAGTAACATGAATTCTGCTAAAATGGAAACAAGAACAGACATCAAATTTATGATGAAGCTTGAGTGGAAGAACGGTGAAATCACTGATGTTTTGTGAAAAGTTTATGGAGACAATGCTCCAAAGAAAACGGCAGTTTACAAGTAGCTAGCTTGTTTTAAGAAGGGATGAGACAATGTTGAAGATGAAGCCCACAGCAAAAGACCATCTACATCAATTTGGGAGGAAAAAAAATGATCTTGTCTGTGCTCTAATTAAAGAAGACCTACAATTAACAGCAGAAACAATAGCCAACACCATAGACATCTCGGTTCAGCTTACACAATTCTGACTGAAAAATTAAAGTTGAGCAAACTTTCCATTAGATGGGTGCCAAAACCATTACATCTAGATTAGCTGCAAAAAAATTATCCAGGCATGGTAGCATGTGCCTGTAGTCCCAGCTACTTGGGAGCCTGAGGTGGGAAGATTGCTTGAGCTCACGAGGCCAAGGCTGCATTGAGCCATGATGGTGCCACTGCACTCCAGCCTGGGTAACAGAGCAAGGCTGTGTCTGAAAAAAAATAAAAATAAAATAGATCAGCTGCAGTTTAAGACCAGAGTTTTCACTTGATTTTTTTTTTGAGCTGGAGTCTCACTCTGTTGCCCAGGCTGGAGTGCAGTGGCATGATATCAGCTCACTGCAAGCTCCGTCTCCTGGGTTCATGCCGTTCTCCTGCCTCACCCTCCCGAGTAGCTGGGACTACAGGTGCCTGCCACCATGCCCGGCTAATTTTTTGTATTTTTAGTAGAGATGGGGTTTCACCATGTTAGCCAGGATGGACTCGAAATCCTGACCTCGTGATTTGCCCGCCTCGGCCTCCCAAAGTGCTGGGATTACAGGCATGAGCCACTGGGCCCAGCCTCAGTTGAAATTTTAAACAAATGTGATCAAGATCCTGAAGGGTTTCTTAAAAAAAAAAAAACTGTAACAAGAGATGAAACATGACTTTACCAGTCTGATCCTGAAAACAAAGCACAAGAGGTGGAAGTGGTGGCATTTGACCAATGCAAAAGCAGACTGGTCAAGAGCAAATGTCATGGCAAGCGCTTTTTTGGGATGTTCAAAGCATTTTGCTGGTTGACTTCCTGGAGGGCCAAAGAGTGATAAGATCTGATTATTATGAGAGTGTTTTGAGAAAGTTACCAAAGCTTCAGCAGAAAAAATGCCTGGGAAAACTTCCCCAGAATCCTTCCTGACCACGACAATGCTCCCGCTCATTCCTCTCATGAAGCAAGGGCAATTTGGTGAGAGTTTTCTTGGGTAATCATTAAGTGCCCACCTTTCAGTGCTGATTTGGCTTCTTCTGACTTGTTTTTGTTCCTAATCTTACAACTTTAAAGGGCACCCATTTTTTCTTCAGTAACCAATATAAAAAATACTGCATTGACATGGCTAAATTCCCAGGACTCTCAGTTCTTTAGGGGTGAACTAAATGGCTAGTATCATTGCTTACAAAAGTGCCTTGAACTTGATGGAGCTCATGTTGAAAAATAAAGCTTATATTTTTATTTTTATCTTTTAATTAAATTTCTTCATAAACATTTAGAGTCCCTTCATATATCCCCTAAACTTTTTACAAATTTAGGCTAAAACACTTAAAAAAAAAACTACTAGAAAAATGAAAATAAGACATGAACAGACAATTCAAAAAAATATATAGGGTCATTTGTGGTGGTTCATGGCTGTAATCTTAGCACTTTGGGAGGCTGAGGTGGGAGGATCACTTGAAGCCAGTAGTTCAAGACAAGCCTGGGCAACATAGTGAGACCTCACATCTCTACAAAAAAATAAAAAAATTAGCTGGACATGGTGGCATCCATCTGTAGTCCTAGCTACTTGGGAGGCTAAGGTAGGAGGATTGCTTGAGCCCAGGAGTGCGAGGCTACAGTGAGCTATGACTGCATCACTGCAATTTGGCCTGGGCAACAGAACAAGATTCCTGTCTCTAAAAAAACAAAAAGATATAAACTGGCTTTTAAACATATGAAAAACTATTTAACCTCATTCATAATAAGAGAAATTTTAATTAAAATTATTTGGAGATATCTTTTTACCCATCAGGTTGGCAACAATTAAAAAGCTTGACAATATACTCTGCAAAGGAGACTATGGGACAATGGACATTCTCATCTATTTGTAGGAATGCAAGATGGGGAATAGCTATATTTAACAAAACTACATATGCCTTTACCTTATGATGCAGCAATCACACTATTAGGAATTTATTATACGTACATACTTCAAAAATAACAACAACAACAACAAACATATATATCTATATATATAGATATATATATATCTCAGGTTCTTCATTAGCATTTTTTATATTGCAAAAATATTGGATGGAAACTACCTAAATGACAAGTCATAGATGGGTTGAACAGATAATGATATGTGCACATACAATGGAGTTTTTTTTTTTGCTTTTTTTTTTTTTTAGACGGAGTCTCGCTCTGTAGCCCAGGCTGGAGTGCAGTGGCGCAATCTCAGCTCACTGCAATCTCCGCCTCCTGAAATCAAGCAATTCTCCTGCCTCAGCCTTCCAAGTAGCTGGGACTACAGGCGCCCACCACCACACCCAGCTAATTTTTGTATTTTTAGTAGAGACGGAGTTTCACCATGTTGGCCAGGCTGGCCTTGAACTCCTGACCTCAGGTGATCCACCCGCCTTGGCCTCCCAAAGTGTGGGATTACAAGCATGAGCCACTGCACCTGGTTTTTACAATGGAGTTTTATGAAGCTATTTTAAAAATGAAGATTTCTATAAATTTATATAGAATGATTTCCAGGATATATTATTAGTACAAAAAGCAAGGTGAAAACTTTTCCTTTCAGTCATGTGAAACCAGATATACCACTATAACAACTGGGAAGTGGATCAAAATGTGTGATAAAAGCTTTTAGACATTTGTTCAAAAGACAGTGCAGGATTCTAACCCATAAGAGAAGAGAAGCAGGCCGGGCGCGGTGGCTCATGCCTGTAATCCCAGCACTTTTGGAGGCCGAGGTGAGCAGATCACGAGGTCATCCAGACCATCCTGGCTAACACGGTGAAACCCCGTCTCTACTAAACAAAATACAAAAAATTAGCCGGGCATGGTGGCAGGCACCTGTAGTCCCAGCTACTCGGGAGGCTGAGGCAGGAGAATGGCATGAACCCGGGAGCCGGAGTTTCTAGTAAGCCGAGATCACGCCACGTCACTCCAGCCTGGGTGACAGAGCGAGACTCCATCTCAAAAAAAAAAAAAAAAAAAAAAAAAAAAGGAGAAGGAAATGAGGATCCGCAAACTAGGATCTCCATTTTTTTTGCCTGGAGACAACTTTCAGACTGTGGGGCAGGAAAGGGGAAATCCAAGAATAACACCATGGTTTTGCTGAGTTGAGGAATAGATATTAGAGTTTGGGGAGATTAGGAGATTGAGGCAGCCAGAATTTATGGGATAGAGTACTAAAGAGAATGGAGCTACACAAAGAACTCCAGGAATATTAATATGGATCCCCAAGTCTTTGGCTAAATAATAATCTGAGCATACATAGAGTGCACTGACACTTTTCTGCAGCTGGGCGAAGAACTGCCAGGGAGCTATTAGCTGAATTCTTGATGGTCACATAGGGCTGGAAAATGTTTGAATTTCATTTAGCCATAATAAAGAGACCCTGCTGAACACTCAGATTAATCAAAAAAGTCAGAATTAAGTGGTAGGTCTAAATTAGCCCAAGGCAAAAGTTACTACAGACCTGTCCTAACAAAGCTTAAAAACAAGCCTTGAAAAGATCAACCTGATCTGCAAAAAACATAATAGCCTTCCAAAACAAACTGCAATAGTTCTTAAAGAAAGACAAAATCCAAACACTCAAAAATATAACATTTACAATGTCTGCTGTCCAATAAAAACATTATTAGACATGCAAATAAGCAACAAATTATGACCCCAAGCCAGGAAGAAAATCATCATAGGAATTACAGAGGTGACAAAATTAGCAGACAAGGACTTTAAAACCTCCATTATAAATGTGCTCAAAAATTTAAAGAAAAATATGAAGATAATTGAGGATGGAAATGAAAGAGTCAAATGGAACTTCTAAAAGTGAAAAATACAATATATGAAATGGAAACTTCACTGGATGGGATTAGCAAATACAGTAAACACTGAAGAAGAAAAGATCACTGAACAACACTCTTACTAACTTGATCTAGTTGACAATTATAGGATACAACAACCACGAGAAGCAGAATACACAGTTTTCAGTTACACAGTTGTGTGTAAGCAACACTCACCAAGATAGACCATATTCTGTGCCATAAAAGAAATGTTAACGAATTTAAAAGAATAGAAACTATACAATGTATATTTTTGGATCACAATACAATTAAATTAGAAATCAGTGACAAATATATTTGGGTAATACTTACATATTTGGTGACTAAACAATACACTTTAGGCTGGTCATGGTGGCTCATACCTGTAATCCCTGCACTTTGGGAGGCCGAGGCAGGCGGATCACCTGAGGTCAGGAGTTCAAGACCAGCCTGGCCAACATGATGAAACCCCATCTCTACTAAAAATACAAAAAATTGGACTGGGTGCAGTGGCTCATGCCTGTAATCCCAGCATTTTGGGAGGCCAAGGCGGGCAGATCACCTGAGGTCGGGAGTTCAAGACCCGCCTGACCAACATGAAGAAACCCCGTCTCTATTAAAAATACAAAATTAGCCTGGCGTGGTGGCATATGCCTGGAATCCCAGCTACTCAGGAGGTTGAGGCAGGAGAATTGCTGGAACCCAGGAGGCAGAGGTTGCAGTGAGCCGAGATCGTGCCATTGCACTCCAGCCTGGGCAACAAGAGCAAAACTCTGTCTCAAAAAAAAAAGAAAAAAAAATTAGCTGGGTGTGGTGGTGGGCACCTGTAATCCCAGCTACTTGGGAGGCTGAGGCAGGAGAATCGCTTGAATCTGGGAGCCGGGATTGTGCCACTGCACTCCAGCCTGGGCAAAAAAAGTGAAACTCTGTCTCAAAATAAACAAACAAAATAACAAACTTTAAAATAATCCATGGGTCAAAGAAGAAATTGCAAGGTGTATTAGAAAATACTTTGAACTAAATTATAATGGAAATATAACATCCAAAATATTATCTTTGCAAAGTACACATCTGACAAAGGACTAGTATCCAGAATCTACAAGGAACTAACAAATCACCAAGAAAAATAAAACACAATCCCATTAAAAAGTAGGCAAAGGACACAAATAGCCATTTCTCAAAAGAAGGTATACAAATGGCCCACAAACATATGAAAAAATGCTCAACATCGCTAATCATCAGGAAAATGCAAATTAAAACCACAACGAGCTACCACCTTGGTCCTGCAAGAATGGCCATTATTAAAAAGTCAAAAAACAATAGATGTTGGTGTGGATGTGGGGAAAAGAGAACACTTACACATTGCTGCTGGGAATATAAATTAGTACAACCTCTATGGAAAACAGTATGGAGATTCTCTAAAGAGCAAAAAACAGATCTACCATTCAATCCAGCAATCCCACTATTGGGTATCTACCCAAAGGAAAATAAGTAATTATATGAAAAAGACACTTGGACACATATGTTTATAGCAGCACAATTCACAATTGCAAAAATGTGAAACCAACCTAAGTCCCCATCGACTAATGAGTGGATAAAGAAAATGTGGTATATATATATACACATATATATATATACACACACACACACACACACACATATATATATACATAATACATATATATACACACACACATATATATATATACACCATGGAATATTACTCAGCCACGAAAAGGCATGAAATAATGTCCTTTGCAGCAACTTGGATCGAACTGGAGGCCATTACTTTAAGTGTGTATATATGTATACATACATATATATACTTTGTGTGTATATATGTATACATACATATGCAATATGTATATGTACACATATATATACAATGTGTATATATGCTTATAACAATAGTTTATTCTCATTCAACTGTTGGTGGATATATAGATATATAACTGTGTTTACAGTTACATATGTGTAAACACAGTTATATATCTGTATCTGTCTATCTATCCATCTAACACAGAGAGCCCAGAAAAAACCCACACCTACATATGTCCATGGCCAAATGATTTTTGATTAAGGTGCTAAGATTATTTGGTGGGGAAAAGATAGCCTTCTCAGCATATTTTTCCAAAGAGACAATTGGATATTCCTTTGGAAAAAAATATGAATCTTCATTGTTACCTCACACCATACACCATACATAAACATCAACTCAAAAGGATTCATAGACCAAATTATAAATGGTAAAACTATAAAACTTCTAAAAGAAAATATAGGAGAAAATCATCATAAGTTTTCAGTAGGCAAGGAGTTTTTGAATAGGACATAAGAAATACAAACTATAAAAGAAAAAATAAATTGGGCTTTATCAAAATTACATCTTCTGCTCTTCAAAAGACACAACTAAGAAAATGAAAAGACAAGTCATAGTCTGGGATAAAATATCCACAAAATATGTATGTGACAAAGAGCTCACATCAAGAATATATATATTACATATATAAAAATCATATATAATTACATGTATAATTATTATTTTTTAGATGAAGTCTCACTCTGTTGCCCAGGCTGGAGTGCAGTGGTGCAGTCTCGGCTCACTGCAACCTCCGCCTCCTGGGTTCAAGCGATTCTCCTGTCTCAGCCTCCTGAGTAGCTGGGATTACAGGCACCTGCCATCACGCCCAGCTACAAGGATATATTTTAAAACTCCCATAGCTCAATTTTAAGAAGGCGTTCAGCTCAGTTAAAGATGAACGAATGCTTCAAGAAGATATACAAATAGACAACACATGAAAAGTTGCTCAGTGTCTCTAGTCAACAGGGAAAAACAGTTGAAACTTCAATGAGATAGTATCACACACCCACTAGAATTGCTAAAATTTAAAAAATTGACAATAGGAAGCATTGGTGAGAAAATGTAGCAAGCGGAACGCTTTATGCATTGCTCATGAAAATGTAAAGTGATATTACCATTTTGAAAAATAGTTTGGCAGCTTCTTATAAAGTTAAGCATATACTTCCCATTTCATATGACCCCCAAAACAATTCTGTTTTGGGGTATTTATCCAAGAGAAATAAAAAAAATATGCCTACAAAAATACTTGTACATGATTGTTCACATCACTTTAATTCAGAATAGCACTAAACTGGACACAACTCAAATGTCCACCAACAGTTGAATGAATGAACACATTGTGATATATCCACACAATGCAATACTGCTCAACAATCAAATGGAACACGCTGCTGATACACACAGGAACATGAATGAATTTCAAGAACTTTGGAGTAAAAGAAGATGGATACAAAATAGTATATGTTATAGGATTCCATTTAGATGAAATTCTGAAAGAGGCAACACTAATTTATAGTGACAGGAAGCAGACCAGTTGTTGCCTGGAGCTGGAGAAGTAGTGAATTGATTGCAAAGGGGCATGAGGGAACTTTTGAAGGTTATAGAAATGTTCTATATTTTGATTGCATGGTGGTTACACAGATGTAAACAATTGTCAAAATGCATTGCACTGTATAATTTTAAAAGGCAAATTTTATGTTATATAAATTATACTTCAATATAGCTGGTAAGGCTGGATGTGGTGGCTCATGCCTGTAATCCCAGCACTTTGGGAGGGTGAGGCAGGAGGACTGCTTGAGGCTGTGAATTTGTGACCAACCTAAGCAACATAGTGAGACCCCGTCTCCACAAAAAATAGAAAAAATTAGCTGCGCATGGTGTGCATGCCTGTAGTCCCAGCTACTTGGAAGGCTGAGGTGGGAGGATCACTTGAGCCTGGGAGGCAGAGGTTGCAGTGAGCTGAGATCACACCACTGCACTCCAGCCTGTGTGACACAGCAAGACCCTGTCTCAAAAACCAAAACCAATAGCTGGATGTGGTGGCGAATACCTGTAATCCCAGCTACTCGGGAGGCTGAGGCAGTAGAATTGCTTGAACCCGAGAGGTGGAGGTTGCAGTGAGCTGGGATTGTGCCACTGCACTCCAGCCTGGCTGACAGAGTGAGACTCGTCTCCAAAACAAACAAACAAACAAAAACCCAAAACCAAAACAAACAAACAAAATAAAGTTGATAAGTTAAAAAAAAAAACAAAGTGTCAAACAGTATGTACAGGCAGTCCTCATTTTCTGCAGTTGTACGGTATTTTAAAAATTGTTAATGTGGGGGACCTCCTCTTTCAGCTTTGGAACCCCCGCTCCGTCTCTGCAAGGGGGAGCGTCTTCCTTCTCTCTTCTCCCTTCCTTCTTGCTTATTAAACTCTCCACTCCTTAAAACCACTCCACATGTGTCTGTGTCATTTTATCTAAACCAGCATGAGGACCAGGAACCCTGTTGTTCCTCCACTCATCAGAGCCGTATCATTTTGGTGCATGGACTGGGAAAGGAAACTTATTTTAAACTATTTATGGCCTTTAATAATCAAGTAAGGTATACTACTGTGAACAAAATTTGGAGCATGTTCATTTTTCTCTGCCTGGTTCCTCTAAAATTTGGAGACTATCTGTAAGTACTCTTAACTTACGGCAATATAGTTGTTCGCATCAGTGCAGCAAGAATCCATTTTTCTTTGTCAACAGAACACAATTGGAAAAACCGGTTATTTTGCCAAGGCTTTAACTGAAAGGGTGTGTTTCCCTTTAAGGAATCAAGCTTGACATGCAGAGCCAATAAAAGCCCCTTGGGGAGAACTGGCCTCACACCTTGTCTACACAGTCCCCACACAGGGTTCCTAACCTGTGGTCAGTGAAGAATGTCACTTTCTAACAGGTCTGGAAGCTCTGAGTTTATCTTGGGACCTCAAGAGGAGAGGATAACCCAACTCACAGGTATTAGAGGATACAAACCCATGTCTGGGCTCAGCTTTAAAAGTCTAATCTGAAATTCCTTGTGGAACAGTGTTTCATCAAAGCCAATCCAAAAGTCCTATGTAGAAATAACCATTCTTGCTGCACTTCATGCAAATAATCAGGCCAAGTATAAGATTAAAGTTCATTCATAATTAGTTTTTACCAAAAATGAGGACTGGAGAGAAAAATTTTGCTCCAAAGCTTATCATACATTTGTCATTAAACCCTAGTCTCATTAATTGTTTTTAAGCTTTTTGCCTACATTTTAGACTAACCCTGGCCCTGCTTATTCCTGTGAATCAAGTGGTGATCTTCTGCAGCTTGGTGGGGGGGAAAAAGGGATGGGTAATGTGAAAATGTGAATCAATATGCTAGTTCTGGGCAATTATTTTGCAAATTGTGCCAGGTAATGAAAGTAAGTAAGGTACCTGTAACCCGGAGGTTTCTTTGTTTGGGAAAATAAAACCAAGGAACTTCGTAGGCCCACAGAGGGGAATTCTATATGTTGGCAAGTAAAATTTTAGATGGAAATTACCTACCACACCACATTTGTGGGAACTGCTTTCCTCACTCTACTATTTGCAATAGGGTTATCCATGGTAGCACCTTCTAACTGAAATATTGGACAGAGTTTCCATTGCTGTCGTATTTTGCTTAATTAGTATCCTTATAGCAGGGATAATAGTTACTGGCAAAAAGGAAGCATGAAAGTTTTACTATCACTGAGTCTACTAGGACTTTTTATTGGATTTAGTAATGCAGTTTTTGTTTGTTTGTTTGTTTGTTTTGTTTTGAGATGGAGTTTTGCTCTGTTGCCCAGGCTGGAGTGCAGTGGTGCGATCTCGGCTCACTGCAACCTCTGCCTCCCGGGTTCAAGCGATTCTCCTGCCTCAGCCTCCCAATTAGCTGGGATTACAGGCGCCCACTACCACGATGGCTAATTTTTTGTATTTTTAGTAGAGATGGGGTTTTGCCATGTAGGCCAGGCTGGTCTCAAACTCCTGACCTCATGATGCTCCCGCCTCAGCCTCCCAAAGTGCTGGGATTACAGGCGCGAGCCACCACGCCTGGCCAGTAATGCATTTTTAAATGAAACATGCTTCTTTGGGATTAACACCTGTAGTAAAGAAGAGGCAAATCTACAGGGACTTAAAAATCAAATCAAAATTATTGACAGGCTCAGGGAAAATGTGGGCTTCAGCCCCGAGTGGCTACAATCCCTCTTTAATTACTTCCAGTCTTCTTTATGGAATTGGTTAACCCCTTTATTAAGCACTCTCTTGCTTATATGTCTTGTATTGATATTTGGACTCTGTATACTCAATACTATAACTTGAATTGTTTCTTCTCGCCTAGAAGCAATCAAACTCCAAACGGTGCTGTAAACTGAACCACACATGGACGCCATTCTTCCGAGGACCCTTAGATCAACCCCAGGAGGAGCCCTAGCTGCTGTTCTCCATTAGACGCCCCTTTTCAGCAGGAAGTAGCCAGAAGCAATGGTCGCCCAAAGCCTCCTAACAGCAGTTAGTTTGATATCGCCACAGGGAGGAATGTGGTAGGAGTTATTAAGAAATTATTCTGTAATCCCAGCACTTTAGGAGGCCGAGGCGGGCGGATCAGGAGGTCAGGAGATGGAGACCATCCTGGCTAACACGGTGAAATCCCGTCTCTACTGAAAATACAAAAAATTAGCCGGACGTGGTGGTGGGCGCCTGTAGTCCCAGCTACTCGGGAGGCTGAGGCAGGAGAATGGCATGAACCCGAGAGGCGGAGCTTGCAGTGAGCTGAGATCGCGCCACTGCACTCCAGCCTGGGCGACAGAGCGAGACTCCGTCTCAAAATAAATAAATAAATAAATAAATAAATAAATAAATAAATAAATAAATAAATAATAAAAGAAATTATTTTATGCAGATAGACAGGAAAAGGGGTCCTTGGGAAGTTTTCATTTTTTAAAGCATCTCCGGAAAAGTTTCTTTTAAAGCCCCGGCTCTAGGAGCCAGGCCAGCAACCTTTGATATGCAAATGCAGGCCATTAGAAACTAGGTCCATTCAACTTGGCGATTCCCACAGCCTTCTTGCCCTTGCCCCACAAGTTCCTGGCCACATGGCTGCCCCCCACATATCTCCACGTGTTTAGAACATCCATGGCGCCCTACGTTTGCATATTAAAAGGCTGGGGTGGGAGGGCCAGCTTTTTCTCGGGCTACGTGAATGATATGCCTGGTCAAACCAATCCCCTGAGCCCTATGCAAATCAGACATCACCTCCACCAGCCTCTGCATATATACCTGGCTGGTATCCGCGGTAGATGGGGACCTCCTCTTTTGGAGCCCCGCTCCCTCTGTCTCTGTAAGGGGGAGCTCCTTCCTTCTGTCTTCTCCCTTCCTTCTTGCCTATTAAACTCTCCGCTCCTTAAAACCACAAACACACACACAAAATTGCTAATGCAAGATGAAACTATGTAAAGTGATGTTAATAATCAATGGGAAGAAATGCGATTGTACTATGACCTTTAACATTTTTTGTCAAAGCATTAAAAACTCTTATTGGTTGTAAATTTGTAGAGAAATAAAAAAACTAAAAAAAAAACCAACAAACTAATATTTATTTAACACAGTGTAATTTAAAACATTAGACCCACCGGGCGCAGTGGCTCAAGCCTGTAATCCCAGCACTTTGGGAGGCCGAGGCGGGCGGATCACGAGGTCAGGAGATCGAGACCATCCTGGCTAACACGGTGAAACCCCGTCTCTACTAAAAATATTTTTTAAAAAATTAGCCAGGCGTGGTGGCCGGCGCCTGTAGTCCCAGCTACTCGGGAGGCTGAGGCAGGAGAATGGCGTGAACCCGGGAGGCGGTGCTAGCAGTGAGCCAAGATCGTGCCACTGCACTCCAGCCTGGGTGACAGAGCGCGACTCTGTCTCAAAAAAAAAAAAAAAAAAAAAAAAAAAAATTAGAACCATGGAGGATTATTTCCTTGTAAAAAACATGTCAAGATTAGTTTGGCCTCTTTTCATCCTATAACATATAATATGGAATAAGCAGGTGGAGCATGGTGGCTCATGCCTGTAATCCCAGTGTTTTGGGAGGCCGAGGTGGGCAGATCACCTGAGGTTGGGGGTTCGAGACCAGCCTGACCAACATGGAGAAACCCTGTCTCTACTAAAAATACAAAATTAGCCGGGCGTGGTGGCACATGCCTGTAATCTCAGCTACTTGGGAGGCTGAGGCAGGAGAACTGCCTGAATCCAGGAGGTGGAGGTTGCGGTGAGCTGAGATCATGCCATTGCACTCCAGCCTGGGCAACAAGAGTGAAACTCTGTCTCTAAATAAATAAATAAAAAGGAATAAGCACCTTTTCTTCATCTTGACAAGTTGCCATACTCCTTTCTAAGTTTGGATCAACTTCCAACATTTTATTTATTCTTGGAGGTTTCAATGCTTTGAAATATCTGAGAGTTCCTTTAATGTGAAGTTTTTGCTGGCATTACTTTCTCTGGGACATCTTCATCCTTTTCATCACAATTACTTTTCTCATTCATGTCAATAAATTCACCTTCACTAAGCTCCTTTAGCTGCCCTTCTAGAGATTCTTGAAAGTAGCAGTGTGAACATTCCCATGGTCAGCTATTTCTTCTATAACTCCATTTATGTTCAATTCAAATTTCACTGAAAACATTATCACTTTTGTTTCTTTGCTGCACTTTTATCTTTGCTGGCCAATTCTTAATACATTTTTCTAAAATGTTATGTGGGTTTATCACTGGAAGGCAACACAACTACATGCTTTGCTGTCTGTGCATGAACTAAATTATAGGCACACAGTGACTGATCACTGACATACTTTGAAAGAAGTCATGTGATTGGCCACATTATTTTGCTCATCTGTTATTTTCAAAGTGCTCTGTGGACTGAAGGGCTAGCAGCCAAGTTTGTCCTTTATGGAACTACTCAAAGTTAATATACCATGGTAACTAAAATTTGAATTATTTTTAGGAGACTTATGTTATTTAAGCTGTAGTAACAAATATTTTTATAGTGAAACTGTTCAAAGCCAGGACTACCTACATAGTGTGTTACCTTTTGTGTAAGAAAGAAGAGGACATAAGAAAATATAAATATGTATAGGTTTTGTTTTTGCGTTTTGCAAAAAGAAACACAGTGAGGATAAACCACAAACTAATGAAATCGATTATCTACAGAGTGTGGTGTGAATGAGGCAGAAGGTATAGGGGAGGAATGACAATTTTCTGAGTACACCTTTTTTTAATAGTTTTGACTTTATGTTAATGTTTTACATATTCAAAAAAGAATACTAGGCTAGGTGTGGTGGCTTATGCCTGTAATACCAGCACTTGGAGGCTAAGGCAGGAGGATCACTTGACCCCAGGAGTTCAGGGTCAGCCTGGGGAAACATAGTGAGACCCCATCTCTAAAATAAATAAATAAATAAATAAATAATTAAAAAATTAGCCAGTCATGGTGGTGTGCACTTGCAGCCCCAGCTATTTGGGAGGCTGAGGTGGGAGGATCGCTTAAGTGCACGAGGTTGAGGCTGCAGTGAGCTGTGATTGTACCACTGGACTCCAGCCTGGGTGACATAGCGAGACCCTATCTCAAAAACAAAACAAAACAAAACAAAACAAAAAAGCAACAGAAAATATACTAATCAACCAGAGTGTGGCAAAACTCTAAAACTGCACATAATAGAAACAAACTTTATTTTAATGAATCACATAACTATACTACAGGTAACTTTTCAGCACAGTACTTTGACAATATACCCTCAGTTTAAAGACAACCAATTGCAAGCAAATCTTCAGCAGCTCTTTCTTACTGTATAATGCCAACTAATAAAAGTGGAATAAATTATTACAAATGGAGTTAGAAAATCATCTCCCCAGAGTGTGGGCTGGACCAAGTGATTTTGCTTCTTATGAACAAACTACAGCAAAAATGATGGTATGTTACTTTCTCAGTTTTCCCTCCCTCCCTTCCTTCTTCCTTCTCTCTCTTCCTCTCTCCCTCCCTCCCTCATTCCTTCCTTTCTTTCTTGACAGGGTTTCATTCTGTGGCCTAGGCTGGAGTGCAGTGGATGGAGCAAATGAGTAAATATATTCATAGCACTGGGAGCCAGGGTTCTTACTGTTGGAAAATAAAAATACAAAGATGGAAAGGGGGAAGGCTAGGAAGAACCAGAACTGGAGGTATCAATATGAACTCACGATTTTGAGGGAGTGTGTGTACAAATATAAATATGGGTGTGTTTATGTGTGTTTTTCCTAGCTCCGTCTGCTGACAAGGCCTAGAAACAGTGACAGCCCATTAGCAGTGAGCATACCTCACACCCAGATCTTAGTTTCTAAATACTATTCCCTACTAAAATGAAGCAAGGCTTTTGGATAAATGGTTCATCTCAGAACTGGAACAAGGAAAGTATGAGTCTCTAATATTTTCTTATATCAGAAAGTAAGAAAGGGTTCAAGAAAATGAGAGAGTTATGGCAAAAGGACACAAGAACCAGCTTGAAGAGGTTCTTATTGGTAACATCTAAAACAATTTGAGGTCAAAATAAAAAATGTTAGTAATAGAATATAACTCATTGGAAAAAACACATGAGCCATATATGAATAAATAAGAAGAGAAAAGAAAGCTCTTTCTTACTGTATAATGCCAACTAATAAAAGTAGAATAAGTTATTACAAATGGAGTTAGAAAATCATCTCCCCAGAGTGTGGGCTGGACCAAGTGATTTTGCTTCTAATGAACAAACTACAGCAAAAATGATGGTATGTCACTTTCTCGGTCTTTCCCTGCCTCCCTACCTCCCTTCCTTCCTCCCTCCCTCCCTTGTTCCTTCCTTTCTTTCTTGACAGGGTTTCATTCTGTGGCCTAGGCTGGAGTGGAGTGGTGTGATCTCGGCTCACTGTAACCTCCGCCTCCTGGGTTCAAGCAATTCTCTGGCCTCAGCCTCCTGAGTAGCTGGGACTATAGGCATGCACCACCAGACCAGCTAATTTTTGTATTTTTAGTAGAGGCAGGGTTTTGTCATGTTACCCAGGCTGGTCTTGAACTCCTGGGCTCAAGCAGTCCACCCTCCTTGGCCTCTCAGAGTGCTGGAATTACAGGTTTGAGCCACCATGCCTAGCCTTGTATGTCACTTTCAAAATTAGGTTTATAAAAAGATTGTGGCTTTCATCACATTTGCCCTCTCTGGCACTCTCCTTTACTTGCTCTAACAGAAGCTGGTTGCCCTATGGAGGTCCACATGGCAAGGAACTGAGGTAGACCTCAAGCTAACAACCAGCAAGGAACTGGAACCCTTAGTCTAACAATCCACAAGGAACTTAATTTTGCCATTAACTATGTGAGAGAGATTAGAAGCGGATCCATCCTCTGTTGACCCTTCAGATAAGACAATAGCCTTAGGTGACACTTTAATTGCTGCCTTGTAAGACTTTGAGGCAGAGGCACTCAGCAAAGCTATACCCAGTCCTGATCCACAAAATTTATGAGATAATAAATGCTTCTTTTAAGCCACTAAGTTTTGGGATAATTTGTTACACAGCAATGGCTAAATAATATACTACCAAAAAAATGTCTAGTCTAAATACAATCATAAGGCTGGGTGTGGTGGCTCACGCCTGTAATCCCAACACTTTGGGAGGTCAAGGTGGGTGGATCACAAGGTCAGGAGTTCGAGACCAGCCTGGCCAATATGGTGAAACCTCGTCTCTACTAAAAAAAATACAAAAAAATTAGCCGGGTGTGGTGGCACATGCCTGTAATCCCAGCTACTTGGGAGGCTGAGGTAGGAGAATTGCTTGAATCTGGGAGGCAGCGGTTGCAGTGAGCCGATATCGCACCACTGCACACCAGCCTGGGTGACAGAGCAAGACCCCATCTCAAAAAAAAAAAAATAATAATAATAATATTAAATAAATAAATAAATACAATCATGAGGTCCGGGCACGGTGGCTCATGCCTGTAATCCCGGCACTTTGGGAGGCCAAGGCGGGCGGATCACCTGAGGTCAGGAGTTGGAGACCATCCTGGGCAACATGGCAAAACCCCGTTTCTACTAAAAGTACAAAAATTAGCCAGGCATGGTGGCAGGCATCTGTAATCCCAGCTACTCAGGAGGCTGAGGCAGGAGAATTGCTTGAACCTGGGAGGCAGAAGTTGCAGTGAGCCGAGACTGCGCCACTGCATTCCAGCCTGGGTGACAAGAATGAGACTCCATCTCAAAACAAACAAACAGACAAACAAACAAACAAACTCTATATATAAAATCACGAGGAAACATAAAACAAATATAAATTAAAGGCATTATACAAGACAAATGGCTTCTAGTCTTTACAAATGTCAGTTTCATATAAACAAACAAGGCTGAGGAACTGTTTCAGATTAAAGTAGATTAAAGAGACATGGCAACTAGGCCACACATGGTGGCTCACGCCTGTAATCCCAGCACTTAGCTGAGGTGGGCAGATCACTTGAGGTCAGGAGTTCAAGACTAGCCTGGCCAACATAGTGAAACCTTGTCTCTACTAAAAATACAAAAATTAGCTGGGTGTGGTGGGAGTGTGGTGGCACATGCCTGTAGTCCCAGCTACTCAGGAGGCTAAGGCAGGAGAATCATTTGAACCTGGGAGGCGGAGGTTGCAGTGAGCCAAGATCATACCACTGCATTCCAGCCTGGGCGAAAGAGTGAGACCCTGTCTCAAAAAAAAAAAAAAAAAAGAGACATGGCAACTAAATGCAATGTGTGATATTTTGGACTAAAAAAAATTACTATGAGGTATAGTAAAATATACTATAAGGTATGGTAGAATTTAAATATGGACTATAGGCTAAATAATTATATTGCATTGATGTTAAATTTTCTGATTTTTATTATTAAAATTTAATTATATAAAAGAATGTCCTTGTTAGGAAATACACAATGAGGTATTTAGGAATAAAGAAACATAATTTCTACAACTTACTCTCAAATGTCATAAAAATAATCATGTCATAAAAAAATCATATCATATAAAAATAATGTGTTTGTGTACATACACACAAACATATATACATACACACTTGGGTGTGTATGTAAATATGTATATATAGATACATCTTTTTAAAAAACTTTTTTACTTTTTTTTTTTTTTTTTTTGAGACAGAGTCTTGCTCTGTCGCCCAGGCTGGAGTGCAGTGGTGCGATCTCGGCTCACTGCAACCTCCGCCTCCCAGGTTCAAGCATTTCTCATGCCTCACCCTTAGGCATGGGGTACCAGGCCTGGCTAATTTTTGTATTTTTAGTAGAGATGGAGTTTTATCATGTTGGCCAGGCTGGTCTTGAACTCCTGGCCTCAAGTAATCCACCTGCCTCAGCCTCCCAAAGTGCTGGGATTACAGGAGTGAGCCACTGCACCTGGCCTACAGATACAATTATATAATACATATAATTCACCCGGTGCATCCGGGTGAAGGAGATACAGTTCTTTGTACAATTCTTGCAACTCCTTTGAAAATTTGAAATCATTTCAAAACAGAAAGTTAGAATTAACACTTCTTGTGAAAATACCTAAGAAAATTACACCTATTTCCTCTTTGACCCAGCAATTTCAATTCCATTTCTGGGAATTCATCCCAAAGATATACTGCATATGTAAAAACTGATGTAGGTACAGGGCTATTCAATAGCGCTCATTTATGAGACTGGTTAATAATCCAAAGGAATGCTAAGCAACTGTTAAAAAAAACAGCTTTCTATATATTAATATGGAAGTTCTTTTTTGTTTGTTTGTTTGTTTTTTTGAGTTGCAGTCTTGCTCTGTCGCCCAGGCTGGAGTGCAGTGGCACGATCTCGGCTCACTGCAAGCTCCGCCTCCCAGGTTCACGCCATTCTCCTGCCTCAGCCTCCAGAGTAGCTGGGACTACAGGCGCCCGCCATCACGCCTGGCTAATTTTTTTTTTTGTATTTTTAGTACAGACGGGGTTTCACCGTGTTAGCCAGGATGGTCTCGATCTCCTGACCTCGTGATCCTCCCGCCTCGGCCTCCCAAAGTGCTGCGATTACAGGCGTGAGCCACCGCGCCCGGCCAATATGGAAATATTTTTAAAGGATATAATGTGAAGAAAGGAAGATATAAAGTGGTGTATAGTATTTTATCTTTTTGTAAAAAAAATGGGGAAATAAAAATATATGTACATATTTGCATAAGAAATGCTGACAGGATGCTTAATAAAGTTATAAAATGTTTACCTACAGGGGACAGGAGGAAGCAAGGGTGGAATAGGAGTAGGATAGGGATGGAAGTCAGACTTCTCAATATATACATAGTATATTGTTTTGATTTTTAAAACCATGTAAATGTATTTCCTATTCAAAAATAAAATAAAGAAAACTACTAAGATTGAGGTACATGGCTATAAAGATTCAAAGAAAAGATTCCTTGAGATATTAAGTGGAAAGAGCAAGTTGCACAACAGTATATATACTGTAAAATGATCCTGTTGTGCAAAGAAAACCCCACACATACATTCGCATACACACAGAAAATGTTTGTAAGTGTACATAACCAGGGATGAATAGTAGTGATCTTTCAGGGGTGAGTCTGAGGTATAGTGAGGGTGGGGGAGGCTAATTTTCTTTTCTTTTAATTTTTTTTTTTTAAGATGGCATTTCGTTCATGTTGCCCAGGCTGGAGAGCAATGGCATGATCTTGGCTCACTGCAACCTCCACCTCCTGGGTTCAAGCGATTCTCATGCCTCAGCCTCCCGAGTAGCTGGGATTATAGGTGTCCGCCACCATGCCCAGCTAATTTTTGTATTTTTAGTGGAGACAGAGTTTCACCATGTTGGCCAGGCTGGTCTCGAACTCCTGACCTCAGATGATTCACCCACCTCGGCCTCCCAAAGCACTGGGATTACAGGCGTGAGCCACCACGCCCAGCCAATTTTATTTTCTTAAATTTATTTTCAATTAAAGTATAATTTATATACAGTCACATGCAAGACTCTTAAGTTCAATGAGTTTTGGAAAATGTGTACATCCTTATAACCCATCCCTCTATCAAGATATGGAACAGTTCTAACTTCCTGGGGGGGAAAATTCTACCATCATTCATACTGTTGGTTTCAACTTTAAAATGCTAAGGACTCTATAGGATGTTTAAGGTATGTGTGGACATAGAATCCTCCAAGTGTACTCATAACATTAAAACCCAACAATTTTGTTATGATTGTTATGCATCTTTTATCCTAAACATTCCTTCTATGCAGTTTTACAGATGGTGAAGAAAAACTGAGGTTAAAAATTTCCTCCGGGTGCGGTGGCTCACGCCTGTAATCCCAGCACTTTGGGAGGCCGAGGTGGGCAGATCACCAGGGTCAGGAGTTTGAGACCAGCCTGACCAATATGATGAAACCCGTCTCTACTAAAAATACAAAAATTAGCCGGGTGTGGTGGCATGTGCCTGTAGTCCCAGCTACTTGGGAGGCTGAGACAGAAGAATCACTTGAACCCGGGAGGCGGAGGTTGCAGTGAGCCGAGATCAAGCCATTGCACTCCAGCCTGCGCGACAAGAGCAAGACCCCGCTTAAACAAAAACAAAAACAAAAAACAAACAAACAAAAAAATCCATGGAGCACATATAATCATGTGAAAGAAAATTAAACAACAAAAATTAAAACAGCCTGACACATTTTAATAGAATTCCAGACACAGAAAAAAAACAAAACAAAACTGAACACTAGGACTAGTCTGAAGAGTGGAGTATGAATTAGACAGCAAATTTCCCTGGGTGCTGGATGTTTCTTACAGTGAAAAAGAGATCAGGAAGATAAATAAAACACAAAAGTAGCTCAGCCATGAACCCCAAAACATACCAGTGTAGAGCTATCAGGAAGCTTATTATGCTCAGCCTTATAAGGATCTACCCATCTGACTAGATGATCACAATGGAAGAACTCAGAGTAAAAGAATGGTAACCGGCTGGGCGCGGTGGCTCACGCCTGTAATCCCCACACTTTGGGAGGCCGAGGCGGGCAGATCAGAGTTCGAGACCAGCCTGGCCAATATGGTGAAATGCTGTCTTGTACTAAAAATACAAAAATTAGCCAGGCGTGGTGGTGCACGCCTGTAGTCCCAGCTACTCAGGAGGCTGAGGCAGAAGAATCACTTGAACCTGGGAGGCAGAGATTGCAGTGAGCAGAGATAGGGCCACTGCACTCCAGCCTGGGTGACAGAGCGAGACTCCATCTCAAAAAAAAAAAAGAATGATGACCATATGTCTAATCACACACTGAATATCTGCACTGTTTCTCAGATCCTTCAAATGAACATGGCTGGAACTCAACTCGATTTCTCTTAAATCTATCATTCTTTAGTCTTCCATTCTCATCAAATGGTAGCTTTGTCCATCCAGTTCCTTAATGTGGAAACCCAGGAATCACTCTTAATCCCTGCTCCCCATTTATCCATTGTATTTATTCAGTTAATAATATTTCACTGAAGATCTACCACTTGCCAGGCAACACAACAATATTTTCAGACACCTAGGAATATAATAATAAACAAAACACCCCCTGCCCTCATGAAATTTATATTCCACCTATTCCATTATTAAGTCTTATTGAACCCATTTCCTAAATATATCTATAATTCATCCATTTATTTCTACATCCACTGCCTCCCCTTTAATCCAAGCCAGCTCTTCTTCCATTTCTTACCAGGAATATTGCCATAGTCTCCTATCTTATCTTCCTATTTCTATTTATAACCCTCATAAATCAATTCTCCATATAGCAGCCAGAGTAAGCTTAATAATTCAAATATCTTGTCACTGCCTTGTTTAAAATATTTTAATAGCTCCTAAGTACAAGGGTATTTAGAACAAAATCCAGAATTTTAAGTGTGATTTACAAGGCTCTCCCTGCCTTATTAGTTTCATCTATTTATTTTCTGTTTCTAGCCTCCCTAGCCCTTTTAAATTGCTTGAGTCACACCTTTTATTTTTTAAAAAGATCTTTACACATGCTATTTCCTCTGCCTGACAATTTCTTTTTTACTTTCCTTGTTACCTAGATAACTTCTACTCATCCTATTAATCTATTCATCTCTCTAAATATCACTTTCCGAAAAAAAGAAAGCCTTCCTTGACCTTCAGATTAGGCGAAGCTTCCCTACTATAAGCTTTCTCTTAGTGCTTTTGTATTTCTCCTTGTTGGCTTTTATCAGACCTGTAAAATATCATGTATTAGAATAGGGCCCATTAACTCAGGAATCATATATGCCTTGTTCATTGCTGCATCCTTAGTCCATAGGTCAGTGCCTTGCATATAGCAGACAGTTAATAAATATTTGTTATGTAAATGAATGAATGAACCACCCAGGACCAGACTTGGGCAGACACCAATGTTTACTGTTTCTGGATGGGTTCTCTCAACCTACAAACTGAAGAGAATGGAAGCCTGAACTTATGCAGAGTGGTTTCGACTTATATTCTCACACAATATAGTGTAAGAATAGAGCACTTTGCACCTCTTACTTTTCAAAAGCATATAGAATACATAAAAACATAGTTTTTCATTTTTCTGTAAACTAGAAATGAACAATTAGAAGATACAATTTTAAAAATACTATTTACAATAACATTAGAAAACATCAAATATGTAGGGACAATTTAATGAGAAATATACATGACCTCTCTACACTGAAAACTATACAACATAGCTGAGAGAAATTAAAGACCTAATTAAATGGAAATATATACCATGTTCATGGATTTGAAGTGTCAATATTGTTAAGATGATCCTCCTCCCTCCTTCCCTCTTTCCCTGATAAAGGTATAGATGCAATGCCATCCCATTCAAAAATCCTACAAGCTTTGTCCTGTAGTAAGACTTTGTAGCAAGACTTACTATAAAGCTACAATAATTGAGACAGTGTGCTATTAGTAAAAGAATAGACAAATGAAACATGATCAAGAATATAGAAATAGAACTACATATATCAGTGAAATGACTTTCAACAAAGGCACCAAGCAAATTCAACAGAAAGAGGAAAATATTTTTAATAAATGGTATTGAAAAAAATGGGAAATAACTTCAACCCCTACCTCAATGAACTGGTGCATCATGCCACATGCAAAAATCAATTTTAAATAAGGTAAGTAGAAAGGAAGAGTCAAAAGTGTCAAATAAGTGCCTTTTGCTCACTAGACACAGTCACTGTCTCACCTACTATACTGCTAGAGCAAAGTATTACACAATATAAATCCAGTACGCGACCGGGCGCAGTGACTCATGCCTGTAATCCCAGCACTTTGGGAGGCCAAGGAGGGAAGATCACCTGAGGTTGGGAGTTCAAGACTAGCCTGACCAACATGGAGAAACCCCGTCTCTACTAAAAATACAAAATTAGCTGGGCGTGGTGGCACATGCCTGTAATCCTAGCTACTAGGGAGGCTGAGGCAGGAGAATCACTTGAACCTGGGAGGCGGAGGTTGCAGTGAGCCGAGAGCATGCCATTGCACTCCAGCCTGGGCAACAAGAGTGAAACTCCATCTCAAAAAAAAAAAAAAAAAAAAAAAAAAAAAAAAAAAATCCAGTACACACAAGTGACACATATCTGTTGAGATACTTCACTTTTCTTGGTTTCCAATCCTTAGCAGACTTTTCAGGTGAGCATCAGAATCTAGATTGAAGATGCCAAATTATCTGATTTACTGAATTCCTTTTAGAAGCCAATACCCAGGTAGCATTTAAAATAAAATTAACATAGCTTAGATGGACCACAGAATACATACCAATAAGGAAACCTGCTGTGAGTAGTCAGACACACTTTTATGAATTTTCCTACTAATATTCCTTTTCTCTTGACTTATCAGTAATTTTTTCAGTTTTCAGACTTTCCATATTACCCATTTTACCTAATTATGTTTTCCAAAGGTAACTGTTTCCTTTTCATTTTTTTTGTCTTTTTGGTAATATTGTATATTGTAAGCTTCCAATTCACTGATAGGGAAATGTATGAGGAATTTTATATGCAAATGTTATTCTATAATTTTTGAAGTGTTTGTAAACTACTAGTTCAGTAAAATGCTATGCTAACATTATCTGGATCAATTTTTACAATCACCTGATTATAAGAACATTTCATATACCACATTCTGTTTTAGCTCAAGTCCATTTAAAGCATTTGAATTGGAACAATTTCCCAAGCTTTAAATAAGTCATAAGGAGAGAAGCTCTTTATTTGTTTGTTTGTTTTGGGACAGGGTCTAATTCTGTCACCCAGACTGGAGTACAGGAGCGCAACCACAGCTCACTGCAGCTTCAATCTCCCCAGACTCAGGTGATCCTCACACCTCAGCCTCCCAAGTAGCTGAGACCACAGGCATGGACCACTAAACCTTGTTAATTTTTGTTTTTTTTTTTTGTAGAGATGGGTTTTTGCCATGCTGTCCAGGCTGGTCTCAAACTCCTGGGCTCAAGTGATCCACCCGCCTTGGCGCCCCAAAGTGCTAAGATTATAGATGCGCCTGGCGAGACAAGCTCTTTGTACTATAGAGAATGATGCAGTGGACATGGGTAGGGAAATAAAATGCAGTATAACTTATGATAGTGTTCTTAATCTGGTTTGAAAAGCAAGGTTCAGCTTGAGAAGGAGACTGGAACACTCAGTCATAAGACGCTCTTCAGTGGAACAATAATTTTCAAAGTTTAGGTCTGGCAACTTCCATTAGTCATATTCTTAGATTTACTGAAATTATAGGCTAACTTTATCAGCCAGAATGTCTTTTTGCAGTGAGAGGAAGTTTCTTAAATAGAAAATGAAACAGTTGTGTGCTGAAGGAGAAGTGATAAGCAGGGATTCTGAGTTGTAAATTTACATCTCTCATACTACAATGGCCAAGATTTGTCCCTCCCTTATTTTTGGATCAGTACAATTTGAATATCAAAGTAAAATTATAAAATATAATCAAACACATACAAATATATATAATCAAAACATGCTCCTTACCTACAGGCCCCAAATGCTCTGGCATGTCTGATACTCTTGTCTGCCTGACTACTGTCCCTCAAGCTCACCATGCCAAATATTTCTCATCTTAGGCCTTTGGTCTTGCTGCTAGAAATGCTTTTTACTGAGATCTCTGAAAATATTTAATGCTAGAAGAAAACCTGCTTGTGACTGAACTTAGTTTCATCAAGAATTTTTCACCTTGGAGAGTGGATTCTGCCCAAGCAATTAGAATAATCACAATCATCCCCTTCCCCAAGGGGCTTTCTGCAGTGAAACTGCTATTGAGTCCTGAGGGGTAGGGATTCAAAAAAGAAGTTCACTCAGCCCTGGATTCGTAGGAGAAGCACACACCTGGTAGGAATATGGCATCATAGAGCTACAGTTACCCAGAAACCTGGGGCTTAGCGCGGGATAGACATCCGTGGGAAAGACTCAGACAGGATCATTTTGGGGTCTTCGGCACTTTAAAACCAGCACAAACAATGCAATCAGGAAGAATAAAAAGGAAATTAAAGCTAAGGCAATCACCAGATATAAATTAATTTTGGATTCAGGCTGTAGCTTTGCAGAGTGATCGCTGAGGTCTGGCAGAGTCTCCTGCAGGCTGTCGGCGACGAGGGGCGGTAGTGGTGGTGACGTGGCGGTAGCGAGAGGAGCGGCTGTCCACCGCAGTGCACCGCGACCAGTAGGCGCTGGCGAGTCGCTTTCCTGTGGCCCATCGTGCGAGCTGTCAGCACCTCGTCGGTGCGCATTCCAGGCTGAAGAGCCTGGGCTTGCTGGCCTGCAGCACGTGGTAGGACAGCCACGCATTGTGTCTCACATCTGCGTCTACAGCCACCACCTTGGTGACCAGGTAGCCAGGCTCCGCGGCGTGCAGCACCATATCCAAGAGCGCGAAGCCATTGCGCTCCAGAGCTGGGGTACAGCACCCGCGGTGCGTTGTCATTCAGGTCGTCCACCAACACGCGCAGGCTCACGTTGACGCCGAGCGCGAGCTAGTCCTGGTCGCGGGCCTGCAGCGTGAGCTTGAAGGCTCGCGGCTGCTCTTGGTCGAAGGCGCACTGTGCGCTCAAGGACACCTAGAATCACAGCGCCTGTGGCTCCAGGTCACTGGCCACGATGGAATAGGGAACTTGGCTGTTGGGTCCCAAGTCTAGGTTGGAGGTGTCTACTTGCACACTATGGAGGCTTTGGGAAGATTGTTCTTGGCCACGTGGACGACGTAGGAGGCCTGGTAGAAAACCAGAGCATTGTCGTTGGCATCGCCAATGAGTAGGGTGATGCTTGGGCTGGACGAGAGGGTTGGTTTGCCTCTGTCAGTGGCAGTGATGCTGATGTTATACCTTGGGTCTGTTCCTGGTCCACGGCCCCATTTGTTACAAGCATGTAGTTAATTATTGGAGGAAGATTTTTCTCAAGGTGCATTTTCTTATATCAGACATGTGACCTCGTTTTCTCCCGAATCCAGATCTTGTGATTTAAAGATCTTGTGATTTAAATCCTGGACAGTGATTACTGTCCAAGGTGCAGAATCTTTGGGAATCATTGTGGAATTAGAAGTAAAAATCGCCTCTAGGATATTGTCATTATCTTCTAGAAATTCGGTCTCAACTGTACACTGGACAATGAGTCCCTCTCTGTCACTTGCTACCAAAACCATGGAAATTAAAAATCTTTAAAAGTCCAATGTACTTAAAGTTTTCATTTCTCCACTATTTGATCAAGGCCAAACTAGATATGGGTACTCTGGGTTGTGAAGCCATATGTGATCTCTGCCTTGACACTCTAGTCCTGGTTGGTGGCCCTCACTCTCAGCACAGGAGTGCCCGGATGCACATCTTCCTGAAGGCCGACGCTGTACACATCCTAGATGAACACAGGGTTGTCATTGGCTTCAACCAATAGGATCAGGAGTTGAGTGATGCTGCTTTGTTGGGGGGCCGTCTAAGGCTGCTAGCACTAAGGGATGGGAGCTCTGCTTTTCCTAGTCAAGCAGCTTCTCTAACACAGGATCAACATATGTCTTTCCACTGTTGGTCACTTTTACTTCAAAGAGAAATATAGAGTTGCTGCTAAGGTGATAATTTTGTAAGGAATTTCTCTCAACATCAGGATCTTCTGCAGGTTCTGTTGCAAATCTTGTTCCAGCTGGGTAAACTCAGAGATACGTAACTTAATAACATTCCTGCTGAACCGTGGTGCATGATTCTTCATATCCTGAATCTCCATATTAATGTGAAAAACATTTAAAGAATTTTCAACTACCGTTTGTTCATTTTTTTTGAGATGGCGCCTTGCTCTGTCACCCAGGCTGGAGTGCAGTGGTGCGATTGCCTCTCGGGTTCAAGCGATTCTCCTGCCTCGGCCCCCCGAGTAGCTAGGATTATAGGCCTGCACCACCATGCCCAGTAATTTTTGTATTTTTAGTAGAGACAGGGTTTCACTATGTTGGTCAGGCTGGTCTCGAACTCCTGACCTCGTAATCTGCTCGCCTCGGCCTCCCAAAGTGCTGGGATTACAGGTGTGAGCCACCATGCCTGGCCTTCAACTATTTCAAAGCGTTATGGCCCAAGCTATAATTGGGGGGCGTATCTGCTCCTGATCCATTCAGTCATTCACAAGTAAGTCTCCACTTTCCCCACTTAGAATGAAGTATTATTCCTCAGCATTAACCCGAAGCTTTCAAGTGGGCATGTCCTCGACACTGAGTCCCAGATCCTTGGCAAGGTTTCCCACCACCAAACTCTTGGCCAGCTCCTCTAGGACTGAATAACGGATCTGCATCATAGAGAATGCCCAGCAGGATAGAAATAGCAGGAAAGGAGGCAGTAGTCGCCTTGGTTCTACCCAGACTGTCAGTCCAGCACCATTCCCCACCTTTTCCACAGTTAGAGTTGCTGCTGCTCCAGCCCAAATAAGCCCCTTTTCAAACTCTTCTTGGATTATAGAATCTCCAGCCAAGAAGGAGCTGAACTCATTGCCTGTAAATCCGTTCCGTTCCTGCTTATAATTTGTAGAACTAGGAGCCATAATAGGAATGTTGTGGGTCTGCTCTTGGATTTGCATTCCATGAAATTAGAAAAGCCACCAAGCCGGAATGTCTGGGGATTGGCTCATTTATCTCTGTTTCCAGACTGGCCAACAGTGGCACTCTGAGTCCCTACTCTAGAACTGCAGCCTGAAGAAATGAGAGGACAGCGTTCTGTAGAGTTAGTTGAGAGCAGAGAGAAAGACGTTTCTCACTGGAATTTGCAAGCTGAAAGGCAGCAGTGCAGTCTTGCTCCCGCAATAAAATATTCCTGGGAATTTATAACCTCAGTGATGTTAGCACATGAAGTCGAAGTGATGACTTATTTTTATTTCTTCTTGATGTTTGAGTATTTGTAGGCTTAGAATCTTTCTTTCCATTCCCACTTCCATGCCTGGGCTTTACTTTTTCCATGGAACACAGTCTCAGAATGAACTGTTGGCTGAATCTTCAGCTGAAATTGTATAGGAAGCTTCTAAGAATTTTCACATATGGATTTTTTTTTTTTTTTGTCAGAGTCTCACTATGTCGCCCAGGCTGGAGTGCAGTGGCGTGATCTCAGCTCACTGCAACCTCTGTCTCCCGGGTTCAAGTGATTCTCTTGCCTCAGCCTCCTGAGTAGCTGGGATTACAGGCGCCTGCCACACAATATGGAAATCTTATGAACTGAGGCATCTATTTTCAAAATTTGACAAACAAACCAGGTCCTTAGCCTTTTAAGATAAGTCAGACAGTTGGCAGGGTGCGGTGGCTCATGCCTATAATCCCAGCACTTTGGGAGGCCAAGGCAGGTGGATCACCTGAGGTCAGGAGTTCAAGAGCAGCCTGGCCAACTTGATGAAACTCTGTCTCTACTAAAAATATTTTAAAAAATTAGCTGGGCATGGTGACAGGCGCCTGTAATCCCAGCTACTGGAGAGGCTGAGGCAGGAGAATCGCTTGAACCCAGGAGGCAGAGGTTGCAGTGAGCTGAGATCACACCACTTGCACTCCAGCCTGGGTGACAGAGCAAGACTCCATCCCCTACTCCAAATATATATATACATATATGTGTGTGTGTGTGTGTATATATATATATATATATATATATATATATATATATATATATATGTATGTATGTATGTATGTATATCAGACAGCTGCCTCTTATTAGGGCTTAGATATAGAGGAAAAGTCCATGTAAAATAATTGGTTTTGCACTATGATTCTTTTTTCTCCAAGAGACCACTTTCCAATAATTGAACTCAAGCATTGTATTGAGTACTTAGAAGGTGTACAAACTACTGTGTGAAATACTTCAGAGAGTTAATGATGAACTAAGAAATTATATCTGCCCTCAATGACAATACACAGAGTAGATCCTTATATGACATGTATAAGAAAAATTATGGTGGTACCAACTTCTTTTACATACAGATTAAATTATTTTGTTTGATTCTATGGTCTCTTCAATGACAGTTTTTTAAAAACATTTTCCTGAACCAGAGCCCTTCCCATATGGTATCCAGAAGTCTCATCCTTTATAAAATATTTTTTCCAATTAGCTTTGCCATAGGCTGGCTATCTTTTGCCATTAATATTTTAGGAATGCATCCTAAACAGTATGCCCTGTTACTGGTAATTTTCCATTAAGTATGGTTTCTTAAAAGTGAACTCAAAGTGGTCGGGCATGGTGGCTCACACCTGTAATCTCAGCTATTTGGGAGGCTGAGGTGGGGTGGGTGCATCCCAAGATCAAGAGATCAAGACCATTCTGGCCAATATGGTGAAACCCCATCTCTACTAAAAATACAAAAATTAGCTGGGTGTGGTGGCGTGTGCCTGTAGTCCCAGCTACTCGGGAGGCTAAGGCAGGAGAATAGCATGAACCCAGGAGGCAGAGGTTGCAGTGAGCCAAGATAGTGCCACTGCACTCCAGCTTGGCGACAGATTGAGACTCTGTCTCAAAAAAAAAAAAAAAGGTGAACTCAAAGTGTAACATTAGAGGGTAACTGTGTCTCTTTCTTGAGATTTAGCCTCATCAGTTTGATCAACATCTCTTCGAAACTATGTGTTTGCTTTTCTGAACCTGACATCTTATATGGGGATAAAGCAGATTTTTACACCAGAACTATCCAATTCATGATCACAGCTATACTCTGTTACATGTCATAAAGAAAACTGATACAATTTGCTCATTTGTCATCAGCCTTATAATTCATTGAAAAGTGATCTACGAGATTAAATATGCTATAAAAGTATAGTATAGTCTCCTCAACATTCCTATGCTATTGCTGCTTCAAAAAGCATAATACTTCTGGAATGAAAGCAGTGGATGAATGTCTTCTGACTGATTACATTCCAATTTTAGGTACTATAAAACAGTGAAGCTACAAATTTTAAATTATAGCTGAACGCTTTAACTTGTTAGATGAAATGGATACATACACATCTGTCATACACATAAAAAGACAAGGAAAGTCCTTGACATAATTTTATGACTGGAATCAGAATAAATGTAAACACATCCAAACCCATTGCCCAGTTAGTCTCAGAAAACAATCAACACATATGTTAATTATGAATCCTAAATTATCAACAAGTGTCCTAAAAATCCTAAAGCTAAGCCGTTAGTTTCAATTCTTATATGGCCCAAACCAAATAATGATCACCAGCCTTCTGGTTTCGGTGATCCATTTTCTGGTGAAATTATCTAAGATCCCATTGAAGTAAACTGCTTCTTTAAAATAAGTTTCACAAGATCCTTGTTTAGATTTCACTATGGTTCAGACAAAGAAAAAGTAACACTCACAAAATTGTCTCATATAAAAATCTTTCCCCCATCTTTTATGGCCTAAAACTGTGGCTTCTCAATCAAGAATGTGCCTAGGCACTTAAGATTTTTAAACCAGCTGTCACAAAAATTTTAGAACAGTTTTATTTCCATCCACAAATCATTCCATTATACCATATGGAGAAGCACACAAAAATCATTATTATTTTTCCCAACAGAACATCGAGTGTGCTGGCATTGAAAATATAAATCCTTTTTTTGGTCAACCACTAAAAATGGCTACTGTTAATTAATTGCATGTTGTGAATCAGATTTTTGTTAGCCCTAGCCATCACCACGACCTTTCAAATTAGATATGATTATTCCTACTTTGCTGAAGCTCAAAGAGATTAAATAACTTGCTAAAGGTGACACAGTTAACAATTTACCTAATTGCAAAGCTGCTATCCTTCTATGATACATCTGAAAATTCAGAATCCTGGTATCAGGTAATCCCCAGAGTACATTATTTGTTTATCCATTCATTCAACAACTATTTAATAAAGCCTATTCAGCTTAAACTGGAAACATAGTTGATTGAAGTCACTGATATTTGAGATATGGTCTAACAGTCTTGACTATTCATGCTCTAACTCTCAATGATTTGTTCCTAAATCAAGTTAGGTGAGCAGAGGTCAGAATAATTAGACCATGTTAGCTTAGTTTCCCAAGTCATTTGTTTTCCTATTATGTCTTTCTTTCTATTTGACTATATATGAGAACTGTCCATATGATAAACATTTTGGTAGTTCATACAAGATGATGGAGGAGAGAGGTTTCATTGTCCTCTATTTCTCTCAATATTACCTATAGAACACTGTACTTATTAAATTCTATTTGAAAACTAATGTAAATACAAATTTAGTATTTTTAGATAAATTCAAATACTTTCTTTCAAAAAATCACACAAGTAGAACCACACACTCTATATTTTGCCCCCTTTTTTGGTCTCAGAAGCAGCAACTGCCGCATTTTAGAGCCCTTGGATGTCTTTCATTCTCTAAGGGGTTTCCAATCTCTTTTCTGGGTTTTAACTATTGTATCTTTCAAAGTAGATAGGCAGCAAACAAAGAAGAAAGAAAAAATAATTGGGACGTTATGTTTCCCTGCACCTTTACAGAATTCACCAAAAGAAATCAAGCAATGCTTTTCAAAGAGTAATACACTTTAGCATTCAGTGTCTGTAACCACTCTACAATAAGCATAAAGTTCTCAGAAAACACTTGGAATCTGTGCACGTTTCAGAAATTTTCCCATAGTTGTAAAAGTTATGGGGAATTTAATGTAAAAAGCAGGCGATATTACTGCAAATTTGCCCCAGTACTAAAAAAAGCACTCAAAACACATTTTGTTAATTCTGAATATTCCACAAAGTCATCATTAGTATCATTAGTGTAGGAAATGGGCAAAAGAAATGTCTAACTTGGAAACACATACAGATATCGTATTAATGAAATGCATAACAGAAGTGAAAAATAGTCTTTACCATTTTTCGTCATGGCAATACGGTATATTGTATATTTAAGTGATAAAATTTTAAATGCAGAAGAAATAAATTCACTATATTTGGAAGTTCATGAATGATTTAAAACCATGAAATGACTTGGGATACTGAGAAAGTATAAATGGACATATCCCTAATGGCCAGAAAGAATTACTGAACTTTGAAAGAAAGTAAATTCACTTTATGAATTTGCTAGCCATCTCAAGTGTAGTTAAAAGCCACTCTATTTACAAAAGTTTATCACAATTTTATTTATATTTTCCATTGAATTAGATTTCTCCCCCCTAGATAAACAGATCAGTTGTTATCAGACGGTCTACACAAAACTGCTGCATGGTCAATGGGAAAAAAATAAAAGTGGGAAAAGAGCATTATCATTGATAAATTCAGCTAGAAAATGATATAGAGTATTAACAAAGTAATTTTATAAATTGTTAATAAATTATATCTATTATATAAAATATATGTACATAAATAAGGTATGAGGGAAGGGGACTGGATTGTTGTTGGTATCTGTCACATATATATAAATTTATTGATGTCTGCTTTATAAATGCCAAGTGTACTAAGGGATATATTTCTCCAAGCTCAGAAAAAAAAATTTTTTTTTTTTTAGAAGTGTGAAGTGGGGAATCAGGGGTCTCATAGCCTTCAGAGCTGAGAGCCCTGAACAGAGATTTACCCACATATTTATTAACAGCAAGCCAGTCATTAGCATCATTTCTATAGATATTAGATTAACTAAAAGTATCCCTTATGGGAAACGAAGAGATGGGCGGAAATAAAGGGATGGATTGAGGTAGTTATCTGCAGCAGGGGCATGTCCTTAAGGCACAGATCACTCATGCTATTGTTTGTGGTTTAAGAACACCTTTAAGCAGTTTTCTGCCCTGGGCGGGCCAGGTGTTCCTTGCCCTCATTCCGGTAAACCCACTACCTTCCAGCATGGGCATTACGGCCATCATGAACATGTCACAGTGCTGCAGAGATTTTGTTTATGGCCAGTTTTGGGGCCAGTTTATGGCCAGATTTTGGGGGGCCTGTTCCCGACACAAAGAGACAAGCAGCAAGAGGAAGAAATGCAAGATCCTACAGGAAAAACAGAGAATACCTCTAATTTCCACCTCCCCCACAATGCCCAAGTCATCTAGTCCAGAAATCGTACTTTGTTTACACTGACAGAAGTAAGTACATTGGAATTACAAATCTTGGATATAATCCCAAGCTTGCTGTAACAGAAAGGACATAGAAATCAGCCTAAAGGGAGTCCCAAAGGCCAATCCTGGGACAATTTCAGCATCAAAATAAATAATTGATATTAACAGATTACAGGCCATTGAATAAAATAGAAAACCATGCTTCCAGAATCATAGAAACAAACATATATAGAGAATATAAAACTCTTCTTCAAGGTAGAAAGCCAATTAACAACTGTAGAAGAAACAATGGAATTATAAAATCTTCATTTGGAGGTGATTGTAATAAGTGATTAAAGCAAGTGTCATCAATGGATGAAACTAGAGGATAAAGTTTTTTTTTTTTTTTTTTGAGATAGAGTTTCACTCTTGTTGCCCAGGCTGGAGTGCAATGGCACAATCTCAGCTCATTGCAACCTCCACCTCCCAGGTTAAAGCAATTCTCCTGACTCAGCCTCCCAAGTAGCTGGGATTACAGACATGCACCACCACGCCCGGCTAATTTTGTATTTTTTTAGTATAGACGGGGTTTCTCCATGTTGGTCAGGCTGGTCTCAAACTCCCAACCTCAGGTGATCCACCCGCCTCGGCCTCCCAAAGTACTGGGATTACAGGCGTGAGCCACCGCGCCCAGCCAGAAAAGAATATCTGATAAGGGCGGGGCACTGTGGTTCACGCCTGTAATCCCAGCAGTTTGGGAGGGAGAAGCAGGAGGCTAGCCTGAGCCCAAGTTTCAGATCAGCCTGCTCAACATAGTGAGACTCCTGTCTGTACAAGAAAGTAATAGATAGATAGATAGATAGATAGATAGATAGATAGATAGATAGATAGGCAGACAGTAGGTGGCTTGCACCTGTAGTCCCTGTTACACCGGAGGCAAAGGTGGGATAATTGCTTGAGCCTAGGAGTTTGAGGCTGCAGTGAGCTATGATCGTACCGCTGCATTCCAGCTTGGGAGACAGAGCAATTAAAAAAAAAAAAGAAAGAAGATTTGATATAAACTCACCTCAATTAACCCATGACTGTCTTTAGAAAATACCGAATCACCTGACAGCAAAAGGGGCTCGCTTTTTTCAAAGCTCTCCTGGCTGACGAGCATGTCTGCATAGTTGGGCTGGGGGAAGATCAGGTGACTCTTCCGCGAGTCCGTGGTGAGGGAAACCTCGTGGGAATAGGTCTGCAGGAAAGCCTGCACCCCGTCCACGCCCACAAAGTGCGACGCCGGCGCTCCTGTCAAGCCGCCTCCTGAAGCCTGCAGCAGGCGTGACTTGTGCCAGCGCCGCAGCCTGAGCGCCAGCAGCAAGATGACGAAGGCCAGGAAGACGCAGGAGACCGCGGCCACCGCTACCACCAGGTACAGAGTGAGGTCTGAGGTTTCAGAGTTAGCTGGAGACTCGAGGCTGCCGAGGTCCGCCAGGACTTGGGGGATGCTGTCGGCCACGGCCACGGTGAGCGTGACAGTGGCGGAGAGAGGGGGCTGGCCGTGGTCCTGGACGGCCACTACGAGGCTCTGCTTGAGCGCGTCTCTGTCCAGCAGGGCTCGCGCCGTGCGCACCTCGCCCGTGTGCAGACCCACCGAGAAGAGTCCCGGCTCGCTGGCCTTGAGCAGACGGTAGGACAGCCAGGCGTTCTGGCCGGAGTCTCTGTCCACCGCCACCACCTTGGTCACCAGGTAGCCGGGCTCTGCGGAGCGGGGAGCCAGCTCCACGCCAGTGGAACCGTCCGTGGGGAGGGCGGGGTACAGGATCTCGGGCGCATTGTCGTTCTGGTCCAGCACGAACAGGCTCAACGACACGTTGCTGCTGAGGGGCGGGTGCCCGTTGTCCCGCGCCATCACTTTCACTTGCAAGTCTCGGAACTGCTCGTAGTCGAAGGAGCTCAGCGCATACAGTACCCCAGTGTCGGAGTTGATGGACACGTAGGACGATAGGCTTGCCCCTTGGATGGTGTTCTCAGCCAGGGAATAAGTGATCTGGGCGTTCTCTTCACAGTCGGGGTCGTGGGCGGTCACAGAGACGAGGGAAACTCCTCTGGGATTGTTCTCTGGGATATAAGCGGAATAGGAGGCCTGAGGGAAGACCGGCGGGTTGTCGTTGGTGTCTGCCACGTTCAGCGAGATATGAGTTTCCGTGGATAGGGGCGGGGTTCCCCGGTCAGTGGCGGTCACTGTGATGTTGTAGCTAGGAACCTGTTCCCTATCCAAGACTATGTCTGTGACTAAACTATAGTAATTTCCGTAAGATTTTTCTAATTTAAAGGGCAGATTTCCTTGGATGAAACAGATCACCTGTCCGTTTTCCTCAGAATCTTGGTCATTTACATTTAAAAGGGCAATTAATGTCCCTCTGGGAGAGTTTTCGGGAACCGAGCTGGCGAGAGAGGTGAGGACCACTTCTGGGGCATTGTCGTTCACGTCCAGAACAGTGATCAGGACTTTGGCTCGCGCAGAATATCCTGCATTATCCATTGCTTGCACTTCCATCTGGTAGAATCCTGACTCCTCGTGGTCCAACTCCCCTATTGTTGATATTGTCCCTGAATTACAATCTAGTTTGAAAACTTGGGCCGCCTTGTCGTCCACATACCGGAAGGAATACCTCACTTCCGCATTGACTCCTTCGTCAGGGTCGGTAGCGTTGACTACAAGCAGCTGCGTGCCCAAGGCCAGATTCTCCGGAACGCTCGCGCGGTACTCGGGCTGAGCAAACGCTGGTGCGTTGTCGTTCGCATCCAGAACCATCACGCGGATGCGCGCGGTGCCTGTGCGCACCGGGTCGCCCCCGTCGGAGGCCGTAAGGACCAGGTGGTGAGCAGCCTTTTCTTCGCGGTCCAGGGCGCGTTTCAGCACCAATTCGGGGTACTTACTACCGTCGGCTCCATTTTGCACGATGAGGGAGAAGTGAGTGTTCGGGCTGAGCTCGTAGCTCTGCAGAGAGTTCTTCCCGATATCCGGATCCCAGGCGTGGGGTAGAGGGAACCGCATCTCAGTGGCTGCATTTTCACTAATTTTTATTTCTAATTCACTTTCACGAAAGTAAGGCGCATTGTCGTTAATGTCCCTTACTTCTACTTCTACTCCATATATTTTCACTTTATCCTCCATCAGAATGTCTAGATTTAATTGACACTTGATGGCCCCCATACAGAGCTCCTCCCGGTCTATCCTGCCCGCCGTGACCAAGCTGCCGCTGCGCGGATTCAGGGCGAAAAGCTGCGTCCTACCTCTGGGGATGATGCGGACTCCGCGCTCCGCGAGCTCCCGGGGCTCCAGCCCCAGGTCCCTGGAGATGTCGCCCACCCTAGAGCCTTTCTCCAGCTCTTCCGGAACTGAATAGCGTATCTGGGTGCATCCGGTCTCCCACAGAGTCCCCAGGAGGATTCCCAGCAGGACAAGCCCTTTGTAGTCCCGGTGCAGTCGCGCAGGAATCATTCTTATCTTCCTCCAGAATTATTTTCAATTCTGCCCTTAACCACTGAAGTCAGGAGCAGTTCCTTCGCCCATAGAATGGGACAGTTGGGAAGTCAGAGCTCCTCCGTTGTTTCCACATACTCCCAGGGATGGTTCATTCCTAGCTATCTGCTTTGTGCTTCAGGCGCGTGCAAGGCGAGCAGGATCTCCGCTTTTCTCTCCCCGATTGGTGAACAGCGGCGCTCAGAGTCCTAACCAATTACTGCACAATCTTGAACTCCCAGAAAGGATATTTCGTTTTTATATCTTAAATAGCTCCACCTACTGTTCTTCAAAAGGGGATGGAAATCTACCGTATTCGCTTTAATAGAAACTTTAGTGAGCTTTTTTTTTTTTTCCCAATGAGCTTTTTTTTCCCCAATGAGCTTTTAAATGAATTGGAAGTTTCTATAAACAATGATTTTAATCTTATAATGTTAGTGCATCTGCTTTGAGATTACTGTTCCCCCAACACACCTATTATGGAGATGTCTCCCTAGGAGTTTCTCTTTTTGACAAATCATATAATATAATAATTTAAACTTTCTGATTCAGCTATAATTTGGGGAAAATATTTTTAAATAGATTCCTTGAATGATCCTGAATGGAAGGATTACTTTACCAGGTTGTTGACATGTAACGCTTAAAAATCAAATTTTCATGATATTATGGAAACCTAAAAATGATATGTGATTGTATACATTATCAGAATCACACTTAACAAGAACCCAAGTGAAAAAGAAACATTAATATTTTTAGCATAAAGTAGAAGCATTCCAACTTGCATTGACTGGAAATAATGGAAGTACTCCAGAATTCTATTAATACATTATATTTCAAAAATATTTATTGTTCAGGAAACTTAGTAAAAGAAAATTGGTAGTCCAAAGAATGTTACAGACTTACCTTTTCCTGGGTAACTGACCTAATTGTAATTACTGAGAATTACTGGTAATACTTTTGGAAGCCCATCAAAATATAGGGAAAAAATTCTCCCTAAGAAATAACTGGCTACGTACTTTCATGAGCGTAAATATTTATACTGTAAAGATATTTGCTAGGCATAAAATAAAATAATATATTTTAAATTGGGAAGAAATATATAGGTAGCTGTGAGAAAATATCAGACATAAAATTGAGTTTACTTGAATTACAAGAATCAAAAGTAAATGTAACTGAATATTATCAAATCATTACCATGTTCTTATTTTTTTAAGCTTTTTTCTCTGCCAGGCACAGTTTCAGGCAACTGTAGTCTCAGCTACTCTGGAGATTGAGGTGGGAGGATTACTGTAGCCCAAGAGTTTGAGTCCAGCCTGGGCAACATAATGAGACCTTAATCTCAATTTTTTTTAAAAAAAAAACACATTTTCTCCATTTTCTCATGCATTTTCTTCAAAATTTATAGTTAATGGATTAAAGAAAAAGCCTTATATACTCAAATATTGATGTCCCAAGAAACATCACAGGAAAAAAATTTATTCCTCAATTAAAATATCTCAATGACAGCAGTATCATAATACCCACTTTTCACACGTGTGTGTGTGTGTGTGTGTGTGTGTGTGTGTGTGTATAAACAATGTCTCCGGGCCGGGTGCAGTGGCTCACGCCTATAATCCCAGCACTTTGGGAGGCCGAGGCGGGCAGATCACGAGGTCAGGAAATCGAGACCATCCTGGCTAACACGGTGAAACCCCGTCTGTACTAAAAATGCAAAAAATTAGCCGGGCGTGGTGGCGGGCGCCTGTAGTCCCAGCTACCCGGGAGGCTGAGGCGGGAGAATGGCCAGAACCCGGAAGGCAGAGCTTGCAGTGAGCCGAGATCATGCCACTGCACTCCAGCCTGGACCACAGAGCGAGACTCCGTCCAAAAAAAAAAAAAGTCTCCCGTAAAAATGGTGAAAATGTTTCAAAAATACATGAAAGCTAATAATGAAGTTACTGGCCCACACAGAAAGGAACAGGAAATATTAAGAGTGGGCAAACAAACCTGAAGCAATAGTAGATATAATATGTTTAAGATTTTCTTGCCAAAATATTGGTTTGAAAATTAAACCTCATCCATTTGTAAATGAAAGACATTCATTGGAACTCACGTGAGTAGGAGCAACAGAGTTAGAGCTTATCTTGTTATTCTCTTCAGTGAAGCTTGCTACCAGAGAAACTTCATTAGAAAGATCTTGTGGGGGGACTGTTTCTGGTGTCATGGTGAGAAAATTAAATCTTCTTTTTCTAGAATCCGAGGGAACATACAGATTGCAGGAATAAAGCAAAGTTCCCTCATTGTAGTTGGGAAAAACCCCTGGTCTAGTCTTAGAACAGAGACCAGGGTGAAAGCAACCCCAGGCAGAGGGGCTGGAAGAGCATCGCAGGTGCAAGGCGACCGCCAAAATCACTGCGAGGAAGAAGAGCATAGAAATCAAGGCCAAGGCCACGACCAGGTAAATCTGCAGCTTTGCTTGGGAATCAGAGGGCACAGGACTGTCACTGAAGTCTGGCAGTGCCTCCTGCAGGCTGTCTGCGAAGACTAGGTGAAGCGTAGCGGCGCAGAGAGCGGCGGCTGTCCTCCGTCACGCACAGCAACCAGCAGGTTCCCGTGTGCAGCCCCAGGCTGAAAAGCCCGGGCTCGATGGCCTGCAGCACGTGGTAGGACAGCCAAGCGTTGTGTCCCGAATCTGCGTCCACCGCCACCACCTTGGTCACCAGGTAGCCGGACTCTGCGGCGCGTGGCACTATATCGAAGAGTGCGGAGCCATCGGGCCCCAGCGCGGGGTACAGCACCCGCGGCACATTGTCATTGAGGTCGCCCACCAACATGCGCCGGCTCATGTTGGCGCTGAGCGCGGGCGAGCCCTGGTCGTGGGCCTGCATCGTGAGCTCGAAGGCGCACAGCTGCTCGTGGTCGAAGGCACGCTGCGCGACCACCACCCCGCTCTGTGCGCTCACGGACACGTAGGACGACAGTGCCCGCAGCTCCAAGTCAGTGGTAACGATGGAGTAGGAGACTTGGCCATTCAGCCCTAGGTCCAGGTCAGAGGCGCTGACTTGTGGGATGGAGGCTCCGGGAAGGTTGTTTTCGGCCACGTGGACCACGTAGGAGACTTGGTGGAAAACCGGAGCATTGTCGTTGACTTCACCAATGCGTAGGGTGAGGCTTGTGCTGGATGAGAGCGGAGGCTTGCCCTTGTCAGTGGCAGTGATGGTGACGTTGTACTCCGGGATCCGCTCCCAATCCAGGGTCCCATCTGTTACAAGCTTATAGTCATTATTGGCGGAAGATTCGATTCTAAAAGGAACTCTTTCGTTTATGAGGCATGTAACCTCCCCATTTTCTCTCGAATCTTTATCATGTGTTTTGAACAGAGTGATCACCGTCCAGGGTTCTGCGTCCTCAGTTACAGAACTGGACACTGAAGTAAAAACCACGTCTGGGGCATTGTCATTCTCATCTAGGATTTCTAGTATAATTTTACATTCGCTGGTCATGCCTCCACCATCCTTAGCTTCTACTCTCATGGTATAACTGCTACGAAATTCGAAGTCTATTAAGTCTTTGGATTTAATTTCCCCATTTTGATGGTCTAGCACAAACATATTTCCAATATCATCTCGTAGGGATTTGAAAGAGTAGGTGATCTCCGCATTGACACCCTCATCCTGGTCAGTGGCTGTCACCTTTAGTACAGAGGTGCCTGGGGGCACATTCTCTCTAAGGCTGACTTTGTATACATCCTGGCTAAAAACTGGGGCATTATCGTTGGCATCAGTGACCTCAATTTGAATTGCAGCAGTGCCAGTTGGGACTGGGTCACCCATGTCCATTGCTTCCAGGACCAGGAGATGAGAGCTCTGTTGCTCCTGGCCCAGGGGCTTCTCCAGCACTAATTCTGGAGCGTTCTTGCCTTTAGTCTTGTCCATCATCAGAGAGAAATGTTCATTAGAACTGAGCTGGTAACTCTGGAGAGAGTGAGGCCCTACATCTGCATCTATAGCAGATTCCAGGCCAAACCGAATGCCTGGAATTGCTAGTTCATTGATTTGTAAAACAATGCTATTTTGGGGAAAATGAGGTGGGTTATCATTTATATCTTCTATCATCACATTTATGTGAAAAACATTTAGAGGATTCTCTGCTACAATCTCTAAGGGTATGACACAGAGGATTTTGAAGACAGTGACTCTCGATCTATTCTGTCACTCACAAGTATGTTCCCATTCTCCGTGTTCACGGTAAAGTATTGTTTCTCTGCACTAACTCTAAGGTTTCAGGTCAATAAATCCTGAACATGCAGCCGCATGTCCTCCGCAAGGTTCCCCACCACGGAGCCCTGGACCGTTTCTTCTGGAATAGAGTAGCGGATCTGCTCCGAGGGTGCCCCGCAGAACAAAGGCAGCAGGAAAGGGAAGAGTGCTTGCCACTGCCGGGTCCTGCTTCTCTGCTTCACCCTGTTTCCCATCCTTCCCATGCGTTGCTGCAGTCTCCGACGTTAAGAGAAAATGTTTCACAAAGTGCTTTTAAAATATTTACTTCCATACATAGAAAACTCAATGCTCCCAGTTTGAGGGCACCCCAATCCGTATGGAATCAGATTTGCAGGAGCAGAAAGCCCAAGTCTTGGCCACTCTCCGACTTGCTTCTGTGACTGAACAGAATATCGTCCTGGTAGATCCCAGGCTCCAGTTCTTGCAGCACATTGGCCAACAGCAGGGCTCTGAGTCTATTTAGAAAACTGCAGCCGGAAGCCTTTGCTAATTCAATGGGATTCAGAATTAGACTGATGTGTTGGACTAATGTATAGGAAACTAGACATTTTATGAGTTTTCGTAGTGACTGTTTTCCAGTGTTTACTACCAAAGAAGATTCCTTAGAGATGGGAATCTATAGAACAGTCATTAACCCAGCAAAGAGAATTTAAAAGTTTGTTTTTTTCTAAGCAGAAGCAATGCACATATTGGAAGAACTAGGCAAAGTCTTCTCTCCTGTTGTAGAACAAAAACCTTGTGGGAAAACATCCCCATCAAGTGGTATGGGAAAATTTTGACCACTATGAAATGATATGCAGTATTATTTTCAATCTGATGTGCAGATAATTTTCCTCCTAGTTTTATCAGAGAAAACTGGAGGAGCACTGAAAGCTATATAGGGCATATTCAGAATAAAGTTAGCCAAACCCTTCTTATCACTTATAAAAGAGGTTTCTGAAAAGGATTATTGTTTCATGTTTCATCATAAAGAGAATATAAAGGTATAGCCTAGTAGGTTGCCATAGGAATTAATAACATGAAATGTGATGGTGTTTTATTTTTATCCTCTATTTAATGGGACTATATGTTATACCTTAACAGAACTTTATCACTACCTCCGAATCAACATAACCCTCTTAATATCACATTTCAAAGCCAACCCTTCCTTTTTGTTCTCCACGATCTTGGGAAGTTAGTTTAGATGAGGTTTTATAATATGGAACAATCTCCTTTTCCCAGCCAAATACCTCATATCCTTTTTATTTAACTAATTCCAGTCAAAGTACAATGCCTTACATCATTTTTCTCAGTTTGGAATTCCACAAGTATAAATCCTATCCCTAGATGCTCAAAATACCTGAACATTTTTCTTGACTTCAAGAAAAATGTAGGCATCTGTTGGAAGACTTGCCTTTCCTACAGTTGAAATTATTTTTGTCCGAGCCCTAGATAGTCAGTTTACAACTAATGACATAAGGTAAATTCCTAAATGAGAAAACTAAACTTGAAAGGGAACATAAATATCCAAGTAATTTGGGGCAAATACCTAGAAGTGATGTGAGAGTGTTGACTGAATTGATTATGGAAATGATTCCTGTGATCAAAAACCCTAGATAAGTCTCCTTTCCTCATTTGGCTTTCCTAGACATTGCTTCAGATAACATGTATGTCAGGCAACTATCAAGCTTCAATAACAAGTTGGTCTGAATAAAAGAACTGAATGTACTATTTGCCATAAGAATGACCTTATAAAGAAAGAAAGAAGGAATCTATGACTCCCAACTACACTGAAAATGAACAAAAAAATAGCCAGAAGGATACTAGCTAAATCAGTTTAATTAAAGTCCAAATACCTTCAATCTATTTATATATTCACAAACTACTCTATTTGAATAAATCTGTAGACATCTTTAGCACATTTGAAAATAGGTTTTTGAGAAGCACTGAATCAAAATCAAGTTATTTCTATATATGGATTTACTACATTAAAAAACCTTCCATACATACAAACACAGACACCAAAGTAAAAGAATAAAAGGAAATAATACCAGTTCAATAATTCAATTATTTCCTCAGAACAGTCAATGTAACTTCACCATAGTAATGGAAAAGACATCTAGAGCTTAAGAAAAAATGTGATCTAAATTTTATCTCCCAAGGAAATCCAGTAGTTAAAAGCCAGTCAATATGTCTGTGTTGATAGGATGAAGAAATGAGACAAAGTTGAAATAGTCAACAGGATCTAAGCATATTACCAGCCACCAAGAATCAAAATAAAATTGCTCAGAGAAAAGCTTACGTGTATAAGTGTGTGTGCATGTGTATAGATAGATAGATGAGAAGGAGAGCTAGAGGGAGCATGCTATTAAATCAACAGGATCAAAATTTGAACATTAGCAGTAATAGCAAATAATGGTGGAATATAACTACAAATCAGTGAAGGCACAGCAAAATTGAAATGGAAATAAAAAGTGTTTGTGAATCATTAATTTGTATCTATATATAATAAATTGAGAGCCTCATACACTGATAATAGAAAAATAATACTAAAATTCAACTTACTTCAAACCAAACCAGCATAGTTGAATGGCCCCTTTGAAATCAAAAGAAAATATGCCAAGATTGAAAAATGACTTTCACAAAAACGTTCTGAAAGATTATCGTAATCTCATGAAAGGCAAAGTAAAACTCACATGTATTGCTCTAAATATATATGAACTAAATATATGCCGCCCCACCCCCCCCCCAAACAGTTTTCATAACAGGCTCAAAAAACATCTCCTTAAAAGACTTGTGCCAAGACACCAACAATTAGGAGGCAGAGAAATAAATCTCACCTGATTACTTGTCGGGTCACATTTGCCTAAAATGATAGCTGAGTCTTCAGCTATCAAGAGTGGCTCGCTTTTCTCACAGCTCTCCTGGCTGATGAGCGTGTCCCCATAGTTGGGCTGGGGGAAAATCAGGTGACTCTTCTGCGAGTCCGCAATGAGAGAGACCTCGTGGGAATAGGTTTGCAGGAAAGCCTGTACCCCGTCCACGCCTACAAAATGTGACGTGGGCATACCTGCCAACCCGCCTTCAGAAGCCTGCAGCAGGCGTGACTTATGCCAGCGCCACAGCCTGAGTGCCAGCAGCACGATGACAAAGACCAGGAAGATGCAGGAGACTGCGGCCACCGCCACCACCAAGTACAGCGAGAGGTCTGAGGTTTCAGAGTTAGCCAGAGACTCGAGGCTGCCGAGGTCCGCCAGGACTTCGGGGATGCTGTCGGCCACAGCCACGGTGAGCGTGACGGTGGCCGAGAGAGGGGGCTGGCCGTGGTCCTGGACGGCCACCACGAGGCTCTGCTTGAGCGCGTCTCTGTCCAGCAGTGCCCGCGCTGTACGCACCTCGCCCGTGTGCTCCCCCACCGCGAAGAGTCCCGGCTCGCTGGCCTTAAGCAGGCGATAGGACAGCCAGGCGTTCTGGCCTGAATCTTTGTCCACCGCAACCACCTTGGTCACCAGGTAGCCAGGTTCCGCAGAGCGGGGCGCCAGCTCCACGCCAGTGGAGCCGTCTGTGGGGAGGGCAGGGTACAGGATCTCGGGCGCATTGTCGTTCTGGTCCAGCACGAACAGGCTCAGCGACACGTTGCTGCTGAGGGGCGGGTCCCCGCTGTCACGTGCTATCACTCTCAGTTCTAAGTCTCGAAACTGCTCATAGTCGAAGGATTGTAGGGCATAGAGAACACCAGTGTTGGAGTTAATAGAGACATAGGAGGACAGAGGCACCCCCTGGACAGTGTCATCCGTCAGAGAGTAAGTGACCAGGGCATTCTGTTTGCTGTCCGGGTCGAGGGCGGTCACTGAGAAGATGGAGGCACCCCTGGGGTTGTTTTCGGGAATGTAGGCAGAGTAAGAGGAGTGAGGAAAAACGGGAGGGTTATCGTTGTCATCTGCCACATTCAGCCAGACATGAGTTTCTGCAGACAAAGGCGGGCTTCCCTGGTCTGTGGCTGTCAACGTTATATTGTAGCTCTGGACCAACTCCCTGTCCAGCACTCTGCTTGTTATCAATTTGTAATAATTTCCATAAGTCTTTTCTAATTTAAAAGGCAGGTGGTTAGGAATAAAACAGGAGACTTGACCATTTTCTCCAGAATCTTGATCTTGCACATTTAGAAGAGCAATCACTGTACCTGGAGGAGAGTTTTCCAGAATTGAATTAATAGAAGAGGTGATAGTTATTTCTGGAGCGTTATCATTCACATCCACAACAGTGATCAACATCGTCGTGGTGGTAAAGAGACCTCCACCATCTTGGCCTTGAATTTCCATCTCATAGAATCTATATTTTTCAAAATCCAGAGACCCCCGTACTTGAACTTCTCCAGTTTGTGAATCCAATTGGAATATTTCAGAAGCCTTGCTTTCCATGTTCCGAAATGAATACATTACTTCCCCGTTGATTCCCTCGTCTGGATCCGTTGCATTAACCATCAGCACCCGAGTTCCGGAGCTGATGTTTTCTGGAACACTCACGCGATATACGGACTGTGTAAACATTGGGATGTGATCATTTACATCGAGGACCACCACACGAATGGGAACTGCGCCCTTTCGGATGGGATCGCCTCCATCTAAAGCTGTGAGGAGGAGCAGGTGAGCAGCCTCTTTCTCTCGGTCCAGGCTTCCCTCCAGTACTAGCTCTGGATTCTTGGCCCCATCCGTTCTGCCCCGCAGTTGCAAGGAAAAGTAATTATTAGGGCTGAGCTGGTAGCTCTGGAGGGAGTTCACGCCCACATCTGGATCCCTAGCATTAGGAAGAGCAAATCGCGCCCCAGGAATTGCGTGCTCACTGACTTTTATCTCCACTTCGTCCTCCTGGAAGCTGGGGGCGTTATCATTAATATCTATTATTTCCACCTCCACTCCGTAAATCTTCAAGGTGTCTTCCACGAGAAGTTCCATATTTAAAAAACAGGAGGACACCGTCTCACAGAGCTCCTCCCGGTCTATCCTGCCTGCCGTGATCAAGCTGCCGCTTCGCGGATTCACAGCGAAAAGCTGTGTCTTCCCTCTGGAGACGATGCGGACTCCGCGCTTCGCCAGCTCCCGGGGCTCCAGCCCCAGGTCCTTGGAGATATTGCCCACGAAGGAGCCCTTTTCGGTCTCTTCTGGCACCGAATATCGGATCTGCCTGGCCCGGAACCCCCGCAGCGTCCCCAGGAAAATGCACAGCAGCAGCAGCAGCCGACTGCGGTCCCCGCGCTGTAGCCGATTCGCCATGGCAGGCTCTAAGCCGATATTCCGCGGTTTCTCGAGCTGGTTGGTTGTGAATCGGCTTATGTATCTATGAAGTCCTAGGCCGACTACATCCAAAATATATCAGAAAGCGAAGGAAAATACTTCTAAGTCTCCAGTGTCAGGATCTGTGAGTATCCATCTCATTCCGCTTTGTGTGGTAGAGGCGGGGGAGGGAGGGACTCAATGGCGCGCAGCTTCCCATTCCCTGATTGGTGAGCAGCGGCGCCTAGAGCCCATTCTTATTATTGCAACGACTAAGAAATTCCAGAAGAAATGATTACGCTCACCTTTGTGAATCACACGTATTTGTAGAGCTTAAAAACGATGATACACAATACTTACATTATGTGACGTTAAAACTTTACCAAGAACACCTGCGAAAGGAGTAATTATTAAAAGGGCTTGCTTAATTTTTAAAAAGTTTTCAAAATATTACTGGAGCTGAAAACTTGTAGGTTGTAGTTGGTTCCAATTGATTTTAACCGACTGAAAGGAACGACATTTCTGGAAGTGGAAATAATACGGTCCCGATAAAATCATCAGGTAGGATGCCTAACTATAATTCTTACAAGGTTCCTTTATTGAGTAAATGAAGATGAAATACTTGAGAAAAATTGAGTAGCATCAGGGTTTCAATTAAAATACCATGCCGTAAAAATATACCTGTATTTTATATTTTTAACCGAAAGGTATTTTACTTCATAAAAATGTCACCGGAGATTACCCATGTAGTTTGCTTTAAAATGTCTTTGAATAGTAGGAAGACTGAGGCATTTAATTTAAACTTTTGTTTTAATAATGATAACCATAAATTTGACCTATATTTTGCGAACTCTATGAAGAAGTTATCTAGAATCTTAAAATAATACCACTATATTGGAATATATTGGCATATTGTAATATAAAAAGGATTAAATACATTTTTAAATACTTACCTGTTTAAGAATCTTCTTATCTGCTTCAACGCTGGGAGTTAAAATGCTAGCCAGTAGCATGCTATCTTTGTTGAGGTTATCTTGTGTGGCTGGACAATGATCAACAGATGTGAAAAAATTAAATTCTGGATTCATTTGATCCCCAGGCACACAAAAATTATAGGCATAGGGCAACGTTCCCTCACTGTAGTTGGGGGGACCCACAGGTCCGGACTTGGAGCAGAGAACTGACTCAAAGCAGTCTCCTGCAGTAGGGCTGAAAGACTGTCGCAGGCGTAGAGCAATAGCTAGAATCACCGCGAGGAGAAAGAGCACAGAAATCAAGGCCAAGGCCACCACCAGGTAAAACTGCATCTCAGCCTGGGAGTCAGAGGGTGTGGGATGGTCGCTGAAATCCGGCAGTACCTCTTGCAAGCTATCTGCGAACACCAGGTGCAGCGTGGCAGTGGCTGAAAGGGGTGGCTGTCCTCCATCTCTTACAGCGACTAGCAGGCGCTGGCGGACCGAGTCCTTGTCACCCAAAGCACGCACCATGCGCACCTCGCCTGTTCGCAGCCCCAGGCTGAAGAGCCCGGGCTCACTGGCCTGCACCACGTGGTAGGACAGCCAGGCATTGTGCCCCGAGTCCGCGTCCACGGCCACCACCTTGGTCACCAGGTAGCCTGGCTGCGCGGCCCGCGGCACTGTGTCGAAGAGCGCGGAGCCGTCGGGACCCAGCGCAGGGTACAGCACCCGCGGTGCGTTGTCGTTACGGTCGCCCACCAACACGCGCAGGCTCACATTGGCGCTGAGCGCGGGCGAGCCCTGGTCGCGGGCCTGCAGCGTGAGCTCGAAGGTGCGCAGCTGCTCGTGGTCGAAGGCGCGCTGCGCGAACACCACCCCGCTCTGCGCGCTCACGGACACGTAGGACGACAGCGTTCGTGACTCCAGGTCGCTGGCAATGAGAGAGTAGGAGACACGGCCGTTGAGCCCGAAGTCTGGGTCAGAGGCACTGACTTGCGCTATGGAGGCACCCGGCTGGTTGTTTTCTGGCACGTGGACCAGGTAGGCTGACTGTCCGAAAACCGGCGCGTTGTCATTGACGTCAGTAATGTGCAGGGTTATGGTTTTGCTGGAGGATAACGGAGGCTTGCCCCTGTCTGTGGCTGCGATGGTGACGTTGTACTCTGGGGTCTGCTCCCGATCCAGGGCCTCATCTGTTACTAGCTTGTAGTAATTATTAGAAGAAGAATGAATCTTAAATGGAACACCTCTACTTAAGCTACACCTGACTTCCCCATTTTCCCCTGAGTCTTGGTCCCGTGTTTTGAAGAGGGCAACAACCACTCCTGGAGGGGAATCCTCCATAATCTGATCAGAGAGTGACGTGATGATTATTTCTGGGCTGTTGTCGTTTTCGTCTACAACTTCTACAATTACTTTACACCGTGTTGAGAGAGATCCTCGGTCTTTTGCTTCTATGTTTATCGTATATCTTTCTACTTCTTCAAAATCCAAAGGCTGCTGAGTTAGAATGTTTCCTGTAGTGTAATCCAGAGAGAACACGTGCTGAGCTTTGTCAGCCACACCAAAGAAGGAATAAGTGATCTCTGAGTTGATGCCCTCGTCCTGGTCAGTGGCCTTCACTCTCAGGATGGAGGTGCCTGGAGGCACGTCTTCCCGAAGGCTAACCCTGTACACGTCCTGGCTGAACACTGGGGGGTTGTCATTGGCATCTATTACCAGGATTCTTATCTGAGCAGTACCGCTTCGGGGAGGGTCCCCACCATCTAAGGCGGTCAGTACCAAGTGGTGAGCGCTCTGCGTTTCTCGGTCCAGAGTCTTCTGCAATACTAATTCTGGATATTTGCCACCATCAGGATTGTCTTTCTCCACCAATGAGAAATACTCGTTAGGACTTAGTTGGTATTTGCTCAGCGAATTCATACTAATATCAGGATCTTCTGCAGACTCAAGAATTGTTCCCATCCCCAGGCTGACGGATTCACTGATTTCTAAGTTTATTTCATCTTTCCGGAATTGAGGGGCGTGGTCATTAACATCCTCAATCACCACAATGACATGAAAAATATTTAAAGGATTTTCCACCACAGCTTCCAATTGCAACTCACATCTTCTTCTCTCTTTGCATATTTGCTCACGGTCTATTCGGTCCTTCACAAGTAAGTCCCCGCTCTGCGCGTCTACGCTGAAGTGCAGCTTCTCCGCGCTCACTCGCAGCTCGCGAGCCGACACATCCAGGACACTAAGCCCTAGATCCTTAGCGAGGTTCCCCACCACCGAGCCCTTGGCCAGCTCCTCCGGAATCGAGTAGCGGATCGGCTCACACAGCGTGGGGTAGAACAAAGGCAGCAGCAAAGGAAATAGTACCTGCCGCGGGCCGGCCCGGCGCCTCTGCGCGCAGCTCCCTCCCATCGTTCGCTCGGGTTCTCGCTGGGTCCCCGCTTTTCCAGTTGGAGAAAGTGCACTCTACCGCGCTAAAAGAGCATTCGGCCCAGGACAGGAGGAGTCCCGGGTCTCGGAGCTGGCAATCTGGTGTGCTGGGCAAGGTCTGCGCAGCCGGGAGCCTCTGTGTGGGAGCTGGTTTTCTTTTCTGTTGTTGGCTGCGCAGGGAATCCCAGGCTAGAGGCTGAGGGATCCCCGGCGTCAGCGCTTGCTCTGCACTGGCCGACGGCGGCGCCCAGAGGCTCTGTGTGGGACTGCAACTTGACTTTTCTCTACCTCTTTCAAGGAATTTTTTTTAAACTACGAGTTGACAGCCAAAATATTTTAATCTTTTTCCTCAGTGATTCCTTTTACATCAGGAAATATATTTCCACTTGGTCATAACTATCATATCTTTTTATTTACTGAATTTACATATATCTTGAATAAATGAATATTTTTTCTTCAAAATTTAAAAAGGCACAAAATAATATAGCATGAAGGTTTATAGGTCTCCTATCCCACGGCCCATTGCTATCCAATTCCTCCATCCAGAGGCAGTCATTCTTGTTCCTTTTAAGAGTAATTATCTATGAAGCTGGAAGTACTGAAGATAAGCAACAAATTTTTTTGTCTTCAATTCTAGCCTATATTCACCCAGAAAGTAATAATTCCTTATTTCATACTTAAGTACTGGAATGCAACCATTGCCCTAGTCATTACCATCATCCAGGGTGTCCTGTATTGCTTTTAAATAATTATAATCAAAATATTTTCTCACAATAGCTACAATGTCAAGAGCAGTTTTTTTTAAAAAAAAAACCTGTATTTTTCAAAATAATAGAATTATTTGAGATGAATGCACAATAATTTTGACTCTCATTAACACAAATATAAAATAATAGTTTCAATGGTTTAATAGTTAATAACTATGACCCTAAAGAGTGTGCTTTCCTTCCACAGACCTATCATTCAACAAATGTTGACTGACCTGAAAAAAATCATGGAATTATAAGGGTCTTGAGAAACTTCGGAATGCTTTTTGACTTTATACTACCACATTTAGTAGAATACTAGTAATAAAATTAAGAGATCTACCTAATACGTCACTATTTTCATTGAACTAAATGAACTCATCAGTACCTCCAATGATCCTTTGTTTATATAATTTCCCTTCGTTGCATATATTCTTTTCTTTTTTACAGCTGTGGTTGGTGTTTATATTCTGATCTGCAGAAATGGCATTTCTTTCTTGACTCTAAGTTTATTTTGCCTCTCAATTTCAGAGTTTTCAGAGTTTCAGGTGTTTGCCTCCTTATACATTAAAGAGCCACTGAAATAGCTTTGTCATATATCTCTTGCTCCTGTTCTCGGGAACATGTACAAATTTATCTGTCTTCCCAACCCATATTTACTTTCAGCCTTAGTCACTAGAAAATTTAACAAAAAAGACAAAAGCAGAATCCCAAATATTCTTAATTTCACCCTCTATAGCCTCCTCAGGATCCCTATTGAGCAATGAAAGTTAAATTAAAATGCTATATCTTCCACATAGCAGTGTGAAATTAGAGAATTGTATGCAAAAAGGATACTGCAGTGTTATCAGTTATAAATAGGGCTGGAAAAATCTAAGCATACATTGTTATAAATAAATTGTTAATTCAATATTAATGAAAAACTTAGTATATTCAACTGCAACTATCACCACAAAGTATAGATTGAAAAATATATAAAATGTAGTTTGAAAAAGGCCTATTGCCCTTCTCCTTGGGAAGAACTGCATTGAGTATTCTTGGATTTGGGTTGTGTTTCCAGAGGTGATTTCTTTCTGATACTTACCTATTCTTACCAGACCTGCCTTCAGAACAAGAGGGTTGCTTAAGGGGCTGGAGTTTCAATATGTGACCACCCAGGAGGAAATATAAATTGACAGGCACTTCTGTATGGAAGTCTGTCTTAGGAATTGTCAATATTGTACTCAACAACACTATAAACTACAAGGTTCTGCAAAGCTAATCATAACAAAGCCTTATGATATATAGGCCTTGATTGAGACTAGGTGAATTTTACCAGAAAGTAAAAAAAAAAAAAAAAAAAAAAAAAAAAAAAACCTTAATAAACATCAAATTCTACTCATCAGTGTTTTAGCATTTACACTTTCCACCATCATGCCGCAAACTTCAAAGTAAAAACCAATCTTTTTTTTTTTAACAAAAGTAAAAATGAAAATAAAACTCACTGGAACCAATGGGGTATCCTCTATAGGAAACTTCGAATCATCTAACAAAGACAAAGGATCGTTTTTCTCACAGCTCTCCTGGCTGATGAGCGTGTCCGCATAATTGGGCTGGGGGAAGATCAGGTGACTCTTTCGCGAGTCCGCGGTGAGAGAGACCTCGTGGGAATAGGTCTGCAGGAAAGCCCGAACCCCGTCCACGCCCACAAAGTGCGAGCCGGACACACCTGTCAAGCCGCCTCCTGAAGCCTGCAGCAGGCGTGACTTGTGCCAGCGCCGCAGCCTGTGCGCCAGCAGCACGATGACGAAGGCCAGGAAGACGCAGGAGACCGCGGCCACCGCTACCACCAGGTACAGAGTGAGGTCTGAGGTTTCAGAGTTAGCTGGAGACTCGAAGCTGCCGAGGTCCGCCAGGACTTGGGGGATGCTGTCGGCCACGGCCACGGTGAGCGTGACAGTGGCGGAGAGAGGGGGCTGGCCGTGGTCCTGGACGGCCACTACGAGGCTTTGCTTGAGCGCGTCTCTGTCCAGCAGGGCTCGCGCCGTGCGCACCTCGCCCGTGTGCTCCCCCACCGCGAAGAGTCCCGGCTCGCTGGCCTTGAGCAGACGGTAGGACAGCCAGGCGTTCTGGCCGGAGTCTCTGTCCACCGCCACCACCTTGGTCACCAGGTAGCCGGGCTCTGCGGAGCGGGGCGCCAGCTCCACGCCTGTGGAACCGTCTGTGGGGAGGGCGGGGTACAGGATCTCGGGCGCATTGTCGTTCTGGTCCAGCACAAACAGGCTCAACGACACGTTGCTGCTGAGTGGAGGATCCCCGCTGTCGCTGGCTGTCACCTGCATCTGTAGCTCATGAAACTGCTCATAGTCGAAGGATCTGAGTGCATACAGGACGCCAGTGTCTGAGTTGATGGATATGTATGAGGACAGAGGTACCCCCTGGATGGTGTCTTCAGCCAGGGAGTAAATAATCTGGGCATTCTCTTTGCTGTCCGGGTCCAGCGCTGTCACTGAGAAGATGGAGGCACCCCTGGCGTTGTTCTCTGGGATATAGGTAAAGTAGGAGACTTGAGAGAAGGTAGGTGGGTTGTCATTGATATCTGCCACTTGTAGCATAAAGTGAGCTTCCGTTGATAGAGGAGGACTTCCCCCATCTGTGGCTGTCACTGTGATATTGTAAGAGGATACCTGTTCCCTGTCAAGGGCTCTGTGTATCACCAATCTGTAATAACTGTCAATGGACTTTTCTAATTTAAATGGTAGATACGCCAAAATGGAACAGGTTACCTGTCCATTCTGCTCAGAGTCTAAATCATGCACATTTAAAAGGGCTACGACTGTTCCCAGAGGTGAATCTTCAGTCACTGGACTAAATAGAGACGTGATGGTCAGCTCTGGACTGTTGTCATTTACATCTTCTACTGTAATCAACACTTTTGCAGTTGCAAGATATGCTCCTCCATCTTCTGCTTGTATTTCTATTTCATAGAAACCGGTTTCTTCATAATCTAGATTTTCTGATATTTTTATTTCTCCAGTATATTTGTTTAGTTGGAACTTCAACAATTGCGTGTCAGGTAATTTTCGGAATGAATATGTCACTTCTCCATTGGCACCTTCGTCCCTGTCGGTGGCTGTGACTGTCAGCAGCTGAGTGCCCACAGGCAAATTCTCAGGAACACTCACTCGGTATTCTGGCAAGGTGAAGACCGGCGCGTTGTCATTTGCATCGAAGACAGTCACACTGACAAGGACAGTGCCAGATCGGAGAGGGTCACCCCCGTCGGAGGCGGTGAGGACCAGGTGGTGAATGGCCTCTTCCTCGCGATCTAGGGAGTGCTCCAGTACCAGCTCCGGGTACTTGACGCCATTGGCACGGCTCTGAACTCTTAGGGAGAAGTGCTTATTGGGGCTGAGCTGATAGCTCTGCAGGGAGTTCACGCCCACATCCGGATCAATAGCTTCCGGGAGAGGAAAACGCATTCCCGCAGCGACATTTTCATTAATTTTTACGTCTAGATTTTCTGCTTGGAATTTTGGAGCATTGTCATTGATATCAGTTACTTCTATTTCTATCCCAAAAAGTTTCACCCTGTCTTCCACAAGGATATTAAAACTCACCACGCACCGCGCGCTCTGAGCGCAGAGCTCCTCCCGGTCTATCCTGCCCGCGGTGATCAAGCTGCCGCTGCGCGGGTTCAGAGAGAAAAGCTGCGTCCTACCTCTGGAGACTATGCGGACTCCGCGCTCCGCCAGCTCCCGGGGCGCCAGACCCAAGTCCTTGGAGATGTTGCCCACGAAAGAGCCTTTCTCTAATTCCTCAGGAATTGAGTAGGAGATCTGCCGGGCTCCAGCCTCCCATGGAATCCCGAAGAAAAGGCAGAGCAGGACCAGCCCGCTGCAATCCTTTGATTCCTTTGAGCGATTCCTTTGAGCGGCCATTGTAGTCTGGTTACAGAATTCTGCAAAGTCCTCACTGGACACGTTGTGTGTTTCAACCGGTTCCTTTGTCTTTCTGTGGCTTCAGGGTGTCTCTGTAGCCTGGGCACTTTAAATTCTGGAGTGAGCTTCCCTGCAGCCCAGCAGCCGGTTTGTGGGGCTTGTGTAGTTGAAGCCCTGAGAATCCGGATTGAGCTCTGGCTGCGTTTTCTCTCCTAGTAGGTGAACAGCGGCGCTCAGAGTCCTAAGAAGTTACTGCACCCAAGTGATACATGCAATGGAAAGTAAACTATTCTGTTGGATTATTATATTTTACATAGATTCTTTGGTTTCTCCACTCCTATCTTTAAATAATTTACTATATGTAGGTTTCTTAGGGGAGGTGTGATAAAGTGGAGTGAAAATATTGTAAATATTTCAAGATAATGTTTGGTTAAATATATATTTGCAACACGTTTTCCCAACAGAAATGTACACACTTTAATAAAAGGTAAATAATACTTATTTTAGGTCATATTAGTGTCTAGGTAAATTCAGAAAAGTCTTATAATTTAAAATTGTGATTTGAATAGGCCAATTTTATTTAGTATACATTCATACAAAGATTATATTAAATAAACTCATGAGATAATTCACTCTGAAGCTTTATAATTGTAACTACTTAATTCATTAAACTTATTTAGCTTAGGATTGTGTAAGAGGTTTTTAAAGTACTCTTCTAGAATAGTTTTACTGAGCCTTAATTAACCTTTTTGTGTAAAACATACTTTATCTTACAGGGATACAAGTTAAATGGACCTATTTAAATGATTAAGCAGGTAATCACAAACTAAAATGAACATATATTACAGTTGCAAATTAAACTGTTTGCATTGTAATGAGAAAAGAAATACGTAGAATTTGAAGTACTAAAAGTTTTAGAAAACAAAGTTAGATGTAGTGATATAGGTTTTTAACAAGTAAGTGTTTATGTCAAATGACCTGTTTTCATCAGAGCATTAATACCAGTATAAATAATCTCTTCTCTTAGGCAGTTTGTATCAGAGGCCAAAGTCCAGTGGTTCACATATCTTCAACTGTGTGTGCCCATCAACCCAGTAGCAATTGTTCCCTCAAATGCAAAGGGTATAGAAGTTCACTTCTTTCACACAGAGAACAGGATGTTCAGAAGTGTTTATGTCACTATGCCTTCCAAGTATAGAACTCTTCAAAGATTTTATCTTTTTTCTTCAAAAATCTTCTATCAGAGAATCAGAGACAGAGACTGAGTGCAAAGGCAATAGTATTTCATTTATTTCTTAGAAATGTCTTTTTTTTTTGAGACAGGGTCTCACTCTGTCACCTAGACAGCTCACTGCAGCCTAGACTTCCTGGGCTCAAGCGATTCTCCCACCACAGCCACCAGAGTAGCTGAGACCACAGGCATGTGCCACCACACCCTGCTAATTTTTAAATGTTCTGTAGCGATGGAGTCTCCCTGTGTTGCCCAGGCTGGTCTCAAATTCCTGCGCTCAAGAGATTCTCCACCTCCACCTCCCAAAGTGCTGGGATTACAGCACACTTGGCCCTGCCTGCATATTTATTTATTTATTTTAGAGACAGGGTCGCACTCTGTCGCCCAGGCTGGAGTGCAGTGGCAAGATCAGGGCTCACTGCAACCTTGACCTCCCAGGACCAAGCAATCCACCCAGCTCAGCCTCCCAAGTAGCTGGGACCACAGGGGAATGCTACCACACTCTGCTAATGTTTTTTTTTGTTGTTGTTGTTTTAGTAGAGATGGGGGGTCTCCCTATATTGCCCAGGCTGGTCTCAATTCTTGGGCTCAAGTGATACTTTCCGATTCAGCCTATCAAAGTGCTGTGATTATAGGTGTGAGCCACTGGGCCTGTCTTCTGAATATTTTTAGGCTTTAAAAATATATAAATAAGATATCGTAAATTCACTAAGTCTTCGCAAATTTGAATAGATAGGTTACTTGTTTGTTTTCTTAGATGCCAAGACCACTGCTTCTGTTCGATAGTCAGAACTTGACAAAATATTGTGGCTCACGCCTGTAATCCCAGCACTTTGAGAGGCCAAGGTGGGAGGATCACGAGGACAGGAGTTTCTGAACAGCCTGGTCGACATAGTGAAACCCCATGTCTACTAAAAATACAAAAAATTTAGCTGTGGTGAGGGGCACCAGTAATCCCAGCTACTTGGGAGGCTGAGGCAGGAGAATCGCTTGAACCCAGAAGGCGGAGGTTGCAGTGAGCAGAGATCACGCCACTGCACTCCAGCCTAGGCAACAGTGCGAGACTCCATCTCAAAAAAAAAAAAAAAAAAAAAAGACAAAGACAAAATATCTTCAGTCTGGTGACATTATTTTACAAAAAGATAGAGCAACTTATGAACCAAATACATAGTGAAAACTATAATTGAAAAAACATTGAGAAAATATTGTAAAAAGCTATGGATTTTAAACATATGATTCTAGATATGAAAATAAAGTAGTATGCCTAAAATATGAGAAACTAGTAGACTATTAGATAAATCACACACAAAAAAGAGAAACTCACCGAAGTCAGAGTCTCAGGATGTGAAGTCAAATCCTCCCCACCATGAGGTGGAATTAAGGCTCCAGGAGAAACACTGCAAACCATGTCTTCATTGGAATGTAGGGGCACACTGCATTTTAGGAAATTAAACTCTTTTGTACCCGTATGTGCAATGCACAGATTATAAGAATAAGGCAAAGTCCCCTCACTGTAGTTGGGGGGAACTACAGGTCCAGACTTGACACAGAGACCAGGATGGAAGCAGTCCCAAGTAGCAGGGCTGAGAGAGCGTCGCAGGCGCAAGGCAATGGCCAGAATCACGGCGAGGAGGAAGAGCACTGAGATTAAGGCCAAGGCCACCACCAGGTAAAACTGCAGTTCAGCCTGGGGGTCAGAGAGTACAGGGCGGTCGCTGAGGTCTGGCAGTATCTCTTGCAAGTTGTCTGCGAAGACCAGATGAAGCGTGGCGGTGGCAGAGAGTGGCGGCTGTCCACCGTCACGCACAGCGACCAGCAGGCGCTGGCGGGCTGCGTCCCTGTCGCCTAAGGCTCGAGCCGTGCGCACCTCCCCAGTGCGCAGCCCCAGGCTGAAGAGTCCGGGCTCACTGGCCTGCAGCACGTGGTAGGACAGCCAGGCGTTGTGTCCCGAGTCGGCGTCCACCGCTACCACCTTAGTCACTAGGTAGCCGGGCTCTGCAGAGCGAGGTACCATATCGAAGAACGCGGAGCCGTCAGGACCCAGAGCTGGGTACAGCACCCGCGGTGCGTTGTCATTGCGGTCTCCCACCAACACGCGCAGGCTCACGTTGGCGCTGAGCGTGGGCGAGCCGTGGTCGCGGGCCTGCAGCGTGAGCGCGAAGGCGCGCAGCTGCTCGTGATCAAAGGCGCGCTGCGCGAACACCACCCCGCTCTGCGCGCTCACTGACACGTATGACGACACCGCCAGGGGCTCTAGGTCACTCGCCACTATAGAGTAGGAGATGTGGCCATTGAGCCCCAAATCCGGGTCAGAGGCGCTCACTTGCGCAATGGAGGCTCCTGGCGGGTTGTTCTCGGCCACGTGGACCACGTAGGACGTCTGGTCGAAAACTGGGGCGTTGTCGTTGATGTCAGCGACATACAAGGTGATGCTTCTACTGGAAGAAAGAGGCGGCTTGCCCCTGTCAGTGGCTACGATGGTGACATTGTATTCTGGTGTCTGCTCTCGGTCCAGGGCTCCATCTGTCACCAGTTTGTAGTAGTTATTGGAAGAAGAATAAATCTTGAATGGAATGTCTGTTTCTATATTACACCTGACTTCTCCATTTCCTCCGAAATCCAGATCCCGTGTTTTGAAGAGGGCAACAACCATTCCTGGAGGTGAATTCTCCAAAATCTGATCAGAGAGAGAAGTGATGATTATTTCTGGGCTGTTGTCGTTTTCATCAAGGATTTCTATGATTACTTTACACTGGGTAGAGAGACCACCTCCGTCCTTCGCTTCCACTTCCATGGTGTACCTTTCTACATCTTCAAAATCAAATGACTGGTTATTCTTAATCATACCTGTTTTCTCATCCAATGAGAACATATGTTTTGTGCTCTGGGCAGTGCTTCGGAAGTAGTAGTTTATCTCAGCATTGACCCCCTCATCCTGGTCAGTGGCTGTCACTTGCAACACAGGGGACCCAGGGGGCAGATTTTCACTAAGACTAATTCTATATTCGTCTCTGCTGAAAACCGGGGGGTTATCATTGGTATCCTTGACAGAAATTTCTATGTGAGCGGTGGCACTTCTTGGTGGGTCCCCTCCGTCCAAGGCAGTCAATATCAAGCTATGAGATCTCTGTTCTTCCCGGTCTAGGAGTTTCTCCAGAGATAACTCTGGGTATTTGCCACCATCGGAATTAACTCTAACCATTAATGAAAAATAAGGATTAGAGTTTATCTTATAATCTTTAATTGAGTTTATGTTTATATCAGGATCCGTGGCAGGGTCAAGCGATAGTCGTGTACCAGCGGATGCAGATTCGAAAATTTCTAAATGTATTTCCTTTTTATCAAATTGAGGGGCGTGGTCATTAACATCCTCAATCACCACAATGACATGAAAAATATTTAAAGGATTTTCCACCACAGCTTCCAATTGCAACTCACATCTTCTTCTCTCTTTGCATATTTGCTCACGGTCTATTCGGTTCTTCACAAGTAAGTCCCCGCTCTCCGCGTCTACGCTGAAGTGCAGCTTCTCCGCGCTCACTCGCAGCTTGCGAGCCGACACATCCAGGACACTGAGCCCTAGATCCTTAGCGAGGTTCCCCACCACCGAGCCCTTGGCCAGCTCCTCCGGAATCGAGTAGCGGATCGGCTCACTCAGGGTGGGGTAGAACAAAGGCAGCAGCAAAGGAAATAGCACCTGCCGCGGGCCGGCCCGGCGCCTCTGCGCGCAGCTCCCTCCCATCGTTCGCTCGGGTTCTCGCTGGGTCCCCGCTTTTCCAGTTGGAGAAAGTGCACTCTACCGCGCTAAAAGAGCATTCGGCCCAGGACAGGAGGAGTCCCGGGTCTCGGAGCTGGCAATCCGCTGTGCTGGGAAAGGTCTGCGCAGCCGGGAGGCTCTGTGTGGGAGCTGGTTTTCTTCTTTCTGTTGTTGGCTGCGCAGGGAATCCCAGGCCAGAGGCTGACGGATCCCCGGCGTCAGCGCTTGCTCTGCACTGGCCGACAGCGGCGCCCAGAGGCTCCGTGCGGGACAGCAGCCCGGTTTTTCATTTTGAATTCGGTCTCCGAAATGTATATATTCTTCGAAAATGCAGGTGTACATCCCCCTCAAATTTTGCTCTCACCATAATATTATAGTAGATATTTCTATGCTTTGTGTTTTAAATAAATCTATTATGCACAATTTCAAACTTATACAACAGTAGGGAGTATATATAGTGAACCTTCACATAGCCATCACCCCACCTTCAACAATGATCACCACAAAGCCAATCTTTGTTTAATATATACTGCGCTCCCCCATTATTTTTAAGTAATACGAGATATAGAATGTCAACCAATGCTTCTTTTTAAGATGAGACATTAAGGTCAAGAATTTTATCTTTCAGCTTATGTTCTACAATCTGTTACCAATGCACAATAAGTTAAGTCCTACATAGCCTAAGAAAAACAGAAATAAAGATTTTCCATACTCCATTCAGTCATCTGTCTGGTGAGCCTCGTGTTCTGGTTTTAAGGGCAAGAGACATTTTTGTGGTATCGAATAGTAACTACCTACCATGACATACAAGCCTTCATGGATATCTGTTATGTTTTCCCCAAATTAACATACATTTCAATATTTATAAATACTAAGTATGAAGGCTACTCCTCAGAACAGAAATTGTAACAATTTTCTTGTTGCATGGTTAAAAATATGAGCCTGAAGTATGCTTTATTTTTTTTGCTACCCACTTAAGGGGGAAAACGTGTTTGAAATAATTAAAATGTCTGTATGTCATAAAGGATTCCCAGACACTTCAGCTTTTTTTTCTTAAAAATAAAGCAACTGAAACCCAAATAATTACAAACAAATAAAACAATTCTTCATTTCCACAGAAATGCCAGCAGTCATCAGTGTATCTATGGATCACATGTTTAGCATAGAATTTTGAGTCAACTTCAAAGCTTATTTTCAAATGTCTTGTGAAATGTTATTTACTATTTGAAACAACACTATGTTTAAAATAACATTAAATAATACATTATTCTCTTCCTTATAGCTAAAAACAGTAAAATAGTTTTAGAATCTTCCCAGCAGTTCCTGAGAATATTTTCTTAAATTATATCTGATATGCAAGTTCATTTCTAGACTCAAAAGTTGGAGAATTGAGCCAGAAATAATATATAAGTGAGAGAAATATTTTTAATTCCTTGTTTTGTCATTTCACAGTGTCCAGTCTTAGAAACTTCTCTTGAGCAAGCATATACTATAGAAAAGAAGAATGTCCTACTATTCTCCATAATTTAACATTAAAGCATTAGGAAATTAAGACCTTTGAAGATATGAGAATAAAAGATGTGACAACTTTCACCATTAAAGGGAAAAAATTGGTTTACTAGGGTTTGGAAGTGGATAACTGAAGTTTGAATCTTCGTCAGAAAATATCTGTAAACACAAACAGACTTTACACACTTGTGATCTGAAAAATATAACCTCAAAGAGGTGTTTTCCTGTCATAGAAATGGAAGAATAGAAGCAATAAATCTGGGCTTTCAGCTGTTTCTCTAAGAAGAATACATTTACCTTTTTATCAGTTTACCCTTACAAACATAGTATGACCTGAATAAATGATCGTAGGAGTAAGAATTTGCTGGGTGAGGTGGTTCACACCTCACCCAGTGCTTTGGGAAACTGAAGCAGGAAGATCGTTTGAGACCAGTCTGGGCAACATAGCTTGCTAGCCCTCCCACCTCAGTCCTAGCTACTGTGAAGGCTGAGGTGGGAGGATTGCATAAGCCCAGGAGATTGAGACTGCAGTAAGCTTTACCCACACCACTGCATTCCACCCTGGACAACAGAATGACACCCCCATCTCTTAAAAAAAAAAAAAAAGGAGTAAGAATTTTATGATATGAGTCCACTGCAACCAATGAAGCAACCCTACCCAAAAAGCCCACATCAATGCAGGCTGAGAGCTACCCCATGAAGTATGGTTTACGTTGACAGCAGGTTAATTATTATGAGAACATGAAAGTTATATCAGCAAATATAACTAATAAATGCCTCCTTTCAGTGTTGGAGCAACAATTAGGCCCAGTGAAAAGTGATGAGAAACACACTGATATCAACTTATACTACCTTAAGTACAGACAGTTAAAGAGAAAGCTAACTATAATAGAAAGTTAAGGGCCAGGCGCAGTGGCTCACGCCTGTAATCCCAGTGCTTTGGGAGGCTGAGGTGGGTGGATCACTTGAGGTTAGGAATTCAAGACCAGCCTGGCCAACATGGTGACACCCCGTCTCTACTAAAAACACACAAAAAATTAGCCGGGCGTGGTGGCACGTGCCTGTAGTCCCAGTTATTCTACTTGGGAGGCCTGTAGTCCCAGCTACTCTACTCTAGTCCCAGCTACTCTACTTGGGAGGCTGAGGCAGGAGAATCGCTTGAATTTGGGAGGCGGAGGTTGCAATGAGCCGAGATCACACCACTGCATTCCAGCCTGGGTAACAGAGTAAGACTCTGTCTCAAAAACAAAACAAAACAAAAAACAAAAAAAGAAAAGAAAGAAAGAAAAAAAATGAACTCACCGGAACCAAAGGGGTGTCTTCTATAGGAAACTTGGAATCAACAGAGACGCACAAAGGCTCATTTTTCTCACAGCTCTGCTGGCTGATGAGTGTGTCTGCATAGTTGGGCTGGGGGAAGATCAGGTGACTCTTCCTTGAGTCAGCGGTGAGGGAGAACTCCTGAGAATAGGTCTGTAGGAAAGCTCGAACCCCATCTACACCCACAAAGTGTGAGGTGGGCACACCAGCCAACCCATCACTGGTAGCCCGCAGCAGATGCGAGGAGTGCCAGTGCCTCAGCCTGAGGGCCAGCAGCGTGATAACGAAGGTGAGGAAGACACAGGAGACGACTGCCACAGCCACAACGAGGTAGAGGGTAAGGTCTGAGGCCTCCAGGTCTGCAGGGATCTGAAGACTGCCCAGGTCAGCCAGGATGTCTGGGATGCTGTCAGCTATGGCTACTGTGAGCGTGACAGTGGCCGAGAGAGGGGGCTGGCCATGGTCCTGTACAGCCACCACAAGGCTCTGTTTGAGCGCATCTCTATCTAGCAGGGCCCGAGCTGTGCGCACTTCACCTGTGTGCAGCCCCACCGAGAAGAGCCCTGGCTCACTGGCCTTGAATAGGCGGTAGGAGAGCCAAGCATTCTGGCCTGAGTCTCTGTCCACTGCCACCACCTTGGTCACCAGGTAGCCAGGCTCTGCAGAGCGGGGTGCCAGCTCCACACCAGTAGAACCATCAGTGGGGAGGGCAGGGTACAGGATTTCTGGGGCATTGTCATTCTGGTCCAAAACAAACAGTCTCAATGACACATTGCTGCTAAGTGGTGGGCTTCCACTGTCACTTGCCGTCACCTGCATTTGCAAATCTCTAAACTGCTCATAGTCAAAGGAGCACAGAGCATACAGCACACCAGTGTCTGAGTTAATAGAGACATAGGTGGAGAGAGGAGACCCTTGGATGGTATCCTCTGCCAAGGAGTAAATAACTCTAGAATTCTCATTGCTATCAGGGTCATAGGCAATCACGGAGAAGATGGAAGTACCTCTGGCGTTGTTTTCCGGGAGGTAGACTGAGTAGGAGGCTTGAGAGAAAGCAGGTGGATTATCATTGATGTCAGTCACTTGCAGGGTGATGTGAATTTCTGTGGACAGGGGCGGAGTTCCTCTGTCTGTTGCAGTCACCGTGATATTATATTCTGAGGCTTTTTCTCGGTCAAGAATTTGGGCCGTCAACAATCTGTAATAATCTTCTTCTGAATTTTCTAATGTAAAAGATAGATTCTCCTGGATAGAACAGACAACTTGACCATTCTTCCCGGAGTCTCGGTCATGAGCATTGAAAAGAAGAATTACTGTTCCCTGAGGTGCGTCTTCTCTCACTGGGCTAAACAGAGATGTAATGGTCACTTCAGGTCTATTGTCATTTACATCTTCCACCGAAATGAGCACTTTTGTCCACCCTTTCAATCCCCCACCATCTTCAGCTTGTATTTCCATTTCATAAAATGAACATTCTTCATAATCTAGACTTTTTGCTGTTGATATTTCCCCAGTATTTTCATTAAGCTGGAATAGCAGAGATTGTTTTTCATTAATTTTCCAGAATTTGTATGCCACTTTTCCGTTGATTCCCTCATCCAGGTCGCTGGCTGTTGCAGTAAGCAGCCAGGTGCCTGGGGGCACGTTCTCAAGGACTTTAACTCGGTAAATCCGTTGAGCAAAAACCGGGGCATTATCATTTGTATCCAACACTGTCACATGGATGCGCACTGTGCTGGAGCGACGCGGCTCGCCGCCATCCGAGGCCGTGAGGACCAGGTGGTGGGCAGTTGCCTCCTCCCTGTCCAGGGCGCGCTCCAGCACCAGCTCTGGGTTTATGGCTCCATTGTCTCCAGTCTGCACGTTCAGGGAGAAGTGGTGATTGGGGCTGAGCTGGTAGCTCTGGAGGGAGTTCACGCCAACATCCGGATCAATAGCTTCTGGAAGTGGATAACGTGCTCCAGGAACCGCGATTTCGTTAATTTTTACTTCCAGACTTTCGGCCTGGAACTTTGGGGCGCTGTCGTTAATATCAGTTACTTCTATTTCTATTCCGTACAGTTTCACTCTGTCTTCAACCAGGACTTTAAAGTTCACCAGACACCGCGGGCTCTGAGCACAGAGCTCCTCCCGGTCTATCCTACCCGCGGTGACCAAGGTGCCGCTGCGCGGGTTCAGAGAGAAAAGCTGCGTCCTACCTCTAGAGACGATGCGGACTCGGCGCTCCGCCAGCTCCCGGGGCTCCAGAGCCAGGTCCTTGGAGATGTTGCCCACAATATAGCCCTTTTCTGTCTCTTCAGGCACTGAGTAGCGAATCTGACTGGCCCTGGCCTCCCATAGCATCCCCAGGAGCGAGCATAGCAGGACTAATCTTCCGCGGAGCTGGCATTTGGTTGGAGCTGCCATTGCTGCCTCGCTTTGGAATTTTCTCAAAAGGATCTCTGTGCGCGCTGCTTCATCAGGTTCTTTCTTCCACCCTGCAAAGTATGGTGATCTTTTCCTTAGAAGAAAGAGGCTGAGTTTTGCTGCAGCCTGGGAGCAGGTTTGTGGTATCTGCCGGGTTTTGTGTAGCCGCAGAACTGGAAATCCGGATGGAGTCCTGATTTTCGCTTAGAGTTGATCAACAGCGGCGCTCAGAGTCCTAAGCCGTTACTACACCCACTGATGTGTAACATTATATCAGATGGCTGATAAAGAAAACACTACTCTCTTCTAATTATGATTTTAGATTTCTCCAATTGTTTCTTGCATTTGTATTTCAAAAGCAATCTATTTTTTAGATATCTGAGTTGTAAATAAAGTGGAATAAAATTTCTGTAAGTGTATTATAAAATCACAAACCATTGCTTAATATTAATTTATTCTTATTCTTGGTAGAACTTTGCACTCTATTTCTAGATATGTAAACTATTATAATTTCCTTTTTATGATGCTTCAATTTTTTCTGTGTATCTTAACAATTTTCTGAAGTAATTTTTATGTGCAATCTTGTTTGGAAGTACATTCATTTTTAATTTTTATACCTATATATTTGTAAATGTAAAATATATAATTGTATTAATACATATATAAGGATAGATTATCCACTTTGAAATTATTTTCTGGGGTTTATTTTGATGATAAAATTCCTGGAAAAACGTTTATTTTAAATTTTTGTATTATAAAAGTAATATTAATTCAGCAATAGTTACAGATGTTCTCGCCTAATATTGCTAAATATTAACAGGATTAAAGTTGGAAATTTTCACATTTTTGTAATTGCTTAAACTTTTCTGCTATTTCAAAAATGCTTAGTTTTTTAATGTGAATATGTAATGCATGCACAGACTGTGTTTCAATGATTCAAATGCATATACACTGAAAAGCAAGTTTCTATTTTAATCCTTCATCAATAAATTATGCAATTTTAAAGTGGTCTTAAACATTATTCTAAGCATCACTTAAACTTATATAATAATTTGGGAAAAAGAACACAAAATATACAACAAAGAAAACTACTGAAAGGTTAAAAGTAAGTGGTATTATAAGAAATCTCAGCACTTTGTAAGGAACCCATTTACTGAATCACATACTAAGGGAAACCAAGCAAAAGACTTATACCATGTAATGGGAGCTTTGTATGTACACAAGACTAGTAGTTTTTGTCTTAAAAATGGAATAATCCTGTATTCACCTTCCATCCTACAAGGATGTTGAGAAAACATCCAGTCATTTATATTTAAAGCTCCAAACGATAAGACAAATCCGGTGTCTTTTTCCCCTTCTTCAAGAATATGTCAGGATTCCGAGCAAGAGAAATTCAGGCAATAGCATTTCCTTTTTTTTGTAAGTTTCTTCTGGTAATTATATAGAGGTGGAAAAGGATTTTGCATCCAAGAAAACCTGGATAAACTTAGAAAATTATTTGGATGATTTGGACCTTCTAAGTTCAGTGAATCAGTCTCTCTCTTTCTCTCTCATACACATAACATGTAGTATTTTTCTTCTTCTTCCTCTCCTTCTCCTTCCTTTTTTTTGAGATGGAGTTTTGCTCTTGTTGCCCAGGCTGGAATGCAATGGAGTGATCTCGGCTCACCGCAACCTCCACCTGCCAGGTTCAAGCAATTCTCCTGTCTTAGCCTCCTGAGTAGCTGGGATTACAGGCGCCCGCCACCACACCCAGCTAATTTTTGTATTTTTAGTAGAGACGGGTTTTCACCATATTGCCCAGGCTGGTCTTGAACTCCTGACCATGTGATCCAACCGCCTCGGCCTCCCAAAGTGCTGGGATTACAGGCATGAGCCACTGCACCCAGCCAACATATAGTATTTTTAATAAAATTTTAGGAGATTCAAAAAATCATAAATCCATTAGGTAGGAATAAGAAAGCATATATGAGGAACATAAGAAAGAGATGAAAACTACCAGTGAAATCAGTGAAGAAAGACATCTACTAGCAGTTTCTTTGCTTTAAAAGATGAATTAAATGATTACATACATTAAATTTAATGGTTTATCTACATACAATAAAATATAAACATGTTAAAGAATGAGACAACGAATAGGTAAAATTCATTAGCTTTGAGAAAGAGGACAAAAAAACGCACCAAATGTTTTTGCTAGAGAGGAAGCTAAGAGCAAACTCTCACTACTTTGTAAATCTATAAGGCTACTTCTTTTATGCGACATAAAAACTCACAATTTACTGCTCCTCTTAAAGAATGGTAGGACAGCTTTCTGAGCAGCTCTGACTTCCCTAAGACAACTCATTGGACTTGAAAATGTACGATAGTTTCATGTAAATACAGAAAATTGGGTGGGTAATGAAAAAGAATAGACATAAATGAAACTCACCAACTCAGGATGGGAAGTCGACTCGCTGGAATTACAAAGTGGAAATAAGGCCCCAGATGAATCACCACAAAGTATGTCTTGTCCTGAACTCAATTGCTCACTACATTTTAGGAAATTAAACTCCGTCTTTCCTGTATGTGCAACACATAGGTTGTAGGAATAAGGCAAAGTCCCCTGACTGTAGTTGGGGGGAACCACAGGTCCAGACTTGACACAGAGACCAGGTTGGAAGCAGCTCCAGGCGGCAGGGCTGGAGGAGCGTCGCAGGCGCAAGGCAACGGCCAGAATCACGGCCAGGAGGAAGAGCACTGAGATCAAGGCCAAGGCCACCACTAGGTAAAACTGCAGCTCAGCCTGGGGGTCAGAGGGTACAGGGCGGTCAGTGATATCCGGCAGCACCTCCTGCAAGCTGTCAGCAAAGACCAAGTGCAGCGTGGCGGTGGCGGAGAGTGGCGGCTGTCCACCATCACGCACAGCAACCAGCAGGCGCTGGCGGGCCGCGTCCCTGTCGCCCAAGGCACGCGCTGTGCGCACCTCTCCTGTGCGCAGCCCCAGGCTGAAGAGCCCGGGCTCGCTAGCCTGCAGCACGTGGTAGGACAGCCAGGCGTTGTGTCCTGAGTCTGCGTCCACGGCCACTACCTTGGTCACCAGGTAGCCGGGCTCTGCAGCGCGCGGCACCATATCGAAGAGCGCAGAGCCGTCGGGACCCAGCGCGGGGTACAGCACCCGCGGTGCGTTGTCGTTTCGGTCGCCCACCAACACGCGCAGGCTCACGTTTGCGCTGAGCGCAGGCGAGCCCTGGTCGCGGGCCTGTAGTGTGAGTTCGAAGGTGCGCAGCTGCTCGTAGTCAAAGGCGCGCTGCGCGAACACCACCCCACTTTGCGCGCTCATGGACACGTAAGAGGCCAGTGCCAGAGGCTCTAGGTCGCTGGCCATGATAGAGTAGGAGACTTGGCCGTTCAACCCCAAGTCCAGGTCCGAGGCGCAGACTTGCGCGATGGAGGCCCCAGGAGGGTTGTTTTCGGGTACACTGACTAAGTAGGACGCCTGGTGGAAAACCGGAGCGTTATCGTTGACGTCTCTGATATGTAGGATGACGCTTATGCTGGAGGAGAGGGGCGGCTTGCCCCTGTCTGTGGCTGTGATGGTGACATTGTACTCCGGGGTTTGCTCTCGGTCTAGGGTTCCATCTGTTACCAACTTATACGAATTTTTGGATGAAGAGATAATCTTAAAAGGGACTTCGCCTTGTAATTGACAATTAACCTCCCCATTTTCCCCAGAATCTTGGTCATGTATTTTGATCAAAGCAATTAGTGTTCCAGGCACCGCGTTTTCCAGAATCATTTCAAGTAGAGAATGGAATGTAACTTCTGGGCTATTGTCATTTTCATCTTGAATATTAATTTCAACTGTACATTGTGCAACCAGTCCACCACCATCCCTCCCTTCTACAACCATTGAATATTCCTTGGTCTCTTCAAAATCCAGTTTCTTTTGAGTGGTAATTTCTCCGCTCTTTGAATTCAGACTAAAGATTTGCCCGGTTCTGTAGAAGGAATAAGTAATTTCTGAGTTGATGCCCTCGTCTTGGTCAGTGGCTGACACTTGCAACACAGTGGTGCCTGGTGGCACGTTTTCCCGAAGGCTGACTCTGTACACGTCTCGGTTGAATACCGGGGGATTATCATTGGCGTCGGTTACCTGGATCCGGAGCTCAGTGGTGCCGCTTAGGGGTGGATGTCCACCGTCCAAGGCAGTCAGGACTAAACGATGGTAACTCTGTTGTTCCCGGTCTAAGGTTTTCTCCAGTGCCAGTTCCGGGTATTTACTACCATCCTGTTTCTCCTTAATTATTAATGAGAAACTTGGGTTAAGAGAGAGTTTATACTTCTGCAGAGAGTTTAAGCCAATATCTGCATCTTCTGCTACTTCTAGTATAAATCTTGTGCCAGGCTGTGCAGACTCACTTATTTGCAGCTCAAAGGAATTTTGCGTGAATTTTGGCGTGTGGTCATTAATGTCCTCGATCTCCACATTCACGTGATAAAAGTTCAGTGGATTTTCAGCAACAGCCTCAAATTCCAGAGCACAAGCTGGCTTCTTCCCGCATATCTCCTCCCTGTCTAGCCTGCTGCTCACAAGCAACTCCCCGCTCTCTGCGCTCACGGTGAAGTAAGGCTTCTCCGAACTGACGCGCAGTTTTCGAGTCGGTAACTCCTGGACGCTGAACCCCAGGTCCGTGGCGAGGTTCCCCACTACGGAGCCCTTGGGCATTTCCTCGGGAATCCTGTAGCGGATCTGCTCACAGAGCGCCGGGCAGAACAAAGACAGCAGGAAGAGAAAGAGCACTGGCAGCCTCTCAGCCCGGCCCAGCTCCCCGGCGCCGCTCCCCATCCCTCTTGCTCTCCTCAGCTTGCTCACCAGCCTGGAGACGCCAGGTTACAAATAACCTCTGTATTGTAGATTTTTGGATCTCCGAACGGGCTTTAGTTCCAGTTCCAGTTTAGGAAACGATTCTTTTTCCGAGGAGGAAGCGGTGTAAAGGCCGGCGCTGGGGAGTCTGAGCTGGGGCTGCCCTGGAAAGCGCGCTGCGGCTGCGCGAGGAGATCTGGAGCGCCAAGCTCTGCACTTTGGCCAACAGCGGCGCCCAGAGTCAGCACTAGGAAACTACAGCCTCTGCGGCTTCAAGTTAACCAGTGCAGTAATTGTTTTTGTGTGCCTAACTTAACAAGCCAAGTTTTTACGTCCATATACTTAATAAAAAATTATAACAACTTCTTTAAGGTATCTTTCTCTGTTTTCCAAATTGTTAGAAATATCACGTTGGGTTTTTATACAAACCTGCATACATTGGTCCATTCTTTCACCATTCTGCAAACATACCTTGAACTCTTAGCTAGAACTAAGTATTGCCCTTGTCACTGGCAATATAATAATTAATATGATACAGTTCTTGCTCTCAGAGCCTTCATACTATACTGATTTCAAAAATTCATTTTTTATTAGCTATGGAAACAATTTTATCATTCTTCTGTTCATTTCTATGATTTCCAACTCCCCAATATTTCTAGTGTTTTATATTACACATATTAGGGAAATCTATACTATTTAAAACTATTTTGTAAAGTTGTGGCAATTTTATACCAATCCCCAAACATCTCCTCTTCCTGACTATATTAACATTCTTTATAAAAATAATTTTTCTTTACTCTTCTACTTCAGGAAATATTCATTCAAGTATACTGCCCATATGATGTAGCTAAGAAATGATATACCCTACTACGTTGCTCTTCTTCATATCTCAAAATACTTCTCTTATGTCATATCTTTTACAGTACATAAATTCATTCTTAAGAGTTATTGGGGAAATGCTTATCTATTCTGCAATACAAGGTACAAAGGGATATTCTAGTGGATTGCATTATTATCCTATCTGAAATGACTTTGGAATTGGATAAATGAAGCTCATAAGTTCATTTACATAAATTTGTGGACATTGGTCAACCTTCTTTAGTCCATTTGTCAGATTAATAAAAACAACTAGCCAACATTTTTAGGGAGAGTAAGGATTTTCTTTCCTACCAGGGCAACTTTCATCCGAGTTTTTAAAATTGCAAAGTGCCAATAATATGTTGTCCTCTCAAATGTGCATCCAAATGGTACACAAACTATGAAGTTAACTCCCACTCCACTGAATATGCACCATACAGTAGAACACTACACAATCCTTAGGAAATGTCCTTTTCATTAATAACAAACATTTATTGGGTCATCTACTTCTACCTTACAACAATCAATTCAGGTATTAGCTTTATTCAAATGCTACAAGAAGGTATGCAGGAATACAATAATGGATAGCCTATACCGAGTTTTTACTATTAATATTAGTTTTTTTTTTTTTTGAGACGGAGTCTCACCCTGTTGCCCAGGCTGGAGTGCAGTGACAGGATCGAGGCTCACTGCAACCTCCACCTCCCGGGTTCAAGTGATTCTTCTGCCTCAGCCTCCCGAGTAGCTGGGACCACAGGCGCATGCCACCATGCCTGGCTAATTTTTGTAGTTTTTAGTAGAGACGGGGTTTCACCATGTTTGCCAGGCTGATCTTGAACTCCTGACCTCAGGTGATCCACCCACCTCAGTCTCCCAAAGTGCTGGGATTACAGGCGTGAGCCACCGCACCCGGCCTAATAATAGTTTTTTTAGAGACAGGGTCTAGTTCTGCCACCTAGGCTGGAGTGCAGTGGCATGATCATAGCTCACTGCAGTTTCAAACCCCCGGGGCTCAAGCGGTCCTCCTGCCCCAGCCTCCCAAAGTGCTGGGATTTCAGACATGAGGCACTGTGTCCAGCCAAGACTGAATAACTTTAATTGAATTGATCAGCTTATTTAGAACTTGTGTACCTGAAACATTGGTTCTTAATATCAACATTCTCACCACTTCACATCAATGCACAACCGAAACAGCTAATTGGAATTGTATTGAAATATGTTCTTACATATTTTACAAAAGTCACTTTCAACAGTTTAAAATTACATTTTAATTCAGATCTAATGTTTTTGCTTTTGTTTTTTGTTTGGGGGAGCAATGGACATTCTAGGCTTTAGATTTCATGTCTCCATGGGCATGGAGCCCAGGTGACCACTGACTCACATACTTAATATTTAGTAACCAGTCTCATCTCCCACCAAGATCCATCTTTAAAGTTTGTTCATGTTTTGAAGGATGGTAAGAAGTATTAAAGTTTTGAAGGGCACTGGTACAGAAACAGGGCTCAGAAAAGAGGTTTAAAGTGAAGAAATCTACAAGAGCCTAGTTACAGGTTCAAATGCTAAACATAACCCTAAAAATTCTGAGATATATTTTACTTTTGCTAAGCTAATAACAAGGCTTTAGACTTCTTGATAATTTTCTGAAGTTCTAGTTTGGGATACACACACACACACACACACACACACACACACACACACACACACACACAAACAATAGCAAAATTACCAGTATGGACGGGTAGCTACTTCTTAAGTGAATGAGTGATAATAGGAATAAAATACTGGAAGGCTTAAAATGGTTGAACAATCTTTTCCAAGTCGTTTAAAAGCAAATGAAACAATAACCTATGACTATTAGAGTTCAATTTTATAGTAACACCACCAAAATAAACCCAAAACTCTGTGATACACCTTAAAAATTATTTTCAACTATCTTCACAATGTTTTTCAAAACATAATTTATGCCAAATAAAATTCATCTGGAAATTAAAAGCAAGCAAAGAACTAAACTCACCTGACCATGATCAGCTTCATTCTTATATTCATGAAAATCTACGGATGTTAACAAAGAATCATTTTTCTCACAGCCCTCCTGACTGATGAGCATGTCTGCGTAGTTGGGCTGGGGAAAGATCAGGTGACTCTTCCGCGAGTCGGCGGTGAGGGAGACTTCCTGGGAATAGGTCTGCAGGAAAGCCTGTACCTCCTCAACACCCACAAAATGTGAGGCAGGCACGCCTACCAATCTGCCACCGGAATCCTGGAGCAGGCGTGACTTGTGCCAGCGCCTCAGCCTGAGCCCCAGAAGCACAGCGACAAAGGCGAGGAAGACACAGGAGATGGCAGCCACTGCCACCACGAGATAGAGTGTAAGGCTCGAATCGTTCGGGTCGACCGAAGGCTTCAGACTGCCCAACTCGGTCAGGACTTCGGGGATGCTGTCAGCCACGGCTACGGTGAGCGTGACAGTGGCGGAGAGAGGGGGCTGGCCATGGTCCTGGACGGCCACCACGAGGCTCTGCTTGAGCGCATCTCTGTCCAGCAGGGCTCGCGCCGTGCGCACCTCGCCCGTGTGCAGACCCACCGAGAAGAGTCCCGGCTCGCTGGCCTTGAGCAGGCGGTAGGACAGCCAGGCGTTCTGGCCCGAGTCTCTGTCCACCGCCACCACCTTGGTCACCAGGTAGCCACGCTCTGCGGAGCGGGGCGCCAGCTCCACGCCAGTGGAACCGTCTGTGGGGAGGGCGGGGTACAGGATCTCGGGCGCGTTGTCATTCTGGTCCAGCACGAACAGGCTCAGTGACATGTTGCTGCTGAGGGGCGGGTCCCCGCTGTCGCTGGCTGTTACCAGTAGCTGCAGGTCTCGGATCTGCTCATAGTCGAAAGATTGCAGCGCATACAGGACACCGGTGTCAGAGTTGATGGAGATATACGAGGACAGGGGCGCCCCCTGCAGCGTGTCCTCGGTCACAGAGTAAGTGACCTGGGCATTCTCCTGGCTGTCGGGGTCGTGTGCAGTCAAGGAAAAGATGGAGGCTCCTCTCAGGTTGTTCTCTAGGATATACGCTGAGTAGGAGGCATGAGGGAAAGTAGGAGGGTTGTCGTTAATGTCTGCCACGTGCAGAGCGATTTGAGTTTCAGTGGACAGAGGTGGTGTTCCTAGATCTGAGGCCATCACTGTGATATTGTAGATAGAGACATTTTCTCGGTCCAAATATTTCCTTGTCACTAATCTATAATAATTACCTATTGACTTTTCTAATTTAAAAGGTAAATTATCACGTGTGTAACAGACAACTTGACCATTCTTTCCAGAGTCTTGGTCATGCACACTCAAGAAGGCAATTACTGTCCCGGGAAGAGAATTTTCTAACACTGGGCTAAACAAAGACGTAATGATCACTTCTGGTCTATTGTCATTTACATCTTCCACCGAAATGAGCAATTTGGTCCTCCCCAGAAGTGCCCCCACATCTTCGGCTTGTATTTCCATTTCATAAAATGAACATTCTTCATAATCTAGACTTTTTGCTATTGATATTTCCCCAGTATTTTCATTAAGCTGGAATAACGGAGTTTGTTTTTCATTAATTTTCCGGAATTTGTATGCCACTTTTCCGTTGATTCCCTCATCCGGGTCGCTGGCTGTTACAGTAAGCAGCCGCGTGCCTGGGGGCATGTTCTCAAGGACTTTCACTCGGTAAATCGGGTGAGGAAAAACCGGGGCATTGTCATTTGTATCCAACACTGTCACGTGGATGCGCACTGTGCTAGAGCGAGGCGGCTTGCCGCCATCCGAGGCCGTGAGGACCAGGTGGTGAGCAGCCTCTTCCTCCCTGTCCAGGGCGCGCTCCAGCACCAGCTCTGGGTTTATGGCTCCATTGTCTCCAGTCTGCACGTCCAGGGAGAAGTGGTGATTGGGGCTGAGCTGGTAGCTCTGGAGGGAGTTCACGCCCACATCCGGGTCAACAGCTTCTGGGAGTGGATAACGTGCTCCAGGAACCGCGATTTCGTTAATTTTTACTTCTAGATCTTCGACCTGGAATTTTGGGTTATTATCGTTAATATCAATTATTTCTATTTCTACCCCAAAGAGTTTTCCTTTATCCTCAACCAGGGTGTTAATATTTATCAGACACCGCGGGCTCTGAGCGCAGAGCTCCTCCCGATCTATCCTGCCCGCGGTGATCAAGCTGCCGCTGCGCGGGTTCAGAGCAAAGAGCTGCGTCCTACCTCTGGAGACGATACGGACTCCGTGCTTCGCCAGCTTCCGGGGGTCCAGCCCCAGGTCCTTGGAGATATTACCCACGAAGGAGCCTTTGTCCGTCTCTTCTGGCACAGAGTAGCGAATCTGTCCCCTCCCGATTTCCCACAGCGTTCCCAGCAGCGCGCACAGCAGGATCAGCTCGCCGCGTCTGGGGCGACTCTGTGGAGCGGCCATTGTTGTTTTGCTGCAGAATCCTCTCAGAATCTTCACTGTGCATAAATGGGTCTTATTTAGTTTCTTGCCGCAGCTATGGAGATGACAATCCTCCGGAAACCTGGAGTGCCTCCAAACAGGGGTCGGGTTTCGCTGCAGTCCAGCAGTTAGTTTGTGGCATCTGCGGGTCTTCGTGAGGTGTGAGATCTGAGTGTTTTCGGTTGCATTTGTCTTCCAGTAGGTGAACAGCGGCGCTTACAGTCCTAAATAGTTACTGCACTGAGATACAGATTACTTCTAAATGTAATACTCTACTAGATTACTGAGAAAAAAAAATCATTTGCTTATTACTTTGTTTTGAATTTATTTGATTTATCCGTAAACCCATATTTTAAAAGAAACAGCCAAAGAATGTGAGATGAAGGTTTTATTTAGTGTTATTAAATGATCAGATTAGATCAGAATGATCAGATTGTAGCATCGGATTAAATTACTCACATTTCTGCAATACATTTGGTCTTAAAAAAAACATGATACTTTCATTTCCCATTGTGCTCTAAGCTTTATTGTAAATGTCTCCAATATATACTAACAAATAACTAAGAACTTCAGTTGTCACCAGAAATGAATTTATCTTGAGACTAAAATAGACCTACTGGAGATGACTGACTCAGAAATTGTTTTATTTGGTTTAAACTACTTAATCATTTTACAAGCTTTCTATAGAGTTGTTGCTTTTAAATTATTCTTCTAAATGCCACTTGAATTACATGTCGATAATATTTTCAAATAAAAATTGTGGAATTTCAATAGGATAAATGCTTTTACCATTGCAGTTTTATGAGATATTACATTGTTTTGCTATTTTATTTACATTGTTTATATTTTTCTATTTGAATACTTGAAAGGTACAGATGAATATATGATAAAAAGCAAAGCTCCATCCCATCCCTTTCACCAAAGAGATGATTAAATTTAAAGCAGACTTGACTTTTACATATATTCTAAAATTAACTTTACCTACATTAACACTTTGATCTAAAAAACTGCAAAAAGTAATGACTATATAATACTTACTAAGAAGCCAAAGGATAAGTATGACTACAAAAAAGTCTGTTTCCCTTCAAGACCAGCCTGGGCAACGTAGCAGATGAACTTATTTCACCCTTCCTTTGAAGACTGGTATGATAGTTTTTTCACTGACTAAAACTTTCTTAAAACCACTCATGAAATCTGAAAACTTTATATTTTCCTGTGAATATATTTTCTTATGCATATGGAAAACTGGGTAGACAATGGAAACCATACCAGTTAAATTAGTGAAAGAAAATATTTTCTCTACTGAAAACAGAAAAATTAGCCAGGTCTGGTGGCATGAGCCTGAGTTCCAGCTAGTCAGGAGGCTGATGCAGAAGGAATGCTTGAGCCCAGGAGTTTGAGGCTGGAGGGAGCTATCATTGTGCCACTGCACTACAGCCTGAGTAACAGACAGAGACTCTGTCTCAAAAAAAAAAAAAGAAAAAAAAAAGAATCGAAAGACGTTTCCTTCTTTCAGCAATTTGTAAAGTGGCCATTAACTGAAGCAGTTGCTTAGATATACCTAGCAAAAGGCTCATATAATGTTCCTTGGTATTTTGTATATATTTTGTATGCACACCAGATTGGCAGTTTTCAAGACTATATTTCTTTCCTAGAGGTAGGAGAATGATTAGAAGACCTCTAGCTATATTAGTTTAGGGCTGCAGATAAGGCAGTTACACATTATATATTAGGGCTGTGTGTGAGAGGGACAACAGACACAAAACATTGTCTTTTCTTTGATGAAGGATATAGAATGAGCTTGAATACAGATTAATCCTGAAACTCCTATGTTACAAGTAAGGAGAATCTGCTTTTGATCTTCTAATGAGCATAGTAGACCTTTTTCTAAGTAAAAGGATCTCTCTCACACACACACACACACACACGCACACACAGCGTACACTGCATATAATCACAAGGGGTCCATGGACATAAAAATCCAGTTGACTCCTTATTCTAAGAGCTTTTGAAACAAAAGGGAAGTTAACACAGGAAACAAAACAGTGGACTACTATGGAGACCATACCAGTTAAATTAGTTAAGAAAAGTGTTGAATTTTAGCTTAAATTCTTTGGCTTTATTATTTTTATATTTATGGTATATCCAAGCTGAAAAAAGTATTCATCATATATTAGTCAACAAGAAGGAAAATGTATAGGAAAAATCTCATTCACTTTTTAGGAGAGAGCCAACAACTGTCTAACACTTTCACTTTGTGGTTAAAACCACACCCTCATTGCTTTATAAATCTAAGCTTGGCTAAAAAACAAACAAATGTTGGGCCACACAATTGCTCCTACTTTACTCCTCCTTTGTAGAATGATATGACAGCTTTTTAACTGACTACAACTTTCCTAAAATGATCCATGACATCTAAAAATTATATATTTTCCTGCAAATATGTATATTTTCTTGTGAATATGGAGAAATGGGTAGGCAATGAGCATTAAATTATACTTAAAGGAAACTCACCTGATGGGAAGTCAATTCACTGGAATTACAAAGTGGAAATAAGGCCCCAGATGAATCACCGCAAAGTATGTCTTGTCCTGAACTCAACTGCTCACTACATTTTAGGAAATTAAACTCCGTCTTTCCTGTATGTGCAACACATAGATTGTAGGAATAAGGCAAAGTCCCCTCGCTGTAGTTGGGGGGAACCACGGATTCGGATTTAACACAGAGACCAGGCTGGAAGCAGCTCCAGGAGGCGGGGCTGGAGGAGCGTCGCAGGCGCAAGGCAATGGCCAGAATCATGGCCACGAGGAAGAGCACTGAGATCAAGGCCAAGGCCACCACTAGGTAAAACTGCAGCTCAGCCTGGAGGTCAGAGGGGTCGGGGCGGTCAGTGATATCCGGCAGCACCTCCTGCAAGCTGTCGGCGAAGACCAGGTGCAACGTGGCAGTGGCCGAGAGTGGTGGCTGTCCACCGTCACGCACGGCGACCAGAAGGCGCTGGCGGACGGCGTCCCTGTCGCCTAAGGCACGCGCTGTGCGCACTTCGCCCGTGCGCAGCCCCAGGCTGAAGAGCCCGGGCTCGCTAGCCTGCAGCACGTGGTAGGACAGCCAGGCGTTGTGTCCTGAGTCTGCGTCCACCGCCACTACCTTGGTCACCAAGTAGCCAGGCTCTGCAGCGTGCGGCACCATATCGAAGAGCGCAGAGCCGTCGGGACCCAGCGCGGGGTACAGCACCCGTGGCGCATTGTCGTTGCGGTCGTCCACTAACACGCGCAGGCTCACGTTCGCGCTGAGCGCTGGCGAGCCCTGGTCGCGGGCCTGCAGTGTGAGTTCGAAGGCGCGCAGCTGCTCGTGGTCGAAGGCGCGCTGCGCGAACACCACCCCGCTCTCCGCGCTTATGGACACGTAGGATGACAGCTCCCGCTGCTCCAGGTCACTGGCCATGATGCAGTAAGAGACTTGGCCGTTGGGCCCCAAGTCCGGATCAGAAGCCCTGACTTGTGAAATAGAGGCTCCAGGCGGGTTGTTCTCGGCCACGTGGACTATATAGGAAGACTGTGAGAAAACCGGAGCGTTGTCATTTACATCACCAATGTGCAGGGTGATGCTGGAACTGGAGGAGAGGGGAGGCTTGCCCCGATCTGTTGCCGTAACGGTTATATTGTACTCTGGATTCTGCTCGCGGTCTAGAACAGCATCTGTCACTAATTTATACGTGTTTCTTGAAGAAGTTAATATTTTAAATGGAACATCACCTTCCAATTTACAAGTCACTTCTCCATTGTGTCTGGAATCCTTGTCACGGACTTTGAGCAAAGCAATATGTGTTCCCAGCTCGGCGTCCTCCATAATTAGGTTGGGTAGAGACTGGAATATCACTTCTGGGGCGTTGTCATTTTCATCTATGACTTCTACCTCCACTGTGCATTGCGCAATCATTCCTCCACCGTCCCTTGCTTCCAAAACTATGGAATATTCTTTGACTTCTTCAAAATCTAATGTATTTAAAACAGTAATTTCCCCGGTGTTAGAGTTCAGGTCAAATTGGGTGATCTGGCTAGCTTCACTGAAAGAGAAAGTAATCTCGGCATTGACACCCTCATCCTGGTCCGTGGCAGTCACCTGTAGCACCGTGGTCCCCGGGTACACGTTTTCTGAAAGGCTCACCCTGTATACGTCTTGACTGAACACTGGAGCATTATCATTGGCATCAGTCACTAGAACGTGTATCTGTGCAGTGCTGCTTAGGGGTGGAGCTCCAAAGTCCAAGGCAGTCAAAGTCAAGTGGTAGGATTTCTGCTTTTCTCTGTCCAAAGGTGTCTTCAATACCATCTCAGGGTATTTACTGCCATCTGATTTCTCTTTATTTATCAGTGAGAAATGATCACTGGGACTGAGTTGGTAATTCTGCAGTGTGTTGCTACCAATATCCGCATCATGGGCAGATCCTAATATAAATCGTGTGCCAGGCTGTGCAGACTCACTTATTTGCAGCTCAAAGGAATTTTGCGTGAATTTTGGCGTGTGGTCATTAATGTCCTCGATCTCCACATTCACGTGATAAAAGTTCAGTGGATTTTCAGCAACAGCCTCAAATTCCAGAGCACAAGCTGGCTTCTTCCCGCATATCTCCTCCCTGTCTAGCCTGCTGCTCACAAGCAACTCCCCGCTCTCTGCGCTCACGGTGAAGTAAGGCTTCTCCGAACTGACGCGCAGTTTTCGAGTCGGTAACTCCTGGACGCTGAACCCCAGGTCCGTGGCGAGGTTCCCCACTACGGAGCCCTTGGGCATTTCCTCGGGAATCCTGTAGCGGATCTGCTCACAGAGCGCCGGGCAGAACAAAGACAGCAGGAAGAGAAAGAGCACTGGCAGCCTCTCAGCCCGGCCCAGCTCCCCGGCGCCGCTCCCCATCCCTCTTGCTCTCCTCAGCTTGCTCACCAGCCTGGAGACGCCGGGTTACAAATAACCTCTGTATTGCAGATTTTTGGATCTCCGAACGGACTTTAGTTGCAGTTCCAGTTCAAGAAAAAATTCTTCTTTTTCCGAGGAGGAAGCGGTGTAAAGGCTGGCGCTGGGGAGTCTGAGCTGGGGCTGCCCTGGAAAGCGCGCTGCGGCTGCGCGAGGAGATCTGGAGCGCCAAGCTCTCCACTTTGGCCAACAGCGGCGCCCAGAGTCAGCACTAGGAAACTACAGCCTCTGCTGCTTCAAGTTAACCAGTGCAATAATTATAATTGTGTGCCTAACTGAAAGAACAAAAACTACGTGGATACGTCTGTATATTTAATGACGTCTAAAAATGTACTCTTAGGAATGCCTTCATCCCAACTTTGAGGATTTTTAGGCAAATCATGTAGATTAAGTACATAAACATTTATTGACATAAGCTTTCCCCAATCTTCAAACATGCACTATCTATATAAAGATAGCCATAACACAGACTTGGCCTAAACCGTCTCAGAGTACAGTAATTTTCCATACTTACTCATTAGAAATATACTGGATACATTTTATCTTTCTTTCATTGTTCCTAACATTTTCTCCACTTTTCTAAGTACCTCCAAGTTGATTTATTTCAACTTTTTCCGGAGAGTATCAGTAATACCAAAATTGCCTTTTAGAAGGTGCAATTTATACTTATCTTCAAATACACCCCCTTCCCAATAGTTTCAGTGATTTCATTACAGGAATATTATGTGATTCTCATTTCGATGATCACAGGCAGTAGCCTACTCCTCTCCTCATTACACAATTATTTTACTGGTTATGAAATACAACATTCATCTTCAAAGTTATCAGGGGGATAATACATAGCCTCAAAACACAAAGTCACTGAGATCTGCTGCACTGAAGCACTGCTTCCTACCTCTGCACTTATTTTACATTCCTTGGTGACCTCTGAATTGAAGGAAACAATCCCTGGAAAGTTTGATTGCAATAGCTCACTGAGTTTAGTGATTATGTCTCTCCATTGCTTAAAAACAATTTTATGCATCTAATAAATTTTGGTCAGGAGATTTTCTTTTACAAAATACCTTATAACCGTAGTTCTGCCATAGGATCTTCCCTCAGTAACATTGTTGGTGTCAGCAACATTGTCTTCTACCCCAAGTGATTGTACATCTGAAATGTGAACACTGCAGAACTTGTAAAATGTATCCAGCCTGGGTGACAGAGCGAGACTCCATGTCAAAAAAAAAAAATGTATCCCCCACACTATTGTACAGAGTCTATCATGTGCAAAATACTACCAAATACAACACTAGTCTAAAAAGAGTCTTTTTTTGAAGAGACAGAGTCTTGTTATATTATCTAGGTGGGCCTCCAATTCTTGGGTTCAAGCTGTCCTCTTGCCTCAGCCTCCCATGCAGGTGGGCTACAGCTTGCAACACCATACCTGGCTAAAAGTGTGTTTTTAATTAATACTCAAAGGTCTCTGGAATCAAGATTACCTTGTCATCCACCCCTTCTGGATGACAATCACTTGATATACTGAGCTTTACTAAAATGTTATACAAAAGAATATGGAAGTAGTTAATCCCAGATTGGGTTATTTCCAACTGAATTTTTCAGTAGACCTAATAAATAAAATCAACTACTGGTCTAGGATCTGTGTACATAAGATGGTCTAAGGTTTGAGTACGTGAGACAGTTGAAACAAAGCCAGTATCCCCAATCTCCCACTTTGATAGCCCACAGACACACTTCATCTGGCTGTACCACTAAAACAACATACTGGAATTCTCTGTTAAAACATGTAATTGCCTATGTCACAAATGCCAATTACAACACTTAAAATGACATTTTATTTGACATATTTTATTGGTTTTGTCCGATGGCCTTTAGTGTGGCATTAGACTTGATGTCTGTCTTTGATATAGATCTTAGTGAAGTGTGATACACACACATTTCATTCTTTAGGCATAAATCCAACCTTCTACTACCACCCCATTAATAAATGATTATACTGTAAATAGGTCAAGAAGCAATCAAGATTTTTTAGGACCACCAAGCTGAGGTACATGGAGGCAGAATCAGCCACAGAAAAAAATCTTCACATGGAAGAAATCTTTCAGAACCTTTTACATATTTGAATGCTAAAGAGAATCCTGAGAAGACAGCTGAGGTGTGTTTTATTCCTGCTAACCTTGTGCAATATGAAAGACTCGATTCATTCCAATGTATAAAATATATGAGTTAAGAAAGTAGGTTGGAACATAGATTGGAAAGTAGGTGGAAATTATAAAATGTGATAGTCCACATATTCATAATCTTGTCCATAGGCTTTCACTAAAGAAATACTATATCCTATGTGTTCTATATTAAAGTGTCACCACTGAAGGAAACTGGTAAACTCATTTTTACCTCTATAAAGTTTTTTAAATCCCTATTTTCAAAACATTTGTTTTGCAAAATAATAGAGAAATATCATGCAAATAAATTCCTCATGGAAATAAAGGAAGGGCTGGGCTCACCTGAATACTTGGCAGGTTTTCTTTACATTCCTGAAAATCTACGGATGTTAGCAAAGAATCATTTTTCTCACAGCTCTCCTGGCTGATGAGCATGTCTACATAGTTGGGCTGGGGGAAGATCAGGTGACTCTTCCGAGAGTCCGCGGTGAGGGAGACCTCATGGGAATAGGTCTGCAGGAAAGCCTGCACCCCGTCCATGCCCACAAAGTGCGAGGTGGGCACGTTCGCCAAGCCACCTTCTGAAGCCTGCAGCAGGCGTGACTTGTGCCAGCGCCGCAGCCTGAGCGCCAGCAGTACGAGGACGAAGGCTAGGAAGACGCAGGAGACTGTGGCCACCGCCACCACCAGGTACAACGTGAGGTCATAGTTGTAAGGACCGTCGGAGGGCTCAAGGCTGCCCAGGTCGGCCAAGACTTCGGGGATGCTGTCAGCCACAGCCACGGTGAGTGTGACGGTGGCTGACAGAGGAGGCTGACCGTGGTCCTGGACGGCCACCACGAGGCTCTGCTTGAGGGCATCTCTGTCCAGCAGGGCCCGAGCCGTGCGCACCTCGCCCGTGTACAGCCCAACCGCAAAGAGTCCTGGCTCGCTGGCCTTAAGCAGGAGGTATGACAGCCAGGCGTTCTGGCCTGAATCTTTGTCCACCGCCACCACCTTGGTCACCAGGTAGCCGGGCTCTGCGGAGCGGGGTGCCAGCTCCATGCCAGTAGAACCATCTGTGGGGAGGGCCGGGTACAGGATCTCGGGCGGGTTGTCATTCTGGTCCAGCACGAACAGGCTCAGTGACATGTTGCTGCTGAGAGGCGGGTCCCCGCTGTCATGTGCAGTCACTCTTAGTTGTAGTTCTCTCAACTGCTCATAATCAAAGGATTGCAGCGCGTACAGGACTCCAGTGTCAGAGTTTATGGAGACATAGGAGGACACTGGAGCCCCCTGGATGGTGTCTTCGGCCAAGGAATAAGTGATCTGGGCATTATCCTCACTGTCGTGGTCCTGTGCAGTCACTAAGAAAATGGAGGCCCCTCTGGGGTTGTTCTCAGCGATGTAGACTGAGTAGGATGAGTGGGGGAAGGTGGGTGGGTTATCGTTGGTGTCTGCCACCTGCATGAATATGTGAGTTTCCCTGGACAAGGGAGGAGTTCCACCATCTGTGGCTTTCAGTGTGATGTTATACAAAGAGAGTGTTTCCCGGTCCAAGTTTTTGGTTGTGACCAATCTATAATAATTATCTATTGATTTTTCTAATTTAAAAGGTAGGTTTTCTGGAATGGTGCAGGTCACCTCACCATTCTTTCCAGAATCTCTGTCTTGTAGGTAGAAAAGAGCAATGACTGTCCCAAGAGGTGTGTCTTCAGGGATTGAGCTACTTAAAGACGTCATAGTCACTTCTGGAGCATTATCATTTACATCTAAAACTGTGATCAGTACTTTTGCCTTTGTCAGACTACCAGGACCATCTTGAGCCTGAACCTCCATTTCATAGAAGGCAGTTTCTTCATAATCTAATCCTTCTAAAGTTGATATTTCTCCTGTAAGCGAGTTCAGATGAAACATCTTTGGAAGTTTAGGAGTTATTTTCCGAAAAGAATATGTCACTTCCCCATTGACTCCCTCGTCCAGGTCGATAGCATGTACCGTGAGCAGTCTTGTACCCACTGGCACATTCTCGGGGACAGTTACTTGGTACTGAGGCAGAGAGAAGACAGGCGTGTGGTCATTCACATCCACCACTGTCACCTGGATGTGGGCGGTGCTGGATCGGGGCGGGTCGCCGCCATCAGAGGCTGTGAGGACCAGGTGGTGAACCCGCTCTTCCTCCCGGTCCAGCACCCGCTCCAGCACCAGTTCCGGGTACTTAGTTTCATCGTCTCCACTTTGCACAGCCAGGGAGAAGTGGCGATTGGGGCTGAGCTGGTAACTCTGGAGGGAGTTCGTGCCCACATCTGGATCCCCAGCCTCGCTTAACGGAAACCGAACCCCAGGAGCTGTATTCTCCATTATTTTTACATTTATTTCTTCCGTCAAGAATCTTGGAACGTTGTCATTAATATCTATTATTTCCACGTCTATAGGGTAAAGATTCATTTTATCTTCCATCAGGATGTTAAAGTTTACCAGACACCGCGCACTCTGAGCGCAGATCTCTTCCCGGTCTATCCTGCCCGCAGTGACCAAGCTGCCGCTGCGCTGGTTCAGGGCGAAAAGCTGCGTCCTACCTCTGGAGATGATGCGGACTCCGCGCTCCGCCAGCTCCCGGGGCTCCAGCCCCAGGTCCTTGGCGATGTCTCCCACAAAGGACCCTTTGTCCGTCTCCTCCGACACGGAGTAGAGAATACGTCCTGCCCAGGCTTCCCAGGGGGTCCCCAGGAGGATGGAGAGCAGGAAGAATCCTCTGTAGTCCCCGCCCCTCGGCTGAGCCGCCATAGTCGTCCTGCTTCTCTTGCTTAGGCGCCGATCTCGGGAAGTGCTTCAGAATGCGGGTGTATCCGGGTGGACCCCTCTGTCTTAGGAAGGGGAGCTCAGAATCCAGCAGGATAGAGGCTTGAGTTTAGTGCAGCCTGGAAGAGGGCTTATCGCAATCTGTCGTTTCTCTGTGCTGTAAAACTCGGTGGTTTCTGTGGGATCTCTCGCACCATTTTTCCCTGGTTGGTGAACAGCGGCGCTGTGAGTCCTTACTAAGTTACTGCACCACATTGATGCACACAATACACTGATTTCATAGAAAATTGTTTCATCTTTCAAAATTTCCCTGTTAGATTTCTTTGCTCTAGATATCCCTGATAATTAAAAATCCATTTTAAGACACTGAATTAATGCAACAGTGTTCATGGACCGGTGTTTGATAATCTTAGATAATTTTTAAAAAACTGCTTTGCCTTGCAACTTTCAAGTGACTCTTTTGGGCACTGACTCACACGTTATTGCACATGGGAAAATCAGTTATTGAAGGCAAAAAGGTAAATTTTATTTAAATACATATGAAAGATTTTACTTAGAAAATATTTACATCAGTGTATATAAATTTTAATTAATTCAGTATTAATTGAACACATATGTTCTAGACACCATGATGCAAGATTCAGAAAGTCAAAATTGTTGTAAAATATATAGACCTATTTTAATAAATTTTTGATTGTATAGAACCTTAGAGACGGTCTAACACCTTCATTTTAACCGTTTAAAAAATGAGAGGGGGGGCCAGGTGCTGTTGCTCACGCCTGTAATCCCACACTTTGTGAGGCCGAGGCGGGCGGATCACCTGAGGTCGGGAGCTTGAGACCAGCCTGACCAACATGGAGAAACCCCGTCTCTACTAAAAATACAAAATTATCCGGGCGTGGTGGCGCGCGCCTGTAATCCCAGCTACTCAGGAGGCTGAGGCAGGAAAATCGCTTGAACCCGGGAGGTGGAGGTTGTGGTGAGCCGAGATCACACCATTGCACTCCAGCCTGGACAACAAGAGCAAAACTCTGCCAAAAAAAAAAAAAAAAAAAAAAGAAGAAGAAAGAAAGAAAGAAAGAAAGAGGGAATTGCCTTGCCTTGTTCCTGATTATTGATTATATAGTAGTAGAACAATGTCGGAATCCAAATATTCTCACTCCCAGTCTTGTGAGAAAAAAAGAAAGAAATCGTTGTTTGTCTTGGCTGCAGCAATCAGCTATAGAAGCAACCCATTTTCTACAGAAGGCAGAAATCTGCAGAGATCCTACTGGGCTGTGAATTCATAAGAAACTGGATAATGGATTGGCTGATTCTTTTCATTATGCAATTCAATTCAAGTCTTCATCCTAGTATGCAATTCAAATCTTCATCCTACTCTATTCTAGTGTAATTGAGAAAACAGGGATCTCTAGACAGCATTTGAGCAAAATGCAGGACTGTCCTGACAGGATCCTTAGAGGTACTCGTCTCTCCACTGATGTTGATAGAGTAAAACTAAATTATTGATGGATCCGAGGCTACCCTCTGCTAGCAGAAAGAAAAGAAAGCTCCTTTCACATAGTTGCAGAATAAAAGAGAATGACCTGCTCTGGAATAAAGACCTGGCAAGAAACAGTCTTGGTTTGTAAATTCTTCTAGGTCCTGGAGAGTAGTTGGTGGAACCAGGAGGAGAATCCAGAACTAACACTAAGAAAGCTTAACTTCGTTTTGTGGGAGGCTCCTAAGTAACCTATTTCTGCTTTCTGGTGGCATTGCTCCAGAATACAGGGAACACTTTGAAGGACATTCTGTTTTGATCTATCAAAATAATCCATAGTTATCTTTGCATTCACAAAGTAGATAAATTTTGTTTAAAGGAACTAATAGAGGTATTATAGATGAATTCTGTAAACTGGAGTTAAATTCTATTTGTTTAATAGTACTTTTGAACTTCTTGTTGAGGCAAGCAAAGTGTATGATTATTAAACAATGTAAGCACTTGTAGATATTTTCAAACAAACTTTCATGTTTGGAGGTTATAGCTCTCAATGTCTTGATCCATTTTTACCTGATGCCTCAAAATTCATAGTTTCATCTCACATTTGTTTCTTATTCTACTGTTTTAAAAAAGTCTCAATTAATTTATAGTGTCTTGGTACCTTCTTTGGAGAAAAGGAAATAAGAGCTAGTTAAATTAAATTATAGACTACTCCGAACACAAAGCATACATACCCTATGGAGTAAATGGCTTCATTGTCTCTAGCATTCACATTTTCTAAGTTATCGAACATCATAAAATTAAATATTAAAGATCTTTACTAGACCGCCAAGATATGTTTAATAAAATCTAACATAAGCTCATTGTATCAAATTGAAATCATTTCATAGTTTAAAGAGTGTATATTATTGTTGACTGAGATATTGGGAAGAATCCTGACCATTTGTTTGGTTGCATTAAAAAGAATTCTATGTAAAGTCTATTTGGCTTCCTGGGCATCGAATTGATTATCTTCTCTCTTTTCTTTTTTGGGACTTTTTTTTCTAAAAAACAAACAACAAAACAGTTCTTTGAAGTTCCATTTAGATTTTCATTCTCAAGCAAAGATATAGGTATCTTCCAATGTTTCTCCTCTGAGATTTTACTCCTTCCCCTTTGACAATTGCCACCTCAACAGAAGCCTGATCAGAAATGAATGCCTTTCAGGCCGGGCTCAGTGGCTCATGCCTGTAATCCCAGCCCTTTGAGAGGCTGAGGCGGGTGGATCACTTAAGGTCAGGAGTTTGAGACCAGCCTGGCCATCATGGTAAAACCCCATCTCTACTAAAAGTATGAAAATTAGCTAGGCATGGTGGCATGCACCTGTAATCCCAGCTACTTGGGAGGCTGAGGCAGGAGAATCGCTTGAACCCAGGAGGAGGAAGTTGCAGTGAGCAGAGATCACACCACTGCATTCCAGCCTGGGAGACAGAGCAAGACTCTGACAAAAAAAAAAAAAAAAAAAAAAAAAAAAAAGAGGCTTTCACAGACCATAAAATAAGAATAAGACAATAATTTGGTAGTTTTTTTTCCTGATGCTTCAAAATTCTATACTGAACTCTCAAAACCTCAGATAGCCTATCTTATTATTAATGATCTGTATTGCAGGTGGATTAAAGAACCTCATTTAGCCATAACTTAGCAAATTCCATGACTGCCAGGATGTTTAACAGTTGGTCAGTCCACATGAGTGAATGACTTTTGTGAGAGTAGAAGTTGGTAGTTTTTCCATCAGAGAAATATTTTATTTGTTTAAATGAAATGGTCACAGGTAATAAGAGAATAAAATAAACCAGCCTGATCTCCATGAAAAGTAGTTAGTGAGCTTTCCCTATAACAACAAATGCTCAAGATGTAGTTTAACATCCCAAATTGGTAGTATAGTAAAATAACATTCACACTTTCAGAGTTTATGAAATAATCATATGTATAACAGCCCATCTAACTCATGAGACTAATATCCAAGATTCAAGTTGTTTAAAATTGTTATTTTATCAAATTATATCACAAAGATACAAGAAAATGAGCTTTGAAGATGTGTATGATTAGATCTCTTGTTTAGGTATATACCTTTGGAAACTTGAAATAAATAAATCTATAACAATTCCTTAAATGTAAATACCACAATATTGGTTCAGAAAAACACATATTACTCTTAGCAGCTTATTTAAAAACACATCAACTCAATGTTATCTTTAAGAAGACTGACAAAGTCAGGTTACAAAGGAGGTTCTCATTTATTTTCAAGGTATCTTCTCAATTGCTTTTTTCTTACACATTCATAACAAATTCAGATGCACAAGTGGCCAATCCATTCTATAATACCACCAGATTGTAGAATCTTCCAACTCATGACTGGAGAAAAATCTTGACTATAATGTAGTTCAACAAGTCATCAAATTAGAGAATCCCCTGTACTCCATTCATTCCAGGGCCATCAACTTACTTTTGAAGACTGTCGATAACAGAATCTCCTATCTCCTTAGTGATCCATTTTCTATTCGAACATCATTGACAGTCAAAAACTCTGCTGTTTTCTGTTCATGAAACAATGATTCTGTTTGCACATTTCAGTCATAATAAATAAGACTAATCAGTCTTCTAAATGATAATCCCTTTTTTCTTGAAATATTTCAATAAAGAGTTCCTATATGATGAAAGCCTTATTGTCTGGGTTAAAATGCTAAAATATTTAAATTTTTATTTGAACCTCATTAACATTTGTTCTCCCATTCACCAGTCAGTCATCTATTTTTAGAGATATGTCCTGTAAGCAGACACTACCGAGCATGTTTTAAAATTCATGTTCACTCTTTATTTATTAATTATCATTATTATTTTTTGAGACAGAGTCTCGCTCTGTCACCCAGACTGGAGTGCAGTGGCACGATCTTGGCTCACTGCAACCTCTGCCTCATGGGTTCAAGCGATTCTCCTGCCTCAGCCTCCCGAGTAGCTGCGATTACAGGCCCATGCCACCCCACCTGGCTAATTTTTGTATTTTTAGTAGAGACGGGGTTTCACCATGTTGGTCAGGCTGGTCTCGAACTCCTGACTTCGTGAGATGCCTGCCTTGGCCTCCCAAAGTGTTGGGATTACAGGCATGAGCCACCGCACCCGGCCATTTTCACTCTTAAATACTATCAGGCACACAGTATGCAAAAGACACTGTAGTAGGCACACAGCATCGGTGCTTAGTTATTGTTAACAACCCAATAATTATAATAATGGTGATGTCAACAAATACGTGTTCACTATGCTGCTTTAGAGTTTGAAAAAAAGTTATAAAATTATTTTCTTAGAATTTGAGTCAGATAGATAAGGAAAGTCTTGTTTTAAAAAATAATATAAGTAGAGCTTATTTGAGCCAAGCTTTAGGATTGCAACCCAGGAACATAGATTCAAGTTGCCCTGGATACACACTCTATAAGCAGCAGTTACAGGTGGATTTTTACTCCAGACTGGGCAACAGAGGGGGATCCTATCTCTGATAAGAGAAGTCTTTTAAATCTTAATTTTAATTGGAAGATAATGGCGATTGTAACTGGCCCAAGTAAATAACAGATAGTTACAGGAATGTTATTCAGGTCTTTTAACACCAAAGATCTGGTGTCCCCTGCTGCAGTTACCAATGATTCTTATCTTTTCAAAAATAATTTTTGATTCCTAAGTAGTAAAGGTGAAAGATCTCTTGTATGAACGTCTGTCGTTTATAGTTATCAAGTAACACTGAGAAAAAACAAAATCTTTTTTTTTTTTTGAGAGAGAGAGAGAAAAAGTCTCATTCTGTCTCCCAGGCTAGGGTGCAGTGACACAATTATATCTCACTGCAGCCTCATACCCCTGGACTTAAGCAATCCTCCTATCAGAGCTTCTCGAGTAGCTGGGACTACAGGTGTACGCCACACATCTGGCTACTTTTTTTTCTTTTTGGTAGAGACAGAGTCACCCAGGCTGGTCTCAAACTCCTGGTCTCAAGGGATCCTCCTGCCTCAGCCTCCTGAAGAGGTGGGATTACAGGCGTGAACCACCATGCTAGCTAAAACCAAGATCTTGATCTTTAACACTGACCTAAATTAAGGTTATTTTTTTTCCCACATTAGAAAAAGAAAGAACCTTACAAATGTCACATAGTAGGAAAAAACCTAAGAAACGAGATGTACTCAATCCAAGACACAAATAGTTTGCCAAGAAGAGAAAGGTAAAGAAAAACTAGGACATGCATTATTTTCCCCCACAAAATTAAGACTTCAGAACATTCTTTTGATATAAAAGAAAAACATTAGAATTATGTGACTCTCTGCAAAGGGCTAAGAAAACTAAGCACTAATCAAAGACAATCTTGAATTTTCCTGTCAACCAATAAAAACGATACCCTCGGCCGGGCGCGGTGGCTCACGCCTGTAATCCCAGCACTTTGGGAGGCCGAGGCGGGTGGATCATGAGGTCAGGAGATCGAGACCATCCTGGCTAACAAGGTGAAACCCCGTCTCTACTAAAAATACAAAAAAATTAGCCGGGCGCGGTGGCGGGCGCCTGTAGTCCCAGCTACTAGGGAGGCTGAGGCAGGAGAATGGCGTGAACCCGGGAAGCGGAGCTTGCAGTGAGCCGAGATTGCGCCACTGCAGTCCGCAGTCCGGCCTGGGCGACAGAGCGAGACTCCGTCTCAAAAAAAAAAAAAAAAAAAAACGATACCCTCACCTGAACAAGGGAGTCTTCCACTTTACAAAATCACGAATCTTCCTGTACCAAAAGAGGTTCGCTTCTATAACAGCCGATCTAGCTGATGAGCCTGTCTGATTAGTTGGGTTGCGGGAAGATCAGATTACTCTTCCCGCTTAGGCGGAAAGAAACTCACCTGAAGTTGCCTGGGTTCTCCTTTCGTTTCAAGTAAATCCTGAGTTATCAGAAGAGGCTCGCTTTTCTCATAGCTCTCCTGGTTGATAAGCGTGTCGGCATAGTTGGGCTGGGGGAAAATCAGATGACTCTTACGCGAGTCTGCAGTGAGTGAGACCTCGTGGGAATAGGTCTGCAGGAAAGCCCGAACCCCTTCCACGCCCACAAAGTGCGAGCCGGGCATGCTCGCTAAGCCACCTCCCGAAGCCTGCAGCAGGCGTGACTTGTGCCAGCGCTGCAGTCTGAGCGCCAGCAGCACGATGACGAAGGCCAGGAAGACGCAGGAGACCGCGGCCACCGCCACCACCAGGTACAGAGTGAGGTCCGAATCGTTGGGTTTGGCGGAGGGCTCGAGGCTGCCCAGGTCGGCCAGGATGTCGGGGATCCTGTCGGCCACGGCCACGGTGAGCGTGACAGTGGCGGAGAGAGGGGGCTGGCCGTGGTCCTGGACGGCCACCACTAGGCTCTGCTTGAGCGCGTCTCTGTCCAGCAGGGCGCGCGCCGTGCGCACCTCGCCCGTGTGCAGGCCCACTGAGAAAAGTCCTGGCTCGCTGGCCTTGAGCAGGCGGTAGGACAGCCAGGCGTTCTGGCCCGAGTCTCTGTCCACCGCCACCACCTTGGTCACCAGGTAGCCGGGCTCTGCGGAGCGGGGCGCCAGCTCCACGCCAGTGGAACCGTCTGTGGGGAGGGCGGGGTACAGGATCTCGGGCGCATTGTCATTCTGGTCCAGCACAAACAGGCTCAGTGACACGTTGCTGCTAAGAGGCGGGTCCCCGCTGTCGCTGGCTGTCACCCACAGCTGTAGGTCTCTCAACTGCTCATAGTCGAAGGAGCGCAGGGCGTACAGAATCCCAGTGTCGGAGTTGATGGACACGTAGGAGGACAGGGGCGCCCCCTGGAGGGTGTCTTCTGCCAGTGAGTAGGAGACTTGGGCGTTCTGGTCCACGTCAGGGTCCAGTGCATTCACAGAGAAGATGGAGGCACCCCTGGGGTTGTTTTCAAGGACATAGACTGAGTAGGATGAATGGGGGAAGGTGGGCGGGTTGTCGTTGGTGTCTGCCACATTTAGAGAGATGATTGTTTCTGTAGACAGAGGTGGTGTTCCTTTGTCCGTGGCTGTCACAGTGATGTTGTACAAGAATACCTCTTCCCGGTCTAGAGCTGCATTTGTCACTAATCGATAATAATTGCCAACTGATTTTTCCAATTCAAATGGGAGACTTCTCGGGATGGAACAGGTTACCAGGCCATTCAGGCCAGAGTCTCGATCGAACACTTGAAAAAGGGCGATTACTGTTCCTGGAGGTGCACTTTCAGCAATTGTTCTGCTTCCAGATGTAACAACCACTTCTGGTACATTATCATTGACATCCAAGATAGTTATTAAGACTTTCGCTCTGTCTCGAAGACCTGGCCCATCCCGGGCTTCAACACCCAGCTCATAAAAACTCGAGTCCTCATAGTCTAGATTTGCAGAAGTTGAAATTTCTCCAGTCAAAACATTCAAACAGAAAATTTGTGAGATCTTTTCTGTAATCTTCACAAAGGAATAAGTTACTTCCCCGTGGACTCCTTCATCCTGGTCGGTGGCAGTCACTGCCAACACTGGTGTGCCTACTGGCAGGTTTTCAGGAACACTTACACGGTAGACAGGCTGAGTAAACATTGGAGTGTTGTCATTCACATCTAGAACTGTTACCAGAATTTGGGCGACGCTTGAGCGGACAGGGTCGCCGCCATCCATGGCAGTAAGGACCAGGCGGTAAACGGCTTCTCCTTCCCGGTCCAGTGTGCCCTCCAGCACCAGCTCCGGGTACTTGGGCCCATGGGCTTCGCTTTGCACGTCCACTGAGAAGTGACTATTACCACTGAGCTTAAATCCCTGAAGGGAGTTCATTCCCACATCAGGGTCATAGACCTCCATTAGTGGAAAACGAGAGGATGGAGCTGCGTTTTCGAGAATTTTCACTTCCAATTCTTCCTTTAAGAATCGGGGTGTATTGTCATTAATGTCCACTATTTCCACTTCCACGGGATAAAGATTCAGTTTATCCTCGACAAGGATGTTAAAACTCACCAGACACCGCGGGCTCTGAGCACAGAGCTCCTCGCGGTCTATCCTACCCGCGGTGACCAAGCTGCCGTTTCGCGGATTCAGAGAGAAAAGCTGCATCCTACCTCTGGAGACGATGCGGACTCCGTGCTCCGCCAACTCCTGGGGCTCCAGTCCCAGATCCTTGACGATGTTGCCTACGAAGGAGCCTTTCTCCAGCTCCTCGGGAATAGAGTAGCGGATCTGCGCTGCCGCGGCCCCCCACAGCGTCCCCAGGAGCGTGAGGAGCAGGACCTGCTCGCTGCGCTGCGGATGCCTCTGCGGAGGCGCCATTACTGGCTTATTAGGAACTTCTCTGGGATTAAGAAGAGGAAGAACAGATCTGCATCACTTTTGCTCTTCTCAGAAATAGCGGTGAAGGTCCTTCAACAAGCAGAGACCGGATGCGAAGCGTTTCAGGTCAGAATTTCTGCACAGCTTTCCTGCTTTCCCGTCTAATTTGCTTTGTTGTTGGAGGATGTAACTTGAGTTTCCGTTGATTTTCTTGCCCAGGTTGGTCAACAGCGACGCTTAGAGTCCTAACTTAATACTGCATCGTTTTGTGAAACTATCACACAGAGGATTTTATTTCTGCTAAATCTGCAGAGATGACACTCATAATATTTCCCTCCCCAAGATAATGAAGCATTTAGAAGAGTGTAAGAGATTATTTTGAATAATTTTAAATGTTCTCTGAAGTTTACCATTCATTTTTATGAAAATATCTCTTAGGACCTTGGGGAACAGAAATAATATTACAATCTTCTGTAAATTTTGAATTATCATCACATTTCACCACCATTTATGCTAGTCCCATTTTCAGTAAGGGTACCAACAACCACAAACACTTTTTTGGAGACAAAGTCTCGCTCTGTCTCCCAGGCTAGAGTGCAGGGGCACAATTATAGCTCATTGCAGCTGCTACCTCCTGGGATCAAGGGATCCTCCCACCTCAGCCTCCCGAGTAGCTGGGACTACAGGCATATGCTACACAAACACATTTTGAACCAATTCATTACAGTGCCCATTACAAGAGTTGCCATTTTAGATGCCATTATTTCTTTTGATTAGCATAGAAGTTAAAAACTGCCCTGACATAGGCAACATCTGTGTATACTTTTAAAAACATGCAAAGGGAAGTAAAAATATTATATACAGGTTACATTAAAAATGTGTTAAGATATACATAATGTTTCATATATTTTAGGATTGACTGCATTAAAACTAAGTAAACCACTTAATTGTGAGGATTTGGGTCTAATTCTGGATAGATATGTCTGAAAATGACAGTGTGAGATAATACTGTATTAAAAATGTTTCAGATTATAGTGTATTAGGATTAAGAAAAGTTTCAAGACTATCAAAAGGAGGCTTTCTATGAAAGAACAACTGCAACACAGATATTCTACAGGAAATTCTACAAAGAATTTCCTAGACACCCTACTCTACACCAGAAAATCAATAAAATAATGTAATCAGGGAATATTTAATCTGTATTCTTTTTATCTCTAAATCAATGAATTGAAACCCAATTATATTTATGGAAGGAAAGGTTTGAAGAAACTCACCTTTTGCAAATTGCCTGAATTAGAAGGCATTTCTGGATTGTCATTACTTTCAAACCAAGAGGCTTCATCACATAGAAGATCTTGTGGTGCAGCATTTTCAGCCTTTATATTGAGAAATTTAAACTCGGTGTTTGAGGAATGTGAGGCAGCACACGGATTGTAGGAATAAGGCAAAGTCCTTTCGCTGTAGGTGGGGAGAACTCCAGGTACAGTCTTGAAGCAGACACCAGGCTGAAAGTAGCCCTCAGTGGCGGGTCTGGAGGAGCATCGCAGGCGCAGGGAGATTGCCAGAATCACCGCGAGGAGGAAGAGCACTGAGATCAAGGCCAACGCCACTACTAGGTGAAACTGTAGCTCCGCCTGAGGGTCAGAGGGAGTGGGGCGGTCGCTAAGGTCAGGTTGTATCTCTTGCAAGCTATCTGCGAAGATTAGGTGCAGCATGACGGTGGCTGAAAGAGGCTGCTGTCCTCCATCACGCACAGTGACCAGCAGGCGCTGGCGGGCGGCCTCCCTGTCGCCCAAGGTACGCGCCGTGCGCACCTCACCCGTGCGCAGGCCCAGGCTGAACAGCCCGGGCTCGCTGGCCTGCACAATGTGGTAGGACAGCCAGGCGTTGTATCCCGAGTCTGCGTCCACCGCCACCACCTTGGTCACCAGGTAGCCAGGCTCTGCAGAGCGCGGCACCATATCGAAGAGCGCAGAGCCTTCGGGCCCCAGAGCTGGGTACAGCACCAGCGGTGCATTGTCGTTGCGGTCGTCCACCAACACGCGCAGGCTCACGTTGGCGCTGAGCGTAGGCGAGCCCTGGTCGCGGGCCTGCAGAGTGAGCTCGAAGGCACGCAGCTGCTCGTGGTCGAAGGCTCGCTGCGCGAACACCACCCCGCTCCGCGCGCTCACGGACACGTAGGACGACAGCTCCCGCGGCTCCAGGTCACTGGCCACGATGTAGTAGGAGACAAGGCCATTAGGTCCCAAGTCGGGATCCGAGGCTCTGACATGCGCAATGGAGGCTCCAGGCGGATTGTTCTCAGCTACATGCACGGTGTAGGAGGCCTGGTGGAAAACGGGAACGTTGTCGTTGACATCAAGGATGTGCAGAGTGATGGTCTTGCTGGAGGAGAGCGGTGGATTGCCTTTGTCGGTAGCTGTGATCGTCACATTGTATTCTGGGATCTGCTCCCGGTCCAGGGCTCCATCTGTCACCAACCTGTATGTGTTTTTGGTATCTTGAACGATTTTAAAGGGGAAGTTTCCTTTTAGTTGGCATAGGATTTCTCCATTAAATCCAGAATCTAGATCATGTGTTTTGATCAGGGCAACGGCAGTCCCCAGCTCAGCATCTTCTTGTATATGTTGGGATTCAGAAGCCAGGGTTATCTCCGGGGCATTGTCATTTTCATCTGAAATATCTATCTGTACTTTACAATATGCAGTGTGATGTCCACCATCCTTTGCTTCCACCCCAATTGTGTAGCTATCTCTCTCTTCAAAGTCCAGTTCTCCAATAGTGGTGAGTTCCCCCGTTTTACTGTCCAGCTTGAACAGTTGTCTCACTTCCTTGCCAATATTGATGAAGGCATAGATGATTTCGGCATTGATGCCCTCATCCATGTCAATGGCCATCACTTTTAATACGGAGGAGCCAGCGGGCAGGTTCTCTGCAACATTGACCCTGTACATGTCCTGAGTAAATACTGGGGGGTTATCATTTGCATCTGCGACAATTACCCTGATCTGGGTGGTACAGCTTCTGGAGGGCTCGCCCCCATCCACAGCTGTGAGGACCAGGTGGTGATGTGGCTGCTCTTCCCTGTCCAGGGGTGCTTTCAGTACTAGCTCTGGGTACCTACTGCCATCCAGGTTCTCCTTCTGAATCAAAGAGAAGTGCGGATCAGGGCTGAGGTAGTACTGCTGCAGCGAATTGACACCTACATCAGGATCTTGCGCAGATTCCAGGGCAAATGTGGCTCCAGTGAGAGCCAGTTCGCTGATTTCCAGCTCAGTGATATTTTGGCTAAAGGTCGGTGGGTTGTCGTTAATATCCTGGATCAGCACAGTTACATGAAAAAAGTTTAAAGGCTTTTCAGCAACCATTTCAAATTCCAGAACACACGTCGACTTCTTGCCACAAATCTCCTCTCGGTCTATACGGTCGCTCACAAGTAAGTTCCCATTTTCGGGGCTCACGGTAAAGAATTTCTTCTCTGCAATAACCCGCAGGTTCCTAGTAGGTAAATCCCCCACGCCAAACCCCAGGTCCTTGGCGAGGTTCCCTACCAGCGAGCCCCTGTCCAGCTCCTCGGGAATAGCGTAGCGGATCGGTTCGGAGAGAGCCTGGTCTAACAAAGAGAGCAGGAAGAGAAATAGCATTCGCCTCTGCCCTGCTGGGCCCCTCCATCCGGAGCTATTTCCCATCCCGCTCTCTGCGCCTTTGCCTTTCTAAATCCGAGGAGAGGAGATCTTTAAATAATCCCAAGAGTTCTCCGAGCAGGACCAACTATTTGCTTTGTCTTTGTGCTTGGGTTCTCTAATGGGTGTCTCCGCTGCAGGAAGCCTGATAGAGAGTGCACTTTTCTTCCGAGCTGGCTGCAGCGGGAGGAGCCAATATTTTGCACAGCACTAGCCAAGAGCGGCACCCGGCGCCTCTGCTGCAGAACTGCAGTAATGGTGACTAAATCAGCTCCAAATAAGGAGCTAGTTAGGAGAAAAATCGGCAGTGTACTGATAGTGATACTTTCTTCCCATTTTAAAAGGACTTTTAAAAAACATTAAATATACTTACTATATCTTTAGTCTGTTATTTCTTTTAATTTGAGCTTTATCCATCCAAATCAAGTACCTTTTACTTGTCAAAGGGCAGAGATAATCTTGCTCAATCCCGTCACGTTTTTAGTTTCCATTTTCATAAAATGGTCATAATAATATCTTCTCTGCTTACTCTAGTAGAAATGAGGGCCAAATAAAATAATACATAGAAAATCATACAAATGGAAGCTATTTTTGGTGATGGCAGAAGACGTAGTATAAAGAGGCTTGAAATATCAGCTTCACGTGTATTCTTATTGCATTCTATTTCCTTTACTTCTAACTTCTAAAAGTTATAATGTCATAGCTTTTAGTTTTATTCTATGTTTCACTTTCTTCTCTTTTATCTTTATTATCTCCCCCCAAAAGAAGTTAAAGGTAATGAGGAAATGATTGACCTTATAAAATAGAAGTATAGTAAAAAGCAAGAGGGTCTCTTTTCCTTTGTTTCCAAGTGTCTACTTTTAATTAAATAAGTATGATTGAAAACTTTTTTTTTCTATAGAGGTGGGGTTTCACTATGTTGCCCAGGCTGGGCTAGAACACCTGGCTTTAAGCAATCCTCCCACCTCAGCGTCCCAAATTGCTGGGATTATAGTCATGAACCACCCTGGCCCAAATGAAAAACTTTTACAAAGGATGTTTTTTCATACTACATCACAATTGTCCTGAAATGTACTGTTTCTTCTCAAGTAGCCTAACAATGATGCGTTATTAGGATTGGGGAGTGAATTGTAAGTCCTTATAATTATATTATTTAATTATATAAGTAATCTTCCTGTCCACTTTTCCTTGGTCCCCAGTTTACCATCTGATAATCCTAACTTTTTGTTATTTACACTTTTCCCTGGTCAATAACATGCCATTTTCCATGTTTCTGACAGGTGTCTTACAGTTTTAATTCCATTTTCAAACCAGAAAATCTTCCTAAAGAAATTATCTTTAGCCTACATAATGTATTGTTACTCTAAAACTAGGCAAGTGTGCAGCAATAAGCAATGAGTTCCACACCGAATTCACCTTATAGTGGAAAAGCATTATAGCATCTTAAACTACTCACAGTAACCAGAATTCTAGACAGACACTCATTGTCACCTTTATACAAACATCAAAAATATAACTGACTCAAGACTTTGCTCCAAAACATTCCAAAGCAAGTGCCTTCCAACACAATGCCAAGTGTTCATTGTATGAACACTTCAATTAGTATGAAAAATTATTCTTCAGAACACATATAAAACTAAAGATTCAGATATTTAAAAGTATATGGTATATACAGTACATACATTCAAAATGTATGGATCAAGCATTTTATAGTCTGTTAGTAGTTTATAGAGGGTTTAAAGATATTTTTCCATTGCACAAAACATTTAACTCAGAAGAAATGTACCCAAATCTATAACCTTTACTTTTTTCCCAAACACCTTACCCTAAGAAGCATATAACATTTTCTTTTAAAAAAAATGGAAAAGCAAGTTTTCACATAGGAGTGAATAATGTCGACACCTACTGTATAGATTCTCTTGTTACTCTTTGGATGCATTCACTATTCGGTGAGTTTGTACATTTTACATTTTGGTCAGAATGTCCATGTGTGTATGTATGTGTGTTTGTGTGTGTGTATGTGTGTATATATATGTGTGTATATATATGTGTGTGTATATGTATATAGATATAGATATACTTGAATGCTCTTTAACAGTGTTTAAAAAATAAAAATCAAGTGGTCTTAGGTTCTTTAATGTGTCAATTAACCTTTCATGTGGTTGAGTAATGTAGCTTACTATCCCATTTGTAATATTTTATTACCTTTTCCCCTTATTTAGTCATTATTTGAAGCTGATGCTCAAGGTTTTAAAAGTACAAAATTTGAAGGATTAAGAATATTTTAATAAGAAACATCTGAAAATCATCTTCAGCAAATCAGATGCAGAAGGGAAATATAGTAGTTCTTTCATTACATAACACATCCTCCTGGAATTTGAGGCACATAGGCCAGTATTTCATTAAGACAAATCTATTAATTTAAGATGAGCACATACGTTAGATATGAAATTTAAAATTTTGAACCATCTTTAAGTTGAGTTCTTTTTTTTTCAAATACAACCTTAAACTCAAGTAATAAAGAAGAATTGCACCTACACTTAAAGAAACGCTAACATTGCAGTAGGTATTGATTCTAATAAGTAAAGGGTTTATCTATAACAGAAGATGCCAGGTGTGTGACATATTTACATTTATTGAGTGCAGCAGTATGTAACTCTCTGGAGGCTTTACATCACAGAACGAAGCCCAACCTTAAGGTTCCTTTACACTGATTTCTTCTCTCAACAAGCCCACATATCCAATAACTACATGGCTTAACACAAACTTTCCAGACTTTAGAATGCTACATGTTATCATTAATATAAATTTTATCTACTTTTCTGATATTTATTTATTTATTTATTTATTTATTTATTTATTTTGAGACGGAGTCTCGTTCTGTCTCCCAGGCTGGAGTGCAGTGGCGCGATCTCGGCTTACTGCAAGCTCCTCCTCCCGGGTTCACCCCATTCTCCTGCCTCAGCCTTCCGAGTAGCTGGGACTACAGGCGCCTGCCACCACGCCCGGCTAATTTTTTGTATTTTTAGTAGAACAGGGTTTCACCGTGTTAGCCAGGATGGTCTCGATCTCCTGACCTCGTGATCCGCCCACCTCAGCCTCCCAAAGTGCTGGGATTACAGGCGTCAGCCACCGCACCCGGCCTCTTTTCTGATATTTATGACCCAGAAGTTCTCTGTACCTTTCCACTGATTTATGTAAATACTGTAAATTATTTCCTTAAACAAATTTCAGGTAGACTAAAATATCAGTCCTATACATTATCCTTTCCAAAACACATTCACTAATGGTGTCTAGGCAGACACTCAAAAGAGAACAATATATCTAACAATTTGAATAAATAAAACATCTTTTCTATTAATAGAACTGCAGTTCCAATATAACAAAATATTTGGGTAAAATGATTATATTTAACCACTTTCCTTTAAGGTATTTGTTTCACTTAAGTCTACAGATATCAGCTAGACTTCCCAAAACAGAATTTGAAAACAAATGGAGAAAGCATGAATTATATAAAAAAAATTAATCTCCAATACAGCAAATAATGTTCCACTATTTACATAACTAGCTGATTCTGAATATGACAGAAACATGAAAAAGGAAACAAATGAAAATGTTCTGGTCATCCTTACCGAAAGAGAAAACTAACCTGAACTCGCCGTTCTTCTTTGTTTGCATCTACCTTATCAGACATCAGAAGAGGCTCGCTTTTCTCACAGCTCTCTTCACTAAGGAGCGTGTCTGCGTAGTTGGGCTGGGGAAAGATCAGGTGACTCTTCCTCGAGTCCGCGGTGAGGGAGACCTCGTGGGAATAGGTCTGCAGGAAAGCCCGAACCCCATCCACGCCCACAAAGTGCGAGGCGGGCACACCCGCCAACCTGCTGCCTTCAGCCTGAAGCAGGCGTGACTTGTGCCAGCGCCTCAGTCTGAGCACCAGCAGCACGATGACGAAGGCCAGGAAGACGCAGGAGACTGCAGCCACTGCCACCACAAGATAGAGTGTGAGGTCCAGATCCTCAGGGTCAATGGGGGTCTTGATACTGCCTAGGTCAGCCAGGATGTCAGGGATCCTGTCGGCCACGGCAACGGTGACCGTGAAGGTGGCTGACAGAGGGGGCTGGCCATGGTCTTCGACGGCCACCACGAGGCTCTGCTTGAGCGCGTCTCTGTCCAGCAGGGCTCGCGCTGTGCGCACCTCGCCCGTGTGCAGCCCAACCGCAAAGAGTCCTGGCTCGCTGGCCTTAAGCAGGCGGTAGGACAGCCAGGCGTTCTGGCCTGAATCTTTGTCCACCGCTACCACCTTGGTCACCAGGTAGCCAGGTTCTGCGGAGCGAGGCGCCAGCTCCACGCCCGTGGAACCGTCTGTGGGGAGGGCGGGGTACAGGATCTCAGGCGTATTGTCGTTCTGGTCCAGCACAAACAGGCTCAGCGACACGTTGCTGCTAAGTGGAGGGTTCCCACTGTCGCTGGCTGTCACCCACAACTGTAGGTCTCTCAACTGCTCATAGTCGAAGGATCTCAGAGCATACAGGACACCGGTGTCAGAGTTAATGGATACATAGGAGGACAAGGGCGCCCCCTGAAATGTGTCTTCAGCCAGGGAGTAGGTGACTCGAGCGTTGTCGCCGCTGTCGGGGTCATGGGCTGTCACAGAGAAGATAGAGACACCTCTGGGATTGTTTTCTGTGACAGAGGTGGAGTAGGAGGCTTGAGGGAAATTGGGTGGGTTGTCATTAACGTCTGCTACTTTCAAGGGGATGTGGCTTTCTGTAGAGAGGGGCGGGGTTCCATGGTCCATGACGGTTAAAGTGATATTATAATCTGAAGTCTCTTCTCTGTCCAGGTCCCTAGTTGTTAATAGGTGATAGTAATTATCAACTGACTTCTCCAATTTAAAAGGCAAATTCCTAGGAATAGAGCATGCAATCTCACCATTTTCTCCAGAATCACCATCATGTACGCTAAACAGCGCGATTACAGTTCCGGGAAGACAGTCTTCAGAGATCGAACTGGTCAGAGAGGTGAGGATCACTTCGGGGGCATTGTCATTCACGTCCTGTACTGTGACCACCACCTTAGCGCTGGCAACAAGAGCGCCTCCATCCTGAGCTACCACTTCCATGAGGTAGAATCTGGATTCTTCATAGTCCAGTGATTGTAGAGTTGAGATTTCCCCCAGGTTGGAATCAAGTTGGAAAGTCTCCGAAATTTTTTCTTCTTCATTGCGAAAAGAGTAGGTCAATTTCCCGTTTATTCCCTCATCTGGATCCGTGGCGGTTAGCATGAGCAGCCGAGTGCCCACAGGTATGTTCTCTGGAACACTCACGCTGTACTCGGATGGGGTGAACAGGGGCGCATTGTCGTTTGCGTCGAGGACCGTAACACGGATGTGCGTGGTGCCGGAGAGTACCGGGTCTCCGCCATCTAAAGCTGTGAGGAGGAGGTCGTGAACAGTCTCTTTCTCGCGGTCTAGGGGCTGTTCCAACACCAGCTCCGGATACTTTTGTCCATCAGTTCCGCTTACCACATCCAGAGAGAAGTGCAGATTGGAGCTGAGCTGGTAACTCCGGAGAGAGTTCACACCCACATCCGCATCCCGCGCGAAGGGAAGCACTAACCGTGTCCCTGCAGCCGCATTTTCATTAACTTTTACTTTTAACTCTTCATCCCGGAAACGCGGGAAGTTATCATTAATATCGATTATTTCTACTTCTACTCCATAAATTTTCATTTTGTTCTCAACCAAGATGTTAAAGTTCACCACACACAGTGGGCTCTGAGCGCAGAGCTCCTCCCGGTCTATCCTGCCCGCGGTGACCAAGCTGCCGCTTCGCGGGTTCAGGGCAAAAAGCTGCGTCCTACCTCTGGAGACGATGCGGACTCCGCGCTCCGCCAGCTCCTGGGGCTCCAGCCCAAGGTCCTTGGCTATGTTGCCGACGAAGGAGCCTTTGTCCAGCTCCTCCGGCATCGAGTAGCGGATCTGCCCGGATCCTGGCTCGCACAGCGTCCCCAGGAGCATGAAGGGCAGCAGCAGCTCTCCGCAGCCCCAGCCCCTAGGTGGACTCGCCATTGCCTTCTCTCTGCCCAATTTTCTCTTAGTTCTGGTTCAGCCTGCTGTTTCCTTATTTATCTAAAGCCGATGGGTACATATTCCCTGACGAAAATGGGCGTGGAGCGTTGGCTTTTCGTAGGAGCTTGTCTGGTCTGTGTGTTTAGTATGGAGGGAGCAGAGTCGGGTCGCCTCTGCGGCAGCTTCTTTCCCACTTTGGTCAACAGCGACACTCAGAGTCCTAACCAGTGACTGCATCAAATTCCATTTTTATTTCTCCTAAGTTTAGTTATAATTTTATTTCTAATAATGTTGCCATATCCTTAATGTTTAACTGTGTAGCGTTGTTTATGACCGTTAATTCAGCTTTAATTCTGAATAGCAAGACTTCCACAATCCCTGAGATCAATATGATTATTAGATCTCAATACCTTACAAAAATTTTATTTAATGCGTCATCGGGGGAGCCTATGTCCTTTATTTACCTCTTATCTATATTTAGTCCATTAAATTAGGACATTCAAATTCTTACCTTTGTAGGATTCAAGATTTCATCTCCTTATTAGGATAAATTTAGGAAAACGTGCTTATTTGCATATAAGAATACCAAGGAAACAAACCCAGTTCTCCATGCACCTTTCCAAACAGGCCTACTGATTTATGTAAGTTATATTAGCTGTCATATGCAGAAGAAATAAAGATCTTTGTTACTTGTGAGGACTTTGAGAAAGTCTCTCCACTATCTCAGACAGCGTTTGAGTTGGGTTAACTATGCATTTTTATGTTTTTCTATTACCATGTTCAAATATTTGTAGTTCCAGTGACAACCAGTATAGTAACTGTGGAGGATGGGGTTTTATTTCATCATCCATGCAGGAAAGCATGAGCAGATACTTGTCGAGAAGTACTGAGTGACCTTTCTATGTTGAGACAGATATTTACTGCTATCATCTTTATATGACAACAGAAATAGAAAAACCTCTTGATTGAAAAAAATGGACATTTCAGAAAGTCATTTTATTTAATAACACTTTCATAGAAAACTAAGAAAATAAAAATTCTATATAATTAGGAAATTCAAAAGCAAAGTTTTAAGTAATATTTTGTAGAAAATGATGTGAACATAGGTTGTAAGATTTTTCTCAATGTGTAGTTTTTCTTAAGAGCAATTTGTTAAAATGCATGTTAGAGAATGATTTCTCACATTTGTTAAATGCACTCTTTCTAGCAGACACCTCAGACCTCAAACATTGCCTGTCCTTTAGAAATACATTTGTGATTCCAAGACATTTAGCTTACTGAGTGTTGGTCTTCAAGTCAATGGGACAATGTCCTACCCATGCCCTGTGATTAACAAGCCATGCCATTATGCAAAAGTCTTTCTTCTTTGTTTCCCAATTTCCAAAGCCTACTAAAATGAAGACTCTCTTTACTCTGAAGTATTATGATTCTAAGAGGAAGTAAAACTAAAATTTGAATAACAAAGAGCCTGAAGGTGAAACTAATTGCCTAAAGTCTCAATAGCAACAAATCTGCAGAGAGAAGTAATGTAAAGATGAGGAAGAAAAAGAAATACAGTGCAATATCTCATGTGATAAAGGTTTGCAATCATGGGTAAATAAATCTCACACTTCAGAGAGAAAACACTTAAAATTCAGTTAGATAAGATTAAGACAATTAAGGCACAACATTGGCCAAATCTAACTCACAGACAAAGAAATACGCAGTGGAACTTCCTACCCAAATTAGGTGAAACAATAAAACCAGAAGTGAAAATAAATTAATTAAAGCTCACCTTCAAAATAGTATCTGAGGCAAAAGGGACCCCAGCGGCTCCATGATTTGTATTTTGTTCCCAAGAGGCATTGTCACAGACGAGATCTTGCGCGGGAACCAATTCCGGGGTTATGTTCAGAAAATTGAACTCTGTCTTGGCTGATTGTGAGGCAACACACAGGTTGTAGGAATAGGGCAATGTACCCTCACTGTAATTGGGGAGAACCCCAGGTCCAGGCTTGGAGCTGAGACCAGGCTGAAAACAGTCCCAAGCATCTGACCTGGAAGAGAGTCGCAGGCGCAGGGAGATTGCCAGAATCACCGCGAGGAAGAAGAGCACTGAGATCAAGGCCAAGGCCACAACCAGGTAAAACTGCAGTTTTGCCTGGGGGTCAGAGGGCTCCCGGCGGTCGCTGAGGTCTGGCAATACCTCTTGCAGGCTATCCGCGAAGATTAGGTGCAGCGTGGCCGTAGCGGAGAGTGGCGGCTGTCCTCCATCACGCACAGCGACCAGCAGGCGCTGGCGGGCCGCGTCCCTGTCGCCCAAGGCACGCGCTGTGCGCACCTCACCCGTGCGCAACCCCAGGCTGAAGAGCCCGGGCTCGCTGGCCTGCAGCACGTGGTAGGACAGCCAAGCGTTGTGTCCTGAGTCTGCGTCCACCGCCACCACCTTGGTCACCAGGTAGCCGGGCTCTGCGGCGCGTGGCACCATATCGAAGAGGGCGGAGCCATCAGGCCCCAGCGCGGGGTACAGCACCCGTGGCGCATTGTCATTGAGGTCGCCCACTAACACGCGCAGGCTCACGTTGGCGCTGAGCGCGGGCGAGCCCTGGTCGCGGGCCTGCAGTGTGAGCTCGAAGGCGCGCAGCTGCTCATGATCGAAGGCGCGCTGCGCGAACACCACCCCGCTCTGCGCGCTCACGGACACGTAGGATAAAATCTCCCGCGGCTTCAGGTCGCTCGCTACGATGGAGTAGGAAACTTGGCCACTGGGGCCCAAGTCAGGGTCAGAGGCACTGATTTGAGCGATAGAGGCGCCAGGAGGATTGTTCTCTGCCACGTGAACCATGTAGGAAGTCTGTTGGAAAACTGGGGCATTATCGTTGACGTCGGAGATGTGCAGGGTGACAATTATGCTGGAGGAGAGGGGCGGCTTGCCCCCGTCGGTGGCTGTGATGGTGAGATTGTATTCTGGGATCTCCTCCCGGTCCAGAGCGCCGTCTGTCACTAGTTTGTAATAGTTCTTTGAGGAAGATTTCAAAATAAACTTGGCATTTCCCAACACTTGGCAGTAAACTTCTCCATTTTCTCCAGAGTCTCTGTCTCTCGTTTTTATCAAGGCGATCACTGTTCCTGGTGGCGAATCCTCCGGTAGGGGAGTAGATACTGAAGTCACAATAACTTCAGGTGCACAATCGTTGTCATCAAGAATTTCAACTTGGATACTGCAGTGGGCTGCTAGATCTCCAGGATCTTTTGCTTCGATACTCAGAGTGTAACTACTTGCAATCTCAAAATCCAAATCATCCTTTGTCGTGATTTCTCCTGTTTTTTCATTTAAGTTGAAAAAGTGTTTCACTTGTTCGTCCACATTATGAAAGGAGTAGGTGATCTCTGCGTTTATGCCTTCATCCCGGTCGGTGGCTGTCACTTGAAGCACAAAGAAGCCCGGCGGCACGTCCTCCCTCAGGGTGACCCTGTACACGTCCTGGCTGAACACTGGAGGGTTATCGTTGGCATCCGTGACTTTGATTCGGATTTGGGTCGTGCCACTTTGAGGTGGGTCTCCGCCATCCACAGCTGTGAGGACCAATTGATGTAAACTGTGCTCTTCTCTGTCCAGAGAGTGTTTTAGAATCAACTCAGGATATTTACGACCATCTGGAGTCTGTTTCTCAGCGAGATCAAAGTACTCGTTGTCATTAAGGTGGTATCTTTGTAGTGAGTTAGGACCAACATCTGAATCCAGGGCTGGGTCAAGTGGAAATGTTGTACCTGGCTTAGTGGATTCGCCAATTTTTAAATTAATCTTAGTCTGTTTGAATAGCGGGGTATTATCATTTATATCCTGCACAATTACTGCTATGTAGAAAATATTTAGTGGATTTTCAGCGACAGTATCGAAATCCAGAACACACAGAGGCTGCTTCCCGCATATCTGTTCTCGGTCTATTCTGTCACTCACAAGTAAGTCTCCGCTTTCTGGGTTTACTGTGAAATATTCCTTCTCCGCGCTAACCCGCAGCTTCCGGGCTGGCAAGTCCCGGACGCTGAGCCCCAGATCCTTGGCGAGGTTTCCTACGACCGAGTTTTTGGCCAGCTCCTCTGGAATTGAATAGCGGATCTGGACTGGGAGAGCCCCGGGGAACAAAGACAACAGGAAGGGCAACAGTACCTGCAGCCACCGCACCAGCCCGCACCTCCCTGAGCTCGCTTTCATCTTCTGGCTCCCTTTGCTCCTTTGCCCATAGGAGGAATAAGCCTTCCGGGGATGGCAGAATCCGGGCTAAGGTCACTTTTCCTGCTTTTGTTTTCTGTTTCCGAATCTATACTGGCCTTCTCTGTGTGGTTGGTTTGTGCAGGAAGTTCCCCTCTAAGAGGCTCCCAAACGCTTCTCTTCGTTCTTTTGACCAACAGCGACGCTCAGAGGTTTTCTCAGGAAACTGCACTAATGGCTTGTCAATATTTGCTAAGAACTTTTTTCTTTTCTTTTCTTTTTTAATTTATAAAGTCTTCATTTGTTTTAAAATATGTGAAATATTCATATAGTTCCAAATTCAAAAGATGCATTCAGCATAGGTTCTTCCTTTCATCTCTGCTTTAGATGAGGAGAAATGCTTTCACAGGGGAAATGAGTGTTAAAGTTTCTTAGGTATCCTTCCGGAGATATGTCTTGTATAGGGCAACGGATTTTTATAAATATTCTGTCTCCTTCTTTACACAAATGTAAGCATACAACATACCATATTCTGCACATTGCTTTTTTAGTTGTTATATCTTAAAGATCATATCAGTACATAGAGAGCTTTCCTATTTATTTCTTATAGTTATCTAGTGGCCCATAATATAGTTATCTAGTAGTCCGTAATATGAATATACAACAATTTGTTTAATCAAAATTGTTATTTGCTAAAAGAAACCCACTGCCCATTCTAACAAAAACACATTTTTTAAAAAATTTGATTTTAGGTTATAAATTATCTACTGCTTTCCTAGGCCTTTAAAACATGTGGCACTCTCATTCTGGAATATATTCCTAATGCCAACACCTGAATATGCTTGACACAGTTTCAGACCAATTGAGCATTTCCAAATTATATTTTATGGCTTAATTACTTTAAACAATCTCTCCTCAGATGTAAGTTGTCTCTCAACATTCACTTGTTATTTCTGCTTTCTGCTCCCCAAGCCAGGTAACTGCATCATATCATATTCCAGCTTACTCTATGTATTGCACCACAACTTTCTATGAATACAAAACCATGTAGAAACTAAAACTCTCCTTTGTAAGTCAAATTGAGGCATATTCCACAGTCTATCACTACAACTTCCAGTTATCAAATTACACTAATTTGTGTAAGCATATGCATTCATGAATTTTGAATTCTCACAGAACCTAAATGAAAGCACAAAGAACAAAAGTGTTGTATATCCCCTACACACAAAATATTTTCCCTCATATAAAATAATCCCAGAGCCACATGATGACAGAAATATCTGAAAGCAATTTGTAGCAATAGGGATGAGGCCACCTTACTAAGCAGCGTAAATCATATCAGTCCAGAACCCAAGTAACTCAACCTTTGAAAGAGGCTCACATGATGACAAGAGAAAAGACTCCAAAAACTTATATTTTCCTTGGAAATCAAGAAAGTCTCAATAGTGATGTCATGATAAGCAATTTAAAAATTATTAAAGTTACTCCTAGAATCTACTTATATATGACTGAAATTAGCTTGGAAATATTTCTCATAATCACAGGAGTGCACCAGAGGAATCACACATAGTCACTTCTGGTGCATCTCAGAACAGCAACAAGAAAATATTTGAAATATACCAGTTCATTGAGAAAATATCCTGTTAAAGTTATATCTAAAAGTTAAACTCACAAATTGCCAGTATTCTTAAATTGACGTTGCCTGTTATAATGGAAAATACCCTTTCAAGGAAGGAAAAGTAAACTTCAAGCAAAGCATGGTAGAGTGTGAAAATAGGAAATTAAAAAACCCTCAGTCCAGATCCAACAATAGCTTCATGAGAAAGAATATTGTAAATGTGAATTTACACAATTGCCTTCTATTTTACAGGTCTCTTGTATCTTTTCAGGAACACCTAAGAGAAAAGGAAATTTATTCTTTATTTTACTTTATTTTATTTTACTTTTTGGAGACAGAGGCTTGCTCTGTTGCCCAGGCTGGAGTACAGTGTCATGATCTCAGCTCATTGCAACCTCTGCCTCCCAGGTTCAAGCAATTCTCATGCCTCAGCCTCCAGGGTAGCTGGGACTACGGGCACACACCACCACGCCTAGCTAACTTTTTGTATTTTAGTAGAGACTGGGTTTCACCATGTTGCCCAGACTGGTCTCGAACTCCTGAGCTCAGGCAATCCGTCCTCCTCACACTCCCAAAGTGTTAGGATTACAGGTGTGAGCCACCACACCCAGCACAGAAAAGGAAATTTAAGGAAATGAGGTGGCTCAGAGTTGTAAAATTAGAAAATTCTGGCTGAAACTACAACTGAATGAAGACCAAAAAGGATAAGTAATAAACAACATTTTTGTGTGGTAAATACTGTTGATCATTATTGGAAGGTCATCCACCAGTTTTCTTTAAAGCAATAAAATATTAAAAGAGGCAACTTTATTTGATATATTACATATAAAATGAGAGACATTTACACAACTCTTTGTCTATATTTCAGTGTGGTATGATCTATTATAAGATTGACTCACCTGAAGATTAGGGTCTCCTTTTGTTTCAAGTAAATCCTGAGTTATCAGAAGAGGCTCGCTTTTCTCACAACTCTCCCGGCTGATGAGCGTGTCTGCATAGCTGGGTTGGGAGAAGATCAGGTGACTCTTCCGCGAGTCCGCGGTGAGGGAGACCTCGTGGGAATAGGTCTGCAGGAAAGCCCGAACCCCGTCCACGCCCACAAAGTGCGAGGCAGGCACACCTGCCAACCTGCTGCCTTCAGCGTGAAGCAGGCGTGACTTGTGCCAGCGTCTCAGCTTGAGTGCTAGCAGCACCGTGACAAAAGCCAGGAAGACGCAGGAGACAGCGGCCACTGCCACCACGAGATAGAGTGTGAGGCCCGAGTCGTCTGGGTCTGCTGAAGGCTTGAGGCTGCCCAAGTCAGCCAGGACATCTGGGATGCTGTCGGCCACAGCCACAGTGAGTGTGACGGTGGCCGAGAGAGGGGGCTGGCCATGGTCCTGGACGACCACTACAAGCCTCTGCTTGAGCGCGTCTCTGTCCAGCAGGGCCCGTGCGGTGCGCACCTCGCCTGTGTGCAGCCCCACTGCAAATAGTCCCGGCTCGCTGGACTTGAGTAGGCTGTAGGACAGCCAGGCATTCTGACCTGAGTCTCTGTCCACTGCCACCACTTTGGTCACCAGGTAGCCGGAATCTGCGGAGCGGGGTGCCAGCTCCACACCAGTGGAGCCATCAGTAGGGAAGGTGGGGTACAGGATCTCAGGGACATTGTCGTTCTGGTCCAGCACAAAGAGGCTCAGTGACACATTGCTGCTGAGTGGAGGGTCTCCACTGTCACTGGCTGTCATCAGCAGCTGCAGGTCTCTAAACTGCTCATAGTCGAAGGAGCAAAGAGCATATAGGATCCCTGTATTGGAGTTGATGGAGACATAGGAGGACAGAGGTGCACCCTGGAAGGTGTCTTCGGCCAGGGAGTAAGTGATTCGGGCATTGTCACCACTGTCAGGGTCTTGAGCAGTCATAGATAAGATGGAGGCTCCTCTGGGGTTGTTTTCAGGAATGTAAGCAGAGTAGGAAGCATGAGGGAAAGTGGGTGGGTTGTCATTGATGTCCATCACTTGCAGTGAAATATGAGTTTCTGTAGACAGTGGAGGAGTTCCCTGGTCAGTGGCAGTTACAGTGATGTTATATTCTGAGACTTCTTCCCTGTCCAGTGTTCTGTGTGTCAACAACCGATAATAATTTCCATAGGTCTTTTCAAGTGTGAATGGCAGATTATCTGGAATAGAACATGTGACTAGGCCATTTCCTCCTGAGTCACTGTCATGCACGTTGAAAAGTGCAATTACTGTACCCGGGGAAGAAGATTCCTGGACTGAGCTGGTGAGAGATGTAACTGTGACTTCTGGTGCGTTGTCATTTTCATCCAGAACTGTCACCAGTACCTTGCTTCTAGCTCGGAGACCAGGCCCATCATGGGCTTCTACATCTATGTCATAGAATCCAGAGTCCTCATAATCTAGACCCCCCAATATTGTTATATCCCCACTCAGAGAATTCAACTGAAATAGCTGTGATATTTTGTCTCTTACTTTCCGGAAAGAATACGTCACGTCTCCATTGGCTCCTTCATCTGGATCAGTGGCTTTTACGGTGAGTAGCCGAGTGCCTACAGGAACGTTCTCACGAACACTTACGTGGTACTCGGGCTGAGTGAACACGGGAGCATTATCGTTGGTATCCACAAGTATTATGAGAATCCTGGCAGTGCCAGAGCGAACCGGGTCACCTCCATCGAAGGCCGTGAGAACGAGGTGGTGAACCGCCTCTTCCTCGCGATCTAGAGCGCGTTCCAGCACCAGCTCTGGGTACTTAATCCCATCGGCCCCACTTTGCACGTCCAGGGAAAAGTAACCGTTTGAGTTGAGCTGGTAACCCTGCAGGGAGTTTACACCTACATCCGGATCAAAAGCTTCAGGAAGAGGAAATCTTGCCCCAGGATTTTCATTTTCAGCAACTTTTATTTCCCTCTGTTCTGTCCCAAAACTGGGTGGGTTATCATTAACATCGATTATTTCCACCTCTACCCGCAAAATCTTCACTGTATCTTCTAGAAGAATCTCCAGGTTTGTCACACAGTTTGGAGATCTGTCGCAGAGCTCCTCCCTGTCTATCCTACCCGCGGTGACCAAGGTGCCGCTGCGCGGGTTCAGGGCGAAAAGCTGCGTCCTACCTCTGGAGACGATGCGGACTCCGCGCTCCGCCAGCTCCCGGGGCGCCAACCCCAGGTCCTTGGCGATGTTGCCCACCACTGAGCCTTCTTCCTGCTCCTCAAACACCGAGTAGAGAATCTGTTCGGCCCTGATTTCCACCAGAACCCCCAGGAGAAGGCAGATCTGGAGCAGCCGGGTGTGGTCTGGGCGAGCAGGAGGCGCCGCCATTACAACCCCGCCGCGGAGTCGCCTGTGCTTCGGTTTTCCCTCTGTCGAGGCCTGAGGAGCCCCAGGATCTTCTGGGTCCAAAATAAAGTGCATTCACAGCCAGAGCTCTCAGGGCTTCCGCTTGAAGCTTTCATAAAGCTCCAGAGCCAGTGCTTTGTGCTGCAGAAATCTTGTGATTCTGATTAAATTTCTGGTTTGTCTTTTCCCCCTGATTGGTGAACAGCGACACCCAGAGTCTTAACCTGTTACTGCAATTTATTCTTGGTTAAAAAAAGTTTATTTTTTATACACTTTTCTATTCCTATTTCTCCCAAGATAATAAAGTCAAATTCCTGTTTTTGATTTGCAATGAAAATTCAAGAATGATCCAAGTCTTCCTGTACAATAAACTTTATGAAGTTATTTATTTTCTTAGAGAAAATATGACGATTTTTTTCCTAAGATGTGTTCTTCCTCTTTTCAGTTTTCACATTGTTCATCCCCACAGCCCATTCTCAGTATAGCGTATTGTGTGAGGGACATAATTATCTCTCCTAAAGACAAAGGTGGACTTGAAAAATGGATGAGACAGATAAGTGAAAAGACAGTGGGACAGGAACTTGGAGGTCTGGCTTTAGTCCCAATTTATGCAGTAACAAGTTTCCTCACAGGAGTTGACCCTCTAGAACCTGGGGCAATGCTTCAATTCCCTTGCAAAAAACTCACCTACTGTTCAAGAGTTAGCCTTACCCTGTACAAATGAGATTGACAAATAGGATAATAGGTTTGGGAAGAGAATTTGCTCCTTAATTTTGTGTACAGTAGATTCTTGGCCACAAGCTATGCATATGACTATCTTGTTCACAATGTGTTCTCAATCTTTAGAACAATACCTTTCATAGAGTAGTAATTTTTATGAAACCTTTCAATGTTTCATGAATGACCAGTTCAAATGCAAAGCCTAAAACAATGGGTAAATAACTCTGATCTTAAAAATAAAAAAGAAATAAAAAGAAAAGTTAGACTGAATAACTATAAAGTGCAGATAATAGTTTAGTGATTTTTTCACATGACACATTCAGTATTATTTTACAATTTCTAACTTTACTTTAGCTCTCATTTTAGAAATAGCCAGTAAAAGGAAATGTTTTGGTAGCCGAACATGGATTATCATTGCATGTGCCATCGCTTTCTTTCTTATGAATACTTACAGTAATTTACTAATCTGTGAAAATTTGAGATAAAGCAGTACATCAGTTCTTAAGCTTATTCCTCACTTAACAATTAGCAGTAGAAATGACTCATACAAAAGGGCATTAGCTATACAGAATTTAAAAACCCTCAGACTTTGAGAGAGTAGATTAAACGTGTTTTTCACAATCCTCAAAGACCGCACAAACTGCGGATGATTGAGAGGTGAAATAAGATGTTTGGAAATAAATTTGACAGTATGCATTAAAAAAATCTCAACATGTTTATAGATTTAACTAATTCCTCAGAAATCTACACTAAAGAAACAAGAAGTATGGAAAACGCTTTATAAACCCAAATGTTCATTACATTCTTTGTTTTAATAGAGACAAAATAGAAAGAGCATAAAAACAAATAATTTAGGAATGGTTAAGAAAATTATGAAATATCATTGACTGAAATTATAGAGTGGGAATAATATTGACTCAAAGTTAGTGATGCAAATATAAAATTGGACAATATTTGCTACTTGTGATGAGACAAAGTGTTAAGAGTCTTAATAATTGGAAGGCTGTATTAAACATACATGTTGCTGCAAAAAGACAAACTAGAATGTAATTGATGAAGATTACATTAATTACATAATTACATTAATACATAATTACATCAATTACATAATTAATGTAATTGATGAACTTTAACTTGGGTGGGAAGAACTCTAAATACATTTATAAAGAGCTAAGAATAAAATGACTTGAAAATATAGTATTGCATATCAACTAAGAAAAGGCACTGCTATTACTAAGTGTTAACATCTAGGAAACAGGTCTCTTTAGCAAGATTTGCCAACCATACAGAAATGCCAACAGTAAAGATTGAAAATTAAATTGCCAAGACTACTGAGCAATCAAGAAAGCAATCTCCATCTATCTAGTACCCCCTCCCGCAGTAGATACCATCACTAGAACAATGAAAGAAAATCAAAATTACTTATACACCAATGAGAAGAAAATGCAATATATAATTTTTGTTTGTTTGTTTTTTTAGACAGTTTCCCTCCCATCACCCAGGCTGGAGTGCAGTGGCACACTCTTGGCTCACTACAATCTCCACCTCCCGGGCTCAAGCGATCCTCCTGTCTCAGCTTCCTGAGTAACTGGGACTACAGGCGCGTGCCACCACACCCAACTAATTTTTGTAATTTTAGTAGACCGGGTTTTACCATCTTGGCTATGCTGGTCTCAAACTCCTGACCTCAAGTGATCCACCTGCCTCAGCCTGGTTAAGTGCTGGGATTACAGGCTTGAGCCACCGCGCCCGGCCGCCATATATAAAATTTAACTAGATTTGCAGAAACTCACGTGCGAAGACAAAGAAGGGTCATAAGCGATTTTGTGATCTTCATTACTGGCACATACAACCATAGAAGGATCATCACACAGCAGATCCTGAGGGGGAGCCATTTCCGGTGTCAGGTTGAGAGAATTAAACTCTGTCTTTGCAGAATGAGAGGCAATACATAGATTGTAGGAATAGGGCAAAGTCCCCTCGCTGTGGTTGGGAGGAACCCCGGGCCCAGACTTGGAGCAGAGACCGGTTTGAAAGCAGCCCTCAGTGTCGAGGCTGGAGGAACGTCGCAGGCGCAGGGCGATCGCTAGAATCACCGCGAGGAGAAAGAGCACTGAGATCAAGGCCAAGGCCACAACCAGGTAAAACTGCAGTTCCGTCTGGGGGTCAGAGGGCTCAGGGCGGTCGCTGAGGTCTGGCAATACCTCTTGCAGGCTATCCGCGAAGATTAGGTGCAGCGTGGCGGTGGCGGAGAGTGGCGGCTGTCCTCCATCACGCACAGCGACCAGCAGGCGCTGGCGGGCCGCGTCCCTGTCGCCCAAGGCACGCGCTGTGCGCACCTCACCCGTGCGCAACCCCAGGCTGAAGAGCCCGGGCTCGCTGGCCTGCAGCACGTGGTAGGACAGCCAAGCGTTGTGTCCTGAGTCTGCGTCCACCGCCACCACCTTGGTCACCAGGTAGCCGGGCTCTGCGGCGCGTGGCACCATATCGAAGAGGGCGGAGCCATCAGGCCCCAGCGCGGGGTACAGCACCCGTGGCGCATTGTCATTGAGGTCGCCCACCAACACGCGCAGGCTCACGTTGGCGCTGAGCGCGGGGGAGCCCTGGTCCCTGGCCTGCAGTGTGAGCTCGAAGGCGCGCAGCTGCTCGTGGTCGAAGGCGCGCTGCGCGAACACCACCCCGCTCTGCGGGCTCACGGACACGTAGGACAACAGCTCCCGCGGCTCCAGGTCACTGGCCAGAATAGAGTAGGAGACTCTGCCGTTGGGTCCCAAATCCGGGTCGGAGGCGCTTACTTGTGCAATGGAGGCGCCAGGTGGGTTGTTCTCAGACACGTGGACCACATAGGAGGCCTGATGGAAAACAGGTGCATTGTCGTTGATGTCGGAGATGTGCAGGGTGATGCTTGTCCTGGAGGAAAGGGCTGGTTTGCCCTTGTCGGTGGCTATGATTGTGACGTTGTAGTCTGCTGTCTGCTCCCGGTTTAGGGCTCCAGCAATCACCAGCTTGTAATAATTCTTCGAGGTGGATTCTAATTTGAAAGGAACTTCTTCCTGAGTATAGCATGTCACCATGCCATTTTGCCCAGAATCCTTGTCTCGCACTTTTATGAGGGCTATTACAGTTCCAAGGTCTGAATCCTCTGGAATCTGGTTAGAGAAGGACATGAATGTCACCTCTGGGGCATTGTCATTCTCGTCAACAATTTCTATTTGAACATTACAGTGAGCTGTGTGTACTCCTCCATCCTTAGCTTCCACACTCAACACATATCTACTTGTCTCTTCAAAATCCAATGTGCCATTGGTTGTGATGTCGCCAGTATTTGGATTGAGATTGAAGAGGCTGGTACTTATTGGGGAATTGAGGAAGGCATAGGTGATCTCTGCATTAATGCCCTCATCCTGGTCTGTGGCCATCACCCGCAGCACGGAGGTTCCCCACGGTACGTTTTCTTGGAGGCTAACCCTGTATACCTCCTGGCTAAACACGGGAGCATTATCATTGGCATCCGTAACTCGGATCCAGATATGGGTGGTGCCGCTTAGAGGCGGGTCCCCGCCATCCATGGCAGTCAGGATTAAGCGATGAGAGCTCTGATGTTCCCTGTCTAGAGGTTTTTCCAGCAGTAATACCGGATATTTACTTCCATCAGGACTTTCCTTCGTTGACAGAGAGAAGTATTGATTGGGGTTGATGGTGTATAACTTCAGTGAATTGCCTTCCACATCTGCATCTTGAGCAGAATCCAGAGAGAATTTTACCCCGGGTAAGGCTGACTCACAAATTTCTAAGTCAATGCCTTTTGCAACGAAACGTGGTGCATTGTCATTAATATCTTGGATTACAACAACCACGTGGAAAACATTCATTGGGTTTTCAGCGACCGTTTCGAATTCTAGTGCACACTCAAGTTTCCTTCCGCAAATCTTCTCTCGATCTATCCTACCGTTCACTAACAAATCCCCGCTCTCCAAACTAACGTTGAAATAATCCTCTGCACTAACCCGCAGTTTTCGAGTTGGCAACTCCCGGACACTGAGCCCCAGATCCTTGGCAAGTTTCCCCACCCGTGAGCCGTTGGCTAGCTCCTCTGGAATCGTGTATCGGATCTGCTGGGAGATGGCCCCGCAGAACAAAGACAGCAGGAAGGGAAACAGTACCTGACTTTTCATCATTTCGGCTTCTCTGGCTCTCTGCATTTCAGGAACTCTCCGCGGAGCTTCTTTCCTCTGGGATGTTTTTCAAAAAGAAATGGCAGCACCCTGGACTTCTGTGATTTGAGCTTAGGACTTATTAGTTAGGCGCTCGAGGGTGAACAGGAGCAGCGTCTGTGCTCAGTGCACCGGACAAAGCAGGAAGGCACCCTGCCTGACGCTCCTGCAGAATTGAGAAGCCTTCACTTCCTTTTGGTCGACAGCGGCGCCCAGAGGTTGTCTTGGAAAACTGCACAGGGCCCAGCTTTTTATCCTCAAAGCGCAACCTCTTGAATCTATGTACCCTGTCTTTAATTTGCTGGAGGGAAACACATACTCACATTTTCCCCTTTACATTTCAGTTTTCTAGTTTGTCATCATCAGATAAGGGCCTTCATCATTTCGTATTCTTTTTTCATTTAAAAAATTCACAAGGTACACTGCCATTTTTTTCAGTTTTGGGGGTAAAAAAAAATCTTCAGTGATTTCACTATATTTATAAACTCTGGCATGACTGCTGTATCCAAATAAGTGAATTGATAATTTTTATTTATATTTTTAGTTGACTAAAATACCTACCTTTCTGTAAATTCATTGGAATAAGCTCCCTTATCTAGTATTTTAAATCTCTCCATATATATGTTATCAATTCAGTAATACTTTTCAAAAATAGTTTTTGCAAAAAAGAGGAAATCACAGCCTTACTATTATGTTATTTCTCTTCTTTATAAAATATAGATAATCTTTCCAGTTAAGTAGGACAAAGTCTGATATTTTGTTAAAAGGGCCAATTTAGTGTTGGGGTACACATACATGCTTTTATGAAGTGGAATCTCATATAATGTACATTTGTTTTATGAAACCAGTGCTTCTTTTTTATATGAATGTATATTAAATACTCTAGGCTGGGTGCAGTGACCTGTGATCCCAGCACTTTGGGAGGCCAAGGTGGGAAGAACACATGAGGTCAGGAGTTTGAGACTAGCCTGTCCAACATGGTGCAAGCCATCTCTACTAAAAAAAATAAAAATTATCCAGGCATGGTGGCGGGTACCTGTAACGCCAGCTACTCGGGAGGTTGAGGCAGCAGAATCACTTAACTCAGGAGGCAGAGGTTGCAGTGAGTTGAGATCATGCCACTGAAGTCCATCCTGGGTGACAGAGCAAGACTCTGTCTCAAAAACATTCTCTATAATGCCAATTCTCAGCTCCAGCCGACTTATACCATTAATGAGCAAAACGAGTTTGACTTGACCACTGGTAAATATTGGAGAGGTATTCAGAGTTCTTAGACACCCAATTTTGGAACTTATTCTGTAGTTCCAGGCTTAGAACCAGTCTTGGTTCAAAGCAAATCCCTTTATTTCAAATGCATTACCAAATGAGATCCAACTCAACAATTTATTCTACTATTTTGCAGTGCTCACCCATACTCATACTCTATTCGAAACAGCCTATTATCTGTTTTCTTAAGATACCTTTTCACTTGTTTCCTTGCATCATGCCTTTATACTTTCCATTCCTTTTACTATGAACTTCTCCTCCCTTTCTGTTGTAGTGGATTCTTGCCCATTCTTCAAAAAAATAAAAATAAATCCTTTTTAGTGAAAATGGGATGTCTGAGACCTTCCATTACCTGTACAAGTAGGTGGAATTGTATGGGTTCCATACTCTCAGTGTATTTTCATGACACATATGTAGGCTATGTTTCATATAGAATTCTTAGAAATTATCTTTGAGCATCCAAATTTCCCCTGACACAGCTAATTAATTTTTTTTCTCCTTACAGGGAAAGTGATACTAATACTATAAACATTTTTTTTTCTAAAAATGATATGTTAAAAGTTACGTGCCTTTTTCTTTTGAGACAGGGTCATGCTATGTTGCCCAAGTAGGTCTCAAAGTCCTAGGCTCAGAAGTCCTCCCCTGGCTATGGGCCTTTTAAATTCTGTGATGTATTTCCATGTTTCAGTGAGAATACACCTTACTCTGCTTACAGCTTTTGTGTTCTGGCCCTGTTGTCTCATACATTTAAATGTGCCTTTTCCTAATATATTGAGGGAGGAATCTATTCTTTTGTTTGAGTTCTAATAAAACATATTTTGGTCTAATTTTGGATAACTCTCATATGATTTCATGAGTGAAAATAATTTCATAAATTGCAGAATAAGCCAACAATTTCTGGCTCAAGAAAGTTGTAGAACATGACAAAAGAAGGGACTTCTATTCCATTGTTGGAAGAGATTGTCTGGAAATCTCCCGCAGAGGCTGAGACATATTCCTTTACATGTTTTTGATGTCCTTCTCAAGGACAAGAAATACCACTCCAAGGCTCATAATAATTTAGCTAGGTGAGCTTTCCACCCTCAGGCAAAATGTTGAAATCAAAATGAATACACACATAAGCATATACATTAGGCATATGTAACAGGCACTATAGGTAAAACCATTTGACCAGCCTCTACTTTTTTTTTTTTTTTGAGATGGAGTCTCTCTCTATTGCCCCAGCTGGAGTGCAGTGGCCCAATTTTGGCTCTCTGCAACTTCTGCCTCCTGGGTTTAAGCAATTCTTCTGCCTCAGCTTCCCAAGTAGCTTGGATTACAGGCGCCCACCACCATGCCCAGCTAATTTTTGTATTTTTAGTAGAGACAGGCTTTCACCATGTTGGCCAGGGTGTTCTTGAACTCCTGACTTCAAGTGATCCACCTGCCTCAGCCTCCCAAAGTGCTGGGATTACAGCATGAGCCACTGCACCCAGCCTCTACATTTTTGTTCTCCAATTTTTATGTTATTGAGATGAAAAGAATAACAGGCCAGGCATGGTGGCTCATGCCTCTAATCGCAGTACTTTGGGAGGCTGACGTGGGCAGATCACTTGAGCTCAGGAATTTCAGACCAGCCTGGGAAACATAGCAATTGCCCCATCTCTACAAAAACAAAAACAAATTAGCTGGGAGGGTGGCTCGTGCCTGTAGTCCCAGCTACTCGGGAGGCTGAGGTGGGAGGATCACTTGAGTCTGCGAGGTCAAGGCTGCAGTGAGCCGTGATCATGCCACTGCACTCCAGACAGAGTAAGACCCTGTCAAGAAAGAAAGAAAGAAAGAAAGAAAGAAAGAAAGAAAGAAAGAGAGAAACAGAGGAAGGAAGGAAGGAGGAAAGAGAGAGAGGAAGGAAGGAAGGAGGAAAGAGAGAGAGGAAGGAAGGAAGGAAGGAGGAAAGAGAGAGAGGAAGGAAGGAAGGAGGAAAGAGAGAGGAAGGAAGGAAGGAGAAAGAAAAAAAGAGTGTCACCTGTCTTGGAAGGAGTCAAACATCATTTAATTTCATGGGCATAAAATATCTTTTATTCATATGTATTTTTACTTGTATGTATCAGGATAAGCTATACAGGTTGGAATGACAAACTCCAAAGCACAGGGATTTAAAATGAAAAAGGCCTATTTATCACAGGTATACAAACCAGTGTTGTGTTTCTCTCATCATAGTTACTCAAGGACCCAGGTAGAAGGAGCAGTCACAATTTCAAATAGTAACTTAGAGATCTGAAAATTCTCACAGTGGCAGATTCCTCTAGGAAGTGACACTTTACTTTCACTCACGATGTATTATTTTTTCCCTAAGCCCACTCAACCATAACCAGACCGGGGAGTGCAGTCCTACTATAGGCCCAGAAAGAAAGGGGGACAAATATTTAGTCAAAGGACTAATGACAACCTCATGGCTTTATTTCTCAAATACATATGTGTTAAAGCTTTATAATAACCACATTCTCATATTTGTTCTTAATAATCAAAGAAATAAATAAACTCACCTGAAGTAGGTTGGAATCTCCTTTCATTTCAAGTAAATCCTGAGTTATCAGAAGAGGCTCGCTTTTCTCACAGCTCTCCTGGCTGATGAGCGTGTCCGCATAGTTGGGCTGGGGGAAAATCAGGTGGCTCTTCCGCGAGTCCGCAGTGAGGGAGACCTCGTGGGAATAGGTCTGCAGGAAAGCCCGAACCCCGTCCGCGCCCACAAAGTGCGAGCCGGGCGTACTCGCCAAGCCGCCTCCCGAAGCCTGCAGCAGGCGTGACTTGTGCCAGCGCCGCAGCCTGAGCGCCAGCAGCACGATGACGAAGGCCAGGAAGACGCAGGAGACCGCGGCCACCGCCACCACCAGGTACAGAGTGAGGTCCGAATCGTTGGGTTTGGCGGAGGGCTCGAGGCTGCCCAGGTCGGCCAGGATGTCGGGGATCCTGTCGGCCACGGCCACGGTGAGCGTGACAGTGGCGGAGAGAGGGGGCTGGCCGTGGTCCTGGACGGCCACCACGAGGCTCTGCTTGAGCGCGTCTCTGTCCAGCAGGGCTCGCGCCGTGCGCACCTCGCCCGTGTGCAGACCCACCGAGAAGAGTCCCGGCTCGCTGGCCTTGAGCAGGCGGTAGGACAGCCAGGCGTTCTGGCCCGAGTCTCTGTCCACCGCCACCACCTTGGTCACCAGGTAGCCGGGCTCTGCGGAGCGAGGCGCCAGCTCCACGCCAGTGGAACCGTCTGTGGGGAGGGCGGGGTACAGGATCTCGGGCGCGTTGTCGTTCTGGTCCAGCACGAACAGGTTCAGCGACACGTTGCTGCTGAGTGGAGGGTTCCCGCTGTCGCTGGCTGTCACCAGTAGCTTTAAGTCTCTAAATTGCTCGTAGTCGAAGGATCTCAGCGCGTATAGGACGCCAGTGTTGGAGTTGATAGAGACGAAGGAGGACAGGGGCGCCCCCTGGAGAGTGTCCTCGGTCAATGCATAAGTGATGCGGGCGTTGTTGTTGCTATCTGGGTCCTGGGCTGTCACTGAGAAGATGGAGGCTCCTCTGGGGTTGTTTTCTGGAATGTAGGCGGAGTAGGATAAATGAGGGAAGGTGGGTGGGTTGTCATTGATGTCAATCACATGCAGGGTGATGTGAGTTTCTGTGGACAGTGGCGGGCTTCCCCCATCTGAGGCTCTCAGACTAATGTTATATTCTGATATTTGTTCGCGGTCCAGGGATGTGGCCGTCACTAAGCGGTAATATTGATCTATTGATTTTTCTAACTTAAATGGCAGATTTCCCAGGACAAAAACTTCAACCTGCCCATTCTGCCCAGAATCTCGGTCATGCACGTCGATAAGAGCAATTTCTCTTCCAACGGTGCCCTCTTCTGGGACTGAGCTTGTGAGAGACGTGATTGTAATTTCTGGAGCATTGTCATTCACATCCAGAACCGTGACTAGAATCTTGGCTCTTGAAAGAAGACCTGGTCCATCCTGTGCTTCAATTTTAATTTCATAGAACATGGCATCCTCATAATCTAGACTTTTTAATATTGATACTTCTCCACTCACTGAGTTAAGATGGAAAATCTCAGCGATTTTCCCAGGCATTTTATCTAGAATATAAGACACTTGAGCATTGAATCCCTCGTCAGGGTCAGTGGCATTCACCGTGAGCAGCCGGGTACCCACAGGCACGTTCTCCCAAACACTCACACGGTACTCAGGCTGAGTAAACATTGGTGGGTTGTCATTTGCATCCAGGACTATCACTTGGATGTGCAAGTTGCCAGAGTGGACAGGGTCGCCACCATCAGAGGCAACCAGGACAAGCTGGTGAATTTCTTTTTTCTCACGGTCCAGGGCCCGCTCCAGCACCAGCTCTGGATACTTGGCCCCCTCAGAGACGCTATTCACAGCCAGAGAGAAGTAGTCATTGGGGCTAAGCTTGTAGTTCTGCAGGGAGTTAATGCCTACATCTGGGTCAAAAGCAGTTTTAATTGGAAATCGGGTTCCAGGAACCGTTAGTTCACCAATTTTTATTTCCAATTCCTCTGTTGGGAAATTAGGAGCATTATCATTAATATCTTTAATTTCTATTTCTACTTCAAAAATTTTCAATTTATCCTCAACCAGAATGTTAATTTTTACCAGACACAGCGGGATCTGAGCGCAGAGCTCCTCCCGGTCTATCCTCTCCGCGGTGACCAAGCTGCCGCTTTGCGGATTCAGAGAGAAAAGCTGCGTCCTACCTCTGGAGACGATGCGGACTCCGCGCTCCGCCAGCTCCCGGGGCTCTAGCCCCAGGTCGTTAGCGATGTTGCCCACGAAGGAACCTTTATCTAGCTCCTCAGACACCGAGTAGCGGATCTGACCGGATCCTGTTTCGCACAGCGTCCCCAGGAGCGCGCACAGCAGGGCCAGTCCTCTGCCATTTCGGAAACTCAGGCAATTGGTCATTTCCTTTTCGGTGAATCGCTTTCTCTGAATTCGGTTCCAGTTTCCTACGACGGACTCCAATCTTATTTTCTCAAGAAACGAAGTCTTTTACGGGCCTAATTCACAGGTCAAACAGCTGGTTGACTAAGAGGTGAGGTTGGCAGCCGCCCCGGATCTTCTGAGTCTGATTTGCTGGTTCTTTGCATTTTAGGAGCAAGGAAATGGTGGACTAGTTCTCCAGCTGCGTTCTCCTTCTTGAGTGGTCAACAGCGACACTAAGAGGCCTAACCGTTTACTGCATCCTCTCAGACACATTATTATTTTTGAATTATCCAAGATCTGAAATCCTTCTTGTCAGAGATAAGAGGACTAGTGTTGATTGAACATAATTGAATCGATATATGTTAAACAGTGTCACCTCAAGTTATCTTTCTTGGGAATCCATGCACTAACCTTAATGCCACCAATATTGCTTCAAACATAGTGGAGTTAACTTTTTTGAATTGTTCAGTTTAAGAAACACACAGTAACAAAGAACTGGCCGTAAGGACCAACACAACTATTAAAAGACATGACCACCACTTGTTCTTCCACCACTGAACCTTGATAATGTGTTTATTCTTATACTTACTACATTTATCAGGGTTATTTGATAAGATATCCACCTCCTCTTTGACCTTTCCCTCTCTATACTCTTAACTCTCTAAGAGCTGAGACAAGGAAAAAAAGAAAAGAAACACACAGAAATCAGCCATATTTATACATTATATTTCTTTAAGTTTGTTCTTGGTGACCTGATAACTTAGTTTCGATATTTGTTGTTATTTAATATTCATTAAACAAACACATAATTAGGCATCAGACAATATGTTTGGGGATTTAAGGTGAACAATATAGACACAGTAGCTTCCTTCACAGAGATTATAAGGATATAAAAGCAAACAGGGAATTGCAGTGTACTGAGATAATTACCATAATGGGAGAAGCCAAGGGGGTTAGGGGGGCCTTCAATTGGGCCTTTAATGTTAGCAAACGCTTTCCCAGGAAACATGAGAGGAGTGGATCAGTGAAAAGGCCTGGATGTGGGAGAGAACAGCATGACAATGCCTAGGTGTGAGAGAGAAATCACAGACCTTCAGGGTACTGAAAGAAGTTTCCTTTGTTTAAATCTAGACTGTAAGGATGTTTTTTCAAAACCAACTGAAACTAGTAGAAATAAGCTTTTATGTTCCAGAATCTCTTTCCCCATAAGTTTCCAAGCACAGAAATATAAATACAATATATTTGTCGTTTCAATCATGATGCATTACATATCTATGCATAAGACATTTATTCTTGTGGAGTTACTACACACACTAAAAATAACTTTGCTTTAATTTTCCTGTTTATACTTTATTATTCACTTACAAGTAAAGCTATTATGACATATTATTCCACAGTGAGTTCCAATTTTACTCATAGACAATTATGTAATAGTAACCAAAACAACACCTTGTCTCAGAAAATTTTTTCTTGATCAAATGCAACGGAAAGAATCACAGCACTTTGAGAAATATGGTATCATTCAATAAAAGGCTCAATTGGTACATGATAATTTTCAAATAAAAATAAAAAATGATGCCAGTTACATAGAACATTAGTGTGCTTATTATTCTCTGTTATTAAATACATAACCAACATACTAAAAGCCAATATAGGAAGAGGAATGGGAAAAGAAAATTGATCAGAGGGGCACTGGGATTGGGTGAGGGATTGGGAACATTTCTAGCAGCTATTGTGAGTAGAAACCTTGAGAAGAGAGATGTATAAAGAAGTTGGTTCTGGGCAATTGTATGATATGAATCTTTTGTATCTTTTCTTTAAGCAAAACTATATTGAGGATATATATTATTTTAAAGATTAAAATACAGTATGGTTCCCACGTATGAGAAAGATAAAAAAAAAGGAGAAACCTGTTTATTACCACTCTACAGCTTTATTATAGAGCAGATGATAAGTCAGTCACTTCTTCAAGAAGCATATAGCTTAGAGGTTAATGTGATTTTTAAAACTAAGCCAAAATAATATGACATACCTTCCTGAAACACTGTAAGGAATGTATATTTCTAAATTTCCATATTTTTAACAGGGAAGGGCATGCAAGTTAAGGAAAACAATTTTGCTGCCAAACTGAAAGAAATGTATTAAGACTGAATGAGAAAGAACTAGCCAACTAACATGTTTCACTGTTCATATACAGATTCAAATATAGAGTAAGAGTCATAACTTAAAAGAAGAAAGGACTTGAGTAAACATAAACTCCAATCTTTATATTTTTAACAAAGAAAAAATTGTTGATCTGGGTGGATGAGATGATTTGCCCAGGGATGGAGAAGAAAGTATAAGAAACCAGACACCCTAGTTCCTAATGCAGTGCTCTTTGGATAATCTTATCTATTAACTCCTGGTTTACATTCATTGCACAAAGATTCTCACGTCTCTTCTTCCTCTTACAGCCTGTGAACACTAAGACCTACCAAGAAATAATTCACCAAGACTCACTTCCTAAAACTTGACTCTACCCTCAAGGAAATATGGGGAACAAAATAGATATAGTAAACAAGTAAGTGAATTACTTCAGCAAACTAGCTAGTACGTATGTTGTGAAAAGATAGATTACCTGAGAAAACGTTTCTTCTCTTTCTTCTTCGAGTAGAGATTGAGGCGCTGATAAAAAATCCTTTTTCTCACAGCTCTCCTGGCTGATGAGCGTGTCCGCATAGTTGGGCTGGGGGAAAATCAGGTGGCTCTTCCGCGAGTCCGCAGTGAGGGAGACCTCGTGGGAATAGGTCTGCAGGAAAGCCCGAACCCCGTCCACGCCCACAAAGTGCGAGCTCTGCATGCCTGTCAAGCTGCCTCCTGAAGCCTGCAGCAGGCGTGACTTGTGCCAGCGCCGCAGCCTGTGCGCCAGCAACACGATGACGAAGGCCAGGAAGACGCAGGAGACCGCGGCCACCGCCACCACCAGGTACAGAGTGAGGTCCGAATCGTTGGGTATGGCGGAGGGCTCGAGGCTGCCCAGGTCGGCCAGGATGTCGGGGATCCTGTCGGCCACGGCCACGGTGAGCGTGACAGTGGCGGAGAGAGGGGGCTGGCCGTGGTCCTGGATGGCCACCACGAGGCTCTGCTTGAGCGCGTCTCTGTCCAGCAGGGCTCGCGCCGTGCGCACCTCGCCCGTGTGCAGACCCACCGAGAAGAGTCCCGGCTCGCTGGCCTTGAGCAGGTGGTAAGACAGCCAGGCGTTCTGGCCCGAGTCTCTGTCCACCGCCACCACCTTGGTCACCAGGTAGCCGGGCTCTGCGGAGCGGGGCGCCAGCTCCACGCCAGTGGAACCGTCTGTGGGGAAGGCAGGGTACAGGATCTCGGGCGCGTTGTCGTTCTGGTCCAGCACGAACAGGCTTAATGATACATTGCTACTGAGTGGAGGGTTCCCGCTGTCCCGCGCTATCACCCACACTTGCAAGTCTCGCAACTGCTCATAATCAAAGGAGCGCAGTGCATAGAGTACTCCAGTGTCGGAGTTGATAGAGATGTAAGAGGATAAGGGTGCCCCCTGAACAGTGTCCTCCGCGAAAGAGTAAGTTACATGAGCATTGTCGTTGCTGTCGGGGTCATGGGCCGTCACTGAGAAGACAGAGGCTCCTCTGGGGTTGTTTTCGGGAATGTAGGTGGAGTAGGATGTGCGGGAGAAGGCGGGTGCGTTGTCGTTGATGTCTGCCACCTGGAGCAAAATGTGAGCATCCGTGGACAGGGAGGGGTTCCCTCCATCTTTAGCGGTTAGAGTGATGTTGTAAAAGGAAAACTGTTCCCTGTCAAGGGCTCTGGTTGTAACCAGTCGGTAGTAATTGTCTACTGACTTTTCTAACTTAAAAGGAAGATCCTCGGGGAGTGAACAGGTGGTGAATGCGTTCTGCCCAGAGTCTCTATCATGTACATTAAAAAGCCCAATTATGGTTCCTGGAAGAGAGTCTTCAGAAACTGAGCTAGTAGCAGATGTCATGTAAAATTCTGGGGCATTGTCATTCACATCCAGAACCGTGACGATAACCTTCGCTCTGGTTAGAAGGCCCGGACCATCCTGAGCTTCAATATCAATTTCATGGAATGTAGCATCCTCATAATCTAGATCTTTTATGATTGTCAGTTCTCCAGATGTTGACTTAAGCTCAAATACCTCTGAGGTTTCTCCAGGGCTTTTCTCTAGAAAATATACCACTTGAGCGTAGTAGCCCTCATCTGCGTCAGTGGCGGTCACCGTGAGTATCCGGGTGCCCACGAGCGTATTCTCCGGAATGCTTATGCGGTACTCGGGCTGTGTAAAAACAGGCGCATTGTCGTTCGCATCCAGGACCTTCACGCAGATGCGGGAGGTGCCAGATAGCACTGGGTCACCCCCATCAGAAGCCACGAGAACGAGGTGGTGAACAGCCTCTTCCTCGCGGTCCAGAGAGCGCTCCAGCACCAGTTCTGGGTACTTGTTCCCATCAGCTCCCCTTCGCACGTCCAGGGAGAAGTGGTCATTTGGGTTGAGTGCGTACTTCTGAAGGGCGTTCTCACCTACGTCTGCATCATGCGCATTCTTAAGAGGAATCCGGAATCCTGGCGTAGTGGTTTCACTGATTTTTAGCTCCAGTTCCTCTACTCCAAAGCGAGGGGCATTATCGTTAATATCTGTTATTTCCACCTCTACTGAATAAATAGTCAATTTATCCTCCAGCAGAATGTTAAAATTCAACAGACAGGGTGCGCTCTGAGCGCAGAGCTCCTCCCGGTCTATCCTGTTCGCAGTGACCAAGCTGCCGCTTCGCGGGTTCAGAGCAAAGAGCTGGGACCTACCTCTGGAGACGATGCGGACTCCCTGCTCTGCCAGTGCCAGGGGCTCCAAACCCAAGTCCTTGGCGATGTTGCCTACGAAGGAGCCTCTGTCGATCTCTTCCCGCACAGAATAGCGAATCTGCCCGGCCCTGGCCTCCCACAGGGTCGCCAAAAGGAAGCACAGCAGGACCAGCTTTCTGCAGTGTGGCAACTTTTGCAGAGCCGCCATTTCCCTCCTGTCGCAATTTTCTCCGAGTCAACTTCCAGCATCCAGTGCGGATTCCAATCTTTATTCCTCAGGGTGTGAGATAACCAGCATTCACGGGACCCAGGTCCCTATGGAGAGAACTGGTGGGCTGTTCGACTGAATTTCTTTGGTGTCCTGAAGCTTTAGGGCCAAACCTCCACCCCCTTGTGCTGTGGGAGCCGTATTGCTGGATTGGATGTCTCGCTGCCTTTTACTCCTTAGGTGGTCAACAGCGACGCTCAGAGGCCTAAATAATTTCTGCACCTGCTCAGGAAAACCTAAGTTACTTCTTGTTTGTTTGCCTTTGTTGACTTTCAAGGCGCTTTAAAGAATCTTACAGCTCTAAGATACCCTAGAATTAGATCTTTCAAAACAGGAATCTTTTTATCAGGATTAATAAGAATGGTATAAATGAACATGATCTTGATAATAGTTGCTAGGAAAGTATTATTGACTGCTCAAGGCATTAATCAATGCCACCACTGCCCTTGCTCCAAACATCTTCCATCTCTTATTGTATAATCAGAAGCAGTAAGATCAATTAAGAAACGTTAGCTACGTTTTCTTCTAAGGTTATATATTTTGAACGTTTATGGTTGATGGCTTTGCATTTACCTTCAAAATCTGCCTTTAAATTATTGAATCATCAGACACTTAATTGGGTACATGTGCCTCCCACTTTGCATGATTGCAGCTGGAGCTAGAAATGGTGAACATGATAAACACAGGCCCTGGTCTCAAGCGTGAAGGTTGGAGGAGGACATAAGAAAGTAAAGAGAGTATAATAGAGTATGGTAACTGCTGTGATATGAGGTAGGAAACACTGGGTGATGGAGGAATACCTAGGAGGGGTATCCAGTCTAGATTTGGGGTCAGAAAAGTCTTTTTGAGGGCATGATTGAAGCTGAATCATAAAAAGTAGGATTGAATCAAGAAAAAGGCTGAAGAAGTGTTCTAGAACCTCTGAACAAATGCTTGAAGGTAAGAGACAGCATGGAACATTACAGAAACAGAAAGCAGGTCTATTTGATAAAGCTAGAGCCGGAAGGGGTTTTTCACCACACTAGGAATCAGTCACTCAAAATTGTTTGAGGTTGTCAAGTTCTTTTTCTGATATTCATTTTCCAAGGGTGTAAAATACAATGCAGTGGATGTCTTCTTACTCTTGTTTCATCTTTACCATTTTGACCATAGTCAAGCATACAATTCTGTGACATTAAGTACATTCAAATTACATTCTGGTGTGACCATTACCACCATCCACTTCCAGAACTTTTTCATCCTCCCCAACTGAAACTCTGTACTTATTAAATAGCAACTCCCCATTGCCTTTCACCCAGTCCCTGGCAACTACCATTCTACCTTTTTTCTCTATGAATTTGACTAATCTAGGAACTTCATATATGAGGAATCATACAGTATTTGTCATTTTATAACAGGTTTATTTCACTTGATATCATGTCTTTGAAGTTCGTCCATATTGTAGCATGTAACAGAATTCCCTTCCTTTTTAAGGCTAAATAACAGCCCATTGTATGTGTGAACCACTTTTTATTTACCCATTCATCTGTCAATGGACACTTGGGTTACTTCCACTTTTCAACTATTGTGACTAATGATGCCATAAACATAGGTGTACAAATATCTGTTGAAGTCCCTATTTTCACTTCTTTTGGGTAATAACCAGAGTGGAATTGCTGGATTATATGGTAATTCTATGTTTAAATTTTTGAGGAGTCACCATACCATTTTCCACAGCAGTTGTGTCATTTTATATTCACCAGCAATGCACAAGAATTCCAATTTCTCCATATTCTTGTTAACATTTCTTTTCTTTTCTTTTATGACAGCAATTCTAATGAATGTGGAGTAGTATCTCATTATGGTTTTGATTTGCATTTCCCTAATGACTAGTGATGTTGAACATTGTTTCATATGGTTTTGGCCATTTGTATATCATCTTTGGAGAAATGTCTATTCAAGTCCTTTGCTCATTTTAACATCCAATTGTTTGGGATTCTTTGTTGTTGAGTTCGAGTTCTTTATTCTGGATATCCATTCTCAGATACATGATTTGGAAACATTTTCTCTCTTTCTGTGGGCTGCCTTTTCACTCTATTGATATTGTTCTTTGCTGCATATAGTTTTTAACTGTGATAAAGTCCAGTATACAATTTTTTTCTTTTGTTGCTTGTGCTTTTGGTGTCATATCCAAGAAATCATTGCCAAAAATCAATGTTATGAAGGTTTCCTCCTGTTTTCTTCTAAGAGTTGTATAGTTTTAGTTCTTAAACATAATAACTAAAAGGGTTTTATTGCTTCTGAATATTGCTTCTTTGATCCATTTTGAATTAATTTTTGTATGTGGCATAAGTGGAATTGCCCATTTCTGGTGACACTTTAATCTGTTTGCCTTTTGGCTCCTTCCTTATTGAAATTTTCTCATTTTTACTTTCATCCATTCCTCTTACAAGACTGAAGAAAAATATATTGGAAATAATTGATACCAACTCACCATGTTTTCTTGTAGAGCTACTATGGTATATTTTGCTTTTGTTTTTTATTTTTATTTTTGTGTTTGTGTTTGTGTTTTTTTGTTTTATAGAGATTGGGTCTTGTTATACTGCCCCGGCTGGATTCAAACTCCTGGGCTCAAGCAATCCTACTGCCTCAGCCTACTCAGTACCTGGGATTATAGGTGTGCCATTGTGCCTGGCTCTCTTACATGAGTCCTAACGTTAGACTTGACAGAATTTTCATTTTCTCCCCACTGGTTTTATTACATTTATTGTCTGCTTCCATTATTTCATCCTCAGAACTCTTCCATGGTTGCATTTCAAAAATGTAACTCTTTGTTATTTTTTCCATCATTTTATTTTAGTATATACTCATTGTATGTTTTTTATCTTACTTCTTGAATGGCAAGCTAAATTCATGTATTTTAAATAATTTTGTTTGCTTTTAAAAAAATTATTGCATTTGTCTATAAACTTACTCCTAATTAGTTTTAGTTGCATCTCACAATTTTTAATAAAGAATATTTAAGTCCTTTTTTTCTGAGTAGTTTTCATTGTCATTGTGATTTTTGAAATCCAAGAGTTATTTAAGGGTGTAGATGTAAATATCCAAACTTTTTCCCTTTTCTATTTTTAAATGTTTGCTTTGTGATTAAGTATGTGTTGTAAGGCAAGTATATTATTGGTACTTTGCAATTTGCTGAACCCTTTTTTGTAATGACTAGGTAATAAACTTGTAGATTGTCTGCTTGTTCAAGGATGACTATTCCATATTTGTTGTGTGCAGAACGGATCTATTAGAATCCTAATAGATCAAGCTTCTAAATTATGTTGTTCAAATCTTCTTTATGTTAACTAACTTTCTTCCTGTGGGGTCTATTATTTCTTATGGAATTATGTTTAAATATTCCGGTATTTTCTAAGCTATATTTTTCAGTAATAGAAGCTTATATTTTTATATCCTTTTGATCATCTGCTCTTTTTACAACTATAATCAGTTCATTTTTTAAAATCACAATTTGTGTTTGTTACCTTAAATATGACTTTGTTGTTACATTAACATGACTTTCTTTTTTGTGTGTGTACATATATATTTAGTTTCACTGTTTCAGTGTATTTTTATTTTAAGCACGTGTATTATTAGAATATGGATTTTAAAAATCAACCAGTTTTGTAATATTTGTCCTTTAATAGGTAAATGTAGCTCACTTGTATATACACAGAAAAAAAATTATGATTATAAGAGCTGAGAAAGTCCAGAAGTGAGATAACTTAGTTATCAATTGAGAGTATACTCTTGGTACCAAGCAAAAAATAAAAATAAAAATGCAACAGACACACAGCAAGAATGAGAGAAAGTCTTCAATAGTTACCAGAGAGAAAACAGAGATTACCTTAAAAAATAACAGTGTGTTGACAGAAAGTTTCTCACTAGTAACAATAAATTCTACGAGACAAGTGTGTTTTGAAATTTTGGTTTGTATATTTATTTTTAGTGGAAGAGCTCTGTTTGTTTTTAGTTTTAGTTTGTTTTTTTCTCTTCTACACTATATCCCTCTCTCCTTCCCTCCTGGGTTCAGTGCTCATTTGTAATGGTTTTGAAATAGTTTCTATCTGACCTCAGGTCCCAGGCCATAACTAGGTCTCTTAATGACGCTTTAATGATGCACAGCAGTGATATTCTGGATACCACAGCTCACATATGAGATACTTGGTGTTCGCTGTCTCTATCCAGCATCCGTGTCTGTCTCTCTCTCTTGGTCTACACAGCTTACGAAGAAAGTTATAACCACCGGAATTGGGAAACAGCTTTTATTATTATATTTATTTATTTAACAGGGTGTGGCTCTGTCGCCCAGGCTGGAGGGCAGTGGCGCGATCACGGTTCGCTGAAGCCTTGACTTCCTGGGCTCAAGGGATCCTCCCACGTCAGCTCCTGCCCCGCCCCGCCCCGCCCCTCCCCGCCCCGCGTAGCTGGGACTACAGTCGCAGGCCGCCCTGTCCGGCTGGTCTTGAACTCCAGGGCTCCAAGGATCTTTCCGCCTCAGCCTCTCAAATTGTTGGAAATACAGACGTGAGCCACTGCGCCCAGCTAGGCAGCATGTTAATGCATCTTTCTTTTCCTTTTTAACCAGCTGAAGGGCCTCATTGCTTATTTTGGATTCAGGCAGTAAGCCTGGTCCAGATATTTATCTAGTCTGAAGCACTTCTGTCCCTATTACATTGCTGGAGGCAGTTTCCTAACCTTCAATTTCTGCTTTTAAGTCCAAGACTATAACTCACATGGCTTTAGACTAGCTCACCACTTTGCTTTTGCTTTCCTCTTATATTTTATGTATCTCTGTATTTTATTGGAGCAGAGTAAATACATCAAAGCATGGACTTACTCCCCGACCATACTTTTTTTTTCTTCTGAAAAGTTAACACACATTAAAATAGGATATATACTTGATTTTTGTTAGCTGATTTCATTACAGGTATAATGTATAAGTCAGGAGGCTTCAAAGATATTTCTCAAGTTGCATGATAAATTTTGTGTTGTTCATTTTGTTACTTCATACATTACTTAAATAGACGTATTCTTCAGTACAGGCACCACAGCTCACACCTGTAATATCAGCACTTTGAGAGGCTGAGGTGGGAGGATCGCTTGAGCCCAGGAGGTAGTGGCTGCAGTGAGCCATGATCATGCCACTGCACTCTAGCATGACCCCATCTCAAAACCAAAAAAATCTGATAATAAAGATAGAATAAAAGGCTAAAATATTCAACAATAATTTAAAATTGCAGTTTATATAGATCTCTATAATCTTATATGAACACAACTAAAAATACTACTTTAGACAATCTTCACCTCTTCAAATGTCCCCAAATAAACTATCACAGTGTCCTGACAGATGACATCTACATTAAATTCAGGGGTAGATTAGCAGGTACTTATAAAAAGAAAATTTGAAAATAGTGTTAGTCATTTAAATATTGGTGAGCCTTTTCTAATCAAACCTTTTAGCCCAGAGGCAAGTAAGAAAATGTTAGAAGCTAGATCGCCGTTTCTAATGCAGTGCTCTTTCCAAACAGAGATGGCATCTCACACATACCTTCAACCCAACCACCTACATTATGATCACAGTCTCCTTTTCAGTGCAAGAACAATTATAAATATACCTGCATATGAACGTGTAGACTCAATCGTGATTTTGCAGGACTTGTAATAAAAAGCTACAAAGATACATGGGTTAGAAGAACTATCTGTAGCAAAGAGCGAACGCTAGTAAGTTAAATCAAGAATTATTTTTCTCTAGATAGCTGATACATTCATCACAAAAGTTTACCTGAGAAAATGGTTCCTTTTTGTCTTCAAGTAAAGACTGGGGTGCTGATAGAAAACCCTTTTTCTCACAGCTCTCCTGGCTGATGAGTGTGTCCGCATAGTTGGGCTGGGGGAAAATCAGGTGGCTCTTCCGCGAGTCCGCAGTGAGGGAGACCTCGTGGGAATAGGTCTGCAGGAAAGCCCGAACCCCGTCCACGCCCACAAAGTGCGAACCGGGCATGCTCGCTAAGCCGCCTCCCGAAGCCTGTAGCAGACGTGACTTGTGCCAGCGCCGCAGCCTGTGCGCCAGCAGCACGATGACGAAGGCCAGGAAGACGCAGGAGACCGCGGCCGCCGCCACCACCAGGTACAGAGTGAGGTCCGAATCGTTGGGTTTGGCGGAGGGCTCGAGGCTGCCCAGGTCGGCCAGGATGTCGGAGATCCTGTCGGCCACGGCCACGGTGAGCGTGACAGTGGCGGAGAGCGGGGGCTGGCCGTGGTCCTGGACGGCCACCACGAGACTCTGCTTGAGCGCGTCTCTGTCCAGCAGGGCTCGCGCCGTGCGCACCTCGCCCGTGTGCAGACCCACCGAGAAGAGTCCCGGCTCGCTGGCCTTGAGCAGGCGGTAGGACAGCCAGGCGTTCTGGCCCGAGTCTCTGTCCACCGCCACCACCTTGGTCACCAGGTAGCCGGGCTCTGCGGAGAGGGGCGCCAGCTCCACGCCGGTAGAACCATCTGTGGGGAGGGCGGGGTACAGGATCTCGGGCGCGTTGTCGTTCTGGTCCAGCAGGAATAGGCTGAGAGACACGTTGCTGCTGAGGGGCGGATCCCCACTGTCCCGCGCCATCACTTTCAGTTGCATGTCCCGGAACTGCTCATAGTCGAAGGATCGCAGCGCATACAGGACCCCAGTGTCGGAGTTGATGGAGAGGTAGGCAGATAGGGGTGCCCCCTGGATAGTGTCCTCTATTAGGGAGTAAGTGATTTGTGCATTCTCATTGCTGTCCAAGTCGTGGGCCCTCACAGAGAAGATGGAGGCTCCTCTGGGGTTGTTTTCGGGAATGTAGGCAGAGTAGGAGTCCTGATGGAAGACTGGGGAGTTGTCATTGATATCTGTCACTAGTAGTGAAATGTGAGTTTCAGTAGATAGAGCTGGAGTTCCTTGGTCTATTGCTGTTATTGTGATGTTGTACCCAGAGATAAGTTCTCTGTCCAGTGTTCTTTCAGTCACTAAACGGTAATAATTATCAACTAACTTTTCCAATTTAAAGGGTAAATTTCCAGGAATGAAACATGTGGTGTAGCCATTGTCTCCTGAGTCCTGGTCATGCACACTGATAAGAGCAATTATGGTCCCAGGAGGAAAGTTTTCTGGAACTGCAGTGGTGACAGAGGTGATGGTCACTTCTGGGGCATTATCATTTACATCCAAAACTTTGATCAGTACCTTAACTTTAGCCATGAGCCCCGCACCATCCTGGGCTTGAACTTCCATTGAATACATTTTGTATTCTTCGAAATCTAGTGGTTCTTTATTTGATATTTCTCCTGTGTAAGAATCTAAACGAAATATTTGGGCCACTCTGTGGTCTACATTGTGAAAGGAGTACGTTACTTCCCCATTGGCTCCCTCATCAGGGTCAGTGGCATTTACCATGAGCAGCTGAGTACCCAGCGGCACGTTTTCGGGGACATTTATATGGTATTGTGCCTGAGTAAATGCTGGAGGATTGTCATTTGCATCCACCACCTGAATGTAAATTCTGAGGGTCCCTGAACGGACTGGTTCACCCCCATCAGAAGCTGTGAGGATGAGGTGGTGGACAGCTTCTTCTTCTCTGTCTAAGGGACTCTGCAGCACCATCTCTGGATGTTGAGGCCCATCGGCTCCCTGTTGCACATCCAGGGAGAAATGAGGGTTAGAGCTGAGTTGGTAGCTCTGGAGTGAGTTCATACCCACATCAAGGTCTTGCCCAAAAGGCAATGAGACTCTGGTACCTGGAGTCGTTATTTCATTCATTTTAAACTCCAGTTCCTCTAACTGGAATTGGGGAGTGTTGTCATTAATATCAATTATTTCTACTTCAACAGGAAAAAGCTTCATTTTATCCTCAACAAGGATATTAAAACTCACGAGACACGGCATGCTCTGAGCGCAGAGCTCCTCCCGGTCTATCCTGCGCGCGGTGATCAAGCTGCCACTTCTAGGATTCAGAGCGAAAAGCGGCATCCTACCTCTGGAGACGATGCGGACTCCGCCATCTGCCAGCTCCTGGGGTTGCAGCCCTAGGTCCTTGGCGATGTTGCCTACGAAGGAACCTTTGTCTGTCTCTTCCGGCACTGAGTAGTGAATATTCCCAGCCCCAGCTTCCAACAGCAGCTCCAGAGAAAGACACAGAAGCATCAGCCTGCTGCAGCCAGTCAGCTTTTTCTGAATCTTCATGGCTCTCTCACTTCGTAGTTTTCTTCCAGTCCAGTACCAAGGGTATCGTTTCTGCTTTTCTGAGCTGAAATTAACCCAATTTTCAGGAGAATTCTGACTGGAGAGTCATCCAGAAGTAGGATTTAGGCAGTCTTGGACAGTCAGTTTTCAATCTGGCGGTTATGGAGGTTCTAAGAGGCACGAGAGCTTTTTTCTTTTTCTTTTTTTTTTTTTTCCTCCTCCTGACCTGTGTGTACTGCCTGTATCTACCAGATTAGTGAACAGCGGCGCCCACAGTCCTAACCAGTTACTGCATTCCTAGCAAATACTGAAAACCTTCTCATTAACTTGTTATTTTCTTAAGTTTTAGTCTATTGTCAAGGAAATAATTCTACAATATATGTATGAAAAAGAGAAACTATATGTTCACTTCTTTAAATGTGCCTAAATGTCACCAAATTGAAATATACAGGAGAATCCAAGTATTCCCATGTTATCTGCTTTCCAAGTTTGCTATTCAGGGAATTATAGTAAAAACCTAACATTACAATGAGGACAAAATCATCTCTCCACTTTTTCTGTAGTAAAGTTTGACCACTTGGTAATTTCCCAGGCCACATAGAGCAGCTCCCCTTTGACTGGAGGGTGAAAAGTATTAGAGGGAAAAATAATCTTTTAGAATATAAGCTAGACTTTAAAAAAATCATACCATCCCATTTCCTTCCCATTATGATTTGAATATTTATCAGAAACCTTGGGATTTTGAAGAGCATGGTTTAACCCTATCCTTATTTTTCCTCTTTTTTTTTTTTGAAGTGTCTTTGCATTATGTGGGTTTTTAAAAAATTCTTAAGATTCACCAAAGGCAATATATTTTGAAAAAAATAAAACTGGGCTCTTGGAATTTCATTGAAAAGTCACATGAATATATAATTTAGATTTCAAATTTCAGAGACAAAGTCTATGATATTATTCTTCACAGCTGAAAAGAAAAATGGTCTCATCTTTATTTTTAGATAGGCTCTTATAATATGTATTCCTCTATAATCGCACTTAATATTTTCTCCAAGAGAAGTTGGTTTTCTCTTAACAGTATTTTTTAACCAGTTGAGGATGTGGCCTTCTTTTTTTTTTAATCACTGCACTATTAGCAAAGGGTTACTAATTAAAATGTCTCAGGCTTAGAGTGACTTACTTATCTTTACCCCAAAGTTAGAGAAGCATGCTATCTGTACTCCAGAGTCTGATAATTTCAGGAACAAATTCGGCCAGCCAACCCATGGACACCATGACTGAGAAAAGTTAAAAATGAGGAAAGAAAGAAAACAATGAAAGGTCTCAATAATAGTTTTTGGAAAGAGAACTTTAGTTCTTAACCAAATCTACAGTTTCTCAGCTTCTCAAAGACAAGTACATGGAGCCAAAGAGTAGAAATTTAAAGGTGCAATAAATCATCTTCAATATTGCAAGGAAGTAACTCTTTAACAGAGAATGTAACTTTTCAGAATACACATTAATAGGCATAAACTTTTCCCCAAAGAAATTGTGAGCTAATGAGGTAAATTAAAATATACATAAGAACTAGTAAGTAAACCTGTAGAGCTCCCTACTTTCAGCAACCAAAAACACGCAGGAGTGATTTATAAAAGGATGGTAAGTATAAAATAAAAATGTTAAAATATCACACAAATACATTTGAATCAAATGCAACATTTAAAGCTTCATTGCTGCCCACACACAGTGGCTCACGCCTGCAATCCCAGCACTTTGGGAGGCCAAGGTGGGCAGATTACTTGAGGCCAGGAGTTTGAGACCAGCTTGGTCAATATAGTGAACCCCGTTTCTACAAAAACAAAAATAAAACAAAGCTTCATTGCTGGCACTGCAGAGAATACCTGGTTCAAAGCTGTTTCTTGAGTTAAAGAAATTAAGATTTTAAAAATATCTAAAACCACACATACGTTGTAGGAACAGGGCAAATTTCCTTTCTTTAAGTTGGAGACAACTCCATATCCGGGCTTGGACCAGAGATCCAGCTGAAAACAG